>NC_000011.10:18185000-18810000 GCF_000001405.40 Homo sapiens | reverse complement strand
CATGTCCTTTGTAGGGACATGGATGAAATTGGAAATCATCATTCTCAGTAAACTATCGCAAGAACAAAAAACCAAACACCGCATATTCTCACTCATAGGCGGGAATTGAACAATGAGAACACATGGACACAGGAAGGGGAACATCACACTCTGGGGACTGTTGTGGAGTGGGGGGAGCGGGGAGGGATAGCATTGGGAGATATACCTAATGCTAGATGACGAGTTAGTGGGTGCAGTGCACCAGCATGTCACATGTATACATATGTAACTAACCTGCACACTGTGCACATGTACCCTAAAACTTAAAGTATAATAATAAAAAATAATAATAATAATAATCAGAAGAACATAGTTACCACAATGGGCAGCAAGGTCGGAGTATCAGCCAGTGGCTCCTGACTGAGAAGAATCTACAGAGATAGATAAGAGAGCACAGTATTGCTAGAGGCAAAGATTTGCAGGCATTAAAAATATCACAAGCTGGGCATGGTGGCTTACACCTGTAATTCCACCACTTTTAGAGGCTGAGGCAGGAGGATTGCTTGAGGCTAGGGGTTTGATACCAGCCTGGGCAACAAACTGGGACCCCATCAGAAGAAAGAAAGAGGAAGGAAGAGGAAGGAAGGCAGAAAGGCAGAAAGGCAGGAAGGCAGGAAGGAAGAGGAAGGAAGGCAGGAAGGCGGGAAGGCGGGAAGGCAGGAAGGCAGGAAGGCAGGAAGGCAGGAAGGCAGGAAGGCAGGAAGGCAGGAAGGAAGGAAGGAAGGAAGGAAGGAAGGAAAGAAAGAAAAGAAACCAGCCTGTCAGGATAAAACTGTCAACAGGTTAGCTACAGAGGGACTGTACCTCAACACAATAAAGGTTATATATGACAAACCCATTGCTAACATCATTCTCAATGCTAAAAAGTTGACAGCTTTTCCTCTAAGATCTGGGACAAGACAAGGATGCCCACTTTCACCACTTCTTTTCAACACAGTACTGGAAGTCCCAGCCAGTGAAATCAGGCAAGAGAAAAAAAAAAAAGACATCCTAACAGGAAAGGAAAGAGTAGAATTGTCTCTATTTGCTGACAACATGATCTTATATATAGAAAATCTAAAGCCTCCACCAAAAAACTGTTAGAACTGATAAATTCAGTAAAGTTGCAGAATACAAAAGAACCATACAAAGATCATTAGTGTTTCTATGTACTAATAACAAACTATCTGAAAAGGAAATTAAGAAAACAATCCCATTTACAATAACAAAATAATTTAAATGCTTAGGTGTAAATTTAACCAAGGAGGTAAAATACCTGTATACTGAAAACTATAAAACACTGATGAGATAAATTGAAAGTCAGGTGCAGTGGTAAGCACCTGTAGTCTCAGCTACTTGGGAAGCTGAGGCAGGAGGATCACTTGAGACCAGGAGTTCAAGTACAGTGTAGGCAACATAGTGAGATTCCTGTTTCTAAAAAATAAAAAATTGAAGACTACACAAATAAATGAAAAGATATCTCACGTTGATGGGTGTGAAAAATTAAGATTGTGAATATGTCCATAGTATCCAAGGTGATCTAAGGGTGCAATGCAATCCCTATCAAAAATCCAATGTCTTTTTTTTTTTTTTTTGAGATGGAATCTCGCTCTGTTGCCCAGGCTGGAGTGCAGTGGCACAATCTCAGCCCACTACAACCTCCGCCTCCTGGGTTCCAGCGATTTTCCTGCCTCAGCCTCCCAAGTAGCTGGGATTACAGGCACGCACCACCACGCCCGACTAATTTTTGTTTTTTTTGGTAGAGACAGGGTTTCACCATATTGGCCAGGCTGGTCTCCAACTCCTGACCTCGTGGTCTGCCTACCTCGGCCTCCCAAAGTGCTGGGATTACAGGCGTGAGCCACTGCGCCCAGCCCCAGTGTCATTTTTTACAAAATGGAAAAAAATCCTTAAGTTTGTATGGAACCACAAAAGACCCCAAATAGCCAAAACAATCTTGAGCAAAAAGAACAAGGCTGGGCCAGGTGCAGTGGCTCATGCCTGTAATCCCAGCACTTTGGGAGGCCAAGGCAGGCAGATCACGAGGTCAGGAGTTCAAGACCAGCCTGGCCAACATGGTGAAACCCTGTCTCTACTAAAAATACAAAAATTAGCCAGGTGTGGTGGTGCATGCCTGTAGTCTCAGATACTTGGGAGGCTGAGGCAGGAGAATCACTTGAACCTGGGAGGCAAAGGTTGCAGGGAGGCAAAGGTTGCAGTGAGCCAAGATTGCGCCACTGCACTCCAGCCTGGGCGACAGAGTGAGACTCCATCTCAAAAAAAATAAATTAATTAATTAAAAAAAAAGAACAAGGCTGGAGGCATCACACTTTCTGATTTCGAAACATGTAAAGCAATGCAATCAAAACAGCATTGTACTGGCATACAACAGACACACTGACCAGTAGGACAGGCTAGAAAACCCAGAAATAACCCTTGCATTTACAGTCAACTGATTTTTGACAAGCATGCCAAGAATACACAATGGGGAAAGAACATCTCTTCAATAAATGGTATTAGAAAAACTGCACATCCACACACAGAAGAAAGAAATTAGACCTTTATCTTACACCATACACAAAAATCAACTCAAAATGGGCAAAAGACTTAACTATAAAGCTGAAACTGAAAAGCTACTAGAAGAAAACGTAGGGGGAAAGCTTCATGACAATTTTCTGGGCAAGGATTTCTTGGATAGGATCCCAAGAGCACAAGAAACAAAAAGAAAAATAGGCAAATGAGATGGCATCAAAGTAAAAAACTTCTGCATAGCAAAGGAAACAATTAACAAAAGGAAGAGACAACCCATAGAATGGGAGAAATATTTGCAAACCATACATCTGATAAGGGGTTAATTTATAAAATATGTAAGGAACTCAATTCAAGAGCAAGAAAAAAAATAAATAACCCAATTTTTAAATGGGCAAAGCGCCTGAACAGATATTTCTCAAAAAAAAAAAAAAAAAAAGACATGTGAGTGACCAATAGGTACATGAAAAAAGGTCAGTATCACTAATCATTAGGCAAATGCAAATTAAAGCCACAATGAACTATCCCCCATACCTGTTAGAATGGCTTTTATCAAAGAGATAAGATATCAAGTGTTAGAGAGGATTCAGAGAAAAATGGAACTCTTATATACTGTTGATGGGAATGTAAATTAGTACAGCTGTTATGAAAAACAGTATGGAGTTTTCTCCAAGTATTACAAATAGAAATACTATAGGACTCGGTAATCTCCTTTCTGGGTATATATTAATAAGAAGCTGAAATTACACTTTGGGAGGCTGAGGTGGCCAGATCACCTGAGGTCAGGTGCTCGAGACCAGCCTGGCCAATACGGCGAAACCCTGTCTCTACTAAATATACAAAAAAATTAGCCTGGTGTGGTGGTGGGTGCCTGTAAGCCCAGCTACTCGGGAGGCTGAGGGAAAAGAATCACTTGAACCCAGGAGTCAGAGGTTGCAGTGAGCTGAGATTGCTCCACTGCACTCCAAGCTGGGTGACAGAGCAGGACTCCGTCTCAAAAAAAGAAACTGAAATCAGTATGTTGAAGGGGTATCTCCACTCTCACATTCATTGTAGCATTATTCACAATGGCTAAGGTAGGAGAACGATCTAAGTTTCCATCAACAGATAAAGAGAAATATGGTGTACATATTCAATGGACTACTATTCAGCCTTTAAAATGGGGGAAATATTGTCATTTGCAACAACATGGATTAATCTGGAAGACATTGTGGTAAGTGAAAAAGCCAGGCACAGAAAGACAAATACCTCACGATTTCCTTATAAGTGAAATGTAAATATGTGAATTCATAGAAGTAGACAGTAGAATAATGGTTACCAGATGCTGAGGAAGAGGGGAGGGAGGAAATGAACAGTTGCTGATGAAAGAGTACCAAGACCCAGATTACATAAGAGGAAAGGATTTTGAGATCTATTGCACAGAAGGCTGACTATAATCAATAACAATGTATTATATAATATATTTCATAATAAGTACATTTCAAATGTCTCACCTTAAAAAATGATAGGCAAGAAAGGTGATTGATATGTTAATTAGCTTAATTTATTAATGCCACATTGTATACCTATATTAAAACTTCACATTTTACATCATAAATGTATACAATTATGGTTTGTCAATCTAACATAGTATTAATAATTTAAATTTTTTAATGTCAGGTCTATCTAATTCTGAAGCCCATGTTTTTTCCACCATACCATCATTTCTGTATTTAATAAAATGTTTGTTTCATTTTCAAATCATTAAATCATAGAATGTGTTCCTGATTCTTCCCCTTCCCTGTCCTCCTTTCCCCATTCCCTTACAGGCTTCCCCTGAGAGCACTCCTTAGTAAATCACATGCACATGAATCCCCACCTCAGATTCTGCTTCTGGAGAACGTGGCCTGAAATTACAAAAGTGATCTCAATTTCAACATGGGCACAAAGTTTAAGTGAAGCTTAAATTGAAGTAATGATCATTTGAAAGTTATGTTCTGGACCAGGGATTCCCAATCCTCCCTGTGACTGAAATCACATGGTACAGTTTTTAAAATGCCATTTCCCAGGTCCTGTCCTAGATCTCCTTAACCAAAATTCCAGAAGTCTGACTTAGGAGTCTCCTCTTTTATTTAAGTTATAATATTTCTGATGATGGAAGTTTTGGAACCCATTGGTTTAGACAACTCAGTTGTATTGGATGGTTTAGACATACCCGTATATGAACTTGTGGGTGGGATATGCAAAATGAAATTTTGAGGTTCCTGCCAATATTACAAGTCTATGGTTCAGTTAACAATTTATCACAAATCAATATCTCTTAATTGAAAAAGTGATCTTGATTTTAAACCAGGCATAGCATGATCATTTATTACAAATGTAATTTAATGTGACTTTCTGAAATTCTGACATGAAAATTTTTGAATACGGTACTTGTTTAATTGATTACATTTTATAAAATGGTAACAATTCTTTTTATTACTAAGGTAAACATGTTACTATATTAGTCAGAATAGACTAGGTTACACTCTTACAACAGTTGGAGTAGACTAGGTTACACTGTTGCAACAAATGATACCAAAATCTCAGTGATTTAACACAGTAGAGGTTAAACTCCTGTTCATACAAAGTTTACAGCATGTCTGGACAACTCCTCAGGGCAGCTGTCCTCCACATTCACCACTCAGCAGTGCAGGCAGCTTCCATTCTGAGGCACCTCCATCTTGACAGGAGGTTTAAAGTTCATTGTGAAAAAAATTTCACACTGGAAATTAAATGCTGCAACTCTGAGGCAACCCGGATCATCTCCATTGATCACATGGGTCACTGCCCATTGACCAGAATTAGTCATATTATCCTACAATAACTGCAAGATCAAGGAAGGGTAATTCTGCTCTATGTCCAGAATAAGAAGACTGCATACTGGGGAGATTAGCAATGTCAACAGTTATTAAATAAAATGTGGAAGATTCATGAAAGTCAAAAAATCAATTTTATCTATGTGTGTGTGCATGTATGTGCATGCATGTGTATACATACATACATACATACACACACACGCCCCCACTGCTGTTGGTTTCTGGTTTATTTTCTTTGAGTCATTGAAAATACAAATTCGTGGCTGAGGGTGGTGGCTCATGTCTATAATCCCAGCACTTTGGGAGGCCAAGGCAGGCAGATCATTTGAGGCCAGGAGTTCGAGACCAGCCTAGCCAATTGGTGAAACCCCTTCTCTACTAAAAATACAAAAATTAGCCAGGCATGGTGGTGCAGTGCATGCCTGTTGTCCCAGCTACTTGGGAGGCTGAGATATGAGAATTGCTTGAACCCAGGAGGTGTAGGCTGCAGTGATCCGAGATTGTGCCACTGCACTCCAGCTAGGGGAACAGAGTGAGACTCTGTCTCAAATCAAAAAAAAATCTTTTGAATAAAATTATTTTTATTTTACAATTATCCATTCTCATTGTAGAATGTTTTTCAAAATACATCAATATATACCAAAGAAAATTTAAAACCCTTACAATCTCACCTCCAAAAGACAACCACACGTTATTTTTAATCAAAGTTAAAATCACAATATTTACATTTATTTGTACTACGCTTGGTCTCCTTATCAATAAATACAAATTCAATTTTTAATTCCTATTTGCTAATGACCATTGATTATGATTTCGGGCAAGGCACTTCTCTCTGGGTCTCAGTTGCTCCATCACTAAAATAGGTATGTTATAAAAGATCATCTCTAAAATGTCTTCCAGCTCTGGTGATTGTGTATATATGCCACTTCTGATGCTTGTACATGTTCTTCTGTCTCCTTCCCTCTTTCCCATAGGCCACACCCAGGACCATTTGTACTCCAAGAATAAAAACATTGAACCAGATTCCCTTGGAGTCCACTTTCAGGACCCAGAACAGCCCCTAGTGGTGTGGCTCCTGTCTGTCAAGGTGATGTCCAGAAACCTCAGCTGCTTTCGCTGTGATGTACAAATCCCCTTAGGGCCCTGAGTCTCTGGCCAAAATCATCGTTACATATTCTTGCCAAACCACAGTACCATTACTGTGAATTGATGAATCTTAGAATCTCTGGTTAGAAAAGAATATTGGAGGCCGTTTCTCCCAATAAAAGGTATGCTCCTAAAACAAGGAGTTTGTTTTGTTCACAACTGTATACCTGTCACTCTGGAAAGTTTCTGGAACATAGTAAGTACTCAACAAATATTTGCTTGTTTGAATAACCTTACCCCTCCATTTTATAGCATTCTCAAAAAGGACTCATGCAGAATCTGCTTCTACAAGTCTAGCAATTGAGAGCTGATTGCTCCTAAAATAATCCATTCCATTGTTTCACTGAGAGGCAGGTATGACTAGAGGAGGGCAGTGTTGTACTCGATATATCCTCTACCCCAGCTACCAAGTCAAGAACTGAGGGGCAAGGGTGGCATGCCAAATGAGCAAAAGTCATCTCTGAAAGGGAAAATGCAAGATTCAGAAACAATAGGCTTCCAATTTGTAGGCAGTATCTTACCTTACAGTATATTTAGGTCCATTTTTATCCTAACTTGTGGGTTAGACAGAAACGGGATTTATTAAATTCAGTTACGTAATGGCAGATCCTTTTCGCAAGTTTTATATATGGCACCAGAGGGCGCACTTGTTGCTTACATCATCACATTCCTGCTGCCGGGGACCTGCAGAATCTGAGATGCAGGACTTGAAGAATAAACAATCAGAGACATTTAGGTCCTGTCACTGGCCCTTCCTACAACAAAGTTATGACATCAAAAGAAATATTACAGAGCAAAGTTGATTCTTGGAGAACATCCCATCTAGTGAGAAAGGTGGAGAGAAAGCACTCCTTTACCACTTACTAGGGAGCCAGCAGAGAGCCAGAGGCCACAGACGTGGAGCTGAGTAGTATGGCTTCTAGGTGAAGGGGTCCCAGGGCCTCGCTCACCTGGATTTAGAGTCATAGAGAAGTTACCCGTAGGCGCTACCTCGCTGTCTAAATCTCTGGCAGTCTCCTTGTAAACTGTCCAGGCTAGAAGAAGCTGCAAGGGCGTCAGCCATTCCTCCACTCTTCTATTTTACACGTGGGGAAACTGAGGCCCAGAGAAAACTTAACAATTACTTGCCCAAAGTCAAATGACTATCTAGACGCAAAGCCTGGGATAAAACCCAGGAGATTATTTCACTGACTATTTAATTGTTTGGCTTGTTGGAAGTTGTCTGTAGAAATAACCCTTTGGATTCAGGACAACCTAAACTCTATTGATGACTAAGACTGGTCTTTGTAGAAGCGGTTATTTACTTAGTGTGATATCTTCACTGAAAAGAGGGGAAAGAGGGTGGGAAGAGGGGAAGAAGGAAGGAAGGAAGCAAGGGAGGGAGGGAGGGAGGGAAAAAATGAGAGTTTTCTGATGGCCTTGTATCCAGGCAGCTTCTGTTGCTGCTCTGTCTTCCTAGCAACTGCAGCTATGCTGCATTGTTTGAAGTATTCATTTTGTTCAAAGATGAAGGATAAACTCCCAAAACAAAAGACATTTTTTCCAAGGACTGAGATAAATTATAAATCAAGGACAAAAGAGTCAAGGGTGAGCAATCCCTCAAAAACCATCTGCAGAACAATTAAGCATTGTCAATAGCACAACTCATTTCTGAAGTGCAGACTTGGAGAGCCCTGGAAGCCAGAACTAGAGAGGGCCTTGGAATCACCACATTAAAATTACTCACTTTGCAAATGAAGGATGCACGGTTCAGAGCAGAAGGGGCAAGATCATAACTCAAATGCTTGCAGGGGCCAAGGAAATTAAGCAAGCTGGGGTCAGATAAGAGATACTTTAGATATATTACAGGAAATGTGTGACTTTCCCCTTTAAGAAAAACAACAGAGCAAACATTTGATAAATGGCAAATAGCACATGCCCTCAGTGATGGAGGCAAGAATGGGCACTGTGGCAACCTGGACTTGCTCTGCCTCAGAGGAGCAACTGCTATCCAGCTCCATGTGGTCACTGTCATGTAGAGATGTGAGCCTGAAGTTCCCAAACTTTCTGTTATTTTTAAAAATATGGATTTATATTTGAAATGCTCCAATTTTTTCTATGGTGGCCACCAATCTGAATTCATTGCAGGCCAAACAGGGCCCTACTAGAGTCTGGATTCAGCCTCAGGTTTGTAGTCTGCACCCTCTGGCTCAGGGTACTGTGGGGTGACAGGGAAGAAGCCCTCTGGGAAGACCTGGGCTTGGGTTTCAGCTCAGTCATCCACTTGGCTTGTGACCTCCAGAAGCCACTTCTCTCAGGCTTGTTTTCTCACCTGAACTGTGAGAGAGATGAAGCAGGCAATCTCAATGGTTTGATCTGACAGTCTCTGGGTTTCTGACAGCCTCTGCAGATGGAGACTCTAAATTAGCCAGGCATTGTGGGAAAATAATGGGATCTGGAGACAAAGGTCCAGCAAACTCCCATATCTCTCCATGTCCCTATCCCACTGGAACTTCAAACTCCACATTTCCAAAACTGAGCTTATCTTATCCTCTTCCCAAATGGCTCCTCTGCTAGCCTTCCTCACAGTGGATGGCACTACCCCTCACCCAGTTGCCAAACTCAAAAATCTCGCTTTCGTCCTTAACTTCTCCCTCCCCTTCTACCCTCATCCAATCAGTAAATCCTGTCAATTCCATTTCTTTCCTCTCTACTCTGTTCACTTCCTTTCATCTGCAGCACCATCCTCCTAATCCAGGCAACCATGTCTTCACTGGAATCACTGCATCAGCACCTGACTGTCTCCCTCTCTTCATTCTTAGCCCCCTCCAGTCCATTCTTCATGTTGCAGTCAAAGTTGCCTTTTAAAAATTGTGATAAAAATTTATCTTCATGTGGAGGTCTCCTTTATTTGTATAAATGTAAGGGGTGCAAGGGCAATTTTGTTACATGGCTCTATGTCATAGTGGCAGTGAAGTCTGGGCTTCTAGAGTATCCATCGTCCGAATAATGTACATTCTGCTCATTAAGTAATTTCACATCCTCCACCTTCTCCCACCCCCTTCACCCTTCCAAGTCTCCAGTGTCTATCACTCCACACTCTACGTCCATAAGTACACATTATTTAGCTCCCACTTATAAATGAGAACATGTGGTATTTGTCTTTCTGTTTCTGAATTGTTTCACTTAAGATAATGGCCCCCATCCAGTTCTATCCATTTGGCTGCAAAATAATTAAAGTGGACCCCTATCTCTCACCATATTTAAACATTAACTCAAAATGGATTAAAACCTGTAATCCCAGTGCTTTGGGAGGCTAAGGCAACAGGATCGCTTGAGGCCAGGAGTTCAAGACCAGCCTGAACAACATAGCAAGACCCCATCTCTACAAAAAAATCAAATCAAATAAAAATTAGCTGGGTATGGTGGTGCACACCTGCATCCTAGATACTTGGGAGGCTGAGACAGGAGGATTGCTTGAGCTCAGGAGTCTGAGACTGCAGTGAGCTATGATTGCCACTGCACTCCAGCCTGAGTGACAGAGTGAGACCCTGTCTCTTAAAAAAAGAATTAAAGACTTAAATGTAAGACCTGAAACTATTAAAATACTCACAGAAAACCTAGGAAAACTCTCTTTTCTGGACATTGGTCTGGGCAAAGAGCTGCCTTTACAAAACACAAGTTTCCAGCTTACTATCTTTCTGTGGTTGCCCTTGAGATGAAATCCAGACTCCTTAGTATGAACCCTTGGTTTTTTCTGGCCTTTGCTCACACTCTAGCCTTTTCTCTTGCCACTCCCCTGGAGTTGGTGAACTTCTGGAGAGAAGAAATATAGCTTATTCACCAGCGAGTTGCCAAAACCTAGCACAGTATCTGGCCCCTGAAAGCCACATGCCATTTGACAAATGAATGAATGAATAAGTGAGTGAATCTACGAATCTAAGGACTCTACCATTTACTAGGTATGTGACCCTGGAATGTGCATGCTTACTTTCTCTACCCGTAATATTTACAGGTAGATAAAGCTCATTATACCTCTTAAAGTATAATGCGTATCCTTACAGGCCGTTGTAAGGAGCAACTTAGACAAGAGGTGTTATGAGCTTTAGAACCTGTAGAAACAGAATTAAACATTAGTTGCTACATACCCTCTCTGTGCTTCAGTTTCCTGACTCAGTACCTACCTCAGTATCTGCCTCATTGTCATAAAGGAAGAATTAAATGAGTCAATATATGTACATGCTTTGAACAGTACCTGGCATATAGTAAGTAGTTACTAAACAAATAAGTGTGTGTTTATTTGTAATGATGATGACAGTGATGACTGATCCTTTCAACCCTCTGAGGTGCCAGGTGTAGTGCACATTTGCTCCTTTGGGGCTGCTTTTTTGGTAACAGCCTCCTGATTTCCTTTTGGATGAAGACTTGGATGAAGTTTTGATATGACATCAACTAGGATGTGCCCTCCTCTAGCCAGTGGGGTGAGGCCACAATTGGAACTCAGCCAAAATTCTGAGGAATTAGGAAGGAAGAAGAAAAGTTAGTTACTCATACTTCCTTGTGGTGACATCTGGATGTGACTGTGGAGATGTTCCTAACCCTGCAAACTTCTGGAGCTTCCCGACATCCACCTTTCCAAGCCTGGTTCTTCAGCCTCCATTTCCATTCATGAGCCTCCTTACAGCCTTCCAGTAAACTCCCCTTCACCTAAATCAGCCAATGATCATTTCTGTGGCCTGTTGCCAGAGATCCCTGACCATGTCTGGTCCAGATTCAGGAGACTTTTCAGCCATTAACTCACTGGGCTACCCCAGACAAGAGATTTCCTCCCCCTGTGCCTCAGTATCCTCCTCCAAAAGTTGGGGTCCTTGGCCAGGCTAGTTGTTTCCAACCCTGGCCAATCGCCAGTCAACAGAATCATCTGGAGAACTTATTTTCATTTAACATTGAGCCTCACCTCAATCCCACTGAATTAAATTTTCCAGGGGTAGGAGCTTCAGAATCCACACTTTTTTTTTCTTTTTTGAGACTGAGTCTTGCTCTGTCGCCCAGGCTGGAGTGCAGTGGTGCAATCTCGGCTCACTGCAACCTCCACCTCCTTGGCTCAAGCGATTCTCGTGCCTCAGCCTCCCGAGTAGCTGGGATTACAGGCACCTGCCACCATGCCCGGCTAATTTTTTTGTATTTTTAGTAGAGATGGGGTTTTACCATGTTAGCCAGGCTGGTCTCGAACTCCTGACCTCAAGTGATCCACCTGCTTTGGCCTCCCAAAGTGCTGGGATTACAGGCCTGAGCCACCGCACATGGCCCAGAATCCATACTTCTTAGTAGTTCACTGAGATGTTTCTGAGATACAGCTGGGATGCTCTGGGCTCCTCTCCTACCCAATCTTTCACTCTGTTCTCCTGCTGTGCCTAGAAGAGAACGTTCTGCCCAGGAAATCCTTGCCCTACTCTGAGTGGCTCATTCCTTCTTGCAACTCAAGTCTCTCTTCAAATGGTATCTCCTCCAAAAAACCTTCTCCAAACACCCAGTTGAAAATGGCGGCTCTCCATCACTCACCTTCTTTTCTTTTTCTTCATTGTGCCTTTCATTGTCTGAAATTATCCTCTTATCTGTTATTTTAACCTGGCTTATTGTCAGCGTGTCCCCACCAGAATGCGAGTTCCATGATAGCAGGGAAGCTGATTGTCTTTTTCTCTACTACATATCCAGTTTTTGAAACAGTAGCTGGCTCAGAGTAGGCCCTCAATAAAATATTTGTTAAATAATTTGCTCTGCAAGGGTTCAGAACCATGACCATGGAGGAAACAAAGCTGTGATGCTCACTCCTCCTGACCAAGTGTTTCTGATGTTTCTTCCTGGGATCAGCAGCCAGGTGACCTTGCCCTTCACCCTGAGCTGACAGACTGGTATCTGTAGCCCCCAGGGGCTTGTCCCAGCTCTGTGGCCAGCCCCTACAGGAAGATCACACCACACCGCAACCAACACACACACACACACACAAACACCAGCAAATGGTCTCAGCTAAGGTTCTCTGAGAAACCTCGCTGATGTCCTTGGCTTTTTACTCTTCAGGCTTGCAGCCAGGAAATAAACCCTGGAGATGAGCTCTTAGGAGCACCAGGATGTCGTCTCTCTTTAAATCAATCATTTCACAAAAAAAGCTCTGTTCTTTATTTTCCCATCTCCATCATAATAGCATCTGCTCGAAATCCCAAATCCTTGAGATACGGCACTTGGGCACTATTCCTATACCCCTAAAAGGATTACCTTTGCTGATTTAGGTAAGGGGATAATATCCAGCTTTTGCTGAGAGATTCCACCACAATTAGGTTCATGAATTCCCATTTGCTCATTTACTCTAACGATGAGACTAAGGTCCCTGGCTGCATAAATCCTAAAGGTCTAACATCAGGAAAACCTCCTGAAGACTTGCTCTTAGAGCTAAGTGCTAGAACTACCTCACATTTTTTATGGAAGTGAATAGGGAAAAAGGAGAAAAGGGCCAGGTGCAGTGGCTCATGCCTGTAATCCCAGCACTTTGGGAGGCCAAGGCAGGCAGATCACCAAGTCAGGAGTTCAAGACCAGCCTGGCCAGCATGGTGACACCCCATCTCCACTAAAAATACAAAAAAATTAGCTGGGTGTGGTGGCGTGCACCTGTAATCCCAGCTACTCAGGAGGCTGGGGCAGGAGAATTGTTTGAGCCCAGGAGGCAGAGGTTGCAGTAAGCTGAGATCACACCATTGCACTCCAGCCTGGGTGACAGGGCGAGACTCTGTCTCAAAAAACAAACAAACAAACAAACAAAAAACAAAATGAGAAAAGAAAGGAGGGAATGGAAAGAAAGTAGTATAAGCTTGCAAAAAAAAAAAGTGACATACTTTGCTACTTCAGATATACTAGTCTGTTTCTTCCCCTCTGAGATACTTATTTCAGCATTCAACAAAAATTTATTGAGTACCTACTATGTACCAGGCATTGTCCTGGACACTTAAGATATATCAATGAGCCTAACGGATGCAGATGCCCTGTGGACCTTGTATTCCAGTGGGAAAAAAACAGATATTTAACAGATATTAAAGGGTGAACATACAAAATAGATAAACTACCTAATCTATAGCTCGTAAATAAATTTATTAATATAGAATATATGTCATAAGAAATATATAAAATATGAGATAGATATTATAACATAGTTTATAAAGAAATTATCCAGTACATTAGAAGGTAAAATGTGTCATTATAAAAGAAAAGGAGAGATTGGGACTCCTGAAGGGAACGGGAGAAGGCAGGCTCTGACGTATTAGGTAGAGAGGTCAGGGGAGGCCTCAATGAGAAAATGACAGTGGAGCAAAAACTTGAAGGATATAAAGGCATTAGTTCTATGTAACAGATTGTTTCTTTTTGGCATCCCAAATGATCAGAACCAAATTTGAGGTTCAAGCACAGTACTCTAGAGGCCCCTGTGGTCTGTACGTTTGTAATCTTTTGTCCTCGAGAGGCAGGATAGGACAGTGGTTAAGGGTATCGGTTCCACTGTCAACCTGGATTCAAATACTGCCTCTACCACTTACCAGCTACGTGACTTAGGGCATCATATTTCATGTCTCCCAGCCTGAGAGAAATGCCTCCCTATGCTTCAAAATGAAGATAATAATAGTACTTACCTCACATGGCTCTTTTAAGGATTAAATGAAATAATGTACACAAATTCCTTTGCACACAAGAATAAACTCAATAAAAAAACAGCTGTGATTATTGAGCTTTGGTCATGTCACTCAACGTTTATTTACATTTTCTTTGGTCCTGATTCTTTATCCTCATTGATATTTTAACATTGTTTTATGGATCCTGCCCCTTTGGTAAGCTACTTCAAATCCTTTGTGGATTGGGGTAAGTTATAAGTAAGTAAATAAATACATAAATAAAAATCTGGATAGGGGGACATTTTCACTGAAGCAAAGCATTTCATTACCAAGACAGTGAATTGCAAGTGGGCCAAAAGCAAGAAAGATGGACTCTAATCTCTAACAGTCCACCAAGAACCACCAGTAAAACACTCTCTGGTTTCTCAGACCATCTTTTTCTCCCCATCTCCTCTTTCTTAAATCCCTCTTCTTCCCTCTATCATGAAAGGGTAAATGAGTTACACAAAACGGCTCAAGAAGACTCCTAAGTCGTCACAACCTCACAACTATTTCGTTGCCATGGGCCTCACAGGACTCTTCCTCATCAGAGAAGAGAAAGGAAATCAAAGCAGTCACTTTCCGTGTGTTGGCAGGGTGCTGGTTAAGTGAACAGAGTCAGACATAAGCTAGAATCTCGTTTAGTGAGCTCTGTGGCCTTGGGAAAGCCCCTGGACCTTTCTGTGCCTCCTATTCCTCCTTGGTAATAGCAGTCCCTCCTAAGGTGTTTTGGCAGATCAAACGAGAGAATGCAGGGAAGCAACGTGGATAGCTTATTTTTAAAGCCCTCAGAAAATGCTAGATTTCCTTCCTGAACTGCACCCTGGGGTAACACTCTTCAATAAGAGGGTGTATAGGGTGGAAACAGGGTGAGGAGACTAGTTTAGGTATATCCCTATCTGACAGAAACTCAATACAAGAAACAAAAGAAGAAAGATCTTTGTTGTTGCTGTTGCCTTACTACTTTCTAGAGGTATTGTCATACTTCTTCCTTCCCATAGCCCTTTAAGATGGGCATTATTATCCACATGTGACAGCTGGGGCTGGGCTTTGAACCCAGAGCACACAGCTAGGAATGTTTGCGAGGCACCGCTAGCTTTCCGAAGTTGCCTTTACAAGGGCAGCCATTAGCCTCCACCACAGGACATCAGAGGCAGCACTGACAGGAACCTGTGAGGCCCCAGTGCACCTGGAGTACCATGACTCTGTGACCCCTGAGCTGGGGACATCAAGAATCTGGGCCAGGCTGATGCCACTGAAGCTCTCTAAGCCCTACTTTCTCCCCTTCCTTCCATCAGCCCAAAGGGCTTTCATGTTAAGGCATCCCTGCTTCTGTGACCACGTGCTATGGAACTGGCTAGATCTGAATTTGAAACACACACCTCTTAAGTGACCTTAAGTAACTCACTTATTCCTTCTGCTTCCTCTACTGAAATTGGGGATGTCAAAAGGCCTACCTCCCACAGATGTCATGAAGATTCAATAGAGCAGTGCCTTGAGAAAACACAAAACACTACCTGGCACATACTAAAGTGCCCATGTATAGTAGCTGCTATTGTTCAACTGATGCAGCCTGGAGAAATCAGCCTCATGCCGAACCATGGTGATGATGCTCTCGGGGGGTAGGGAGCAGGTCCTGGCGTACAGGCTGAAATGTCTACTCACACTTCCACACAACCCAAGCAGTATGGCCTTTTTACCCAATATATAATCCTCCCCCACCCCACAGGAAACTCCTTGAGGGCAACACAGGGACCTAATTGGGTCTAGGTCTCTAGGTCTTTTCCTAGGGGAAAAAAAAAAAAAAAAGACCAATTGAGGCCCAGCCTAGGGCCTCCCAATCAGTGCCGTTGATCCACAAACATGTGCTGATGGGCCCTTCTGTGCTGGGAACTGGGGAAAGGGAAGACACCCCGCCCTACTTTCCAGGAGTTCATAGTGCACCTGGGGAAAAAGAGAAGGAACCACTATCACAGCAGACAGAAAGTAATGAGAGCTGAGTGTCCCTGGAAATGTGGGGAGAAGGAGGTGGTATTTAAGCTGGACCTTAAAAATTAGTCAAGACATGGGAGGGATGGCATTCCAGACTGAACAGGGACAACGTGAACAAAGGCCTAGAGACAGGAAAACACAGGGTTTGTTTAAAAAACAGATTAGTGAGGTGAGGCTGAAGGATTGGGATGGGAGGGGATTGAGATGGGAGCTGGCAATGAAGCCAGTGAGCCTCAGGGGCAGGGAACAGAAATAAAAGTCATAGCTGCATGGAGAAAATGAGGAGGGAGGGCCAGCAACTTTAAACAGGATAGTTACAGCAATTATCTTAGAAGCGACACATTGAGCCTGGGCAGGGTGGCTCACGCCTGTAATCCCAGCACTTTGGGAGGCCAAGACGGGCGGATCATGAGGTCAGGAGTTCGAGACCAGCCCGGCCAACATGGCGAAACCCCGTCTCAACTAAAAATACAAAAATTAGCTGGGCATGGTGGCGGGCGCCTGTAGTCCCAGCTACTCGGAAGGCTGAGACAGGAGAATCGCTTGAACCCAGGAGGCAGGGGTTGCAGTGAGCTGAGATGGAGCCACTGCACTCCAGCCTGGACGACAGAGCAAGACTCCGTCTCGGGGGCGGGGGGGTGGGGGGAGTGACACTTTGAAGAGGTAAAGGAGTAGCCGTGTGACTATCAGAGGGAAGAGTTTCCAGGCAGACAGACCAGCAGTGCAAAGGTCCTGAGGCCACAGGGCTGCCACGCCGATGATGCATTAAAAAGGCCAATGTGACTGGAGCGTGGGAGAAGGGGGAGGGTGGTAGAAAGAGAGGTTAAAGAGCTAAAAAGGAGCCAGTTCCTGAAGGGCTTTGCAGGTCATGAGGGGCCTTTAACTTTCCCTTGGATGAAATGGAGTGCTAGTGTAGGATTTCCAGTAAAGGAACGACGTGCTCTGACTTAAATTTTAAAGGATCGCCTTGACTGCTGTGTAGAGAATCAGCTGCAGGGGGCCAAGGGTGGAAGCTGGGAGACCAGTAAAGAGACTATAATGGAAATCCCGGGGGGCGGGGGTGGATGGTGGCTGGAACCAGGGTGGTAGCTACGTGGTGGCTCGCCTCTGATTCCCCGTGTAAAAAATGGAGTTTAGGATCCCTGCCCTGTGTGCAGCCCACAGCCTCAAGCCCCCATGGGGATGGAATGCCGGAAACCTCTGGCCAGCGCACTAGCAGCCTGGAGAATACGGAAGATTGTGGCAGGATTGTGGGGCACATGGGCAGCTCCCTGCTCGTCCGGGCCCCTGGTGCCCACGAGAAAACCAAAACAGGTGCGTGCCCCGCGCCGCACGTCAGGAGGGCAAGACTCAGTGGAGGGAGGGGCTGTCCACTCGCTCTAGCTCCCCAGAGGCTGAACAGGGAGAACTGGGAAAAAGGACGCCTCCTCAGCGTCCTAGAACGAGTCCTCGGCACCTGGTATTGCATGCGCCCTAGTATGGGGCCGCTCCACTTGCGCAGGTGTTGGCAACATGCGGGGAGCGCCACGGCATGCCCCCAATGAGCCGACTCCCTCCCCCAACTCTGCCCCCTTTGTCTCGCTGGCCCCTACTCCTTCTGTCTGCCTGTCTGTCCCGTCCCAGGTTCAGCGCGCACGGCCCTGCCGGGGTCCCTCTGGCAGTTGCCGTAGCCGCGCGGCCCGACCCGGGGCTCCCAAGAGGAGAAAAAATCATGAATGAAATGGATGCGCTGCTCCCACTCCTCCGCCCTCCTTGTCCAAGCAACCTTGGCATGGGGGCGACGACTGCGGAGACTCCGCGCAGAGTTGCTCGGGAGAGGGAGGCACCTGAGATGAGGTCAGGGGTTAAGGGTCTGTGATCCGGCCCCCTTCGTGCCCCGGGAGCAGGCCGCTCTCCCGGTCCCCCGCCCCGCCAGCCCTGCGCAATTCCCGGCGAGCGGCGGAAGCCCGCCCGGGGGCGGGGCGGAGCCGGGGCTGGGGGGTGCCAAACCCACCCGGCGGCTGCGCCAGCGACTCTGCAGCTGAAGCGCATTTGGTGAGGCGGTCGGGCGAGGGAGCGCGCACGGAGCGCGGGACGGAGCGCCAGGCGGACGGACCGAAGGACGGAGGCACCGAAGGACGGACGCCCCCGCACACGCAGACGCACAGAGCTCGGCGCGGCCCCCGTCGCATACACACTGGCACAGACACAAGCAGGGACACACGCAGACACACGCACACTCGCGCGCGCATCCTCCCGCCAGCCTGCCCGCCTGCTCGCCGGCGCCCGGAGCCCGCTCTGGCCGGTAAGTGCGGCGCCTCCGTCTGCGCCTTTGTGTGCGGAGCCGGAAGGTGGAGGGCGCGGGTCCCTCCTTCGGGCGGCCCCGCAACTGACACCTTCTCCAGCCCTCCCGGCCGAGGAGCCGGCGCCCGCCCCCGCCACGCCCCCGTGGGGCTCTGGGCGCCCGCATGCTGGGGGAGGGGTCCCCCATGCAGAGGAGGGGGCTTGTCGCTTGGTAGCCGGGAGGGAGCGGCAGCCACTCCCCACGAAGCCCGTGCGCGGTTCCGGGGAGGAATCGGGATAGTGGTTTGGGGTCTGAGCCTCTGCGGCCGGCGGAGGCTGGTGCGCGGCTCTGGGCTGCATCGCCTCTCCGGAGCCTGAAGCCCCTGAGGGAGATTGGAAATCGCCGCTAGCCTTCTGGCCTCTAAAGCGCGGCTCCCAGCCTTCCCATTGCTTCGCCTCCACCGACCCTTTAGCTTTAGCCTCCCGCGTCCCACCCTCCCCTAGAATACAAGCTTAGCGCGCTCCCCTCCCCCAGCATGCTGCTTGTTTCTGGTTGAGGCCCAGGCTCCTGCAAAACCGGAGATTGCCCGGGTCAGAGCCTTGGGAGGCTTACCTTATCAAGGATCACAGGGCTTAGAAGATCAGGGCCAGACGAATCCTGGGAACTTATTCAACCTTCTCATTTTACAGATGGGGAAACTGAGGCCCAGTAAGGTGGCGGACCAAGGTCACCAGAGAGTTAGTGGTAAAGCTTTCATTAGAATCTAGGGTTCCTGGTTTTCATACTCATGCTCCCCTCCTACACAACTAGATCCCACCCACATTGAAGCCCCAGAACCCCAAAATTCACCTGAGTGTACCACGAAAGTGTGTAATTCCAGCCCTGCCCCACTTGGAGGGGCAGGTGCCATTCATTTTCTACCTTCCCTACCTATGGTACCAAAAAAAGGGGAGAGGGGGCTTTAATTTGCTTCCTTCAACCTCAAAGGAGAGCTCTCATAACACTCAAACACTCCGGGTTTGGGATTCGTTTGGGAGAATGAAGAAGCCCAGGACCTGAGATCAGATTCCCAGGCGTTAGTCCTGATCCACCCAGGACACACTGAGCCTGAGTGTCCTCAGTTGGACCAGGTGATGTGGCATCCCAGGATTCGTCCTCTTCTCCACTGTGTCCTGACTGCATGCCCTCCCAGTCACCCTTCCCTCCCGCTTGAGGGCCAGATCTTCTACTCCAACCAGGCCCCTGTAGTCATCCCTTTGCGGAGGTCCCCACCTCTTTCTCCTTGGGGCTCGTTAAGGGCAGCCTCTTGGTGCTGCTGACAAAGCTGCTGGGGAAGCTTGAGTTACAATCACACCAGGTTCGGGTGGTTTCTCAGCACGCGGCTCCCTCAAGGGCAGCCAGGTGTCCCCAGAGCTGAGCCTGATGCCTGGTGCAGAGAGGGTGCCCCGAGAGATGTGTTGAAGGAGTACAAGCATAGACGGATGGTGAAGGGATGGAGTCAGTCACCTTGGAGGAGACTGGATGGAATAGTTGGCAAGGAGGGCAGTGTTCAGTCTCCAGGGACCTGAGGTTCTGGTCTCAAGAACTTCCTTTTTTTATTTTATTTCCATAGATTTTTGGGGAACAGGTGGTATTTGGTTTCGTGAGTAAGTTCTTTAACGGTGATTTGTGAGAATTTGGTGCACCCATCACCCAGAGTATACACTGAACCCAATGTGTAGTCTTTCATCCCTCATCCACCTCCCACCTTTCCCCCAAGTCCCCAAAGTCCATTGTGTCATTCTTATGCCTTTGCATCCTCATAGCTTAGCTCTCACTTATGAGTGAGAACATACAATGTTTGGTTTTCCATTCCTGAGTTACTTCACTTAGAATCATAGTCTCCAGTTCCATCGAGAACTTCCTTTTTGAGGGGGGTGAGCAGCTCATCATGGAGCTGAGCCAGGGTGGCCAAGTGGCAGAACTTCAGGGGCTGCCACTGACAGTGTAGTCCATGTAGATGGCATTGGCTATGAAGTTTACACAGACTTCATAATGAATGGTGGCCCCTGGGTTTTTGCCATGTAGGGATTTCTGCCTTGAGAGTGAAGGGATCTGGATTCCAGTCCCAGTCTCTTCCTCACTGGCTGTACGGTGTCAGTATATAACCCTTTTGGGTCTCAATTTCTCCATCCAAAAAAATAACATCATTGGATTGATGATGTTATGAACTATTTGGCGGTGGGGTGGGAGCACGTATTTATGTAACTGCTATGGGCTTCTTTTGCTTTATGAAGGAATAATTTCTGACTCAAGAATGATGTATGTAGAGTACTTAGTACAGTCCCTAACACATAGAAAATGCTCAGGAATTGGTAGCTAGTAATTCCACTAGGACTCCAGCTTTGTGGATATACCCTATACTTCTTCCTTTCTTCAGATCATCCAAGGACATGGGATTCTTAAGGCCTCAAAGTCCTCCTCCCTCAAAAAATTCCTTTCCCCCTGACCTATTCCTGGACTTCAGGCTCAGCCAGCATAAAACATCTGTGAAAACTCCCTGGGAGGATCAACACTTTTGTTTATTCAACCTTTTGTACGTTAGCGTAATAGAATTTCATAATTAATTTGTATGTAGTGTCAAAAGCTCTTCCTATACTCTGTCACTTACTCCTCATAAGACATCCGTGACAATAGTGTTATCATCCTCATTTTGCAGATAGGGAAATTAAGGCTTGGATTTTCACTTATCTAAGGGTGCATACCTCAAAAGTCTCAGATCCAGAGAGCTAGGCCTCCAGCTCAGATGATCTGACTCCAGATTCTGAACTCTTTGTTCTGTGTCGTATTGCCTGTCCTTTCCCTAGACTTGCCCTAAAAGAGAGGCGGATAACCCCTTAAAAACAGTTGAAAGAGGACTTTTATTCTCCTCACAGGTCAGTAACGGCTTCTTGGAGAAGCCAAGTAGCATTTAAACTGGGTGAATGATTTGTACGTTAGAAGAAAGGAAGAAAACTATTTCGAGGAGTGGAAATAGCATGAGCAGAGGATGGACAGGCATGGGGACTTCTAGGATATATACAGAAACTGGAAAGCAGTTCATTCCAACTGGAGCAAAAAGAATAAAAGAAGGGACTTGAGAAGGAAGGTTGGGTAAGGGGATGGAGGTTATTGGGGGGACATTGACTGCCAAGCTAAGGAGTTGGGAGTCTTTAGTTTTTGAGTGGGGGAGAAACATAATCAAACCGTAACATGATGAAACTCACTCTGGCTACCCCTTGGAGAACAGATTGGATGTGGAGAGCCTGCTGGCCAGAAGCCCAGGTAGGAAATGATGACAATGGTTTAGGTGAGAGATAAAGAGAGTATGGACTGGGGGTGGTTGTAAGAATGGTTAGAAAAAGGAGTTGATGCAAGAGGCCACAGTGTCACTAAAATTGGTAACTGATTGGATGTAGGCACTAACAGGAGGGAAGAATAAGTGATGGCAAGGCTTTGAGGCTGAATGGCCAAGGATGTCATTCACAGACACAGCCCAATAGGAGGAGGAGTGGGAGGCTTAGGAGTAGGGACTATGAATCTACCAGGGACCATAATGAGCCCTCCTGAAAAGCTGGTTCATCAAGCACCCTAAACTATCAAGAACCAGTTCATTCATTCATTTATTCTCTGAATACATATAAACATCTGTTACATGCCAGGTTGTTCTAGCCCCTAGGGATACGTTGCTAAAAAGACGAACTTCCTGCCCAAGCTCTACCAGGGGAGACAGAAGATAAAATTGTTCAGGTGGTGAGCAGTGCTTTGGAGAAAAATTAAGTAGGAAGAGGGATGACTGGGAGGAAGAATGGAGAAAGAGATCTGCCTTTAAATAGAATTGTCTTTGAGGAGGTGATATTTGAACAAAGACCTGAGTGAAGAGGAGACCTGGGGAACAGCATTCTAAAAAGAGGAGACCACAGGTGCAGAGGCCCTGGGGTAACAATAGCTTGGTGTCTTCAAGGAACCTGAAGTGTACCTGTAAGAGACAGACAAAGGGGGAAAGTGATAAGGAAAAAGGTGAGAGAGTGGGCAGAGCCAATCATGTAAGGGCCTATAGACCTGAAGAATGAGAAGCTGCATGATGTTAATGAATCTAAGAGAACACATATCCTATTCACCTTATATTCTTTGTGCCTAGCAAACCAAGCCTGGCCCTTCACAGTAAATCATTGTTGAATGAGTGAATGAATGAATGAATGAATGAATGTTGGAAATGACCATTTATGTGTGAGACTGCATATCTTAGACTTATATGAACCAATAAATAAAGATATTATACCATAGTAAGGGTATAGTAATCTGTACTATGATCAAAATAATAAAGCTCAGATAACTTGAATGCTGTGTTGTCACTCAAGTATGAAAATTTAAGTGAAGTCTGCATATTTTATTCAGTATGGCTTTATATTATAAACACTGCTGTTGACTAAGACGAAATAGTAAAACGTACCTGAAATGACTGTAAAACAATGAAAATAACATTTTTGGTCTTTCTTCATCCTCCTCCCCGCACAAATATACATCCTTCTGGCTTCATTTCAAATTTTCTCTTGCACTCTCAACCATTTCCTTCATAGAGGTTTTAAGGAAACTCATCTCTAACACAAAGACCCATATTTGCAGGACAAGATGCTATCATCTCCAGTAAACTGACAGATTCCCAAAAAGAGAAGGCAGTGGGGAGGGAGAAATTATTTATAGACATATAAATGCTTCGGGCACCTAATCAGTTGTTGAAATGGATCTACAGGTGGAGATGGGAAAACTGGCTGGACCATGTGAGGGGCTAGGTGACATGCAGGCTCAGTCTTAGAATCACAGGATCTCTGGACCCCCAGTCCAGATTCCATCTGCAGCCACAGGTCTGTCACCTGTCATATGTAGAAGGTAGAAACTCAGGTCATCTCAAGGGGAAAAAAGAAAAACAAAAACTAGAAACTCTTTTCTCTTTTAAGCAGTGTTATCACCAAAAGGCTCTTCCTTATCTTAGGGGATTGTGGAAAATAAGATTCCCCCTATTCTAGGCCGGGTGCGGTGGCTCACGCCTGTAATCCCAGCACTTTGAGAGGCCGAGGTGGGCGGATCATGAGGTCAGGAGATCGAGACTATCCTGGCTAACATGGTGAAATCCCGTGTCTACTAAAAATACAAAAAATTAGCCAGGCGCCGTGGCAGGCGCCTGTAGTCCCAGCTACTCAGGAGGCTGAGGCAGGAGAATGGCATGAACCCAGGAGGCGGAGCTTGCAGTGAGCCGAGATAGAGCCACTGCAGTACAGCCTGGGCGAAAGAGCGAGACTCCGTCTCAAAGAAAAAAAAAAAAAAATAGATTCCCCCCATTCTTTAACATCATCTCCATCTTTTCTGCATCTGGTGAGATGTGGAACGAGCATCATGGCCACCGGTGTCTGGCAAAACTCAGTAATTTCCAAACTCTTAGACTGAGAAAAGCTTTTCCCACTGTGCTGCAGCACATGGAACAGAAGCCACCCTCCTTCCTTTGTCCCCATTGAAGCAAGCGTGACTCAAGTTTCTATACCTGGGGTGTAGCATGTTGGATGGGGAGGGGATCCCCTCACACCAGATGCGGGAGATCCACTGTTTGCAGATTTGTAAGGGAACAAGCATCATGGGAATTCCTAACTTTGGGCTAATGTAAGGGATAAACTGTTCACAGCCAAATTTCCTGGTTAGTCCAGTAGCAAAATAAAGACCCTAAATTGCCCTCCTTTTTTGTGGTGAGGTAGTTGGTTGGAGTCATTAGAGAGACACACCAAGTCCTGAAGTGTCTTTCTGAAGAGTCGACATGAAACAGCCCCTCGCCTCCCATTCCTCTGCAAGCCTTTCGGGAGGGATTTGTGGGCCTCAATGGTGGCAGCATATGGGCATCTGGAATCAATTCTGAAGATTCTTGCAAAACTAACAATGTGTGTATTTCATCATCTGCCTAAAGATGTTGTCTGGTATAAATTATAAATTACAGTTGTGAAAATAACCATACTCCATGCTAGAGAACAAACGTAAGATGAACCATCATTTTATATGCCCTATTCTATGTTTTCTGTAAATCTGTATTTTGTAATAGTTGAAATTAGTCCACATATAGGTTTATAGCCTGCATTTTTCACTTAACATTTTGTCATGACTTCTCTGTTTATACTTGGTTGGCTGACCCCTGCTTTATTTAACTATGTCTTTATTGTTGCACATAGTCAATAATGAGCATCTCCAGGCACATAGCTTTTCCATCTCAGAGTCTCAAAGCATCCATCTGAAGCACCCTCAAGAGATATGATGGGATCAAGGTGGTTAAAGAGGGGTGCAAGGAAAAGAACATGTCGTGGCCCTGGCGTCTGGAGTAGAAAAAGAACAGGGAGCTTGGTGCAGTGGCTCATGCCTGTAATCCCAGCACTTTGGGAGGCTGAGGCAGGGGATCATTTGGGGTCAGGAGTTTGAGACCAGCCTGGCCAACACGGTGAAACTCTGTCCCTAGTAAAAATATAAAAATTAGCCAGGCATGGTGGCGCACACCTGCAGCCCCTCCTACTCAGGAGGCTGAGGCATGAGAATTGCTTGAACCCAGGAGGCAGAGGTTGCAGTGAGCCAAGATAGCGCCGCTGCACTCCAGCCTGGGTGACAGAGTGAGACCCTGTCTCAAAAAGAAAAAAAGAAAAAGAACAGGGAACCCAAGAGTTGGAACCAAGGAGAGGATGGAGAGGAAGATAGATCATGGGCCAGGGGGTCAAGGTCACAGAGCCCTAGGGGTGGCAGAGGGACATGCAGCTCTGTCAGATTTCAGAGGGAAGTCTGTCCTTCCAGTGTTTTGTTTGTTTGGTGTGGGAGGCTTTTATTAAATTGTGGTAAAATACACATAACACGAAATTTACCATTTTAACCAATGTTAACTGTATAATTTTGTGGCGTTAAGTATATTTACAGTGTTATACAACCATCACCACTGTCCATCTCCAGAATCTTTTTATCTTCCCAGACTGAATCGCTGTACTCATTAAATACTAATTCCTCATTCCCATCTCCCCCAGCCTCTGGTGACCTCCGTTCTACTTTCTGTCTCCATAAATTCACCTATTCTAGGTGCCTCGTGTAAGTGGCATCATGTTTGTCTTTTTTTGTCTGGCTTCTTTCACTTAGCCTAATGTTTTCAAGGGTCGTCTCTGTGGTATCATATATCAGAATCTCATTTATTTTCAAAGCTGAATATATTCCATTGTATGGATATACCACATTGTTTGGCCATTCATCTGTTTCCACCTTTTGGCTATTGTGAATAATACGGCTATGAACATTGGTGTGCCAGGATCTGTTTGAGCCCCCGCTTTCAATTCTTTGGGGTATATACCTCGCAGTGGAATTGCTGGATCGTATGATCATTCTGTGTTTCACTTTTTGAGAGGTGCAGGGTGCATTTTTTAAAAAGGATTTTTGTGTGCCCAGTATGAAGACCACTGAGTGAAGTCTTAGGAATAGAGAGTCCAGGAAGAAGCTGTTAATTTAAAAACTAAATGTTGTTTGGGTTCTGCATGGCCATGGAGGTAACAGAGAAGAGAGAAGAGGGAACAGAATACAAATGAGTCTGACTCCGTTTCTGAAGAATTGTTGTGATTTAGAGGCATTGTGGGTGGAAAAAGAAAGCTCTCAGGAGAGATCTTAGTGGGTGGAATTGATTCAAGCATGCAAGTATTTACTGTACCAGGCACTGTGGTGGACACAAGGCCCTCAGCAATCAACACGACCACAAGGACCCTGCCCGCAAGGAGCTTAATGTCTAGTGGAGGTGCCAGAGGAGTCACCTGGCAACAGTGGTCTGTACTGATGCATTCTAGGCTCATCATAAGCACTCACTCTTACTGAGTGCTTACTACATTATCTCAATCTTGGTGACAGTTCAGTGAAGACGGTTTCTGTTATCCTCAATTTGCAGGTGAGGAAACAGAGAGCTTGAGTAACTCTATTTCAGGTACGCACAGCAAGAGTCAGAGCCAGAATTTAAACCTAGGCAGTAACTGTGCTCTGTAGGGCTGTGGGAACACAGGAGAGACACCTGCCCAGGACGGAGGTCAGAGAAGGCTTTCCGAAGGCAGGGGTCAGGTGAGTATTTTCACGCAAGTCAGCTGTGTTCTTCTTTAGCCCATGATGTAAAACAGTGCTTTCCTATAGTAGCAGCAGTAGCGTTCAGCCCTGCTTCCAGGGACTCTAGACACTCAGGGAGACCCCTTCACTGAGACTCCACTTCAGAGGAAGATGATCACTTCTATCATCCTTGCTGCTTATCATGAGGCAGGGAGGCTGGGGGTGAGGCATTGCCATTTCCCACTGCCATCTGCTGCCTCTGCTACTTCCCTAGCTGGTCAGCATCTGAGGTACCTCAGAGGGACCTCCTGGGGCCCCTTCGGGGCAGCATCAGGCCAGTGGGCTAAGAGTTAGGCAAATACGAGGCCTAGGAGTGGCAGTGAAAATCATATATCCACCTTCTGTGCCACATCACTGTCCCAAGATACTCCCACCACCACAGAGCCCTGTCTTACCAAAGTACAGATGTGGCCAAGTCTCTGGTGTTTCCATCCTTCTGTGGCTCCCCATAGCTTGCAGCCGTATTTCTCAACAGGGACCTACTGGCCTTTGGGTGGGAGAGTTCTTTGATGTAAAAGCATCCCTGGCCCCATCTCCTATATATTTGCCTGGAGCACCCTTCAGTCATTATAACAACCAAAAATGCTCACACATGTTCTTCAGGTTTACTTTACAAGCAGTCCAATGTATAGATCTTAAGTGTTCTGTTCAGTGCATTTTGACAACTGCATGAGCTCATATAACCATCACCAAGAGCAAGACTCAGAAGATTTCCATCACCCGCAAAAGTTCAGAGATAACGATTATTCCAATTTCTATCATTGTAGATGGATTTTGTCTGTTCCTAATCGTCATATAAGTGGAATCATATAGTACATGCTCTTTTGTGTCATGAAATAGTTTTTAAGAAGCCAGACGCAGTGGCTCATACCTGTAACCCCAGCACTTTGGAAGGCCAAGACGGGTGGATCATCTGAGGTCAGGAGTTCGAGACCAGCCTAGCCAACATGGTGAAATCCCATCTCTACTAAAAATACAAAAATTAGCTGGGCATGGTGGTACACACCTGTAGTCCCAGCTACTCGGGAGGCTGAGGCAGGAGAATCCCTGGAACCTGGGAGGTGGAGGTTGCAGTGAGCCAAGATCATGCCACTGCACTCAAGCCTGGGTGACAGAACGAGACTCCATCTCCAAAAAAAAAAAAAGACATAGTTTTTGAGATCCATCCACGTTGTCACGTTTTCCCCACTAACCCCCAATACACACACAGATTTCTAAATGCCAACTAGCATGGCAATACCTGCCTCTGTCCCCCTGAGAAAAAATGGCCTGTGAGTCAAAGTTAGTGTGTCTTAGGCTGATTCATGAAGCCGTCTGCTGTGTGACAAGAGTCCCTCTTACGTCTACTCTGTGGCTACACTGAGCTGCCTCGTCTGCCTGGCATACCTTGTGCTTTCACCTCTCCGGGCCTTTGCCCTGCAGTGTTCCCTGCCTGGAATGTCCTCCCTGTATCTGGTGAACTCCTGCTTGTCCTTCGGGTCTCTTCTGTGCAGCTTCCCAGACTCTGTTTTTGTGCCCTCCTGAGTGCTCCCATAAGACAGCCTCAGTGGGCCTTTAATGCATTTCTCACTCAACTCACTAGGCCGAATGCTGGGTGGAGGGCAGGGACTGGCTCTTAGTTATCTGTGTGTCCCCCAAGGCTCAGTACAGAGCCTGATATTAAAGAAATTGATATAAGATTATAGTAAGATTATCTTAGAGACAAACTGGGTTTAAAATACAAAATATATTCTGAACCACCCCCTGGAGCTAATAAAGTTGGAGCTGGGCATGGTGGCTCATGGCTGTAATCCCAGCACCAGGCCGAGGCGGGTGGATCACTTGAGGTCAGGAGTTTGACACCACCCTAGCCAATATGGTGAAACCCCATCTCTACTAAAAATACAGAAACTAGCCAGGTGTGGTGGCAGGCTCCTGTAGTCCCAGCTACTTGGGAGGCTGAGGCAGGAGAATTGATTAAACCCGGGAGGCGGAGGCTGCAGTGAGCCTAGATCGCGCCGCTGCGCTCCAGCCTGGGTGACAGAGGAAGACTCCATCTCAAAAAAAAAAAAAAGTGGTCAAAAAAAGACAGTCTGATCTCTGGCTACAGATGATAAATGTAAACTGACTTCCTGCCAGTGAGGCAGAGACCTCCATCCCTTCCCCAGAGGACCTAGCATCATGGGAAGTGGCATGGATGAGTGCAAAGTAGCGCAGCTCAGGGAGTCAAGGGGGCCGGGGCGGGGCCGGGGGGGTGCGGCAAAGATCAGAGTCAATCTCAGAAGGCTGCCTGGAGGAGGTGAGTTCCAAAGGTTTTCAAAGAGGTCTCTGTGTCAAGCCTAGGAGTTGCATAATCAGAGTGTGAGAGCCCTAAAGCATGATTCAAGGCCACCTGGATCGTGGGCCTGATCTGTCCTCTCATGACCCTGGTACTGAGTGTCATGCAGCAGCCCTTCCCTCTTCCTTCACTCCTTTCCACTCATGTCTTTCTTCTTTTTCTCCCACTTGGTCTTTCCTTCCCATCTTCCTTCCAAATCTGAGTGTAAAGGAAAGAGCTGGACCTGCCTTCCATGTTTTTTTCTCCTCTGCACTGGGCTTTCTGTCGTGGGGGATAAAGAGGGGGTTTTATCCCTTGCCCCTTGTCAGCCTGGGAAGTTTACAGAAGCCAAAGTTATGGACAAGAGAGCCAGGGAGCAGCCCGGGACAGGGTGTGGCTCATTACCAGTTTCCAAGTCACAAAAAGTGCTGGGGGAAGGATTGAGCCAGAGGAGAGGTCAACACACCCTAGACTCACTAGGGAGGTTTCCTGGAGGAGACCTGGGCTGAGGTGGGCCTTGGAAGGGCTGGAAACCACAGCACAAAGAGGAGGAGCAGGAAGGCCTTTCCTGGCCAGGCCTGAGTGCAGAAGGGTTAAATTAGGCGGGGGGCAGGGGCCCTGATGAGAAGCTGGAGCCCACAGCAGGGTGTGGCAGGAGCTAGGGGCCGCTCTAGGAGCTGAGAGACTAAGGCAGAAAAGCAGGAGGGAGCATGGCTGGGGCAGGCGGATGTCATGGCAGAGGAGGATTTGGGAAATCCTGTGAAGTGGAGTTTCCAGTTCTTTTACCCGCCCTTTCCTAGGGCTCTGGGTCTGACTTGGGGACCTGGAAACAGCCTGGAGCTCTCCAGAGGGCAGAGGAGGTTCTGCTGGGAAGACCCCTCTCATCCTCCAGCTGCTGTCACCTGCATTGTTCTCATTAGCTCCAGGAACACCTGACAGAGCCTGAGGAAATAGGAAGCAGACCTTTGTAGCTGATGGCACTGCCTGGTACAAAGAGCAGGAGTGTCTCCTGTGTGAGGTTGACTTGGAGGGAGACAGGAAGTGAAGCTTCGAGCCAGGTCAGCAGGAATATGGAGAAGGAGGCCTGCCCAGGACTGCCAAGCTCTCCCTATGTACAGCCCTCGCTTCCCAGGCTTCATCACAACCCTGCAGCTCTCATCGGTGCCATGTTAAGTGGGAGGAAATTGAGACTCAGAGAGGTTAGGACACCGACCCAAGGCCCCTTGTGGAGAAAGTGGCAGAGCACAGCATGTTAGCCAGGTCTCTCTGCCTCTGAATTCATCCTTTTCCCGGAGGACCAGGGTTGCCTTACAATATGTGATCTCAGAATGGTCAGTCTGTCGTGCTTTGAGGAATTCAGCCCGTGACTGAGGACCTCTGTTGACAGCCTGCCCTGGGCCCAGGTTTCCAGCTGTCCACTGGCACAGGGAAAGGAGAGAATCAGCCATCCTTGGCCCAGGACCAGGGAGACCACGTACCTGCTCTCATGTCAGTCCCTAACCTCTCTTAAGTGCCTATAGCTCCTGCAGAGTGAGATAATGATGTTTTCATGGGGTTGTCTCAAAGAGCTAATGAAATAAGGTACTGAGAAGCATGTGGCATATGGTAGGTCTGCAGCTGCTATTTATTAAATTTGAATTCAAGAGGTCAGGCTCCTTTCAACCTTGACTCTTGGTCCCACCTGGGATTTTTTCCTAGTTTACACTCTATTTTTTTTTTTTTCCTTGCAAAAGAGCCTCAAATCCAGCTAATGTTTCCAAACCCAGCCTCGCTGTGTCTTCCCCTCCAGGCCCTGCTTCTGACTCAGTTAGACTCTTCCACCAAACCTGAAGATGCCAAGATCTTCCCAGGTTGCCATGACGTGAGCCAGGCCTGAGCACAGAAGGGTTAAATCAGGCTGAGGGTAGGGGCCCTGATGAGAAGCTGGAGCTCACAGCAGGGTGTGGCAGGAGCTAGGGGCCCCTCTAGTTGCAGGTGGGAGCAAACTGAGCTCTGAACTTCAGCTTTCCCCTCTGTAAGTACATCCCAGCCCCATGAGAAGGAGCCTTGTAAGCAATGAGGAGCGGAGCAGATGCCAGAAGGGATCATCATGGACCATCCGGAGCAAGGGACAGCAGCATGGGCAGCCCAGGCCCAGGGCAGCATGAGGGAAGTCTAGGGATGAAACCAGAGGCATGAAATAATGTGTGATCAGGGTGGGTGTGTAACCAACACAGGCTAGGCCAGAATTCTAGTTCCGGGGTGTATCAGACTGTTCTTGCATTGCTATAAAGAAATGCAGCAATTTCATTATAGCAGTGCAAGAGACTGAGTAATTTATAAAGAAAAGAGGTTTAATTGGCACATGGCCAGCCTGTACAGGAAGCAGGGCACTGGTGTCTGCTTGGCTTCTAGGAAGGCCTCAGGAAGCTGACAATCAGATAGAAGGCAAAGAGGGTACAGGCACATCACACAGCGAAAGCAGGAACAAGAGAGTGAGTTGAGGGAGGTGCCACATGCTTTCAAAAGACCAGATCTTGTGAGAACTCTCGTCAGGATGGCACAAACCATGCAGGATCTGCCTCCGTGACCCACCAGGCCCCACCTCCAACACTGGGGATTACAATTCAACATGAGATTTGGGTGGGGACAAATATCCAAACTGTGTCACAGAGGGAGAAGGGAGAGCTGCAAGAGTGGACAAGGCCTAATCCTAGAAGGCAGAGACTCTGCCCATCAGAGCAGAAGGCCAGTTGCTGGGGTTGGGTCAGTGTCCAAGCCAGATAAGCAACAGTGAGACTGAGTTGAAACTCTTAACAGTAATATTGGCTAACACAGAGCATACAGCGTGCCATGTGCTCGTCTAAGAGCTTCAGGTTTACTCCTCACAACAGTATTTTGAGTTAGGTCCTACTGCTGCTCTATTTTAAAGATGAAGAAACTGAGGCACAGATTGAGCAAAACTCTGGACCTCTGCTGAGACTGGCAGCATGACTCTTCACAATCATAGCTTGAAATTAGCCATGGTGGGAGCATTTACACCATGAAAATTGGCAGAGGGCACAAATCAGGGCCCTTCCTTCCTTCCTTCCTTCCTTCCTTCCTTCCTTTCTTTCTTTCTTTCTTCCTTCCTTCCTTCCTTTCTTCCTTTCTTTTTCTGACAGGGTCTCGCCCTGTAAGCTGGGCTGAAATGCAGTGGTGCGATCATAGCTCACTGCAACCTTGAAGTCTTGGGCTCAAGCGATCCTCCTGCCTCAGCGTGCTGAGTAGCTGGGACTACAGGTGTGTACCACCATGCTCCGCTCACATATTATTTTTTGGTGAGATGGGATCTCACTGTTTTTCCCAAGCTGGTCTCGAACTCATGGCCCCAAGTGATCCTCTTGCCTTGGCCTCCTAAAATGCTGGAATTACAGGTGTGAGCCACCATGCCTGGCCTACATTATTCTTTTTTTAATTCCTGCATAATAATCTCATTTACTTCATCTTGCTCCCAGTGATACAGCAGTTCAGGTCCAGTAAAGAGAAAGTTAAGAACCGGTTTACCAGCACTCCGCAAGATTCATCCCAGAGTCTTCATGGACCTTATCCGTGGGAGGAGAAAAGTTATATTAACTGGGAAACAGGCAAAGCCTGAAACACAAGATGATGACAGTTAACATTTTTAGGAGCTTCCTGGCCCTGATCTACACATTTTCCATGCATCTCATGTAAAAACTTTGTGTGAAGATCAACATTCATTTAATCTCCATTATAACCCTCTGGAGTGTAGACACATTTATCCTTGCTTCACAGATGAAGAAACTGAGGCACAGAGAAGTCAAAATCTTGCCCAAGATCAGGCAGCCAGTGGGGGAGCCTTGATTCATACTGGGGGAGTCCAGAGCCAAAGCCTATGTGTTTACTACTTTTATGGTGTTGTTTGTTTGTTTGTTTGTTTTGAGATGGAGTCTCATTCTGTCGCCCAGGCTGGAGTGCTGTGGCACAATCTTGGCTCACTGCAACTTCCGCCTCTCTGGTTCAAGTGATTCTCCTGCCTCAGCCTCCCAAGTAGCTGGGATTACAGGCGCCCGCCACCACGCCCGGCTAATTTTGTATTTTTAGTAGAGACAGGGTTTCACCATGTTAGTCAGGCTGGTCTCAAACTTCTTACATCAGGTGATCTGCCCACCTCGGCCTCCCAAAGTTCTGGGATTACAGGCATGAGCCACCGTGCCTGGCCCTTTATGGTGTTTTTAATGAGCCATTTGTAAATGCTCAAACATTACCCCACTTTTCATTTTTTTTAACATTTGCCTGGTGCCAGATACAGTATTGGACATGGGAAGCAGAAAAGTCCATATCAGATGCTGTAAACCTAGTGATTTAAATAAAGCCTGGGGTTGAGATAAACTGAGTTTGAAGCCTGGTTCTGCAACATACCAACTATATGACCTTGAGCAGGTGACTTAGTGTCTCCAAGTCCCAATCTCCACGTGTAGGTGGAGGATGACTTTTTACCTCATATGGTTCTAGTGAGAGGTGAATGATGTCATACGTGTGCAGTGCTTGGCACGACATCCAGCACACAATAAGCCTGCAATAAAAGGAAGCTGCGGTAATCACAGACCACAGGTTTATGTCCAGGGAGCTCTGTGTGAGGCTGGGAGACTGGCATCAACAGATAATGACCGTATGGAGGGGTAAGAACAGAAGACGGAGTACCCAGTTCTTCCTAAGGGAGTTGGGGAGGGTTCTATTGAGGAGGTGACATTTGAACAGAGTCTTAAAAGGCAAATAAGAATTTTCCAAGCAGAGAAGGGAAAAGGGGGCTTTCCAGTGGAGGAAAAAGTGCATCCTAAAGCATTATAGGTAGGAGCAAGCATGTAACTGAACGGAAATACCAGAAGACGCCCACAAGAAGTGTGATCACACCTTTGCATTTGTGATTGCCTGTTTTCTCCCGGTAAATTAAACTGCATACCTGGGGGCAGGTGCAGGGAGAGGGAGCAGAATGCAATGTTTTCAGAGTCTTGGAGAACAGAGGATCAGACCGGATAACCTTTGAACTCCAAAATCCTGCCTTTCTATCTTTTGGGTCCGTGACCGCCGCACCATTTATAATCAGGTAGGACCATCCACAGCATCAAATCACAGCTGAACCTGGACTCTCTTAATAATTGGCTCAGGCCGGACATGCTTGCAGGTTGGGCTCCATGGACCAAGGCCTGTTTCCCTGATGCTGTGAGCGCCCTCTGCTGGTTCACTGCCGTTCCACCCTCTGCCTCGTTAAACCTGACAGGCCTGGAATTGAAGCCTGACCTCTAAGGAAAGGCCCTTAGAGGTCATCTCATTCAGGCCCTTTGGTTTTCATTTGGAGCTACTGAGATTCAGATAAGGGAAATGACTAGCCCAAGGTCACACAGTAGCCTGGGACTAGAGCCCATGGCTTCTGGGCCCTGGGCCAGTGAGTGTATTCGTCATGGCACTGATGGAACACAGCTGCCACCAACACAGGCTCCCCACCCAAGCCAGCCTCCCAAACTCCCCATGCAAGCTAGCCTCCCAAGGCCTGCTTCCTGGGCTGTTGCTTCAAGTGGAGAAACCCGAGGTCGTGGTCCCGCGCAGGACTTCCAGTCGTTCTTCTGGGGAGAACAGCAGTGATCCCAAGCAAGGACACAGGCACAGGGATCTCCCTCTTGCTCCTTCACTCGTTTGCTTGGGTCACTTCACCCCCTGAGCCTTAGTTTTCTCGTCTGTAAAAATGGTGATCATCACATGCTACTCACATAGATTTATGGTGAGGATTTTTTAAAAGAACATATAGAAAGCAACTGCCATGATATGCTGTCTCTTCCTATTGTATTTGCGGAATATTTTTTCTTACCAAAAGCTAAAAAGTGAAAGAGAGGTTAGGAATGTGGGCAATGGGGGAAGTTCTGTGATAACTAGCTGTGTGGCCTTAGGCAGGTCACTTTACTTCTCTGAATTTCCATTTCCGCCTTTAGAAAATGCAGGAAACGTTAGTACGTTCCTCCAGGGGCTGCTGTGAGGACTGAGTTTGCTAACACCTGCCCTGGAGCAGTTCCTGGCCTGTGTGGTCCGGGTGCAGTAGTGACAGCTGCCCTTTCTGTTGTGAAGATACTGTCATTGTTATCCTCTTCGGTCGGGAGCTAAGATGTTACTGAACAGGTGGTCCGAAGATTGCTTCTGCCCTTTTTCCTGCTTCCTTTCTCTCTCAGATCACCTCCTCCTGTTCCCTTCCATCCTCACCAACCTGACCATGAAATTTTAAAAGTGTAGATTTTAAAAGAAAGCCAAAGTGGCCCTGAGAAGAGGCTGGGAGGGTCCACAGAGTCTGAGCTGAATCACTGTGAATTTCTGACCCTCCACCCCAAAGATGTATTTAGGACAGAATGTGTTGGCTTCAATCATGAGCCCCTGGTCTCTCTCAATGCTGCCTATGCAGCTAGCCCCTGCTACTTTGGTCCCAGCAGGGTGGCCAAAGCCAGCAAAGAATCTGTGTGTGTTTTTCCTGCTCCCATCCCACCCAATCTAGGAATTTGGCAGGACGAGGGCTCCTCAAGCCCCCTCCAGCCCCCTCCTCCTCAGAGTACAGGGGGAAGCTGGTAAATTCAGTTCATACTGGACCTTTGGACCAGACCACAGACACCTGCAGGCCCAGCAACGCCTTTCTGTTGTCAGCGAGGGAGGGCACATGGTCCTGGGATGCCTCTCTTGTCCAAAGGCTGCCCCAGACAACTTGGCATTGTTCAGAGCCCTTTGTCTACACCTGCTTCCCCACCACCACCACCCTCATTTCTCTGCTGTGCCTTTGTTGGTGGTTTGCACAGATCCTGAGCACCTGCTGTTCACCAGTCACCATGATAGTCAACATTCACCTTTCTCATTCACTGGTGATCTTCACCGCCATCCTGTGTGGAAGGTGTTGTCATCCGTGTTAGACATATGAGAAAAATTTAAGGCTCAGAGTGATAAAGACACTTTCCTAGAGCCACACAGTTTGACTAGAGCAGAGTGAAGACCTATCCCCAGGGAAGGCTTCCTAGAGCAATTCAAGATTAAGCTGGAGCTTAAAGTCTGAGTTTGATTTTAAGGAGGGGTGCAAAGAGGTGATGGCCTTCCAGGCAAGAGAGACAACGTAAGCAAAGGGTGAAGGGAAGGATGTCCTTCATGGTCACGGGGGTGATGAGGAGGCAGTTACGGTCTGAAATCAGAGTGACTGGAGCAGGTGGCCCAGCAAGGGGGCAGTCCCCAGCTGCAGTCCCAGGCTAGGATGCCCCATCTCTTACCTGATTGACACACCCACCTTTTTGGCTGGTCTCCTGCCTCCCAAGCCAAGAATCTATTCTTAGAACTGGTTGATTTTTTTAATCCTTAATATCAGGTATGGAAGAAATGTCTCATTATGCTCCTTAAATGAAATTAGCCCAGACTCAGAGCTCCCCAGCATCCCTATCTGGTAGGAAATTCAATCCCAGCCATCACTGGAATGACTCTGACCCACTGCTGTGACCCCCATGCCAGGGATGTTTCAAGGAAACCACACTGATTATAGCTGAGATACCCCAGCCCCACTGAAGAGCCCCTCTGGGTCTGCAGACTCTGTGCCTTCTGTCGGGAGGACGCCGTGTGGGGTGCAGCGGAAGCCCTGCAGGCTGAGATCCAGCCCTCTCTATGCACTCAGTGCCACCCACCCACACACCAGGCACCAGTCATGAAACTGATGGGCTCTGTCACCTTCCCAGGCCCGGAGACCCCCTCCCCTTCCTCACACCCCCACCTCCCTGACAAAGAGACACCCGCCCCCAGGTGCTCCAGCTTTTACAAAACAAAGACTGGAAGGATAGCTCCTCCAGGAACTTGGCCTTTGGTCCTGCAGCCAAGCCGCCTCTCCCAAGGGAATATAGGTCTGTCTTACCTCTCTGGAAAGAAGGGGAGGGAAAAGGAAAAAATTCCAAGTGAGCGGTTCACCCCCTTTCCACACTCCCCTTTTAGACTACATTTCTTTCTAGTCCTTGAATGTGTCCTGCTTTGTGTCAATTCCAGGCCCGTCCACATGCCCTCCTTCTACCTGGAGCACCCCACCCCCTCCTGTCTCATCCCACGGCCTCTCACCCCCACTCCTCTTTCACATCTCACCAGAGATGGCCCTTCCTGGGTACCAAACGTCTCCTGAGTCCTCTGCCTCCTTAGGGGTCTGGCTGGCACTCCCAGGGCACCCTGCTCGTCTCCCCGCACACGGGTCACCTGTGTCACCATTGCCTTTTCTTCTTACCTACATCCCCCATGAGATGCTTGTCGTTCATTGTATTCCCAGGGTCCCACACGTAGCCTGAACATAGCAGGTGTTTAGTAAACGGGTTGAACAAATGAATGGTCCAATCCCTGAATCAGACTCAAATGAAAAATGGACAACTGTTGCCCGAGCCCCTCAGCAGGCTGGGCCTACCCTGCACTTTTCATCTTCCCTTCCCTGGGGTCCCTGCCATGCCCGCACCCACTTCTCCCACTCAGAGAAGAGGAGGGATGGAAGGGAAGTCATTTGTCTGGGCACATCCCAAGCAGAGAACACTCAGACCCTGTGTTTGGGATCCAGAACACTCAAGTTTGCAGTCTGCTCAGACGTGAGGACAGATGGCTGGACAGTGGACAGCTGGGCAAGGAGGGTAGGCAGCTTGGCAGGACGGAAATAGCAGTGAACTAAGCATTGGGAGTCCTGGGCTCAGAGCCTATTCATTCCACGAGTTTGCTGCACGCATCAGTCTGGGTTCTGTGGTTGCCAGCAACAGAAGAGGACTCTGAGTAACTTAGGCAGAAAAGATATTTATTAGAAGGCTTTGGGGTATGATATAAATACTGAGTTCTGATTCTGGGCTGTCTGTGTAGCAAGAGGCAAGCAGGGCACCAGGGGAGGAGAAAGGTGACTCCCAGAAGGAAATCAGGATTTTAACTACCTGAAAGCAAATTGTTGGCACACTGTGTGACCTGAGACTAGTCACTTAATCTCTCTTTGCCCCGTTTTCCCAGCTGGATGATCTGAAGCTGCCCTCTCTCCTTCATTTATATCACCAGCTTGCTTTTTGCTGAGAAAGCTTCCTGCCCTGGAAGATGGCACCCTTCCCCATCCAGACACCTTGGGAATGAATTATGAGGGAGCCAGGTGAGTGAGCGTTTACGCCGTCCCCCTGCAACCCGCCCACTGAGGAGGCCAAGCCTTCTCCATCTGGATGCTCTGGGACACGTGACCCATTCTCATGAGGTGTTCAGCCTGATCATTCCTTTTCCATGAAACCAGCATGCCCTCTGCCCCTGCCTGCTGAACGTGCTGATGAAAATCTGGATGGCATTATGGGCCTCTTCCTGGCTATGGTTTGGCCATCTTCTTTAATTGGGATGCTCCTAGCTGGAGTCTGCCTTCCTAGAGCCCCTAAAGCTACCAACCCTGAGACCCTGCCACTACCCTGCATTTGGCCTTTAAGGTGTACATCAACAGGCTCAGGCCCTGTGCTAAACACCTGGGATGCAGAGGTGGTTGAGGGGGTGAGGATGCTCCAGAGTCGGAAGTTGGTGGGAGAGGCAGGTGCATACACAGCTAACTATAGCAGCAGAACAAAGTAAGAGACAAAGGGACATATGAACCAGGTGTGTGGGGGAGCCCAGAAGTGGGAGGACGCAGTTCTTCCTGAGAGATCAGGGAGTGCTCCGTGGAAGACGCACCGCCTGAGTCGCACCTTGGAGAATGAGTAAGATTTGACAAAAGGGGAAAAGGATCTTCCAGGCTGAGGGAACAGCACAAACAAGGCTCGAAGGGAGGAATGGACAGGTTTGATTCAGCGAATAGAGATGTCAGGTGGGGTTGGAGCTTTAAGAGGGTGGTAGGAGCTCCACGTTGACAGTGAGGGGTATTTACGGGGTACCAGGAGCACAAAGCCCAGGATAGAGGGCATGTCTGCCTGGGCTTGGCTCAGCCTCACACCCAGGAATCCTGGCTTCAGCATCCCAGTTCCCCCTTGCTCCTCACCGACCTTGGAAGCAGGCTCAGGCTCCCTGATTGGCTCAGCAAACCAGCCAGCTCTTTCTCTGCATAAGTCCTGGGCAAAGCTGGGACTTCATGTTAGGAGACTCCAGGATGTCTCCTAATAGCACCCCCCATCCCCCACTCTACCCCCCAGGCAGAGGGGCGGTGCCTTTGTTAGAACACTTCACCCAGCCCACGGCAGCAGCTGTTCTGTATCTTCTGCACTGGCCGTGAACTTCTAGAAAATGGGGTGGGTGGTCTAGGCTGGATCTCCAGCACCCAGCACTGGTGGCGTAGCTGCACAACGCATTACCTTCACACATACGAACGAGCAGAGGAAGGTGATGACCTTCAAGTTACAACAGGCTTGGAGTCTGACCACCATATTTTCATAAGTGAGGCCTCAGACCCAGAGCGCAGAAAGGATTGCCCAAAACCACAAGCGTGATGGGAGGAGAGTGGAAACAGAGCAGTTTGGTTCACAGGAGCACTACTCACAAATAGCCAAAAGGTAGAAACAAGCCAAATGTTCAACTGATGAATAGATAAATAAAACATCGTCTGTCCTACAGTAGAATATTATTCAGCCTTGAAAAGGAATCCATGAAAAGGAATGAAGTACTGATGTATGCTACGGACTTGCTAAGTGCAAGAAGCCAAACACAAAAGCACAAAAGGCTACATATTTTATGATTCCATTTATATGAAATATCCAGAATAGGCAAACCCATAGAGACAGAAAGCAAATAAGCCGTTGCCAGGGGCTGTGGGGAGGAGGACAGGGAGTGACTCCTTAATGAGTACAGGATTTCCTTTTGGGGTGACAAAAATATTCTGGAAGCAGATCATTATGATGGTTGCACAACATTATGAATGTATTAAATGCCACTGAATTGTACCCTTTAAAATGGTCAAAATGTTGAATTTTATGCTATGGGAATTTTAGCACAGTAAAAAGAGTAGTTTCAGACCAGATCGGACGCTACCAGCTGGGTCTAAAGTCCATTCCTTAAACGTAAGCTGCTGCTCCCCCACTTCGTGTTACAGACCTACCCAGCCAGACCAGGTGTGAGAGAGCCAGCATCACTCTCAGTGCAGGGAAGCCACAGGGAAGCCACATGATCAAGTGGAAGAGGGCTTCCCCCGCCACCCCAGGAGGCAGGATTCCTGTCTTCTAGGCTGCTTCTTGCCCACGTGCCTCTGCTGAGGCCTAGCCCCCATCTGCTGCTCCATCCCACTGACCAGCCTACTTCTGATGGCACCAGATGTTCCACACATCTTGGGCCTCCATGCCTTGCTCTTTCTATTTGCTCTACCCAAGAAATCCTTTTCCCAACCCCCCATTCACCTAAAAACATATTTTAAAAACCAGTCCCTGGCCGGGCGCGGTGGCTCACGCCTGTAATCCCAGTACTTTGGGAGGCTGAGGCAAGCAGGATCACCTGAAGTCAGGAGTTTGAGACCAGCCTGACTAATACGGTGAAACCTCGTATCTACTAAAAATACAAAAATTAGCTGGGCATAGTGGCAGGCACCTGTAATCCCAGCTACTGGGAGGCTGAGGCAGGAGAATCACTTGAACCGGGGAGGTAGAGGTTGCAGTGAGCTGAGATAATGCCTCTGCACTCCAGCCTGGGCAACAGAGTGAGACTCCGTCTCAAAAATTAATTAATTAATTAATTTAAAAAAAAACCAGCTCCTGTCTCCCCCTTGGAGAAGACTTCCTCTTCCCCTTGCCCCTCCCACAAATGAGCAGAGCCTTCCCCAGGATGGTCACATGCATACATCAATTAAAGCAGGCATCAGGGTACAGTCGTGTCTGCATGTCTGTCTCCCTGAGAAGACTGGGAGCCTGCAAGGAGGGGCCTGGATTATTCATCACTGTATTCCTAGGGCAGCTCCAGGCCTTGCTCACAGGAGGTGCTCAGCACACGCCTGTTGAATGCGACGATGGCTTTGGGAAGCTACTTTCACTCCGGGACATCCTCCATCAGTGAAGTGGGGGCAGGCTGGGTGATTTCCAAGTCCCTTCATCCCTGGTGGTCTCTGGTTATAAGGGAAGCAGTGGTGGGGGCAGCCCAGCAAGTGGCTGCTGTTGTCACAGGCCAGTGTTCTGTTCCTGTTGCCTGGCTGATAGAAGTGGGGAAGGAGAGAGCAGGAGCCTTAGCAATCCAATAAAAGCAGCTATTTCTGCTCTTGGTGGGGAGGGAGGAAGGCAGCGCCCAGAGACTGGGTTCCCCATCCAGCCTGAATGGGCCATGTATTTTCTTTGGAAAGCTAATTAAACCCTCCTCTGGACAGTCTAGACACGCAGGCTGTGGCTGGGGTTGCCTGGAGTCCTTCGACTACAGGGAAGAGCAGCAGAGGCTCTTGCTCCATTTTCCTTTGCAGTCAAGAGGTGCTACTCGTTCTGCTTTTCTGGTTATGAAATTAGTCATTTTCTAGGAAGCTTATTTATAGAGTCCACTGCACACATGAAGCACTGAGCTATTCTGAACACAGCTTGGGGCCTGAGAGGCTTAAGGTGTGAAAGCAGGTGTGAGTCACACATGGGTCCCCTTCCAGAGGTATCTGGATACTGTGCCTTTCTGTACCCAGCCAGGGGTCAGCCCTCATGGGCTGCCATCCAGCTAGGTGCTCGTTAGGGTAAGGAAAGAACAAGTTTAGGATTGGAAGGTTGGGGGTGGGTGCTCTCAAACACAATCCCTGTGGCCACCACCAACTCAGTATAAAATGTGGGGCAAGTCAGACCCCATTCTCTGGCTCAGTTTCTCCTCTGTAAAATGAGAGGCCTTCCAGATCTGTGATTCTCTGACTTCTGTGGACAACAGCTGTGGAGGAGAGCTCCCAGCTACTTAGCAAAGACCCGTCCACAAAGCAGCTCAGATGATGGCTGTGTTTGAGATTCCTAATGTTTTCTCAAGAACGTCAGGTCAACATTTACTTATTCCATAAGTGTTTATTTATTGAACATCCTACTACGAACCAGGCACTGTGCGAGGCTTTGAAGATACAATGGTAAATAAAACAGAAATAGTGGACCCTGCCTTCATGAAAGCCACAGTCTAATGATGGAGACAGATGTTGAATAATGGCATATATTACAGTGACATTTCTAACCGTGTCAAGTGCATACCATGTGAGAGAAAAGCATGTGGAAGGTGCTGTGAGGAAAGAGCCTTCCCAGTGTGGCTGGAGTGCAGAGGTCAAGAGGGAGAGGGACTTAGGGTAAGCCTGGAGGGATCCACAGGGACCAGACCACCCAACATCTATGAACTATGCCAAAGGATTTTTCTTTGTTCTAAGTACAATAAGGATGCCATGAAAATATTTTTTCAAGAAAGGTTATGTGATAAACGTTGAGTTCTGAGGAATTGATTCTAGCTCCTCTCTTCTGGAGAAGCGTTCACCATGCCACTTTCCATTGCCTGGGGCAGAGGGGACTTCCACATCCAGTTGTGCAGTTTGTAAACTGCACAGATTTTCTGTGCCATAAGCACTGGAGCCATGTGGAGAATGTTTTGGAGGCCAGCCCGAGTGGATGCCAGCAACCAGTTAAAATATTGCCACAGCAATCTAGGCAAGAGATGATGGTGGCTGGGACCAAGATGGGGAGGGAGAAATGTGGAGGGACTCCAGAGACATTTAAAGAATGCACTTAAAGTTACCTTGAAGGAAGTGACCTCCTCTCTGCAGGAGTGCTGGGCTCTAGGACTTGTGATTCTCAGAGACCCTGGCAATTGGGTTGAGGAAAAAAATAAAATGATATAATGCCAGTTGAAAAAGAAGATATCAGAGGGAGAAGGGCCACCCTGAACCTGACCTCTCTGCCCTTAATTATTTAAAATCTGGAATTGGGCCTGAAACTGGCCCTAGGGCCAGTCCAAGAAGCAGGATAGCAGGACTTGGGGGCAGAGAAGCAGCTGAGCCTCTGGAATTCCTGAAAGTATGCTAGCAAGGCTATGTCAAAGGTTCTTTTGGTTGCCAGTTTCAGAAATCACATCCCACTGGCGTAAGCTAAAATGTGGGGATTTATTGGAAGGATCCACGGCCATCTTATGGTCTTGAAGGGCATATTGTCCAAGACTCAGTACAGATGGGAACAAGGCAGCTCTCAGGCCCTCAGCAGCAGGTCTTCTCTCCAGGGCACTGTGGCTACCATGATTCAGCACCAGCAAAATGCATCAGAATGCATTTTCAGTGTGCAAGGGAGAGGATCTGATTGACCCAGGCTGGTTTGTGTGTTCAGCCTTGGATCAGTCATCAGCTACTGCCAAGGGTCAGAGACATGAAAGGCAGACAAGGCCACTGGAGCCCACGCTGCATTTCAGGCCATTCCCAGGGTAGGGGACCCCCTGTGAGTCAAGTGGTTGCCCTCAAGATATGTCTACTCTCAAGATGCTTCATGGGGTCTAGCTGATCTCCAGCAACATTTTTCCAGCTTGCCAGGTAAAGGAGAAAAACTAGACCCCCATACTCTCCTATAAGGTGCCCTAATAGGCTAGAAAGAGGGTTCTCTGATTTCAGGAAGGAAACATTTAGACTATACAAAACATGTATGTAACTACTTTTTCTAGCTATTCTGGAGAAGAGTTCTGCATACCACTTTTCACTGCCTGGGGCAGAGGGGACTTGCATATCTTGGAGAGCTGGACACAGGATTGTGGGTTACTCAGAGCCCTCTTCTTGTCCACCCATGGTTCAAAACTACTGGAACTAGGAGACAGAATGGCACAACAGCGAGAGCATGAGCCTGGAGTCCTAGGTCATAATTTCAAACTCATCTCTATTCTATTGAGCTGTGTGACCTTGGGCAAGTTACTTAACCTCTCTGAGCCTGTTTAATGATCCCTCATTCATGAGGTCATGGTGAGGATTTAATGTGATAAAGTTTGCAAAGTGCTTGCGTATAGTAAATCCTCCTACTGTAGAGGTGATGATGATGGTGATGATGATGATGATGGTTGTGATGATACTGCTGCCACTGATTCCACAAGGAAGACACCTGCAAAATTCTGCTCCTGCCTCTGCAGCTTGACCCCTCAACAGGCTGGTATTTTCCTCAGGTCCCTTTGATGGGGTGGGGTTATTCAAAGGGATACAGAATACAGGAGAGGGAGCCTTCTTATCTTTGCTCAGGGTTTTTGTCTTGATCCTGGCTCAACAGCATATTCTTACCTTTTCCATCCTGCTGCAGGAGTGAGAGAGAGAACCACGCTGCTGATGACTCCGAGGGAGGGGCCCTGGACATGTGCTGCAGTGAGAGGCTACCGGGTGAGTCTTCTCAGCACCCAGCTCCTCCCAGACCTCAGAATGGAGAGACAATGCCCCGGCTGAAGCTGGGGCTGGAGTAAAGCCTAGCTAGCTGTGAACTTGCGCAAGAATATCCATGCAGCTGCTCCATAGCTCTTCGTTTAAATGGGGACTTGTTTTTCTAATCCCTGATGCCTTCTGACCTGTTATCACTTGGAGCTGCTCTAGGCTCACATGGAGGGAAGAGCAGGCAATTGAAGGTGTGCTAGGAAGTGAAAAGAAGGACGAAGAGCTGAGGAGTACAGGGCTCCTAGGGAATGACCACTGACCATTCAGGGCTGGGCTGACTTCAAGAGGTAAGGGTAGGAAGCAAAACCTGAAGGCAGCATGAGCCAAGGATGGGGTGGGGGATGTGGAGAACTACCTGACCTCCCTGTTGAGAAGCCCGGCTTGAGGGTGAAACTGTGCTGCTTGAGTCCAGTTGACCACAGTTGCAGGGAGCCAAGCCATTGCAGCCACCGTGGAGATATTACCAAGGCACTCTTGCCCACAGGGTGGCAGCTCGTCCCAGTTGTAGCCCCATGACCCACGCCATGATAAACAGCCTCAGAAGGAAGAAAAAGAAGGGGTGGGGGGAGAGTTTTACATTTTTTTATAAGTTTTTATTGTTCTTTTCCTTCTTATAACAAAAGGTTAACTGTCAAAATATTAGAAAATAAATACAAATAAAAAAAGAAAAATCGCCATAATCCTGTAACATAGCATATATTTTCATATCTCTCCTTCTGAACATTTTGTTAGAAGACAAGTCTTTTGGGCCAGGTGCGGTGGCTCATGCCTGTAATCCCAGCACTTTGGGAGGCCAAGGCGGGCAGATCACGAGGTCAGGAGATCGAGACCATCCTGGCTAACATGGTGAAACTCCGTCTCTACTAAAAATACAAAAAATTAGCCAGGCGTGGTGGCGGGCGCCTGTAGTCCCAGCTACTTGGGAGGCTGAGGCAGGAGGATGGCGTGAACCCAGAGGGCAGAGCTTGCAGTGAGCCGAGATCGCGCCACTGCACTCCAGCCTGGGCGACAGAGTAAGACTCCGTCTCCAAAAAAACAAAACAAAACAAAACAAAACAAAGACAAGTCTTTTGAACTCTAACGTTGAAATTCCAAACCTGTAGCTTTTCAGAGACCTCATGATTGGCAAGGAACCTTAGAATGGAGTCTTCACGTGATACTCTTTAAGATAGACATTGGAAACAACCAGGTATGAGTCTAAAGCGATGACTCTTCAAAATAAGTGGTATTTTATTCACACCACACTCAGTGCCCCAGCTCCTGAGGAAGCCCTTTGATGCAGTTCATACCTTAACCAGTAGGGGGTGCCATTGCTCAAAACACTTGGGACAGCCTGTTGAGACGGTCTAAGATGGGACCGTCTGTCTAGAAGAGAATTCTCTGAAAAGATGTGAGAACTTCCTGAATATCTGAATGGCTGTCTTGCGGAAGGGGCAGCAGATCTATTCTGTGTATCTTAGGATGACGTAAGCCCAAGGCATTGAAATTAAAAACAGGCCTTTGGCCCATAGACGCAGAACTCTCTGACTCTAAAAGTGGTCCAGTCATAGAACTCAATAATTCCAGAGGAAGAAATGCGTGTTCCGTCACAGGAGGCATTCAAGTACTAGATAGATAGACAATGGAGAGGAAATTTCCACAATGGATGGGAGGTCCAGATGACATCAGAAGTCCCCTTCAACTATTAAACAGTTCTGTGATTCAGATATGAGTCATAGAATTCGGAGATGACTCTACAATCAGGGATGGCACCACTGACTAGAAGAAATCTGCAGAAAATAGGACAGGATGAATAGGAGTCCAGAGAGTAGCACGGTGTGGAGGAAGAAAGAGCATGGGATTTGGCGTTTGAGTCCGCCTGTTCTGCTTCAGGCTGTGTGTTTATGCACAAGTCACTTAACCTTGCTGGAGCTCCAGTCCCTCATCTGTGAGCAGAAACAATAGCAATATGAATATTTATCCTCACAAGTGTCCTGGGGGAATAAATAAATGTAACCACTCAGTCATTCACTCAAGTACTTATTGAGCACCTACTAGGTCTCAGGTACTAGGTGCTAGATATATAGAGGTAAATAAAACAGACATAGTCCCTTCCCTAAGGAAAGTTCATGGACAACTTCAGCTCTGAGCTGCTTCTGCAAAATGGGATGAAGCCGCAGCAGAGAGGCTGCAGTAATAAGCATAATAGGTTAAATCCCAATGTTCTCTCCCATTTCTCCCCAAAAGCAAGCAACCAGTGTAGAATAGAAGAGTTTTGGTCATGGAATATCCTAGGAAATCAGTGTCATTTGCTACCCCTTCTTACAGATGAGAGGACCAAGGCCCAGGGAGCTTAGGCAGTCTGTCCAAGGTCACTTAGCTGGTAGAGGGAGGATTCACTCCAGGCAGTCTCTCTCAGTAGCCCGTGTCGTCACCGCTACCTTGTTCTGCCTCTGTTGTCCCCATGGAGCCACTGTCATCTTCTGGCACCCTGTGGACTGAGGCAGAAAGAGTTTAGGTGCGTTTGTTCCAGACAGGAGTTTGGAGGAGGTAGACAACGTCCCTGTGCCTGTCCCTATCTGTGTCCTTCCTCTGGGAAGTCCTGCTTGCAGAGGCCGAGCAAGTTGTGTGACCCTCTAGACTCCCACGATGCTGTCCTGATAGGGGATTGCAGTAATTATTTGCCTCCTCCATGGGGTCATGAGCTCTCTGAAGGCAAGGACCTCTCTGTTTCATTTCTGCATCCTCCATGTCCAGCATGTATTCACTCATTTCTTCATTCTGTCACTACTGATTGAGCACCTACATGTGCTGGGCACTGTTGTAAGCACTAGAGATTGAACAGAAATCCAAACTGAAAACAGTTCCCACCCTCCCAGGACAGTATTATGTGCTAGTCAAGAACAGGGACTCTGGACCTCAGCTTGGCCCCACCACTTACCAGTAGATGATCATGGACAAGCTACTGAATCTTTCTGGACCCCCCATTCACAATATAGCAAGAACAATATTCACTGCTGTGCAGAGTTGTTAGAGGATTCAGTGAATTAACAGAAAGCTTAGAACAGTGCCTGGCATATAGCAAATGCTGTACAGACATTTGCTATTAAGGAAAAATAGACAACAAATAAAATAAGTAAGTCATGCCACATAGTATGGTTAATAGTAGTAAGTGCTATGAAGACAATTAAAGCCATGAAGAGGGGGATGGGAAAGAACTGGGGAATGGTTTGACATTGTGAATAGGGTAAATTCACATTGAATTTGTGGAAATCTACTCTACACCAGAGCCTGGTGTAGAGTAGACTTCCACAAATGTTTGTCAAGGACACTGACCTGTACTGCAACTTGGACATAAAAGGAAATGGGAGTTTGTAGGCCAAGAGAGTTGGAGTGTTAGGCCTTTAGAAGGAGCCCATGAGCACTGCAGGCAATTGCATAATGATGGTATAAAAATCCAGCCCTCAAGTACTCTTTCCACTCTCTGTCTTACCCAGAGGCGAGGCAGAGTGAGGGCCAGCCATGCCTGGTGGCTCATTCGTTCCCACACCCACCTTCAGATGGGGGCAACATGGCCAACACTCCGAGCCACCACGATCACCCAGATCTGAGCCAACACAGGACAGGTCATACAGTCCCATCAGAGCTTTCTTGGTGGAAACGTCCTCAGCATCACCAACACTCCCTGGGAGCTCCCCCCAATGCCCCAGAGCCAGGCATGCTGCCTCACAGCCCCTGGGACACCCCCCACATGTGCTCTCGCACACTCGTGTTTGTGCTCACTTGTCATAGCCACATGCTCCCCGATGCACATGCATGTTCCCACGCACAGTCACCCGGGCACGTGGCCTGCCTCTGTCTCACACAGCCCTGCAGGGGCGGACGCACACCTCCAGGCTCACACACCTGCATGCCTTCCTCTTGCACACTCACCTCTCTCAGCTCCATCCCTCCATCCCGCGGCTTCCACTCTGCATGCTTCCTGGTGATGTGCTTGCTCTCTCATTCCCTCCTTAGGTGTCTTTCTCTTTCTCCCACTACTGTACCCCTTCTTCACGCACACTCTTGAAAATGACTAGGCAGACTCCTTTTCTCCCTCTCCATTCTCTGTCCTCTTCTCAGGCTCTCAGTCATGCCCAGCTCCCCGGTACTGTGGGGGCAGTGAGTGTCTACCCCACTGCCTTCCCCACCCCTGTGCACATGTGCACACATGTATTTTTCTTCTCCCTCATGCACACACCCTTTTTCATGTGGTCACCCTCCTCTTCTCTTTCACTCTTCCTTTCTTGCTCACTTCATTTGCTCACAGTCACCCAAACACTTTGGTACATTCAAACTCACAATCTCTCTTCTTCTATGTGTAGGTGTTCACATTTGCAAGACACCAGGTGGCACTGCTAATGTTGGGGACTCCACTCCTTCCCCCATCCAGCACCAGTACAGGCCTAGCCCAGCATAGTCCTAGCTCCCAGCAGCTGCCGCGGAGGTACAAGGTAGAAGAAGGAGGTAGATAAAGCAGCAGTAGGTGCCAGTGGGGGCCAGCACATGGAATAGAGCAACATCACCAGGTGTTGCTCTCAGCAGCATCATCATGCAGACTCGTGGGCAGGCCTGCAGGGACCAAGGTCAGACTGCCAATAAAGACCCTCGCAGTATACCACCCCTGCTCAGTCCTGCACTGCAAGGGCCATTGCTTGCGTGCATGCATGTGGGCAGGCCAGTCTGTATGTTCAAGCTTGGTCCACACTCCACCCTAATAGCTACTCCTTGGCCACCCCTCAAACCTGAAGATGCGTAAGCAGGAGACAGTGTCTACCCTCACAGGGATGTACCTGAGCAAGAGACCCATGCAGGCTTCAAGCCATTTGGGCAGGAAATCCTGAAGTCCTAGTAGTTAGAGTGTATCCTGGAAAGGGGAACATGGACACCAGCTGCTAACAGACTCTAGTTGAGTATATCTCCTGAGCCCTATGGACTTCTCTGCTCATGGGGAGTGCCATGGACAGAAGAGACGGGGCACAGGGCCCAGGTCTAAGGACAACGCTGCTCTTGGGAACAAAGTACTCCTGGAGCCTTCCTGCGGGCAGCTGGCTGGAGCCATGACAATCCCTACCAACCTGAGATTTCAGTGTGTCATGATTAGCTGGCTTTATGCAAGGTCATGAGTATGCTGAAGGCCTGAGTAGGCCATTGCACTTTTGGTAGGAACAACTGGCCTCTTGGGCTGGTGATTCTGAGACCTACTCTTCACCTTAGATCCTGATGTCTTGCAACCTGTCCCCAACCCAGCCCTAGGCACTCTGCTCTGTATCATTGTGGGTATTAAGTGGACCCTTCCTTCGGGCCAAGGACAAGGTCTAGGTCTCAGCAAGAGGCCACTGCCCATCCCGAGTGCCACTTTTTAAAGTAAAGGAGCTGGAGGCCTGAATCAAGGAAAGCTTTGTCACCCTAATCCTGCAGCGCCTATCTCTGACCAGCAGGAAAGAACAAGTCATAGCTTTCATAGCCTTCCTACCATGCCACAGATGAGGTCTTGGACCAGTAGCCAACAAGGGCAGTTGAAAAGGCAGCCTGATTCTTTTATCCACTCAATTTTATTGAGCACCTACTCCATGCTCCATGCTTGCCAGGCACTGGTGATACAGTGACAAGCAAGACAGACATGGTCCCTGCTCCTAAAGAGTTTAGGGTGCCATGGAAGGGTACAGCCATTTTGCAACCCTATCTTGGTGGGTCAGGGAAGGCTTCCTCTAAGAAGTGACCTAGAACATGAATAGGGTCTCGATTCATGTCTTCAGGAACCTGCTGTGTCAAGCATTTTAAGGAGCAGGTTTACCTCATAATGGGCCTCATCCCTGATCTGCTAGCCCCTGTTTTCACAAAGCTCCCCAGAGTGGTGCTTATATTGGTTTAAGCTGGTCTGTGGGCAGGTGCAGAAGCCCAAATGGACAAACCTCCAGAAGATGGACCTGGTTGTAGTAGTACTGCTGAGATGTCACCGGTAGCTGTCAACACTCAGTGGTAGAGGTTCTGTTGATTTTTATTTCTTTGTTGAATTGATGGTTCTGTTTTCATTCAAGACTTCAAATACATTTAGAGATATTTATTGTCATTGATGGTACGATGAGTTTTTTACTTGAGTCTTCAGAATGGATAATTAAAGTATAAACGAAACACCATTTGGATGTGCTAAGAACACTAACTGGGCAGTATTCTGTAACGATGCCATTGTGTTGAGAAAAGAAGTACCATCCCAGGTGCCCACTGGTCAGCAATAGTAGAGGCTAACTATTCTCAGACACCAGGATGGAGCCCATCTAGCTAGGCCTTGGGGTGCTATGGCCAGGCAGCTGGGTTCAAATCCCAGCTCTGCTATTGACCAACAGCATGACCTGTGGTAAATTATCTAACTGCTGTGAGTTCCAAATTCCTCACTCTAGAATAAGGGTAGTAATATGATGACATCTTCACAGAGATTTTGTGAGGATTAATTGAGTTCATGGACGTAAAGTGCTTATTACAGAGTGCTCTATAAATGATAGCTAATAGTGACGGTGATGGTTGTTCCAGGATATGGAATGTGAACAGAAAAAAAACCTTTTTTTCCTTTGTGTTTTTTCTTTCTTTGTGTTCCTGTGCCTGGGGCTCGGGCGTCAGGTCCAGGCCAGTTCTACAGCAGTGGAGTGGGGTAGTGTATCTGGTGGTCCTTTCTTGACTCCCCACCACAGGTCTGAGACCTCACTGAACCAGCACAGCCACAGGCAGGAGTGTTTTATGCTTACATATTTAAGGGGCCAGGGTTGGTGGGGAGAATGATCCTCCGTTTTCCTTCACCAGGATAGAAACAGTTCTCATATTCTAGGGAGTTGCCTGGATGTGTGATGACACTTAAAGAGAGTCTTTGCAACTGAAAGAAGGAATGCATCTGGTCCAGTCCCCTGCATCTTCAAAGGTTGATGCCAATGCCCTTTTAGACAAATGGACATCCATCGTACTCCTAACATATGCAGTGACAGATGCCATTACCTTTCTCTTTGGTCTGGCTCAGGGACAAATCACCCCAGCTCTCAGGAATTCTTTATATCTGAAGAAAAAAAAAAAAAACTCATCCTTCCATTGAAGCTCATTTCTTCATTTCAGATCTCAGCATCTGTTTTGGTTGTCTGTTGCTGCCTGACGATCTCAACACTTAGTGGCTTCAAACAACAACCATTTTATTTGCTCATGACTTGGAGGGTCATGCAGGGTTTAGCTGGGTGATTCTTCCATTCCATGTGGCATCAGCTGAGGTCACTCATTCAGCTGAACACACCTCATTCTGTGCTGGGATAGAATGTCGGAGAAAGCTTTTATTATATGTCTGGCACCTCAGTGCTCCTACCTTGGGCTTCCTCACAGCATGATGGTCTCATGGTAGTTGGACTTCTTATGTGATTACCAAGAAGGAGCACTCTAAGAGGGGCAAAAAAGAAGCTTCAGATCTCTTAAGGCCCAGCTCCAGAAGTTACACAATGTCACTCCACTACATTTTGTTGATCAAAGCCAGTCACAGGGTCAGCCTAGATCCAAGGGATGGGAAGTAAATGCCACCTCTTGATAGGAGGAGTGCAGAGAATCTGTGGCCATCCTTCATCCACCAGCACATCCTCTTTATAAGCTTTCACATTCCTCCTAACACTAGCTTCATCCTCTCCTAAAGCTTCCTCCCCTTGGCCTTCATCCCATGTCTCATTCTTTTCCCCAACCTTCCACTATTTGAGCTACTGACCCTTTGTTGCTTAAATCTTCGGCTCTTTTGCTCTTCTCTTTTCTTTGGCTCTCCTCCCTGCTACTTCAAAGAGCACAGCTGTGTGCAGTCCCACCCCTAACATTTGTAAGGCTGTATATGTTATGTCTAGATAGCTAACTGTTCGAAAGCAAGCTGATAAGCTTTGAAAGGAAATATGTTGTCCTTCCACTCTGACGAATATTCATTTGTAGGGAGTTTAAAAGCCAGGTTCAAATAGAGAATTCTGAGTTCTGCACCAAAATATGGGGTCTAGGGAAAGCCAGTCTCCAGTCCACCCCTGCTCTGTCCAGCACCACAAGGACACTCATGAGCACTTGGGTAGATGGGTACCCCAGCCCACACATCTGAGCTCCAAACACACCTTCTGCAAACAGTCACCTTAGCCAGTTCTAGGAATACACACAGCACAGTGTACTCTCATGAAGCAGTCAAAAAAGAGGGCCACCAGGTCCAGGAATCAGGCTGAGGAGCATTTGACCAGGGAATCTGGGGTTTTGAATATGTGGCCTTACAGGGAGAATGTCCCTTTGGTTCCCTGGACTCCTTACCTGTGAGGAGGAGCATACCTGATGGAGGATTGGAGCAGGGCCCTTCAAAGTGTGAGATCAGGATGAGGGACATTTTCCTGGGTGTAAAGACAGTGCTGAGTGTGTCTGCCCTTGTATTGGGCATTGCCTTTCACTGATGGGCTTGGACAAACCCTGCACTGCTCCATCCCTCCCATGAGGCATTTCCACTGTGAAATGAGAAAAGCAATTTTTTTCATGGTAGTTATAAGAATTCAGTGAGACAATGGATGGGAATGGGGATTTGTAAACCATAAAGTCTTATTCACAGCTCATTTTTTTATGGTTTCTTATTGTCGGATTCAGAAGCCCTGGATGTGAATGAATTTGGACTCCGCCCTTTTTGAGCTTGGATCTTGCATGAATCACTTTACATCTCTAAACTTTGGAATTTCACACACACACATATGAAAATGATGTGTGGGACAGGTGGGGATGTTTATTAGGACCTTGGTGCTGTTTCTTTTTGTTTTGTTTTTGTTTTTTGGTTTTTTTTTTTTTTTGATGGAGTCTTGCTCTGTCACTCAGGCTGGAGTGCAGTGGCACGATCTTGGCTCACTGCAGCCTCCACCTCCCGGGTTTAAGCAATTCTCCTGCCTCAGCCTCCCGAGTAGCTGGGATTACAGGCATACGCCACCAAACCCGGCTAATTTTTTTTTTATTTTTAGTAGAGACGGGGTTTCACCGTGTTAGCCGGGGTGGTCTCGATCTCCTGACCTCATGATCCGCCCGCCTCGGCCTCCCAAAGTGCTGGGATTACAGGCGTGAGCCACCGCGCCCGGCCGGTGCTGTTTCTTTTTAATTCCAAGTGGTTAAAACCTGAAGGATGGGCTGGGTGCAGTGGCTCAGCCTATAATCCCAGCATTTTGGGAGGCTGAGACGGGTGGGTCACATGAGGTCAGGAGTTCAAGACCAGCCTGGCCAACATGGTAAAACCCTGTCTCTACTGAAAATACAAAAACTAGCCAGGCATGATGGCTTGTGCCTGTAATCCCAGCTACTCAGGAGGCTAAGGCACAAGAATCACTTGAACCCGGGAAGCAGAGGTTACAGTGAGCAGAGATCATGCCACTGCACTCCAGCTTGGGTGACGGAGTGAGAATCTGTCTCAAAAAAAAAAAAAAAAAAAAGTGAAGGATGTAAGGGACCAAGAAGAGTTATCAGCAAAGAGGGAACTAGGCTGTCTGAACCAGACATAAGCCAGATGTCAGCTGGGGTAATGTTGCCTTTTAAAATACAGATGAGAAGCCTGCCCAGAATTTCCCATTGCACACCATTTTCCTAAACAAGACAAGGCTTTGCATACAGCATCCTTCTTCTGAGGACCAGTCACTAGCCTACCCCATCTCAGCCCTATTTGGGCTGTGCCTGACGTGACTATTAGATATTGAAAAAGATCATCTTTTTTTTTTTTTTTTTTTTATTTAGAGTCTCACTCTGTCGCCCAGGCTGGAGTGCAGTGGCACGATCTCGGCTCACTGCAACCTCCACCTCCCGGGTTCAAGCAATTCTCCTGCCTCAGCCTTCCAAGTAACTGGGATTACAGGCACATGCTACCATGCCTGGCTAGTTTTTGTATTTTTAGTAGAGACAGGGTTTCACCATGTTGGCCAGGCTGGTCTCGAACTCCTGACCTTGTGATCTGCCCGCCTCGGCCTCCCAAAGTGCTGGGATTACGGGAGTGAGCCACCGCGTCAGGCCCAAAAAAGATCATCTTTTTTCCCATATCCCTGTTGAACATCACCTAGCTTGAGGCAAACCCCTTATCAATCACAAGCAAGACCATTTGGAATTGTGCATCAGTCCTCTACCCAGCCCAGTGCCACCCTCTGCCAGTCTTGAGTTAGCCTCCCAGTGGGTCCTGGTATCCAGAAGCAGGGCAACCCGCATCCTCTTAGGCCTGTCTCTCCTCATTGGGAATACAGCCTGCTATGAAAATCCATATTACCTGAGGAAGGGATAAAACCGCTTGCATTAGTTATATTTTGCTACATAACAAATTACCCCCAAAACTTTGTAATTTAAAACAACATTCCTTATCCCCCACAGTTTCTAAGTCAGGAAACCAGGAATGACTTAGCCGCATGGCCTAAGTCAGTCTGGCCTGATCTCTCACAACATCTCAAGTTGTTGACCAGGGCTGCAATAATCCCCAAACTCGACTGTGGCTGAAGAATCCACTTCTAAGCTCACTCACAGGTGATTGGCAGGCTCCAGTTCCTTGCAGCCTCTGGGCCAGAGGTCTCAGTACCTCGCCACACAAGCCACTCCACGAGCTGCCTCAGTGGCCACACTGCAGGGCAGCTGGTTCCCCACAGAGTGAGTGATCCAAGAGAGAGCACACGAGGGAGCAAGAGTGTGTCCAAGATGGAAGTCACAGTCTCTTAGGACCTAATCCTAGAGTGACATGCCTTCACTTCTGCTGTGTGCTGTTGGTCATGAAGACTAACCCTGGTACCACGTAGGAGGGACTGCACAAGGATGTGAAGACCAGGAGGCAGGGTTCACTGAGGGCCACCTTGGAGGCTGTCTGCCATATTGCTTAAAAGTTGAATCCTTGTAATCCAAAGAGGCATAGTCTCAGGATATGCCTACGTACAAAACGATGCACGAGGTAAAAGTGCACCTACAATGAGAGAAAAGTACATCAAAAGGAAAACAACGCCTTTCTCAGTGAGGCAAGAGTATGGATGACTTGGTTTTGCTTTATGCTTTTATTGTAGGGGGAGGTCTTCGTATTTTCTAAAATCATTAAGAAAAAATGATTGGCCACTCCAAAATACTAATTAATCCTTGCCAAGCAAGAGTGATAGCTGGTGAGAGAGTGGGCCCTCTGAGTTGAGTCACCACCCTTTGGGTTGATTGGTTCAACTTGGCAGGTGGAAACATGGGGCTGACCCAACCCTAGGGATCTTAATGGGGCTGGTTATTCTTGAAGACAGCCACCAAGGCATGGAATTCCCCTCTCCCTGTAGAAAGCCAAGAACATGACTCAGAGGTCATGTTGGTGAACCAGCTCGGAGGAAAGGAGATTCAGGGGTCTCCTTGACAGTCGGCTGTGCTGCAGCTCAGTCCATGAGTCTTTCTCCGTTCGGAGTTGTTGATTCCCAGACAGCCAGGGTTTCTCTCTCTCCAGCTCTCCCAGTTCCAGGATGCAAACAGGGTGAAGGGCCCTCAATTTCCGTTCGTTGTTTCCCCCATTGGACCTTGGCTCAACTTCCAACTCGGTGGTTTTGTTTTGGGTTTACTTGGAGAGGAAAAGGTGGTTTTCAAGAATTTCTAGAGCATCTTCCATCATACTCCTCAGTGCATGGTCCTGTTATCTCCAGTGGGCCATACTGGCTCTCTCTTTAGTTTTATTCACTTATTTACTTCCTTTTATGTCCCACTGCTGTGCCCCCTCTCTCAACAGGTAATGTGTTTAATGTGTGTTTTTTGTTGCCATGCGCCCTTGCAGAATGGGTGATGTTTTTTGTGTCTATATTTTTAATTGTGCATATTGTACTGTGTTAAATCTTGTTCTTTTTACTCAACACTGTGTTTCTGAGTTCCCCCACGGTGCCATGGTACTCTGATCCTTTGCTCCTAAGGGCTGCACAGCACTCCCCAAGATGTCCCTGAACACTTGGCCCACCAGCTCCCCAGCCATGGGCTTGCAGATGTCTCTACTCCCCTACCCCCACCACACATAGCACAGGAGAGAACACTGGCTTACATGCTCCCTTGGGGACTGTGTGAGGATTTCCTTGACATTAACATCCTAGGGCAGAACCACCAGTTTCCAGACTTTTCTGCTTCCCATACTGGTTCCAACAGAGGATCTGGAAGAAGCCAGAGCAGAGAAAACTAGGAGAAGGTGTGGGTAGAGTCTGGGGAGGTAAGCAGGGGCCAGAGCATGGTGGTCCTTTGTTGTTAGCCATGGCAAGGGCAAAGATTTTGGTTTTTATCCTAAGAACAAAGGGAAGCCATTGAATTAAACTAAAGCAGAGGTTCAGATTTATTTTTAAGTAACAGTGGATCTTTAGAGATAGAAGGACCCTAAAAGACCCCTAGTCCCACTCTTTGAATTTACGGGACACTTGGAAGGCCCCCTGAGGTAGTGAGATGGATGCCGAAGATCACACAGCCAGAGAGTCCAGGCCCCCTGACACCTTGAGAACATGGTGTGAGCCTCCCAGGCTGCAAAGACCATCTGATGGTTGGCAGCCTCTGGAGGCTTGGGATTTGCCCTGCTGTCCTGGGGGGACCTTGGGCTGAAGAGTTCACTTCCTGTCACCTGGATTTTCCTAGACCTCTGAGGGCATTTAACAGGATGTTTCAAAGAACCCCAAGCCAGAACCCAGCCTTCCACTGCCATGGGGCCTCAAGCCTTAGACTTTCCAGATATCCACAGGCAATCCCTGTTGAACTTCATATGCTAGCTTAATGAGAGAGCTGAACTAGAGGCTTAAAGATGAGCATGGCAGTCCTGGTTTTGCCTCTTATTCTCTGGATCTCATCAGTTTTCTCATCTTTGAAATGAGAGGATGGAGCAAGATGCTCTCTCAAGTCTGTCCCTTCCTCCCCAAGCATTTGTGCTTAAGTCTCAGGCACTGGGGACCTCTGGTACCTCCCTGCCGCAGGGCCTCTGCTGTCAGCTCTTTTAGTTCTCAGCATGGGCAGCTGCTGGGGGAAGCAACACCCTCAGAGTTTCATTGACCCTTTTCACCCTCGTACTTCTGGGCCTCCACGCCAAAGAGGCACAAAGAACTGAGCCTTTGTTTGCAGCAACAAAGCTGTTTGCAATTTCAGATAGAACCATTTTATTATATCCCATCCAAAGAGTACTTGAGTTGTGTTTTGTTTTGAAAGCTTGTTAGCATTCTGAACTTAATTATCTGGCAGAGACAAAACTCCTCCACCCCCAGTCCATGCCCACTCCATCCACCGACCCCAGTTGCCAGCCAGCAGCCTCAAAGCCCCTGCCCATGTCCAGGTGGGGCACCCATTGTCCTCCTGGGGGGCTCATCTGGCAGATGAAAGGGAAATCCTTACTGCTGCCTCTCCCTCACTCTCCCCTTTCCCCATCATCTCTAGATTCTGGCTCCCATTTATTGAGTACTCACCATGTGCCAGGCAGCAGGCTAAGCATTTTGCATGTTTTAATTCACAGCATCCTCTAAGTCCTATGAGGCAAGTTTATTTGCTCTTTTAAGACGGAGTTTCGCGCTTGTCACCCAGGCTGGAGTGCAGTGGCGCGCTCTCTGGCTCACTACAAACTCTGCCTCCCAGGTTCAAGCAATTCTCTTGCCTCAGCCTCCTGAGTAGCTGGGACTACAGACGCACACCACCACACCTGACTAATTTTTGTGTTTTTAGTAGAGACGGGGTTTTACCATATTGGCCAGGCTGGTCTCGAACTCCTGTCCTCATGTGATCCACCTGCCTCGGCCTCCCAAAGTCCTGGGATTACAGGTGAGCCACCATGCCCAGTGACTACATGGACTCTTATAACCTAGCCTTACAGTCGTATAACATCACTTCTGCCACCTTCACTCCATCAGGGCAATCAGCCAGAGAGGGCACATAGATGCCACCTATTGATGGGAGAAATGGTGAAGAATTACAGACGTATTTTAAGACCACCACAGGAGTTAAGTTACAGAGAAGTTAAACAACTGGCCTAAGTCATGTAGCTGATAAGTGGTGAGCACCCATGTTTTAGTCCAGAATCTTCTTATGTCAAAATTTGATTCCTTTTCCCACGCCCATCCTGCCTGCCTGGAGAGTGTGGAGATTAACAAGACTTGGGCCCTGCCTTCAGCCAGCTTACCATCCGAGATGGACTTGCTGCTGGCCCAAACCCTTATCATCTTCCTACCTCCTCCTTGCGTGGATCTCTTGGTCGTGTTGCTCACTGATGAGCAGGACTAACAGGGTGGAGGGGTTGCAGAGAGCCAGTACAAATTCCCAGAACTCCAAATCCACCACCTGTTTGCTTTTGCCTTTGCTGGGAGAAGCTGGAAATTTTTTCCTCCAGGGCTTCTCTCACTAGGAGTCCTATCGGTCAGTGTTGAGGTTGAAACATAGAACATCTTTAAGGCAGGAGATAATCTTAGTGAAGAGCCAGGCATAGAGCAAGTGCTTGGTTAGTGTTTGCCGTGTTTCAGGGACTCTGCTCTTCAGCACCATATATCCTCTAACACCTACTTTGCCTGCTATACACCCACAAAAGGTAGCAGAAAATAGGGAGCCACCTCCAGCCTCTCCCAGTGAGAACAGAGATCACAGCAGTGCCCAGCAAGGCCAGGCTGTTCCTCTCAGAGCCCACGGGAGTGCTGAGGGTGTGATATTGCAGTGGCAGAAGTAGCTGATTGGGTGTATTCCTTCTAGACTCTTCCACCACTCCGCCCTTCTCAGTTCCTCTAGCAGTACCTCCTTTGATTCTGGACCTACCCAAGCAAAACCTCAAAATAGGCCAGGTAGGCAAACCTGCTCCACCAATCCCCCTTGTGGGTTTCCAGACCTTTCTGTGGAGTAAGAGAAAAATCATAGACTGTGGAGACCCACCAACCTGGGTTCAAGTCCAGTTTTGTCACTGCCTGGCTATGTGATCCCAGGCCAGTCACTTAACCTCTCTGTGCCTCAGTGGCTCCCCATGTAAGACATGGGCAATCATGTCAACCTGCAGCACAGTTGTGACTATTGAACAGCATAAGACTGACAATGTACCTGGCTCCAAGCTGGCAGGATAGGAGGATAAGGGAGGGCAAATCCTCCCTGTGGATTCATCTCTTCACAGGAGAGAGCTGTTGGGAAATTGCCCAAGATCACCCATACCGCTCCTATATCGCCCTCCATCCCCACAATGAGATAGGAGCAACAATCCTATGAACAAGAAGTCAGTGTCTACTGGTGGCATTTTGGACACAGTTGACAGGCCATGGAGCCCAGCATCATCACCCAGATGGTTGAGGGGTGGGAGTGCTGGAGACTTGTTACCAATGACGTGGTGTGGCGGGCAGAATGCCTGGTCCTAGGAGTAGGGAGTTAGTCTCATCTCGTGTGTGGCTAATAGCATGGGCTCTGGAAGCAGTCTGCCTGGGTTCTAGTCTTAGCTTCTACCCATTTATTAGCAGACCTCAGCCAAGACTTAACGTCTCTGTGCCTCAGTTTCCTCATGTGTAAAATGGAGGTAAGAGCAGCGCCTACCTTCTGGGATTGTTGTGAGGATTAAATGTGTTACTACATGTAAAGCACTTGGAACCGCACCCAGCACACGGTAAGTCTTCAACGTTCAGGCTCTGCCCTTGGCTGGCTGTGGACCTGGGGCAAGCCACTTCCGCTCTCTGGGCCTGTTTCTCCATCTGAGAAATTAATGGGCTGAACCAGATATCCCTCAGGGCCCATCAGGCTCTGACAGCCGGTAATTCATGAAGTCCAGGCAGGTCTGAGTGTCATGTTCTTTTGGGTAGGGCTCCCTGTGACCGCTGGCCACATTGGGAAGGGAAGAAAAGCTAACTGGGACAGAGCTTGCTTTCTCATGTAAACAGGAACAGACTGAGCCAGCCTTCCACTCCAGTTCCGGTGGGCTGGCAGCCTGGGAGCTCAAAGAATGAGTCACTGACAGGAGCAGCCACAGTTCTGGAGCTCAGGCGGCACCAGCTCCAGGGCACAGAGTAGCTGCAGAGTTCAATGGTGGGATTTGGGAGCCGGGTGACAGGAGAGGGATCATAGCGTTTCCCTGTGCCCCAGGTGAAATCTGAAGGCCATTTGCCTGCATGCCTTACCCAGGATCCTACAGCTTTGGCCTGGGATACTGAGCTTTGCCTTCCAGGGCTTGCTTCCTTCCCTCCATACTACATGTATACTTTGAGGCTTCATCAGCTGGGGACCAGGCACAAAATCTGCACCGTGGCCCCCATGCAGCTGATTAAGGTTCAAGGTTCTGCCCCCCACCCTCCCCCGACCCCAGACATAGGACCTCCCTGCCTTGCTGCAGTGACCCTTTACTGAGAAGCGGCATGGCAAAATGGAAACATCACTTGATGCTGGAAAGCCCTGGGTTTGAATCTCAGGTCTGCACTTACTTGGCCAAGACACTTAACCTCTCTAAGCCTTGATTTTTCTTGCCTGGAAAATCCCATCATCCTGTGCAAGAGGTGAGTCCATGAGGAGCCCAATGTTAAATCACTTGTCAGCAAGCTGCCTCTGAGTCAGGGTTTCATGCGTGGCAAAGCAGCTACCTCGCTGTGAACTATTGAAAAGCCAGCCCTTGACACAAGCAGCCGCCTCTCACTGACAAAACAGGGCTGACGATGATCGTGTCTACCTCATAGGGCTGTCAAAAGAAGCAAATGCAATTGCGTATGCAGAGGCACTTTGGGAACTGCAGAGAGCCAGCCCAGTGAGGTGGTATTATTCCCAGAACAAGATAGTGAGTAAAGGAGAGGGCAGGGAAAGGATAAGAGCTGACGTCATTTCTAGGAGCAGGACAGAGCCCAAAAGAACAAACGGGCCTAGGACCACAGTGGTCCGTGCAAGTGGAGGCTGTTTCCTTCACTGCTGTGTCCCCAGAGCCTAGCCCGTGCTTGACAAAGTAGGCCCCCAGTAAATACTTTTCTGAATTGCATGACATTGAATCTTTGTGTTCCCAGTGCTTGACGTATAATCGGCGCTTAATAAATGTGTGTTGGACTCAGGCACAAATCAGCAGAGACTAAAACCAGAGTGGCAGGCTCCTAGCCCAGTTCTCCATCTTTGAAACTAACACCAATTTCCATCACAGACATCCACTGCCCACCCCCGAGATCAGGGGTTCTTAACCTGAGGTCCATGCATCTCCCCAAAAATTATGTGCAGAATATAGAGTGTGTTTGAAACATATCTTGCTGGATTAAAAAAAAGTCAGATTTCTACCCAGAAAAATATCTAAATAAATCCTGCTCTGAAAGATGTACATCTACCAGTTGCCCAGTAAATACCCATCAGTTGGATGCATCTGGTCCCCAGGGCTGCCAGGTGACCAGTAGTCTTAAAAAAATTGTAAGCCTCCCCCTCTCTGAGCTACACATCTAGGGCCCTATGAGCCTACAGTTTTTCCTACCACCTCCATAATGTGCAAGACAGTTAACCTATCTTTCATATGCAAAAGTAATGATCACACATTATCCGAGGGACCTGCCTCTGGAGTGGCTGTTCTGCTGCTGGGTGGGTCTCACAGAGCCTCGCATACTCTGTCAATCTCTTACATCCTAGTGTATGCATTTAGATGTGACAGGTGGGAGTCGAGGCCTGAAACCTGAGAATCCTGACTAGGCTTCTTGATATCAACTCTGAACTTTGATCTTTTTGAAAAAAATATTTTTCTCACTAGAAATACATGTGTGCATGTGTCTGTGTATGTATACACACACATATATATTTATCTATTAGAGGAAATTGAGGATATGTAAATGAAATCACCTCTAATCTCACCCCACCCCAAAGAACTGGTGTTACTACCTGGCTTTAGTCTTCCCATTTACTGTGTACAACATTTATTAAGCACTTACTGTGTGCCAAGAGTTCACTGCTCCATGCTCTATGATCTCTATCTCATGTTAACCTCTAATCTCACATCAGGTATTTGCTATCTTTTTATAGACATATTTGTACTTTCTTAATTTTTAAGGTCAGTGAGATTATACTGTTTTGTAACCTTGCCTTTCTTAGTCCATACCATCAAAATTTTTTCCCATGTTATCAAATATTCATCAGCAGAGTCATTTATAATGGCTGCATAATGTTTTATTGCAGGCAAATTTCATGCTTCTCAGACTGGGGTGCATGTATCCCTGAGGGCAAAGCCATAGGATAAATGTCACACATCTTCCTGAAGCAAAATTTGTGATTCAGAGCTTTAGGAGAGGGAAATAAAACACATTATTTTCATATCAAAACGAGTACAAATATATCGTAGTGTAGAATGCAGAACACCCATATATCTTAATACAGGCCAGGCGCGGTGGCTCACGCCTGTAATTCCAGCACTTTGGGAGGCCAAGGCAGGCAGATCACCTGAGGTCAGGAGTTCAAGACCAGCCTGGCCAACATGGTGAAACCCCATCTCTACTAAAAATACAAAAATTAGCCAGGCGCAGTGGCTTGTGCCTGTAGTCCCAGCAACACAGGGGGTTGATGCAGGAGAATTGCTTGAACCCAGGAGGTGGAAGTTGCAGTTAGCCGAGATCACGCCACTGCACTCCAGCCTGGGTGACAGAGCAAGACTCTGTCTCAAAAAAAAAAAAAAAATGCAGCCAAGTCCAAGATCATGTTATTCCCCATAGTCCCATGTTCCCTCTCCTCTGAGGTTTGCAGAAACATCTAAGAAGCGCTGAATTCTAGTTCAAGCCCTTCTTTTTACAGATAAGGAAACTGAGACCCAGGGAGAAGAAGGGATTGCCCAAGGTCCAAGTATGTGCTCTGCAGAACCAAGGCACAGAAGCCAGGTAACCCCTGGGTCTGTCCCTTCCCACCGTTCCATATTTGGCATCACCTGTCAACTGTGTGTGGGCAGAGACCTTGCCCCTTGAGAAATCAACCCCCTGCTTATCAATAGTAGCAACTCTTGCCTTCCCACGTGATCCTTCTTTTAGCAGTAGCTTTTCCTTTTTCACCTTGCTCCCAGGATCTGAACTGACTGCTCAGGTGGTCAGGAACTATAACCTCCATGGACAAAGGTAGATACCCTCTCGTGACCCTCTTAGACTCCATTGGCACTTAGATTTATTGCTTAATGCACTGTATTGTAAACATGTCTTTACTGGTCTGTTTTAGCCACGAGACTGGAGCCTTTTGAAGACAAGAATTAATTATGTGTTAGCATTATAATCTGCCATTTATTGGGTACTTACTAAATGCTGAACACTATGCTAGGTGTTTCGTCTGTAGTATCTAAAATATTTATAACAGCTGCCGGGCGCAGTGGCTCACACCTGTAATCCCAGCACTTTGGGAGGCCAAGGTGGGTGGATCACTTGAGGTCAGGTGTTCAAGACCAGCCTGGCCAACATGGTGAAACCCTGTCTCTACTAAAAATACAAAAATTAGCCAGGCATGGTGGCACACACCTGCGATACCAGCTACTCCGGAGGCTGAGGCAGGAAAATTGTTTGAACCCAGGAGGCGGAGGTTGCAGTGAGCCAAGATTGCACCACTGCACTCCAGCCTGGGTGACAGAACAAGACTCCATCTCAAAAAAAAAAAAAATGTATATATATATATATATATATATATATATATTTATATTTATAACAGCTTTTCAAAGTATGTATTATTATCTCCATTTATCAGGCAAAAAAAACTGAGTAAAAGAGTGTCCTTTGCCCATCATCATTCACTCATTTAGTAAACATTTATTGTAGCCTTACACACCAGGACTTACGCTACATGCTGTAGACATGAGGATGAACAAAGCTGATACCACTCTGCCTTCATGGAACTTCTTGGTGGGTAGAGGAGACGATATTCAAAAATTATTTTACAACCCATGGCAAGTGTAATGTAGCCTGAAGCCTATCTGACTGCCCTGGATTGAAGCCACCTCTACCCTTACCAGCTAAGCAACCTTGGGCAGCTCTGTTAACCTCTCTGCACCTCATCTTCCTTTTCTGTAAAATGGGGATAATAGTAGTAGCAACTCCATAGGGGTGCTGTGAAGAATTAAAAAATTAACCCAGGCACACAGAGAAGGGCCCCTGCACATTCCAGGCATATTGCTGCTGCTGCTGATGATGATGATGATATGAAAGAGAGGCATGGGGTGCTCGTATGTGATAGAGCAGGACCTACTTCAGGGGACATCTGATTGAGGTCTACAAGATGAATAGGTGTTACCTTGGCAAAGTGTGTGGGAGGCAGGGGAGGGGAACAGAGTGTTGGAGGGATGTTCCAGGCAGAGAGAACAGCATGTCAAAGCATAGGGGGCGGGCTTACCTGAGGAACTGCAAGGAGTGAAGCTGAAATGGGCCCGGCTGGGAAGCAGGAGCCTGTGCTACAAACACAGCTCCAGGACCGGGTTCTCTGCACCACAGTCTTGATCCAGGCCATGGGAGGTGCTCAGTAAATGTTTGTCAAGTGAGCGAGCAGCTCATGGACAAACGGCTATGCTGGGCCCACATGGTTCTGTTGTCACCCAAGTCCATTGTCCCATATACAGCATGATATGTAGACAGCCCCTTCCCAGCTGTCACACTGTATACATCCATGTTTTGGTCCCTCTTTTCTTGACAGTAAACTAAATCCTGTGAGTTTGGGTGCAGACCTCCAATATCTGGGACTCACTGAGGTGGCCGCAGCTAGAATCCCCATGCTATAGCCAGGGGCTCAGATCTAAGCCAATGGTATTCAGACTCTTTAGTAGCAGAACTCTGCCTTGAAATAATCTTAGCAGAAATCCAGTATATGGTACAGGGACAGGCAGAGCTTCTGCCCTTGAGGGGCAGACATAGGGCCTCAGCCCCTGTGCACCTGAGAAAACACTAGGGCTCTGTAAAGCACAGTTAGAAAAACTAGGGTTGAACCCAAACCCCATCTTCCAGGTGGGGAAACTTAAGATCCAGAGAGGGAGTGACTCTCCGGAGTCACTAGGGACAGACCCAGAACTGGCCCCAGACATCTGGTATCAATTCTGCTACACCAAGATTTTCCGGCACTTCGCCCTAACTGCCCCCAGCCCCTCTCATCGTGCAGGGAGTCTTGAGATGGGGTGGGGGCACATGGATGTGGTCTTGTCAAGAGTCTAGCCTCCAGCCCCAGTTAGGGCATGGCCCACATGAGACAAAAATCCACAGGGCAGGCATGGGTGGGTTGCTCAGGGTCATGGCCTGGTTATGCCATGTCTTTTTTTTTTTCCTGCTGCTGCTTCTTTTTTAATTGAGTTTGAGGTGGTTGTTTTTTGTTTCCTTAAGAAATGGAAAAGAATGAAGCTGCGTAAATACAACTATATTAACTCCCTGGAAAACCTCCTGCCATTTTAACTCTGTTACTGGAGAAATAAAAGAGAAATAATTTGTCCACCCACACTTAGCTCTTTCTGACGAAGGTAGGTGAATATTGCTTTGCTAATCGAGGGTGACTGCTGGAAGTGGAGCCACGCTGACTGATCCCAGATTGAGAGGCAGCCACAGCCACCCCAAAAGGGGTGGCAGAGCCCTGCCTGTGGACAGGGCCGGAGTCATCGGCCCGCATGGCCCATCTTCCACAGGTCTCCCCCAGCCGATAGTGATGGAGGCACTGGACGAGGCTGAAGGGCTCCAGGACTCACAGAGAGAGATGCCGCCACCCCCTCCTCCCTCGCCGCCCTCAGATCCAGCTCAGAAGCCACCACCTCGAGGCGCTGGGAGCCACTCCCTCACTGTCAGGAGCAGCCTGTGCCTGTTCGCTGCCTCACAGTTCCTGGTAAGGATGGCACAGGCCTCACAAGGGTCTGGAGAGAGGGTGGGTGGAGGGCCAGCCTCCCACTTCCTCCCCAGGATGGCCACCTGGAAGGCAGGAGGATAAGGGGCCTCCCTGGTGTTCCTCAGGAGCTCCAAGCCCTCAAGGCTGGGATAAGGGGAAGGCTGGAATTCTGAGCTACCGCACCAGCATCTGAGACCTCACACCCTGCCTCCCTAACCTAAGAATCCAGAACACAGGGCCTCCCCGACCCCTGAGCTCCCAGCCGTACAGGGTTCTCCTGAGAACTCCTGTCTGTGGAGGCCTTTCTAGGAGACTACTCTTTTGATGTACATATTTGTGAGGTCCTCTCTGGAAAGGGCTTTCTCTTGGTTCCCTTCAGTCAGCTTTTCTCCAAGGAGAGTCCTGAGGCCTCCCCGGGCACGCAGCACCGGGGCCCTGCTCTCAGCTGCCCGGTCTGGACCTTAGAGGTTCAGGAGCCTCCATGCAGGGCCAGGTTGAGGCTGCAGGTGAGCTCTGCTGGGGGAACACGGGGGAAGGGGGCCGGCTCCATACTCAGCCTGCTCCCCTGTGCCCCAGCTTGCCTGTGGGGTGCTCTGGTTCAGCGGTTATGGCCACATCTGGTCACAGAACGCCACAAACCTCGTCTCCTCTTTGCTGACGCTCCTGAAACAGCTGGAACCCACGGTAAGTAAGCTTTGGGGAGTCCTAGGGTAGCAGGGATCTGTTGGGGGCCTCTAGTCCCACCCTCCCCAACCTCCAGATTGGGCTTCTCTGAGTTCAGAAGATACTTCCAAGCCCCTGAAGTTCTTCTGCCTGCTCCCCATCCCAGACCTGGGACGTGATTTTCAGAATCTTGGTTTTGTCATCATTGCAAGAGCTGAGAACTCTGCCCCCACCACCACCCTGACCTGTTTATCTGATGTTCCCCAGGCCTGGCTTGACTCTGGGACGTGGGGAGTCCCCAGTCTGCTGCTGGTCTTTCTGTCCGTGGGCCTGGTCCTCGTTACCACCCTGGTAAGGCGCCTCCTGACCCCAACCTCAAGGCTGTCCTCCTCTGACCTTGAGGCCTGGATTTCTACCAGCTCCCATCTGACTTATAGGCTGGACATTCTGGGTGGGGCAAGGAGGGATACCTATCTCTTTGCACAAGTGTGCCAGCCTGGGGCAAGAGCCTCCTTCTTTCCGAAAATTGGTTTGCAGTGATCTGGGCTAAGGAAAGGGGATGAGACAGGGAGAAGACTGGTGTAGGAACTCCCAAGCCCCACTGAGAAGGCCTGAAGCCACAAGAAACAGAGAGCTGGGAGAGGGAGGGGCAGGGAAGGAGAGTGGGCATGGAGCCTCCCATCGAGGCCAGGGGCAGTGCCTTGTGGACAACTCCCAGGAGAGCAGAGCTGCTCTAGACACACTGAGGGAGTGGGGGGGCGTCAATCCCATGGGCACTCCAGGAACACGGGGGGCAGCCAGCGTGGTCCGAAATCTGTGATGCTGTACACCCCAACCAGGTGTGGCACCTCCTGAGGACACCCCCAGAGCCACCCACCCCACTGCCCCCTGAGGACAGGCGCCAGTCAGTGAGCCGCCAGCCCTCCTTCACCTACTCAGAGTGGATGGAGGAGAAGATCGAGGATGACTTCCTGGACCTCGACCCGGTGCCCGAGACTCCTGTGTTTGATTGTGTGATGGACATCAAGCCTGAGGCTGACCCCACCTCACTCACCGTCAAGTCCATGGGTCTGCAGGAGAGGTGGGAGGGGTGGAGGAGGGGTGGGCTCCACGGGCCCTTGAGCTCTTAGCTCCTGATCAGAAGAGTGGATGCCTGACTCTGACTCCTGGTGCCCAGGGCAGAGCTGGCCTTATAGCTTAGCCAGTGTAGACATGTGCTATCCAGGTCATTCATAGAGATCAAAGTGCCCCAAGATGAATGCTGAGAAATACTGTTACTGCACACGCACACATAGGTGTACACATGTTCACACACACTCTCCCATGCTCAAGTAAGTTTGGGTGGTTTTCTTTGCTGCAGGACTTGTCAGGGCCTTTAACATGCTTATGTTCATTGTAAATCAGCAAGGGGGCAGTATGTGGCATTTCCCAAAGTCACTTGACCACGGAACTCTATTTTTTTGTTTTACTTTTATTTTGGATTGAGGGGGTGCATGTGCAGTGTTGTTACCTGAGCATATTGCATAATGCCGAGGTTTGGGGTACAAATGATCCCATCACCCAGGTACTGAGCGTAGTGCCCAGCAGTTAGTTTTTCATCCCTTGCCCGCCTCTCTCCCTCCCTCCTCTAGTAGTCCCCAGTTTCTATTGTTGCCATCTTTATGTACCTGGGTACCCAATTAGAACCTGTTTTTATAGGGTAGCTCATAGTGTTCCACAGAGCACACTTTGAGAAGTGTAGACACCCTCGTTTCAGAGTCTAGGTGGGTGAGCCAGATCACACCAAATTTGAGTTACCCATGTGATGTCACAGAAAGAACACTGGGTGTGGAGTCAGGAAACCTAGCTTTTTATTTCAGCTCTGCCACCCCCTTACTGGGAGAGCCTGGACAACTCTTGGCCCTTCATGGGGACTCAGTTTCTCTTTCTATGTAATGAAGCCCCATCCTGTCCTGTGTCTGAGACTCTGAGTATAGTAGAGTTTGCCCATTGTAGACATCCTTGCGGCCACCGTGCTGCTCCTGGGACTCCCTCCTTCCTGACAGCGGGGGTCCTGGCCTCTCCTGGACAATATGTCCTTGACTCACCAGCAGCCTCATCCCAGGGCTGTTGGGCCCGGGACTGCAGTGGGGAGGGTCTGGAGCCATCCTCTCGGGCCCAAGCCCCGCTTCTGTGCTTCAGGCAGGTGTCCCCTCTCTGAGCTTCCTGGGGACCACAGGGTAGAACTTCCTCCAACGGTGATGGAGGAGAGTCCAGGGTAAGGCCATGTTGGGGTAGCTTTGGATGGAACTTTTAGAACTGGAGCCCCAAATCCCCACTAAGTTAACATCTCCACTGCAGGAGGCAGGAGATAGGGAGTCAGGCCAATGCCTCAGGGCTGAGATTCACGCTTCTTTGTCAGGGGGTCTTGTCACACTCCCACTCCTCTTCCTCAACCCCACCCTGTTCCCAGCTGATCTCTCCCTCCCTCATTTTCCCAGCCCTGGAGACCCCAGCTCATGCCCGTCCCTCTGCCCCTGAGGCTCACACTCCCTTTCCTGGTCCTTCCAGGAGGGGTTCCAATGTCTCCCTGACCCTGGACATGTGCACTCCGGGCTGCAACGAGGAGGGCTTTGGCTATCTCATGTCCCCACGTGAGGAGTCCGCCCGCGAGTACCTGCTCAGCGCCTCCCGTGTCCTCCAAGCAGAAGAGCTTCATGAAAAGGCCCTGGACCCTTTCCTGCTGCAGGCGGAATTCTTTGTGAGTTCCCTTGAGCCGGTCGCCCCACTGTGTGCAGACCCATGTCAATCATCCACCTGCCCAGGTGGTGGAGCGTGGTGCCTGGAACTCAGCATCTGCAGTAGATTAGTATCACTTTATTATCAGCTCTCCCACCATCTTGGGCAAGCTGCTTTCCCTCTGAGCTTCAGTTTCCTCATCTGGAAAATGGGGATGAAAATAATAGAATTGTTGCAAAGATTAAAGAGACTTATAACATGTGCAGAGCACCCAGCCAGGTGATGGAGGTACAGTGACAATGCTAAGTCTTTATTGCCCAGTGCTGTGCTCTGAAAGCCACAGAGAACCTTCACTTCTAACTCTTCTGTTTTCCCACTTTCCTCCTGCCGAGCATTGTTCTTCTGCCTTTGAAATCTCTCTAGTGGCCTCCCCTCGTTACCACCCCTGGGGCCCTAGCTTAGGTCCTAATCACCTCCACCCTGGCTTCTGCAGCAGCCTCCAGCTGCCTCCTATTGGACTTTGAGGGGCTCAATAAATGGCACCCCTGTTTACCTGCCTGAGTGCTCAGCCAGTTAAGAGCTAAGGCATAGGAGATTACAATATCACCTTTGTTGTCAATAAAATACAGGTTGGAAATGTGGCTTAGCAGGGTACAGCAAGAGTGAGCCTCCCGATACTGAGACCCAGAATTACATGCACTTTCCACCCTCCACAGGGGTGCCGGCACATCTCGGACCTTGCCGCATGGGGGCACCCCTATAATTCTTTCCTGGCAGGAGGGCCCTGAGAGGAGGAGGAAGGAAGGGGCTGAGGCTCCAAAGCTCCATTCCTCAACCAAATTCACCAAACAGGTAACTCCTCACTTCTGTGAGCAGGAAAAGGCAAGAGGCCAAGAGTATCTGGGGTGAGTTCCTCCTGGTAGAAGCCACAGGGGTACAGAAGCAGGTGCCTCCTCCCTCATAGCTCCCTTCCTTTGGCCTCCGCCCTGGGCCTGTCTGGACCGGGTAGCTCTCCCCTGTGAGAAGACCTCCATCATCATCTGATCTGCTGCTCCAAGTTCTCCAGAACTTGGTACCACCTGCATACACCATCAGCACCCCTTACCTCGTGTGGCCCCAGCCTCCTTTTCCAGCCTTATGCCCCATGCCCCACCCCTGCAGGGACTGTCCACTTCAAACTGGGCCAGTCTCGTCCGTGCCTTTCTCCTCCTGTGCCTTTGCTCACATCATCACTCACTCCAGATGCCTCTAGAAAGCCTTCTTTAACCACCCCAGCCTCAGCTCCTTCTCTGAGCTCCCACTGCCATCATCTCCCCTTCGAGAAAGAATCACATCCTCTACCTCATTTCCTGTCCGGTGGGTCTTTGTTGAGGAAGGAGCGTGGCCTGAGCACCCACTCTGGGGGCAGTTTTGCACGTGTTGTATTTTTATTTTGATTTTCACAATCCTGGAAAGTGTGATGATCCTCATTTTACAAAGCCCATACTTAGTGTGTCCAAAAACAATGAACAGTGTGAAGTTAGGTGCAGTCAGGGGCTAAGCTGGTGGACAGACTGGAAGGAAATGCAGAGGCAAGAGGCATGGAGAGTCATCCCGGAAGATGTCAGGAGGAGACAGACTCATAGGTGAACTTTTTTTTTTTTTTTTTTTTTGAGACAGGGTTTCACTCTTGTTGCCCAGGCTGGAGTGCAGTGGTGCGATCTTGTCTCACTGCAACCTCCGCCTTCCAGTTCCAAGCGATTCTCCTGCCTCAGCCTCCCTAGTGGCTGGGATTACAGGGGCCCGCCACCAGGTCCAGCTAATTTTTGTATTCTTATTAGAGATGGGGTTTCAACATGTTGGCCAGGGTGGTCTCAAACTCCTGACTTTGTGATCCGCCTGCCTCGGCCTCCCAAAGTGCTGAGATTACAGGCGTGAGCCACCGCGCCCGGGCAGAGGTGAACTTTAAAGGGTGGGAACAACTTGGAGAGATGGGGGTAGGGGAGACCAGCGCCCTCAGGAGGCAGAACGTCACAAGCTCAGACTCAGAGGCAGGACTGAGAACAGCAGATTAACAACAGGGGAGAAACAGGCCTAACTGGAAGTAAAGAGAGGCCAGATTCAAGAAGCCCTCACATGCCAGGAGAGAAGTTCAGACTCAGAGCTCTGGACACAGACAGTGGTTGGGAGGTGCAGATATTCCTGGGATCTCAGAAAGAGGCTTCTCTCCTTCTGGAGAATCAGGGAAGGCTTCTCAGAGGAGGCGGGACATGAGATGAGGATGGGGTGTGTGTTACCACAGAGCAAGCAGCACGAACCTAGGTCCCGAGATAGGGATGCCCAGGGAGGAATGCTGCCCAGGGAGCATGGAAGAAGGCAGCCATTGGCCAGGTCACTTTTTGTCTTTTTCTTCATTCATCAGCTATTTATTGACTGTCTATATATGGCAGGCTGGCTCTCCATAAACAATAGTCATTATCATATTTATTACACACTCAGCATGTGCCAGGCACTGTTCTGAATGCGTCGTGAGCACTAACTCTCTTAATAGTAAATGTTTGTTGAATGAATGCGTGCACTCAAGCCAGCCCCTGGGCTAGGAGTTGGGGGCACAGCAGCCCCTGGATTCAAACATCTGTGAGGGCCCATAGCTGCTCACACCCCGTGTCCTCCTTCCACAGGAAATCCCCATGAACTTTGTGGATCCGAAAGAGTACGACATCCCTGGGCTGGTGCGGAAGAACCGGTACAAAACCATACTTCCCAGTGAGTACTCACTGTCCCAGAGGGATGGGGGCAGGCTCAGCTTCACCTGGGGATCCCCTCACCCTGAGGAGGACCCTCAGCTGGGCCTCTAGGGGTGACAGGACTGGAGGAGGTGGGACAGAGGGCTGGGGGTTGCTGGCTGAAGGGAAGCGCTGCCCTGGTGAGGCCAGAGGCGAGTACATTTCCTCGCACAGCACTCTCTGGTCCTTTGCCCTGCCTGGCCACATGTTGTGCTGGACCCTCTAGAAACCCAAAGAGAAAGGGTGGTAATGACAGCAGTTCCTAGCCACACTGTGGTAACCGAAACTCTTTTCAGAGTGGGCAGATTTTAAGGAAAGGAAGTTAAGGCTTAGAGAGGTTAAGTGGCTCACCTGCAGTCCCACAGCTAGGAAGTGCAGAGCTGAATTTCAGACCTGGGCCTCTGTGATCCCAGAGTCAGGCTCTCTGTCTACACTGTGTGGAGTGTGGTCGAATTGTAAGCCCTCTAACAGGGACATCCACTCCCACAGGCAAATGAGTTGTCTCTGTCAGGGAGTGAGCTCCCCATTACTCAGTATATTCAAGTGAGGCGGCACGAGCAGTCCCCTAGAAGGTCTGAAAGGGGTTTTCCTCCTTTGGGGGCAGTTAGACCAGGTGACCTGATGCTCCTCTTTCAGCCCTGGGGTATCATTTTCAGATAACTTTTATCAAGCCTCGATGAGCCTGCCACCCTCGCCAAGTTCTGACCCCAGTCCCCAGGGCTAGCTTGGGCGTTGACTTGTTGAAAGTGAATCCCCATAAACCTACTCCATTCAGTTTGTGGAGTAGCGAGGCTTTTAAAAAGCAGTTTTGCCATCAGCATCTCCAACAACATGTAAGATGTCATGACTTATTTTTAACTTTTAAAATATCGACTTGTAGTTGCTATGGTTACACAGTCTCTAGGTAGTTCCGGTTAAACAAAGAGCCATTTAAGGCCAGGATGCATTATTCAGGGATGCTCACCTCTTCCCTCGTCTTGCCCTCCCCGATCCCAGCCCTACCTGGAGGGAGGGACTCGAGTATCCTAGAACCTTGGACTTTGCTGGCTGCTCAGAATGGCCACTGGGGGAAGGTGGGAGCAGACTAGGATTCCGTGCAGATGCAGTCCCCGCTGCATTCCAAGAGGCTTGAGCTGCCTCCAACCATGCCCTGAGCCTCCAGGCCCCCGAGCCCAATAAAGAATCTTGTCTGTGTCCAGCAAGAATGGAGCCTGTGCCCTCAGAGACTGGGTTGGGGGGTGCAGAGGGCAGGTGAGGCTGAGCAGAGGCTGCCTCTGAGATCCAGGACGCGCTGAGGTTTGTTCTCTCATTCACTGGGCACACATTTCCTCGGCTCCTGCCCCAGGGGCTGAGGATTTAGACATAAATAGGACACAGACTCTGTGCACAAGGAGCTTCCAGCCTAGCGGGGGAGAGAGGTCCATGCACAGTTACAGTCAGAGTGAACAGTAACCCACAGGCAGCATTGAGAACAAGATGCTGGGAGCAATTTCTGTCCCCTTCTCCGCCGTGTCCCAAGCATCAAAGCAGTGCTGCCTGGCACATGGTAGACATTCTGCACCTATTTGGACTGTTTTAATTTTTGTAGAGATGGAGGTCTTGCTCTGTTGACCAGGCTGGTCTCAAACTTCTGGCCTCAAGCTGTCCTCGCCTGCTTCGGCCTCCCAAAGTGCTGGGATTATAGGCATGAGCCACCATGCCGGGGTCTGCACCTATTTGAATGAATGAATGAATAATATCTCTCAAATCTACATCCTCTTCTCCAGCCTCACTGCCAAATGATGTTTTTGAGGTTAGGGCTTTCATGTTGTCCAATTCCAGGGGACACAATTTACATAGACTACATTGACATAAGTGCCCCCTGGAGCCGTGCCAGGCTGGACAGCCCTGTGATCCTTGACACTTCTTACTTGGATCATTGCAGTAAACCTCTAACTGGTCTTCTGGCTTCCACACTCTCCTCTCCATCTTCTACCATTGTCACCAAAATGAGGCAAAACAAATCTAATTGTGTCATTCTCTTCCTTAAATGCCATCATTGTTGTCACCCTCGTAATCCTCAGGTTTAAGTCCAGCTTTTTTTTTTTTTTTGGGGGAGACAGAGTCTCACTCTGCTGCCCAGGCTGGAGTGCAGTGGCACAGTCTCGGCTCACTGCAACCTCTGCCTCCTGGGTTCAAGCAATTTCTGGCTAATTTTTGTATTTTTAGTAGGAACAGGGTTTGACTGTGTTGGCCAGGCTGCTCTCCAACTCCTGACCTCAAGTGATCCGCCCACCTCAGCCTCCCAAAGTGCTGGGCTTACAGGCTTGAGCCACCACGCCCGGCCTAAATCCAGCTTTCTAAGCCTGGTTTATAAGACCCTTTGTCGCCTGGTTCCTCTCCAGCCTCACCACTCACCACTCCCTACCCTGCACTGTGCACGTGAATCTGACAGAACAGCATTGCCTGCAGACAAGGAGAAGGGAGACGGCCCATACAGAGCTTCCTGCCCCTCTCTGCTGCAGGTCCCCCAAAAGCCCCCCTCCCGTTTACCCTGTCTCCTCTCCATCCCTGCCACCCTCTACACCCCCTCTTCACAAGAACTGCCCCAAATCACCTGCCAAAACCTTAGACATTGGGGTTGGGCTAAAGAGGCGAAGCTTGTGCCCTTTACCTCCCCAATTTCTCCTACTGGGTTTAGGATCCTTCTTTTTATCCTTTAACTTGTGGAACTTGTAATAATGTCAGGAATAACAGCAACTGATACTTCGTGTTGGTCCTAGTTACTGGCATAAGGACTCTAGTTGTTAAAGTTAACTCCTTTACAAGATAAGCAAGGTCATTGTGGAATGACCATCCCCAGATTACAGATAAGGCACAGGGAGATAAAGTAAATTGTCCATGTTGACACTGCTAGTAAGTCAGAATCAGGATTTGAACCTAGCCTCTCTGGCTCAGCGGTGTAGACTCTTAATGACTCCCCTATACTGCCTGTGAGAGCCTCCTAATGTGCACACTGGAAGTGCCTTTAGTCCAGTCCTCCCTATTATAGGAAAGAAACTGAGGCCTGGACAAGTGAGCTGATGACAAAACTAAACCAGAACCCAGGAATCTGGGGCCCCAGCCAGCTTCCCCCTTACCCCATACAACCTCAGTCTTGGCCTCTGCAGGCTGACAGAATAGTCAATGCAGAGAGGCTGTAGCTGGAACAAAACAAAATCTACTCCAGGAAGAAGAGCAGAGTGGGGGCTGGGCACAGTGGCTCATGCCTATAACCCCAGCACATTGAGAGGCCGAGGTAGGAGGATCACTTGAGCCAGGAATTGGAGACCAGCCTAGTCAACATAGCAAGACCTCATCTCTACCAAAATAAACAAATAAAAATAAAAAAATAAATTTAGCCAGGTGCAGTGGCTCATGGCTTAGTCCTGCTTACTCAGGGGGTTGAAGCAGGAGGATCACTTGGGCCCAGGAGTTTGAGGCGGCAGCGAGCCATAATCGTGCCACTGCACTCCAGCTGAGTGACAGAGACCCTTTTACTATGGGATTTGACATGTGAATAAATTGAAAGGAAAAAAAACCTTTTTGCATATGTGGACATGAGGCTGAGACCCCACAGTCTTAATCCAGATAGAGGAGACTATCGTTTTCATGTTAATAGCCTCCGTCAACTTTCTACTCCCGAATCTTAACAGCCCTTTATATTTATAAAGCACTTTACAGTTTACACAGAACTTTCACATCTCTTTTCTCATTCATCTTCCCAACAGCCCAAGCAAGTAGGCATCTTTGCCTCCATTTGACAGATAGGAAAACTAAGGCTTAGAAAGGCCATGTGTTTTACAAGCCTACACAGCAAGTCAATGACAGTGTGTACTCAAGCTAGCTGTCTCTTGCTGAACAAGATCTGTACAGGAATTTCCCTAGGTAATTCCATTGTTGACTTAGCTGTCTCCTCTCCAGAAGCTAAGATGCAGTGAGTATAGGGCAACTTAAGAGGCACAGGCTAAGGATAGAGACAGAGGTAGAGACCCGGGGACCCCCCTCTCTCTCCACCCTCCTCCTCATCCTGAGTCCTCACCTACAAAATGAACCATGAATGGGTCAATGTTTTGCTGCTGGGCAAGGGAAGGAAGAACTGCTAATGTCGCAGAAGAAGTGTGGGTATGCTGGAATAGGCCAGAGCAAGTGGGTCCTGCACCAGAGGGCCCAGTTTCCAGCCTTACTTGTCTCCCACCACCCCAGACCCTCACAGCAGAGTGTGTCTGACCTCACCAGACCCTGACGACCCTCTGAGTTCCTACATCAATGCCAACTACATCCGGGTACGTATTCCCACCCTGACGGCCTCTTGCTCAAGGGGAGGCCTGAGTCGATGGGATCCATCCTCCAGCCTTGTCCCTACACCAGTCTGGCTCCTGCCAGCTCCTGTGAAGAGCCTGAGTGTGGGGATGGGGTCCTGGGAGCACTGCCTCTGACCCTGACAGCCTGGACTTGGCTGGCCGCAGGGCTATGGTGGGGAGGAGAAGGTGTACATCGCCACTCAGGGACCCATCGTCAGCACGGTCGCCGACTTCTGGCGCATGGTGTGGCAGGAGCACACGCCCATCATTGTCATGATCACCAACATCGAGGAGATGAACGAGGTAGGGACCCCCGTCCCCATTCTAAGTGTCTGCTACATTGCGCCCTACACTAAGTATCTTGTTCTCAAATTAATCTTTATGACAATCTCAAGAGGTCGGCGGTGTTCACTCCGCTGCCAAGATGAGGAGATGTGAGGCTCGGTAAGGTTAAGTCATTTGCCCCGGGCTTCACAGATAGAGGCATGCCTGGAGGTGGCCTCTCCACTTCCAGTGCCCGTGACCTTAAACACAGCACTCTGCTGCCTCCCAGCCTGCCAGGACAGATGTTGGCTACTCCTGTACCCATAAGGGCCCATTTAACCGAATCTCCATAAAAGTCCTTCAGATGGGTAGCACTTCTGTTTTCCAGAGGAAGAAACTGAGACTCAGGAAACGGAAGTAGCTTATAGAGTTTGCAGCTGAGATTTGAACCCAACACTCTGTAGCAGCAACCCTGTTGCCCTTGTGTATCTCTCCGCTGGCCCTGAAGAGAGTGTAGAGAGTTGTGGGAAGGGAACAGGATTGTATGGCAGCCTGATCTGGGCCCCTGCAGAAATGCACCGAGTATTGGCCGGAGGAGCAGGTGGCGTACGACGGTGTTGAGATCACTGTGCAGAAAGTCATTCACACGGAGGATTACCGGCTGCGACTCATCTCCCTCAAGGTGAGGCCTGGGGCAGGGCTGGGTGAAGCTGAGGATGAGTGTAGGGGCTTAACTGGGGGCTCCACAGAGAACAGGTCCCCCAAGTCCACTGTAACTGACATAAAAGCCAGTGTCACTCCCAGATTTTCTGATAATTACGGATGAGTGAGAGGTGAATGGACTTGGGAGCCAGAGGTAGAATCAAACCCCTTGCATTTCCCAGTCCTCAGTTACATTTCATGCTGTTGGGCTCTCTCTGTCTCTCTACTCTGTCATTCATAATGCATTCTAGCTATGCTTCAAATGTACCCAAGGCCAGGACTGTCTGGATGAGGGGACTTCAGCAGCCTCCAGCACTGTGCTTATAATTGAGGGTTCATCATGACTTTGAGATCCTCCTTAGAAACATCTCTTCACCTGGGATCCTGGGCTTCTGGCCTGTAGTGCCCAATCTGTCCACAAGAGGGCAGGCACTCTTTGCTGCTTTGGGGTTGTACAGGGGGCTGTGGTTACAGAAAACAGCAAGAAAAAGGAAGACACACAAAATATGAGCAATACAAAACAGCCCAGAAGAGTGGGAGAAGGTATCCTCCCACCCTGAAGTTGTGCTTCCTCCAGGATCAGCATAATAGAGGAGACTGTTCCTTTGAAATCGGGATTAGTGGATTCTGTTTGTGAGAAATAAGACCCATGTTTAGGGAAGGCTGTAATTGTAATAACCCCAAAGGCTGGAAGAGGTGAACCAGGCATCAGGAAGCTGATGCCCTATCCAGGAGCAGCCAAGGAAGTTCATTGATGCTGACAGCCACAGGGGTTACTGAGCACAAGACCGGAGACTTGGCCCTCTGAGCTGTTCCCTCTCCCACTGAATAGGGGCCAGGTAGGGTGTCGAGAGCATCTCAGCCCCCAAGAGCAGTGCCCCCACAAGCAGCTCTAAGATCCAGGTCTTGTTGGAGGGCATGAAGGGCCAGGAAGTGAAAAGCAGAAGTAGTGGTCACTGTCACAGCCAGGTAACTCAGGACTTGAGAAAATGGCTTCCTGAGTAGAAATTCCCCAGAAAGACAGGCTGAGATGAGGCAGGGCTGCTCACCTTCTCAATGCCATGGAGATGATGAGGGAAGAACCAGGGCATCTTGGAGTTTGAGGGAATTTACTTTTGTCCATAAGACATTACGAGCACCTGGCCTGAGCTTGGTTCTGGGTTGGATACTGTGAACACAGAGCTTCCCAAAGCTTGGACTCTTTCCTTGAGAAGCATTGTATAAGATGGTAAGTACTGAGCTAGAGATAGGTATATAGAATATAGGATATGTATATCATATGATGTTATATTGGATGAATATAGGATATGTATATCATATATGTATGTATATATGATATACATATCCTATTATACCTATATATAAAATATATATAATATAAATATATAATATATAAAATATATATAAAATATAAATATATATATAGGTGTGTGTGTATATATATATGTATAAAAGAAGGACACTCTGCCAGCTGATGTGCTCAGGGAGGGCTTCCTGTACATGGTGGTGCTGAATGGGGTCTTGAAGGATAAGTAAGAGTTGACCAGGGGCAAACAAGTCAGGAGAACATTCCCAGTGAGAAAATAATAAAAGTAAGGACATGGAAGATGGAACACTTGTGTGCATGTATGTGTGCACATGTGTTTGTGTGTGCTGCTGAGATTTTACCTACAAACCTTTTGGAGTGTGGGAGCATTGAGTACAAGTACGCAGGGGCAGGAGGTGTGTCTGGAAGGGCAGGCCCTGTAGCAGTTGTCTTCCTAGCCAGGTGAAGGACTGAGGAGAGTGGGTCTTATTCTGAGAGCAGTGAGAGACATTGAAGGATGTTGTGGTCTGCTCAGGCTGCTATAACAAAATACCATAGACCAGGTAGCTTGTAAGCAACAGGTTTATTTTTCACAGTTCTGGAGACTGGGAAGTCCAAGATCAAGGCACCGTGACCCTGGTGAGGACCCACTTCCAGGGTCATGTCCTCACGTGGCAGAAGGAGTGAAAGCTCCTTTTGTAAGAGCACTGATCCCATTCGTGAGGGCTCCGTTCTCATGACTTCATCACCTCGCAAAGGCCCTCCCTTCAAATACCACCATGTTGGGATTTGGTTTCAACATGTGAACTTAAGGGGACACACACATTCAGTCCAAAGCCACAGGTTTTCAGCAGGAGAGCAGCATGTCCAGATGTGTGTTGTACACAGACTATTTTGACTCTGTGGATCTGAGACAGTTGGGGATGAGGCAGAAATCTCCCACACTCGAGCAATGATAAAGGTCAAGGTGGCAGTGAAGCGGGGAGTGTGAAGAGGTGGTAAAACTTGCAGCACTAATTGCAGCACTAAGATAGAGGCGAGTCACGCAGGCGCAGGCGAGGCACAGCAAGAGGCGAAGAAGAGTCCCGGGGCTGGGTTATGTGACAAAGGGATGACTGGGGGACCATTTGTTAAGATAAGGAACCCTGGAGATAGTAATAAATTGGAGAAGGGGCTCTTGGCCCCTCTTGGATGATCCTGAAGTTGTTGGGGCAGGACCAAAGGCAAGATCCATGCCAACGCTGCTGACCAACCCCCAAAACCAAGCTGGCTTTGGGTCTGTGTCTGGTGCCACTGGGCAATGTGGCCTAGATGGAAGGGTGAAGGGGTCCCACTCTCAGTGTTCTTCCTGTGTTCTTCCTCCTTCCATCTCATCTCTATCTCTGGGCTGGTTTGTGAGCTGAAAGAGTTCACACATACCTGGGGTGGGCCTCTGTCTCCTCGACAGAGTGGGACTGAGGAGCGAGGCCTGAAGCATTACTGGTTCACATCCTGGCCCGACCAGAAGACCCCAGACCGGGCCCCCCCACTCCTGCACCTGGTGCGGGAGGTGGAGGAGGCAGCCCAGCAGGAGGGGCCCCACTGTGCCCCCATCATCGTCCACTGCAGGTGGGTCCTCCCAGCCAGCCACTGGAGCGGGGCAGCCCCCCACCCGCTGGGCTGCCCTGCCCCTCACCCCACCGGTCCCCTCGGCCCTCAGTGCAGGGATTGGGAGGACCGGCTGCTTCATTGCCACCAGCATCTGCTGCCAGCAGCTGCGGCAGGAGGGTGTGGTGGACATCCTGAAGACCACGTGCCAGCTCCGTCAGGACAGGTCAGCCCACGGGCGGGAGTGGGGACACACAAGGGAGCTAGAGCCCCGAGCGGGTAGAGGGAGAGACCCACATGTGCATGGGCGGGGGGTGAGGGGCAGATGGAAAACACTGGCACGGACTGATGGGCAGACAAGGAGTAGCGAGGACAGCTGGGTAGAGGGGCAGGATCCAGACAGTGGGGGGCCAGATGAAGAGGGAAGAAAAGCAGAGCTGGTGGATAAAAGGACAGAGGCCGAAAGTGGTAGGACATGTCATCTGTGTCCCTGATAGGAAGGGGCAGAGGGTAATGGTTGGCAAGGGTTGGTCTCTCCAAGACGCACAGGGGCAAGGCCTGGCAAGTGATTGCTACTCCATGGCTTTTGGGGCACCTCCCACAGCCCATCCCTCCACGACCCTGCCCCCACTGTGCATCTCTGCCGGGCAGGGGCGGCATGATCCAGACATGCGAGCAGTACCAGTTTGTGCACCACGTCATGAGCCTCTACGAAAAGCAGCTGTCCCACCAGTCCCCAGAATGACTGCGCTTCTCCTACAAGGTTCTCTGGGCACTGCCCAGCCTGAGTCTCGGCCCTCACCCAGGGCCCTGCCTCGGGTCCTGGGCCTGCTCCCCGCTTCCTCCCCTTCAGTCAGCTCCCTCTGTCCTCTGTCAGCCTGGCCTGACCCCTACCCTCCAGCATTGCTCTTCCTACTGTACATATTGGGGAGTGGGGGGCAGGGTCGGGAAGGGACATGCCAGGCCAGGCCTGGGGCCCCGGGGCCTGACCCACACCACGCAGACCCCGGGCTCCAGTTTTTAACGATGGTTCCATCAATACCTGATCCAGAATGTTTCCGTGCTACACTTTGTGTCCTGCTGCAATGTGTTCTGTCTGTCCATCCATCTCTGCCCTCTGTACCGGACACTGTGTCTCCTCAGCCAGGAAGGGGTAATGAGCTCCAGCCCCTAAGCAACCGGACTTGCCTGCCTCGGCCTCACCCGCACTTCTCCCAAAAGGCAGATGACGGGGAGTTAGGCATGGGGAGCTCCAGAAGGTCACCAGAGAGCTTTCAGCTGAGGGAGAGTTCTCTAGGTTGGAGTGGGCATCACAGCCAGGGTGGCCTCTGGGTGTCAGATGCTCTCAGGAGGGTGCCCAGCCTGTGAGGCACTGGCAAGGTAGGGGGCAGATGGGGCATGGAGAACCCAGAGGATCTAGGCCCTGTTGGGGAGGGGAGGGGAGCTCAAGGTTTGGGTGGGGACTCAGCCCAGATCTACGTGAGACATTTTTCTGTGTCACTGTGGGAAAGCCTTCCCAGAAGTCTCACTGCGTGTTGCTCTGCGTGTGTTCCCATGTCCATGCGTGTGTTGAGAGCCCATCAGGAGGGCATGCATGACTCTTTGGCAACATGTATTATCTTGGAGCCACGTGTTTTTATTGCTGACTTTAAATATTTATCCCACGGCAGACAGAGACATTTGGTGTCTTTTTATAATTCGCTCGTGGTCATTGAATAGAGCAATAAACGGAGCATTTTGAGCAAAACTAACCTCCTGGGTCTGTGTGATTTGCCTCTCCCCTCCACTGCCTTCCTTCCTGTACTTGGGTCTTTGTGCCCCTCCCCAGCATGAGCACAGTGAGCTTGGCCCTTCTGCTCACTGGAGCCCCTTGTGGAGACTGGGAGTATGGAGCGAGTCCAAATTTGTAAAGCCAAACTGGGAACATTCTGCAGGATTCTCACACAGCCTCAGCCCTGGCCCTGACACATGCTCTGGGCCATGGGGAGCCTCAAGGACAGGTGTGGAAGGCTTCCAGGGAAGGCACAGTGGCTGGCAGGTCACCATTTCCAACAGATGTGCCAGAGAAGCCAAGGCTAGGGTAAGGAGACATTCAGGTCACACCCAGGCCCCTCCCTGTTGGCCAAACTCTTATCCCATGTTAGCTCCACAGATCCCAACAGCAGCTGCAGCCCAGTAATTTCCCTTGTAAGGCCTGGGCTCAGAGTAGCTCCTCCCAAGGGGCCCAGGGAATCTGCATGTGGGCTGAGATCCTGAGCCATCCTGGACACTCCTGCTCTATTCTTGTCCCCTGCCCCCCTGGGATGGAGCAAAAGTAGCCATGATGCCACTGCTGGCAGGTGGGGGTCACCCCAGGGCAGAAGGAGGGGTCCAGGGCAAGGGTGCTGACCAACAAGTCCTTACAAGGTGCCAGAACCTTGGGTGGGATCCAGGGTCCAGGCATGCGGGGTGTGCTACAGATGATGAGAAAACAACAGGGTGGGCTGGACACGGTGGCTCACGCCTGTAATCCCAGCACATTGGGAGGCCGAGGGGTGGCAGATCATGAGGTCAGGAGTTCGAGACCAGCCTGACCAACATGGTGAAACCCCATCTCTACTAAAAATACAAAAATTAGCCGGGCGTAGCGGTGCACGCCTGTAATCCCAGATACTCAGGAGGCTGAGGCAGGAGAATCGCTTGAACCTGGGAGGCAGAGGTTGCAGTGAGCCAAGATCGTGCCACTGCATCCAGTCTGGGTGACAGAGACTCCATCTCAAAAAAAAGAAAAGAAAAGAAAACAACAGGTGGCTGAAGCAGCCCAGATGGAAGTCCTTGAGAAGAGGTGGCCATACTCTCCAGTCACCCTCAAGCAGAGACCTCCCCACAACCCCCGGAGGATGGGCCCTCCTACTCTTCTACCCAGATTAGGGAGATTGGGCTGTTGAAGTGGGAAGAGGAAGGAGACCTAACATTTCCCTGTTCTTCCCCAGGGTGGCCTTGTAAAGATACTCAGGCTGTGTATGAACCACACATAGGAGTGCAACATGAATGGGAACCCCTGGATTTGTGTAGCAACGCAGCAGATCCCAGAGGCCCTCCCCAGTTCACCGTGTCCCAGTCCCTGGAAAATACAGACCTGTTGCTTTGCTCCCTGAGCCCTGCTGGACTATGCATGCACCTGTACCTGAGTGTGTGCCTGTGCACACACACTACCCTGAGCCCCTCAGCTCAGAGAGGTCCTACCCAGCAGCAGTGAGAGCCAAAACCTGTACCACAAGGGAACAAAAAAAGTACCCCTGGACTGCCACCCTCAGCCTCCTTCCCGCCTGGCCTTCAGTGTTTCCCCCAGCCTGGATCCAGCTTTGCTTCCCGCCTCCCTTCTCCACCGCCCTCCCCCTCCCCCCACAACCAAGCAGTGTGCCATCTAGCTGAGACAGCTGCAGAGCCTGACTAAGGAATCGCCCCCAGGGGGCCAGACATTTAAGGAACAGATGACACTGGTAGCCTCACTGTTGGGGCAAAGGAAGAAGGAGACGGGCCACCCTACAGTCCAGGCACTAGCTGAGCCTCCAAAGCCGTGGACACAGCATTCGAGTGTTGGGAGGGACTGGTCAGTGCTGAAGGTAAGGCTCCCCTCCTCCCTCAGGAAGGGGACAAAGCTGACCACCTTCTGAGCCCAGAGGGGACTATAGGGTAGAGGGCAGGAATAGGAACAGGGGAGTAGTCTCAGAACCCAAAGGTAGAAGCAGCCCAGGCAGAGATATATTAGGGGGTGGAGAGAGGGAATAGAGTTTAACCCCTAACTACCTGGGTTAAAGAAGGCTTTGGAGCCCTCTGGGACGCCACTGGACTGGAGTCAAAAGCTAGGAGTCTAGTCTGAGTGACCTTGGACAGGTCATTTCTTTCAGACATCAGTTTCCTCATATACGAAATAGGACTTTAAAAACTGCAATGCTGGGCCAGGCGCGGTGGCTCACGCCTGTAATCCTAGCACTTTGGGAGGCTGAGGTGGGCGGATCACGAGGTCAGGTATTCGAGACTAGCCTGGCCAACATAGTGAAACGCCATCTGTACTAAAAATACAAAAAATTAGCCGGGTGTGATGGCGGGTGCCTGTAGTCCCAGCTACTCGGGAGCCTGAGGCAGGAGAATTGCTTGAACCTGGGAGGCAGAGGTTGTCGTGGGCCAAGATCGTGCCACTGCACTCCAGCCTGGGCAACAGAGCAAGACTCTGTCTCAAAAAAACAAAAACAAAAAAACTGCAATGCTGGCCACATGCAGTGGCTCACACCTATAATCCCAGCACTTTGGGAGGCCAAGGCAGGCGGATCAATCGAGGCTAGGAGTTTGAGACCAGCCTGGCCAACAAGATGAAACCCTGTCTCTACTGAAAACACAAAAATTAGCTGGGCATGGTGGCACGTGCCTGTAAACCCAGCTGCTGGGGAGGCTGAGGCAGGAGAATGGCTTGAATTCGAGAGGAGGAGGTTGCAATGAGCCGAGATCACCCAAAAAAAACCGCAATGCTGGTTAAATAAAACATTGAGAAAACATGGTGCTCTGAACAGGAATGAGGAAACGCTATCATCTGGTATGGAAAAAATCTCCAAGACACATTAAATGAAAAAAGAAAGGGTCAGAATAGTGTGTATAATGGGCTACCTTATGTGCTTTTTTAATTAAAAAAAAAAAAGGAAGATGATAAGAACACATGAGTTTTCCTATTTGCATGATGGAGGTCTAGAAGGAGCCTAGAGACTGGCTACCTGTTGCAATGGGGAAGGTTGTAAGATAGACGCAGGAGTGGGAGGGAGCCTGTCCATATGGATTTTTATATTGTTTTATTCTTTAACTATGTGATTGAATTACCAGTTCAAAGAAAAATGTAAGAAAAACTAAACCTTTGCCTTTACCATGTCGCAAACACAAGCAGAATTGTAGTGATGTTTTGTCATCTGTTTTAGCATTCCACCAGTGCCGGGGTCCCCAGGGCCCAGGAATAAGAGACACAGCTTCCTTCTAAAGCCCACTCCAGTATGGCTTAGTCAGGAAGTTCTTTCTTAGGTCTGACTGCATTCCCTCCTGATGAAACATCCAGCACTGCCTCCTTAGTGCCATGTAGCTATCAATAGGTATCCTCAACTCCCTCCAGGCCTTACTTGGTTGGCTGGGTAAGTCTAAGCCCTATAACCTCTCCCTCTGAGACCCTGGAATAGTTTGGAGTTACTCAGTGAGAGGACAGGCCTATTGGGTCTGGTAACTAACCAGGAAAAGGAAGCTAGGAAATGAAGAAAAGAGAGCTCGACTGCTCTCCTGGCCCTCTCCTGTGTGCTTCCATCTCCTCTTATGTCTGAACACACACATAACATCTCTGAATCTCCCTCCTACTCCCTGTCTTGTCCTTCATGGCCTCATCCTCTTCCCCAGTCTCACAGGTGAGTGCCCACGCCTGCTGTCACCATGACAACCATTCACAGCCGGCAGATGCTGCAGGAGCACGTGTCCATGGAGTTCTCCAGCTCCACCACCCACGTGCAGACCTTCTCCCAGACAACCAAGATCGTGGGAGGCAAGTGGAATGGGGGCAGGGAAGGGATCGGGAAGGGCAGCTATTCTTCCTCCACACCCATCCCTTGGGTGGCCCCAGTTTTGCCACTAATGGGCCCCTCTGGAGCCCACAATACCAACAGCAACCCCCACCCAACGTGTGCTTCTAATCTTGGCTTTGTTAAAGCTTCAGCCAGCTGGATGTTCAACACAGATCAGATCTCCAGGAAAACAGCTTAGAAAAGATCAATCATGTGGATGTGTGTGAATGATTGATAAACTCTTAATTGCTGAAGGAGATCAGAGCCATAGGTGAACAGATTCTATCTCCAAAGGTAGAATTTCAGGCATAGGGGAAATTAGGAAGGTAGCCACCTTATCTACATATCAGTAATGCTGACCCTGCTCCACTTAAGAAATAGGAGACTTGGGGCTACCAGTGGAGAAAGAAGGTGAACACATAAACAAGAAGGTGACCTTACCTTCCAGGCTTTTAGCCCTCTGGGGCCAGACTTGGAAGAGGGCAGATCCAAGGGAAAGCTGAGAAATGGTCTCAGAGCTGAACAGAGTGTTTTAGTCACGTCTCTAGTGGAAAGAGATTAAAAGATGGCCGGGGGCCAAGACATTGGATACCCCTTCTCACAGTCATTGCCCCTCCCTCAAAGCCTCAAAGGGATAGAGTCCCTCAAAGTCCTCCGTGCACAGAGGTCAAGGCCAGATAAACACTCTATACCAACCAACACCTCCTGGCCAGTGAGGCAGAGCAAGTGGAACAGCTGGGACTCAAGGCCTATGGTCTAGACCAGAAGTTCCAAACTCAAGTGATTTACAGCAGTGATTCTCTGCTGTGGCCGCACATCAGAGTCACCTTAGTGCAGGGGGTGTGAGGAGGGCAAAAATATGGCAGTACCTGAGTCTCACCCCAGACCATTCAATCAGGTATTTCTTATAAAGTTCTCCATGGATTATATATGTGCAGCCAAAGCTGTAGACCACTGACCAACAGGGCCCAGGCAGGGAACATAAATGTGGGGAAAAGACTGGGGTAAACTAGAGACTGTATATCCCATCTAAAGGGGCAGCCACTATTCACCTCCCACTGACTGTTGCCATATGGGAATACAGGTTCAGTGTTGAGAATCCAGAAATCTGAATTTTTATGTGAAATCTTTCTCTTTCAGATGTAGGGCTACTTTTTTGTTTAAACATTGTGGAGGTCACATAAAAGACATCTGCAGGCCAGGTGTCCACTGCACTCTGCCTGTTTGAGACCTCTTGTTAGTATTTAAAAGCAGGCCATGAGAGCTTCTTAACACACTTTTCCCCCTCTGTCAGATTAGTGGGATAATAAAGGCACCTACTTCAGTGGGATGCTGTGAAGATGGAATAAAATCATCTCTGATATGTGCCTAGCACAGTTCCTGACTCAAGGAAAGTGTTCCATGATTCAGAGCAATTGTTGTGAATTGATAACTCACCAGCCAAGAAGATTGTCTGTAGTTTTATACTGCAAAAACAGTTTTTTTTGTTTTCCAAATATAAAATTATATTTCCACATTGAAGATGTGCTTTCAGATAAGGATATTCCCATATATAGCTCCACTGGAGTGGGACTGTGTCGTGTCCTGTCCCTCACTCAAGAATCACTACTCCCAAGGCAATGAATGCTGAACCCACAGAATGGCAGGGAGAAAATCTAGAGCAGAGCTCAGCCAAGCTGCAGACCTCCCAGGCAGAAGCAGGCCTAGCCCCTCTTAATGCTACTGGGGGACCAGGACTTCCAGGAGAGAAGCCTAAGAGACCAAGAAAATTCCAAAAGAGAAGCCTCCTTTAAAAAAAAAAATTAGGACTCAGGGCTGTGGCCCCATAAAGGTAATGGACCACTGAGGTGTGGGAAAGGAGTTCGCCTCCCCTAGTGGTTGAAACTTGCCATAACACAATGGCCCATCGACTCACCCTGCTTTCTCCCCATGTAGCTGGTCCTGCTCCCACTTCCCTAAATGCTCTTTGTTCCCATGCTCCACCGTCCTCTCAAGAAAGCTCTGTCCTCCCATCGCGAGCTGGGCTTCTACCTGGAGCCCATTCTGACCTCTCGCCTGCCCCCACAGAGGAGGTCGTGAGGAGGAAGTCCTCGAGCATAGTGGAGTTCTTCAGCTTAGTGACCCGGAGCTCAAACATCCCTGCGGGCGACAGCGTCCCTGAGTTCGTGGAGAAGCCTCAACCGGTCACCGCGCCCGAGGGTGTGTTGCTGCCTGTGGCTCACCGGGCTCCAGTGCTTCGCTTTCTAATCGAGTGCCCCCACCCTCCGTCCTACCCCAACGACCTCCAATGCTAAACCCTGGCAGAGCCTGGCCGAGGGTTCCTCCCCTGCCCGGGGCCAGGCCCAGGTGTCTGGGAGGAGGCAGAGAGCCGGCAGAGGGTGGCAGAGGCTCTAGCCTGGTGGCTAAGAGGCGAAAACGCGTCCTGTGCTCATCGCAGGGGACAAAGCCGTGTTCCGAGCCCGGGTGCAGGGGAACGCCAAACCCCACATCTCCTGGAAGAGGGAGAGCGGCATCCCCATCAAGGAGTCCGCCAAGATATTCTACGACAGCATTAACAAGGAACACGTGCTGAAGGTGCGGGGGCCAAGCCCAAGTCCAGTTACCGAGAAGGCCAGAGGCAGGGACCCCCAGGGCGGGCCGCCAGTCTTCTCACCGATGAGAGCCTTAACGGCGGCCCGAGAGCCGGGCAGTGGGAAAAGCAGCTGTCATTGCCCGAGAGGCGCGGCAGGATAAGAGAGGCCGAGTCAGGAACCGGGATATTGCCGGAATGAGCAGAGGACCCAAAGTACCCCCGGGGCAGAGCAGAGCAGGGGCAGAGCCAGAACGTGGCGGGGCGGGACGCAATGGAAGCGAAGGGGCGTGTCCACAAGGCGAGTGAGCCAAAAGGAACGCGGGACCAAGACGGTGGGCGTAGCCATGGAGGGCGGGACCATTGTGGGTGGCGAGGTGCCGGAGGGACTCGCCGTAGAGTAGGGGTGAGGGTCAGGGGCTCCGGGCTCTTCAGCTGAACCCTCCCCAAGGACCGACCATCCTTAGGTCTAACCAGCTTCTGGATCACTTTCTGAGAGCTGGGCCTACCCAGCTGTAACCCCTGGCTCCAGGCCCTTCGAGGAAAGGGAGGGATGGATCACGGGGAGATCTAGGCCTATAATTACTTATGATCCTATAATCACTCGGGTCCTGACCCGATTTCCCGTTGTGAAAGGCAAAGAGCCTCCTTTTTTCCCCACAGACAGAAGTAGTCTGCTCCCAAAGACCCATCATCACTGGACCCTAAGCCCCCCACAGCACACACGAGCTGCCCCAGTCCCCCTGATGGCCACCTCTTACACAAGCTCATTCATTCAGCAGACACTTTCTGAGAGCCTTGGCTTCTGAGAGCCTAGCAGGCTTCTGCAAGCACCATGCAGACGGGCATCAAGTCAGCCTTACTCACCACTGTTCCTTCTGGGGCTCAGCCCAGTGTCTGGTACAGAGGAGTAAATTGTATTAAATGAAGTCTCAGCCAGATGATGCCAGAAACTGCAGATAGAGTTACAAGGCAGGGGAAGCCCTGCCTTCTGGGAGCTCACAGCCAAGGGGGAGAGTCCGATGGAGAAGCAGACAGTTTTATTGCTATGGAATCAGGCTACAAACATGCATACTCACACTGACTGCTAGCTGGTACCTCCAAATCATACAGGCTGCTCAATCCTCCACACATATACCCAACAGTCAGTTCCTATTGTCCCCTAAAAAAAAAAAAGGCCTCCTACCTTATCTGACAGAAAGTCTCCCTGTGGTTCCTTTTCCTTCCCCCACTAATGGCCGGACTTTGATCCAGCTGGAGCCACTGACTTCGGATGACTCTGACAACTATAAGTGCATTGCAAGCAATGACCATGCAGATGCCATCTATACCGTATCTCTGCTGGTAACAGAAGGTGAGTTGGCCCCTTCCTCTTGGCCTTTCTTCTTAGGGACCAGACTCCCCCTGTCTGAACCTGTCCCTCTGTCTATCCTCAGGTCAAGAGAAAATGGACTTCAAAAAGATGCTGAAGAAGAGGTGAGGCTGGCAGGTCCTTCTGCCCAAGATATTGTCTCCTCATCCAGGCCAAAGCCTCTCAAAGGCCTCTCAACAAGGCCCTGAGTTCCAAGAATCCATGGAGTAGGGAGGGGTTTCTCAAGGTTGGAGAGGCATTGTGTACAAGCTTAGTCCCTTCCTCCTTCTCCTAGGGCACCCCCTGCTCCCAAGAAGAAGCAGAAGAAGGTGGCAAATGAGAAAGAGATGCTGGAGATTTTGTCCAAAGTGCCCAAGAAAGACTTTGAGAAGGTGTGCATGGAGTATGGTTTCACCGACTTTCGGGGGCTGCTCAGGAAGCTCAAAGAGATGAAGAAGAAAGTAGAGGTGGAGGTAAGTACCCTGCAGGGAGCAGGGGCCTGCAGGCTAGGGGCAGGGCTTCACCCAAAGTGCTAGTGCCTGTGTATTTCTCAGCAAGAAGGTCTCCCCAGTTCTGCACACACATACTCAGAGGCGTACTCTCCACTGTGAAAGCAGCAAGGGAGCACAAGTCACCTTCCTTCTACTTCTGTCTTCACCACTCCCAAACATACTTGCATGGACTTTGGAGTCAGATAGACCGAGATTCAAATCCCAGTTCTAGGCTGGGTGCAGTGGCTCACGCCTGTAATCCCAGCACTCTGGGAGGCCAAGGTGGGTGGATCACCTGAGGTCAGGAGTTTGAGACCAGCCTGGCCAACATGATGAAACCCTGTCTCTACTAAAAATACAAAAAAAACAAAAAAAAACAAAAAAAAACCGCTGGGTGTGGTGGCACACACCTGTAATCCCAGCTACTTGGGAGGCTGAAACAGGAGAATTGCTTGAACCCAGGAGGTGGAGGTTGCGGTGAGCCAAGATCACGCCACTGCACTCCAGCCTGGGTGACAGAGCAAGACTCCGTCTCAAAACAAACAAACAAACAAATCCCAGTTGTACTGCCTTATTAGCTGTGTGAACTTGGGCATCTCTCTGAGCTTCAGTTTCCTCATCTACAAAATGAAAATTATACTTCCTTCTTTCATTTGTTTTTGTGTTGTTGCTGTCATTCATTGGTTCACTCAACCAACTCATTAAGCCTCTACACTGGAATTAGGGAATCTATATAATGGGCCCAGGTACATAGTGACTATTCCATGAATGATGGTTTTTTACTCATCCCCCGTAATGTTCCTCTCCTCCTAAATCTTTCAGTTGATCACTGGAGCACTGCACGTTGTTATCTAATGAGCCTAGTCATTTCTCCCCACATGCTTAAGAGTTTCTCCAGGATTGAGGACACAGTCTGGGCAGGCTTTGGGTACCACTGACACTTGTCATTTTATTATCATAATCTCTCAGGCCATCCGGATTCTGAAGCCCCTGGAAGACAAAGAGACCAAGGTTGACACCACAGTGGTCTTTGACTGCATAATGGAACTGAAAGACCCCAATGTCAAGATGATATGGATCAAGGTGGGGGATGCCTAGCCAGGGTCCACCTTGGCAATATCTCTTCCTCTCTACCCCCTTCTCTCACTGTATATAAGCCATAGCCTCTCTTCCATCCCATCAAGAGGATGCCTCCTGGTATGGTTGAAAGAGGCTGGAATTGGGCTCTACTCTTAACTGTTTCACCCCTTTGTTGTGTGATGTAAGAGAGTCACATTCCTCTCTCTATGCCTCAGTCTACCCATCTTTAAATTGAAAGGCTAGATTAGACAGTCTTGAAGGTCACTGAAGATCTGTGCCTCTAAGGGAAAGCATCTAATGAACTCATGCATATTAAGAGCTCGGGCCTGTGAGGAGGCCTGTGGGGAGGCAGGAATCTTGGATCCCACCAAACCAGATGATGAGGCTATAGAGATCATAGGGATCTCTGTCTTTAGAGGGTTGGACATGCACCCTCCAGCTTAGGCTGGCGCTGGGGAATGGAGACCTCTGGAAGCTTCCTCCTAAAGCCCTTCATCAGCTTTCCTACCTGTTCCATGAGGCAGGGTACTGAGCCACTGAGGATCCAGTACTCCCTGGGCAAGTACGATGTGAAGCAGATGGGCACCAAGTACATGCTGGTTATTAGCAACGTGAACATGAACGATGCTGGCATCTACAGCCTGTCCGTGGGCGATAAGCGGATGAGTGCAGAGCTCACAGTGCTGGGTATGAGTGGGGGCATGCAAGGGCACAAGGAGGACATGTCGGGTTGGAAGAGAGGAATGGCCAGGGTTGGGATCCATGGGGATATTGAAGAGAGGACTATGGGACTGTGCAAGAAAGGATTGTGTGGGGATGGGAGTCAATGGAGGGAGGAAGCATCAGATGTAAGGGAGAGGACTATGAGATAATAAGTGCCTTGGGGCTGTGTAGCATAGTGATTAAGAACATAGACTCTAGGCCAGGCGTGGTGGCTCATACCTGTAATCCCAGCACTTTGGGAGGCTGAGGCAGGAGAACCGTTTGACACCAAAAGTTCAAGACCAACCTGGGCAATATAGTGAAACCCCATCTCTACAAAAATAAATAAATAATTGGCCAGGTATGGTGGCACACACCTGTAGTCCTAGCTACCCAGCACGCTGAGGCTGCAGTGAGCCATGATCCTGCACTTCACTTTAGCCTGGGTGATGAAGCAAGACCCTGTCTCAAAAAATAAGTTAAAAAAAAAGAACGCAGACTCTGGAGCTAAACTACTAGAGGTCAAATCCCGCTTTCTGCCACTTATGAGCTTTGTGATTTAGGTCAAGTTATTTAACTTCTCTTTGATTCAGTTTCCCCATCTACAAAATGGGGAATAATAGAATCTACCTATGTGATAATTGGATGAATTAGTATGGCTAGGATGGTGCCTGGAACATATCTAAAACCACATAAGTGCTTTTAAAATTGCTGTTACCATTACTGGGGAGAAGACCACATGAATATCATAGGAGGGGACTCCAGGAGAGAAGGGCTCGAAAACAAAACCAAAGGCAGGGTGCTTTCCCCCAGCCATGGGCTACAGGAGGCCAGTGACATGTGAGTGCCCTCTTCACCACTCCACCCCTCAGGAGGGACCAGCCCAATGACTACCACTCCTACTGTTTGCTGCAGATGAGCCACTGAAGTTCCTGGGAGAGATGAAGCCTGTGAAGGTGACAGAGCGCCAGACAGCTGTGTTTGAGATCCGCCTCTCCAAGAAAGAGCCCAACTTTGTGTGGAAGTTCAATGGGAAGGAGCTGAAGAGGGATGACAAGTATGAAATCACGGTGTCCGAAGATGGTCTGACGCACACGCTTAAGATTAAGGATGCCAGACTCAGTGACAGCGGCGAGTTCTCTGCTGAGGCGGGGAACCTGGTACAAAAGGCCCAGCTCACTGTTGACCGTGAGTGGTTGGGCAAGAGCCTAAGGGGTGGGCTTTATGGCACAGCAACCTCCATGCAGGTAGTCATCATTTATATATCCATCTATCCATCCATCTCCTTTTTGCAAAGCCCTGTGGTAGGTACTGGAAAGACAGGGGGATCTCCTCTCTGTTAACCCCTAGTCTAGTAGGGGAGGCAGGTATGAAAATGAAATTAGAATAGCAGTTATTATTCCACGAGTCAAGACACACTGGGTCTTATTATCAGCTGTGAGATCATGGACCAAGAAAGTATTAGTCTATGTCTCTAATGTCATATATTACAGCACATCTGTGTCACTCTGGACTACTTACATTCTGCTATCACAACTACTTTGGGAGTTCGCACATAATGTAGGTACACCAATGAGCATGTCACACATCTGAACCGCACCTGGAATCTATATCACATGGAATCATCATTGCTGTGATGGAGGGAGACACAAGGGCTGTAGAAGACCAAAGAAAAGGCATCACCTGGCAACATCAGAAATGATATAATGAAATGATGTCCGAGCTTTACCAAGAACTAAAAGGAGTTCCGCTTTCAAAGAATGAGGGAGAGTAGAGAACATCCCCAGCAGAGGTAATACTGCTTTCAAAGAATGAGGGAGAGTAGAGAACATCCCCAGCAGAGGTAATAGCATGTATAAATGTCCAGACATTAGAAAGACAATGCAGGTATGGTTGGAGCTCCAAGGGGGCATTAGAGATATTGAGCACTGTAAAAGTTCTCACCCCATTTTACATACGAGGAAACTGAGACTCAGAGAGGTAAATGAGTTGTATACAGTCAACTAGCAAGTCAGGGCCAGAGCTGAGACTCTCCCTGTCGGGTACTTCTGTGAGTCACATATTACACACAAACACATTCAGCATCACAAGTTCTTGTGTTTTCTGGGGACAGAAAGAGGGACAGGGCTTTTGGCTCTATAGCTGCAGAAAAAAGATGTCGTGGTTTGGGAGCAGGCCCAAGTGTCTGTCTGTCCACAGGCATCCCCATCAAGTTTGTGAGCAACCTCAAAAATGTACGTGTGAAAGAGAGGAGTCGCGCATGCCTGGAGTGTGAGCTGACATCCAAGGATGTGACACTGCGCTGGAAGAAGGATGGGCAGCTGCTGATGCATGGCACTAAGTACAGCATGAACCATGAGGGCAAGCGAGCAGAGCTGATCATTGAGGATGCACAGCTCAGTGATGGTGGCGAGTACACTGTGGTGGCCATGCAGGATGGAGACCCTACTGAATACTACAGTACTGCCATCGTCACTGTGGAGGGTAACACCCGCCCTATCAATCCCCACTGACCAATCCCCCTGACCCTGGCATTCCCTTACAGTGGACATCAATTGCCCCCCTCCCACTAACTCCAACCCTCCTGTAGACCATGACCAACTTGTGTCTCCCCACTCTGATCACCCTCACCTCCTAAATTCTGACCATCTCTGACCTCTCATGCCCTAAACATTTATACCTCCTAGACACTGATCACCCCCCATCTTCCAGACTCTATCCCAAATTTCCTGACTTCATCCTTCACTTTCAGACTCTAACCATCCCCAGCAACCCTGATATCCCAGACGTCTTGATCCCGACCATCTCCTACTACCTAACCATAAACCACTTTCCGCAGACCCTGGCTACCCTCAACCCCCAATGACATGTATGTATGTATCCCACAGTCTATGTATCCCACAGTCTAGCGTAACCACAACTAAACATCCCAACTCCAGTAACCACCTGCATCTTCACCATCTATTTCCCTCTCCAACCCAGCATCCTAAGTCCCTGCTGACCACGCTCCACTAATCAATTCCCCACTAGCCATCTCCCAGTTTTCCTGGTCACCATTTCCCAAGCCACTGACCTTTCCCCATCCCCCTCCCATGTGTTGCTCCAGTTCCCCCCACTGACCACCCCCTAATCACCTATTGACCACATTGGCAAGCCGCCTGCTCATCATAAATTATTTTGATTGACGCAGCACCCCTGACCAGTCCCATGACCATCGCTACCAGCCCTTTTCCCAGAAGTCCCTCCCACCCCAACATCCTGAGCCAGTCCCTTGCCCACCTTTCTCCCCAGAGCGTCTGGCCACAGTGAAGAGCGGGATGTCCGACGTGCACGCGGCCACTGGGAGCCCAGCTGAGTTGTGTGTAGTGCTGAATGACGAGAAGGTGGAGGGTGTGTGGCTGAAGGATGGCAAGGAGGTCTGAAGCAGAGGCCAGGGAAGGGGGTGAAGGAGGTAGACCTGGCCTATGCTCACACTCAGGCCCACCCCTGACCCCCAGATCACGGACTTGCCAGGCATGCAGATTGTGAAGCAGGGTGCAGTGCACAAGCTCATCTTTCCCAGTATGGGCCCTGAGCACGAGGGCAAGTACACATTCCGGGCCAAGGGCACGGAAAGTGAAGCCTCTGTATTCATCGCAGGTATGGATCTGTCCAAGGTAGGCAAAGCTCAACCATGCCTGGCCCACCTACAAGCTCATGGCTTCTCCCCCGCCCCATGGGCTCCTCCATGCCAATGCTCAAGCCTTCCCTGCCGCCCCGCCCCACAGATCCTCCTACCATCGACCCGTCAGTACTGGAGGCACTGGCTGCGCACGCCATCACTGTGAAGGTAGGCCACACGGCCCACATCAAGGTCCCCTTCCGGGGAAAACCACTGCCCAAAGTGACATGGTACAAGGATGGCATGGAAGTGACGGAGGAGGAACGCGTGTCCATGGAGCGCGGGGAAGACCAGGCACTGCTCACCATCTCCAACTGTGTGCGTGAAGACAGCGGCCTCATCCTGCTCAAGCTCAAGAATGACCACGGCTCAGCCACGGCCACTCTGCACCTTAGTGTGCTGGGTCAGGGCAGGGCCAGTCCGGGCTGGGCTGAGCTGAGGGCACCTGCTGCCCAGACTCAGGGCAGAAGGCAGGCTGAGTAGGAGGCCAGAGTTAGAGTTGAAGTTTGGGCTGGGAATGGGCCTAGAAGGCTGGCTTTGCAGCCAGAAGCCCGCTTCCTAACTTCCCAGCCAGTTCTTGGCCGAGTGAACCTCCCTAAGTCTCAGCTTCTTACCTGGAACAGGGTGATTTTTTTTCTAGTATCCATTTCTAGTTAATTTAAAGTGCACAGCTAAGAACACAGGACATAATATACTTTCAGATGTTACTTAAGTATTGTTATTGACTTGAAGAGGAAAACTTGATAGGAGGTAAGATGGAAATGAGGTGAAAGAGAGGTAGAATTTGCCAGACACGGTGGCTATAGCTCACCTATAGCTCACACCTATAATCCCAGCACTTTGGGGGTCCAAGGCGGGTGGATCACTTAAGGTCAGGAGTTCGAAACCAGCCTGGCCAACATGGCGAAACCCGGTCTCTACTAAAAATACAAAAATTAGCCGAGCGTAGTGGCACATACCTGTAATTCCAGCTACTCGGGAGGCTAAGGCACAAGAATTGCTTGAACCTGGGAGGCAGAGGTTGCAGTGAGCCAGGATCAGGCCACTGCACTCCAGCCTGGGCAACAGAGCAAGACTCTGTCACCAAAAAAAAAAAAAAAAAAGAAACAACAACAAAAAAGAGGTGGGATTTAGGGATGGAGGTGAGGTTGTTTGGAAAGAGTAGTGAGTTTGAAAGTGAAACAGGGTGAGGTGGGAGGTCAGATAGAGCTGGAGATAAAATAAGGTGGGAAAGATGGAATGGGGATTGGGAATGGGATTTGGGATTTGTCTGAACATGAGGATATAAGAAAAGAGAAGAGGAGCTGGCCTGAATGTACTTATATTCAACACGCCACGTACACGCCATCACCACCTCCTCTACCTGCATTTCCATCGAGCTCTGGGATGGGAAAGTTTGAGTTTCAATTCAATTCAGCAGCAAGACTGAGCACCTGCTCTGTGTTCTCACTGCTGTGTACACAGAGATGAAGTATCCCCAGCAGTTCCTCAATCCAAAAGGGGTGAAACTGGTAGACAGACTGTAATTATAACGTAAGGTAAACAGTGGTACCAGCAAGTACTGGTGTTCTCAAAGCTCAGAAGAGGGGGAGAACTTGTTTGGAAGGGGACAGGGAGATCAGCTAAGGGCAGGGGCCCCTAAGGTCTCTAGTCTACCCATTGCTAGGCAGATGGGAAACTCACGGGGGCAAGGATCAAACTCTTTGGGCAAGTCTTAGAAGGAGGGATGGTGGACACAGGGAGGGGCAAAGGATCCAAAAAGCTCAAAATCCAGCTATACCCTAGTCTGGGCAGACCTTTGGTGAGTGGGAGGAGGCCCTTCTGATCCTTTGTTCCAAAGCCCCATTCTGAAGCTGTTCTCTGTCCCCAGACCGTCCAAAGCCTCCACAGGGCCGGGTGGAGTTCCTGGAGCTCTCAGGTAGTTGTGTGCACATGAAGTGGAAGGCCCCAAAGGACAATGGTGGACGACCTGTGACACAGTTCATAGTGGAACGGAGGGCAGTTGGCAAGAAGTCCTGGATTAAGATAGGCGAGGTGGACGGCAAAGTCACCAACTTCTCCACCAACAAGGTGGAAGAGGGAAAAGCCTACCAGTTCCGTATCCTGGCAGTCAATTCAGAAGGTGTGAGTGACCCACTGGAGACAGAAGAAGTGTTTGCAGGAAATCCCATAGGTCAGTGAGATAGCCTGGTGCTCAGTGGGGAACCCAGGGGTCAGCATGGAGACCTTAAGCCAGGAAGGAACACTGATCTGTGGGGAATTCCACAGGAACATCTCTCTGGCTGTCTCATGAGACAGACCGATTCCAGAGTAAAAACAGAACATCATTTTGGGCAGGAATTGTCAACGTTGTCCAGTCATATCACATGCACAACACACTCCCATGGGTATACCCAGGACGTGCACAACTTTGGGGAACTGACTCCACTTCTTTCTCCATCCCAGAAGTCATCCCAGAATCCAAGTGAGCATGATGTTGCTTTAGGGATAACCTTGAAACCACTCTTTTTCTCCACAGAAAATCCTTGACAACATTGGCATTTTAATTATAATTGCAGGCTGGGCACAGTGGCGCACACCTGTAATCCTAGCACTTTGGGAGGCCGAGGTGGGAGGATCACCTGAGGTCAGGAGTTCAGGACTAGCCTGGCCAACATGGTGAAACCCTATCTCTACTAAAAATACAAAAATTAGCTGGGTGTGGTGGCGGGCTCCTGTCATCCTGGCTACTCGGGAGGTTGAGGCAAGAGAATTGCTTGAACCTGGGAGGCAGAGGTTGCAATGAGCCGAGATCATGCCACTGCACTCCAGCCTGGGCAATAGAGTGAGACTTCGTCTCAAAAATAATAATATTATTATTACTGCAAATGAATTACTTGCTATACCTCTCCCAACTGATCTCCAAATCTCCATGTCAGGACAGTAGATTGAGAATGATGGGATTGGGGGTCACACTGTAGGAAAGTTTAAGTCACTGATTCTCAATGTCGGCTATACATTAGAATCACTTGGTTTCTTTAATAATGCTAATAATACTTGCCATTCACACCAGGCATAGAATATGGGTAGGCAGGACCCAGACACTAGTTGTTGTCAGTGGTTTTTTTTTTGTTTTGTTTTCATTTTTGTTTTTACTTCCCACTTGATGTTAATGTGCAAGCAAAGTTAAGAATCATTTGTGCCAGGCACTGTGGCTCATGCCTGTAATCTCAGCACTTCGGAAGGCCAAGACAGGAGGATCACTTGAGCCCAAGAATTCAAGATCATCCTGGGCAACAGAGTGAGACCTTGTCTCTAAAAAAGGAAAAAGAAAAAAGAATCACTGGTTTGAGTTTATTTAAGCAGGCGAGGCAGAAGTCAGCATGAGGTGGGCAAATATCTACATGCTCCCCCTCCTAACCTTTGCACTCTCTCTTTCCCCCACAGAGCCTCCTGGTTTTGCCTCCCAGCCTCAAGTGACTGATGTGACTAAAGAAGCCGTGACCATCACGTGGAATGCCCCTACCCAGGATGGGGGAGCCCCAGTGCTCGGCTACATTGTAGAACGAAGGAAGAAAGGCAGCAACCTGTGGGTGCCAGTCAACAAGGACCCCATCCAGGGTGAGGTCCTTGGAACAGAGGCCCAGGAGTGACCAAAGGAGGTCTTGCTGAGTGGACCCATTAACTACTGACACAGTCCCTCATCCAACTCTTCTGGAAGTTTTAACAACATCCCATGACCTCCTCTTCTATGTCTCTCACTCTTGTTCTCACCCCATGGATGCCTCTGGCCTCACGACCCCTCATCTTCCCATTTCAGGCACCAAGTGCACTGTGGATGGTCTCCTGGAGGACACAGAATATGAATTCCGAGTTATAGCTGTAAATAAGGCAGGCCCTGGACAGCCCAGTGTGCCATCCAGCTCAGTAGTGGCCAAGGATCCTGTTAGTGAGTATGCGGCTGCCAGGTCCTGACACATAATGGAATTAGCCCATTCAAAGTAGAGAAAGAATTTCTTCCCCGGGAAAGTATGACACGAGGTATCACAGTCTCTACACTCTGGAAACTGCCAGCCTCATAGAGGGACAAGATTCACACACAAGAGAAAGCCAGCAAATAAAGATTGAGAGTCAGGGACAGTGAGGAGGTGGGGTGCAAAAACGTTTTTTAAATTTCGTGTATTTCTAGTTAGGTGAGGTAGGAGAGGCATGCTGAGGGTTGAGTAAGGGTGTGAGGTAGATGGTTGGAGGGTGTTGCATTTAGGAAGCAAGGTGAAGGTACTGCCTGGAAGTGGATGTGGTGGAGATGGTTGGGTTAAAGGCTGGGGTTTTGAATACAGAAGCTTTGAATATGTGGGGTATGTTGAATTTAAGGGGTATTGAGTTTAAGGATGAAAGTGTTAAAACAGTAAGATAACTGAATTTGAATTTGGAGGTTGAGTGTATAAGGCTAGGTACTAAGGGTGTTAACTGAGGGATCTGGAGCTAGAAGTAGTGAAGGATGGGGTTCAGGAGTATTGAGTGTGGGAAGTGAGCAAGGCATTGAGTGGAGATGAGTTGGAGGGGCTGACTACATGTCTGTTCTACCCCAGAACCCCCAGGCCTGGTCCAGGACCTGCATGTATCTGATTCCTCCAACTCCAGCATTTCCCTGGCCTGGCGGGAGCCTGCAGAGGGAGACCCACCCTCTGGCTACATCCTTGAGATGAGGGCTGAAGACACAAAGGAGTGGTCCAAGTGCACAAAGATCCCCATCTCAGGCACCTGCTACACAGTGGGAGGACTCATCGAGAGGCAGAAATACTTCTTCCGAATCCGGGCTGTGAATGAGGCTGGGGTTGGGGAGCCTGTGGAGCTAGACAAGGGGGTCCGTGCCATGCCACCACCAGGTGAGGACACAGAGAGGGCTGGGGATTCATGCCCAACATTGTACCTCCAAACCTTCTCCTCTGGGGCCTCATCCCACAGGAAAATTGGATGATGCTAGGATCATGAAAAAGTCATCCATAGTTGTTGTGCCTGGACAAAGTTAGGGGTAACTTCAGGGGCACCCCTACTAAATCAATCATTGTGTGCCAAATAGCATCTACTGTGTGTCAAGGTGTAACCACCCAATGGGTTCTTCTTGCGCATTGTACACGCAAAACCAGTTCACTGAGACCACAGCATTGCAACAAAGAGTTTAATGGACACAAGGCCAGCCATGCTGTATGGGAGACAGAGTTATTACCCAAATCAATTCCCCGAAAATTCAAAGTCCAGGGAGCCTGCTTCTGACTGGGGCCTCAGGACTTGTGGGGTGGAGGGAGAGCAGGTCCAGGTGGAGCCATCAGTCGTCAGAAATGCAAAAACCTGAAAAGACATCTCAACCACCAATCTTAGGCTCTACAATAGTGATGTTATTTGCAGGAGCAGCTGGGGAGTTGCAAATCTTGTGATCTCTGGAATAATGGCTGGTAATCTTTTATGTCTACACCTTAGCAGAATTCAGGCTCCTCACATCCTCCTAACCTGGTGGCCTTTCATTAGCTTCGCAAAGGTGATTTAGTTTGGGGGAAGACTGTTATCATCTAAGCTATAAACTAAATGTCTCTCCCAACATTAGCTTGGTCTGAAACCAGGAATGATTAAGGGCAGTTTGGAGGGTAAAGGCAAGATGGGGGTTGGTTAGATCAGATCTCGTTCACTGTCATAATTTTCTCGCTGTTATAATTGTTGCAATGGCAATTTCAAAAGGAGGTGTTAGGGTTATAGAAACAAGACACAAGGACTTGCCTTCCAGGGTCTTGCGTACTAGTAGAAGGAGACAGATGAGAAAACAAATAAATGCTTCACAGGGTTGCAGGGCAGCTAGATGTCTGTATGGCCTGTAGTGGGGGCATAAAGGAGGAGAGGTTGGGAAGGCTTTGATGAGGAGGCTTAAAGCAGAGTCTTCTTGAAAGACAGATCCATGCCTCCACCTCTGTCTCCTCCATCTCAGCTGCACCCAAGTTTGACCTCAGTGCCCGGCTGAAGAGTCACATGGTGGTTCGCGCTGGGACAGCCCTCTGCATCCATGCAGCCTTCTCTGTGAGTTGTCCCTGACCCTGACCTCCATACACTGTCCACATAACCAAGATGGCTATTGTAGCCATCACAGTCTCTGACTCTGACTCTGACTCTGCCCCTCACCAGACCCCTAGTGCGACAGCCTGGCAGGAAACTCCTCGACAATGGAGGAAGGCCTGCCCCCAAATATCATCTGTGTGACCAGTTGTGCCATCTCCTGTCACTACTCAGGGCTCACCACCACCTGACGTGATCTGGCAGAAAGATGGCGTTCCCACCAAGGGCCGAGAGACAATTACCAAGAGCAAAAACCACTCCCAGTTCCTCATTAATAGCACCAAGCGCTCTGACTCAGGGGTGTACCGAATCTTGCTTCAGAATGAGTTTGGAGAAGCACGCTATGACATCCATGTGCGCGTGGCAGGTATGGAGAGAAGGCAGAGGCCTCCAAGACCCATCCCTGTACACTCTCCAAAGCACAGCTCCCCAGTGCCGCTTGAGTTCCTACCACAGGAAAGTCATGCCTTAGGGCCATGAAGATTTCTTTGACACCACAGAGCAAGACTTTATCATACAGAGTATGGTCGGCAGAGAGAGTAGAAATGGGTGGAGGGGCAGGAGGGACAAATGGAGATGAATCCATTAAAAATTGGGGTGACTGCTTAAAGAGAGCTGGAAGCTTTAAAATAAAGCTCTAAACCCCCAAGGAAGGAATGGATTCATTTTTACTGAACAGTAACTACATGCCAGTCTCTTTACCCACTATTTCTACGAAATAGTCATTGTCAGCTCTATTTTGCAATTGAGGAAAGAAGTCTCAGATAAGTAACTTACCCCAGGTCACGAGGCTAGTAAATGGCAGAGCAGACTTCAGAAATAGTTTTCCGACTCCAAGACACCAGCTGCCTGAGACTTGCCCCATCTTATCTTCCATCGGACTTGGCAGATGGCTGGGGTGGGGACATAATACTTCAGGTGCCCCAAGGTCGCTGACAGATCTTCCAACTCTTCCAGATTTCCCTCGGCCCCCCACAAACCTACGGTTGTTTGAGGAAGTCCCCAACACAGTGACTCTGACCTGGAACCACAGCCCAGATGTGCAGGAGGACGGTGAGGCTCACTACATCATCATGAAGCGGGATGCAAGCACAGCCACCTGGTACACGGCAGCCGAGCGTGTCTTCAGCAACAAGTACACAGTGACGGGGCTGCTCCCAGGCAGGAAGTACTACTTCAGAGTGGTGGCTCGGAATGAAATCGGTGACAGTGAGCCACTTGACTCCAGGGACACCTGGCTCATCAATAAGGACCAGAGTGAGTCTGGGACTTGCAGTTAGGGTTAAGTCTGGGTGCCCTGATGGTGGGGATGACATAAGGGTCCCAAAGGGTACCCAAGAGGCAAGATAAAATCTGAAAACCATTGAGATAGAACGGTTAATATCTGGGACGCTGCGGAGAGAAGGAAATATTGGCTTTCTTCGGGGTACTTAGGGGTGAGACTAAAGTGGAGGTGGGGAGGTACCTTTGGGGGCAGAGAGGACGGTGGAGGGGCTGCGGAGGGACATAGAGCGCAAACGCGTTCTGCTCTGAGGGGAGGGTCTAACGGGGCTGAGAACAGGGGAGGGCTCTAGGGAGCCGGGAGGATGTCTGGGATCCCTGGAGGCTAGGGGTTAAGGGTGGGGGCCGCGTCGGGAAACTCGAACTGAGGAGCTAAAGGGATAAGAGGGGAGACTGTGGTCGCTGATATGACGTAGGGGAAGCTTGGAGGCGGAGTTAAAGGCTGGGAATAACCGGGTCCAGGAAGCTGGCGCTGGAATGACATCTCGGCCCCAGGGGTGTGGGAAAGCGTGGTTTGGGTGGCAGAACCCTGGAGTGGCTGGGGACGGGGCTGGGGGGTCGGGGGAGGCCTGGGGGCGGGTGGGGAGCCCTTAAGAACCAGTGTAACATTGGGCCCCCAGAGTTGGTGGCGCTGGGAATGTGGCCTAGGTCCTCGGGGTTCCGTGTAAGCTGAACTGTAAGACGTGGGTGGTGGGTGGGGGCCTTGGGGCGCCCTCACGGCCTGCCCCGCCCCGCCCGCGCAGTCCAGGACCTGAGCGCCAAGCTCAAGCCCTACGAGAAGAAGGACTGGCGCCACGCGCCGCGCTTCGTGACGCCCCTCAAGCCACACACGGTGCTCCGCGGCCAGGACTGCACCATGACCTGCGCCTTCCTTGGGAACCCGCGGCCCACAGTGACCCTCTACAAGGGCGACGTCAACATCACGGCCAACTCCAAGTTCTGGTACAACTCCACCAGCGGCGTGTGCACCCTCGTCATCCCCACCTGCACGCTCAAGGACAGCGGCGATTACAGCGTGCTGGTGGAGAACGAGCTGGGCAAGGACCGCAGCAGCTGCACGCTCACCGTCTATGGTGAGGGCGCCGCGGGGTCCGGCCTCGAGGAGGGGGAGAGGCGCAAAAGGCTGGTCTTGTGGGCCATTGGTCAACTATTTGGCTGGCACCGTTTTTTAATCTGACTGCCAACAGGTGGTGCAAACATTCTTAATTGGCCACAGTTCTTACCACTCTCCCATCCTTTCGATGTCATTTGTTATATGCCTGGCCCCTGCAGACATGAGAGTTCTCAATCCCTAGATAAGATGTGGTTTGCAACTCTTGGTGAGCCTAGACCTGCCTTCAGAAAAAAGATACTGGTGATCAGGACTCAACCAGACTCACCAATCACGATCTCTCTGGCACGGTTCTGGAAATAACCTATATGTTTACAAAATTTTGCGGGTGATTCTGATGTGCAATAAAAATTAAAACTGGTCTAGGATAAGGACCGGTGGGGGGCACAAACAAGGGAAGGAGCGAAGGGAACCCTCCCTTTTGTACATGCATGCCATGTTTCTACTCATGTGTGCACACATAGGGGGAAGCATTTTATTCCTTCCCAGTCTACTGTCTTCATAGCCACACAGCTAGCAGCATGAACTCTAAATGCAAAGCTGGCCTGCCTTGCTTTCTGTTGCTTAAATTTCCCCCAGCTTTCCTCTCATGGTAAAATCCCAAACCAAGAAGGTTTCCCCCTCCCCCACCTCTCATCTCACCTTCTGCTACTCCTGAACCTTCCATGACACTCCATTGCTGTGGTCTCCATGGTTACAGACCTTTTTTATCCAGTTATAGATACCTTTCTTTGGGGAAAGGACCTTGTCCTGTTGCTCTGTCTCTCGAGTGCTTAGCTAAGTGTCTGGCACTGAGACAATATCTCCAGAGAGGCTGCTGAGCTGTGTAAAAGAACTAGGCCAGGGAAGGCACTGTGGGTGCTATCCAGCTTTCATTCCACAGCTAAAGAGATCCCTGATAACTCAAATCTGCTTGTAAGCACAGCAAATGGGCCCAGGGCCCTGGCTCTGCCACTGACCAGCCATGTGACCTTAGTAAGCTACCTCATTGAGCCTGTTTTCTCATCTTCTTTATAGGACTATGAGGCTTAAATGAGACAGTACACAACTGCCTGGCACAATGTCTGGCAAATATTAAGTGCTAGATAAATGGCAGCTCTTGCCCCTTCACACTCTGCCAACCCAAGATTAAGGGTCCCAGGGTCCAGCTCCTGGTTTCCTGCATAGGAAGTCCAGCAGTTTGGAATTTCCCTGGTCGCCAGCATCATTAATATAACGAATACTTCCTTTGCTCTTTCAGACAAAGATGATAAGTCAGTTGTAGCATCCATCACCGAGAGTCTGCAGAAGAAATCAAAGCACCTCATGTGAGCTCCAGCCAAGCCCAGGCATCAGGAGGCTGTTATGATGTGGAGTTTCTTGGCCTGTCCTCTGCATGGCCCAGTGTAGGAAGCCCAGTTTGCTCTCTGGTGTTTGTTAATGTAAACATTCAGTGAAGGGATGGGGCAATAAACGTAACTCATCCTTTCCCGTTCCTGAGGGTGATATACAGCAGGGACCAAGGGGATGGATGTGATTGCATGATAGGGAATCCCAGACCTGGACCCCTGAAAGCCTAGTCCAAACCCACCCACAAGGCAGTGACCAGCCTTCTTGTGACTGGGCCTGGTCTTCCCTTCCCCTCCTCCACATCTACATGGCACTTTCCCCCTCCCCTCAGAGCTTGGGGGCAAGTCCTGCTGACTTCATCCTGCTCTCCATCCTGCTCCCTCCCATTTCTTCACACTAGGTAGGTCTGTGTTCAGAGTTCTGAAGTTTGAAAGGATCAAGATCTTCCCTCTTTAGTGTCCAGGGTTCAGAGCTAGAAGGGATTGATCATCCAGCTCACTAAGTTTCAAACTTACGTTTTTCAGTGGAATCCTTCCAAAACAAAACAAAACAAAAAAAAACACAACCTAAGAAGCTACTGGACTTGAAATAAGGATAGGAGGTCTTTGAGCCTGCCTTCTCTCATTATTCCTTCACTACCCCCTTACCAGGAATCTCTGTAAAAACTAATTTGGAAATCACTGACTCATCCAACCACCCCTGAGACTTGAGTCTCCTAAATCACATCCCCACAAATGAGCAACACCTCTACTGATGGCATATCCACCACCACCCAAGGCTTCCCTTTCTACTTCTGGGTTAGGGCATTGTCTGTTAAGTTACAAATGCTCCTGGAGCAGAGTGATGTATTATTCTGCCAGGGCTTTACAACTAATGAATGAATCAGCCAATCTAATCCCATTGCTCCCAGCTGTTCAACTAAGCCCAGAGTCCAGGATGAGGGAGATGCTTGAAGGGAATCTGGATCATTTTGAAGGAAGCAGCAGGTCTCAAGTGGGGAGGGGAGGAGGTGGGCAGCAATAGATGACACTGGGTAACTAAAGGTCACCAAGGGTGCTGGGCACCTGTGCACAGGGGAGTACATCAAGGACAAATTTGGACAGTGGCAAATACCACTCATCCCCCATCCTCCTAAACCACATCCTCACCCACACCAGGGAAGTGAGACACACTCCAACCGGCACAGTGTCACCAGAGCCAGGTAGCCAGCCTGGCACCAAGATGCACTGCCCAGGACTGTGACTAGGCTGTGAGGACAGCCAGAGCCTCTGGCACCATGCCCCCATGCCCTCTCCAAGATAGGCATGTGCCACACAGGCCCACAAGCAGGGCAGCCAATGGCTCTTGATTTTTATTATTTTTCACATGGGCAGCAGAAGATGGAGTTGTCCCATCCTTGCTCCCCTTGCATTGAATGTGCCTTGGGTCTTAAAACCCCGGAGTGTCATTGGAGCCCCCTCCTCTTGCTCCTAGTGTAGGAGGGACAAGGAGGAAAGCACTGTGAGTATGTGTGTTGGAGGGGAGGGGTCCCAGCTCCCTGAGCCAGGCTCAGCACCCCTCAGCAGCTCCCTGAGGCCCTCTCTCTGTGAGACTTTTGACAGACAGCAGGACAGAAACATATAGCAGAGAAAGACATAGGCAGACTAGGAGACAGGCTACACACACACACAGAGAAGCTGGCCCCTTCCTTTGGCATGGTTCACCCTAGCCCTGGGGATAGGATCTAAGGGTAGCGTATGGGACCTGAGCTTTGGGCTTGCCCGAGAGAGAGATGGGGCTACTTGAATTCTTGAGACCCCAAACTCCGAGACCAAAGAAGTTCTCTCTCCTGCCTAACCTGGACCCACACCTCTTCATGTCCCCACCCACCACTTAGAGACTGAGATTGTTCAAGTAACAAGGATAGAAGAGGGAAAAGAAACGGAGGCTCCACTCTCATCCAGTCTTCCCAACTAGGGGCCTGTGAAAGGGGCTCCTGGGTCTGAGTCTTCTCAGCACAGATTCTCCCGTTTCCCTCAACTTTGTGCAGATGAAAAAGGGGAGGAGTGGGTGAACCCAGCACTGCCATTGGTCCTAGGCATAACACATGGAGTCAGACTCTTCCACCTGGTAGGGGAAGTGGGTGGGGGGGTGTCAAGAAGCTGAGCACCATCACCTTCCAGGGGGGTTTTGAAAGTCCTGATAGGGTAGAGGTGGGGAGATGTCTACTTCTGGCTCCAGTCTGATATTAGGCTGGCTCTTTTAGCTCTCAGCATTGTCCTGAACCACGAGTTCTGCTAGGGAGATCCTTTTCCAGCCTCCCCACACGAACTTGCAAATTCCTCAGGCAGTACCTGCTGCCCCAGGCTGGCACTGCAGCCATCCTGATCCAGCTCCTGCAGGTCCCCAGGATCTGGGCCCCAGCCCCAGGAGGAGAGAGGGGTGACCAGACCCTGGCACCTCAGTTGGCCTTGGTCAGTCTGTAGTGTTCCACAGGCTCCCGGCTTTCGACAGCTGACAAGGCGACGAGCATCTGGGCCACATAGTAGGTGGACATGATAAGCGCCCGAGAGTAGGGCACAGGAAAACAGAATTTGTTGAGGGCGATGGTCAGGTCTGAGATGATAAAGAAGAGTGCACCACTGCCAGCTGCCAGCTCTGTCCAGCGCCAGTCTGCCCCGGCCAGCCGCAGCCCTGCCATAGCTCGCCAGCCCATGAAGCCGATAAGGGCCACATAGACCCCCACCAGGTAGGTGAAGGCACCTGAGAGGCATGGGTAGAGGAGGGCATAGCACAGGCCCGACAGCGCTGCCATCACCAGACCTGTCCGAAGAGCCAGTGGCTGCATGCCAAAGGCCGAGGCGTAGAACATGTGGGTCACAGCAAACATCAGCAGACCTGGGGGTAAGAGGGGCAAAGGCAGCTGAGGGCAAGCTTGATGAAGAATGAGTAACAGGGTGGGGGTAGGGATGGATGTGGCGATGGAGTGGAGTGTTTGGGATAACCCAGCAGCTTTGCTTTGGGATAACAGGGGTAGGAAGATCTAAAGTTAAAGACCACCACCCCAGTCCCCTGAAGGACTCTGGAACTGATCACTAGTTCCCCTGCGAGGTCATCCCCTAACAAGGACCCTCACAGTCCCTGGCCTCAGAAACCCTCAGGCTCCCCACACTCTGGTTCAAGAACTCCCTCTTCCAAATCTTTGCCCACAGCCCAGGACCCTCTATCCCCCAGCCCCAGGACTCCTCCCAGGCAACTACTATGGCCACTGACCATGCACGAAGTATCCTTGGTCCTGCCAGATGAGGAAGGCGTCACCTACAGCAGAGAAGACAAGCCCCACAAAGATGCGGGTGGCGCTGGGGTGGGCCAGCAGGAATCCCAGGCCATGGGCCAGAAGGAAGAGCCAGAGGCAGAAGATAGGCAGGCACTTGATGAGGGTGCTGACCCACGATGGGCTAGATGAGGGCAGCCAGAGCACAAAATACACGCAGGTGGCCTTGAAGAACGGCACCAGTTTGGGTCCTTCACTCTTCACCTGGAGGACACAGGACAAGGGCAGCACTCAGAACTTGGGGGTTGAAAGCCAGCACCCTCAGCCTAGGCATCCACCCCAGAGACACTCCCATCCATACCCCCACCTCACTTCCACCCCCAACCTGAGAAGACTGACACAGAGAAACCCAGCCTGGCCTGCCTCTACCAGCCAGCAGGTTGTGGCCAAACCCATTACTGCCCTGAGGCTCAGTATATTAGGAGGGGCACCCTTCTGCAGCCTAGTGTGCTTCTCCCTTCCTGCCCCCTCCTTCTCCCTCCTCAGGGCCCCTTTAGCCCCTCCTCTCTGCCAGCAACAGCCCCCAGCTGTTCACTCTGGAATGGAGTGAAGTCAGTGGGAAACCACAGAGACACCCTGACTGGCCAACTCGTGATCCTCAGCATGGGGCCAGGGTGCAGCCTTAGGGCCCTGGCAACACCAGGTGTGTGCCAGGAATGTGGGAAAGCAGGCAATGGCAATCACCTCAGCCACCACAGCCTCTCTCCTCCTCAACCAGTCTGTTCCTCAGCCTCCACTCCACCTGCCCCAGCCTGAAGGTGGCATCAAGGGCAAGGAGGGCTATGCTAGGGATGCTGGCTAGATAAATGGACCCATGAGTTGGGAGCAAGAAAATTGTCCTTCAAACACCAAAGATTTCAAGGATTGGGGGAAGGGAGGGTGTGTGTCAGTCAGCCTCATTTCCCAGAGAACAAGAGCAACTCAAGCCACACCAGAAAGAGGCAGGAAAGGGGGGAGAGGTTCTATTCCCAGCTTCTGATCTGGAGCCAGCAGACAGGCTGGGAGATGGGGAACTGAGAGGGGGAAGTTAGAGCAGCTGACTTGGTCTCAGCCGGATTAGCAGAGGGCAGCTAAAGAAAGGTTGTACCCAAGGCCACTGCAGGCAGAGTCCAAGCTGGGGGAGGGGGCTGCAGCGATGTTCTGAATCTGTGATCCTTGAAACTCCTTTCCTTGGGCTGCTAACAGATCCATTGAGGGTGATATGGAGCAGCTGGAGTTCCCTGTACACCCACACTCTGCCCAAAGCGATTGTGTCTCTGGCTAGGTGAGCTGCCCAGCACAGGACTTGGGAAACACTCAGAGTCCAGACGACCAGGTACCTAAGGACTGATCAGACTGTGATGAGGAGGATTGGGAAGAGGCGGATGGGTGGTTCCAGGGTCCAAGCCTTTCCTTGTTCTGCCAGAGGTAAGAGCAGTGAGAAGAGATGACTTCCACTTCCCATGGAAATTAAGGCTGGTCAGGGTAGGGGCATGGTCAGAGGAGGCGGCTGGAGGGGATGCCCAGGCCCACAATGCCCAGCAACCACCTGCCAGCCCCTGGGAGCATTAACCTCCGCTCCATGGCCTCTCCCAGCCCCATATTTTCTAGAAGGAGATACTGGCAGTAGCTGGAGAGACCCTGACAGTTATAGGGAACCCAGTAGTAGAATAAGGAGGATGGGGAGACGAAACAAAAGGTTCAAGTTGAGAAAGTCTGAAAAGCAGGGGATGTCATAGAGAATGCCCCCTTTTCCCCCAGCGCGTTATCAGCGCTTCTTAGACTCAGGGGCGTCCGCCAACTTGTTTACAAAATGAGGAAGGTTAGGAAACAAACTTGGGACGGCATTCCCAGGAGGTCCCTGTTATCCTCCCAGCATCCCCCGCCCCCACGCCTCCCTGTGGTCCGCCTACGCGGAACTCTGCGGCCGGCAGCGGTCCCCTCCCTCTCCCGGGCCGCGACCCCGCCGACCCGCGCCAAATACATGGAGATCAACAAAGTCACGCTTCCGAGTCACGTGGCCAGTGTTTTCCTCCCTCCGCGGGCGGGCTGGGGGCGCGCGAGGAGGGGCGCCGCGAGTCTGAGGAGCGGGGGGCGGTGACAGCGCCCGCCTCCCGCCGCGGGACTCCGGCCGCCACGGGACCCCCGCCCCGCCTCGGCCCCTTCGGCAGCTCGGCCTGCCGAAGTCCGGTGGCCAGGCCGGTGGGCTCCAGCCGCGCCGGGCACTGGCTCGCTCGCTCGCTCACTCACCACAGTGACCGGGGACACCATGGCGGCGGCGGCGGCGGCTGGCACCCTGCTCCGGGCTGCAGCGGCCAGGACGCGCCCACGGCCAGGTAAGCCGGCGACGATTCTACAAAGCCCGGAGGGACGGACAATACCTCCCGAGCGCCCGGCGCCGGGGTTCTGTCAGCTAGCCCCGTGACGTCACCGCTGCCAGGGCCAATGAGCGGGCGGGAGCCGGGGGGGCGGGGCCCGGCTGGCGGCGCCGGCCAGGCCCCCGGCTGCTGCTCGGAGAAAGGAGGCATCTCCCAGGGGTCAGAAGGCGGATACCCCCCAGGCCCCGCCCCCTTGGGAGGCCGTGCCAAGGCGTCCACGGAACGTGAACGTGACCGTGACCCCGGTGCCTGGGTGAGGACTGAGCTTGGCTGAGAGACAAACACATTGCTGTCCTGGACGCACAGCCACATACATTTTCTCATAACCCGGGAGCAAAAGGCAAAGACAGATTCCCTTAAGCCTTTAAACATGCAGTCCACGCCGATACGATTGCAATTGGACTCACAACCTTCACTGTGTACAAACACACATCCAAATCATCAGCAAACACACAACCTTCGACTTGAAAAGCGGCACGTATATAGGTATGCAGCAGCCATGGACCCATAATCGTAGCATATACATCACACATACAGAATCATAATTACCCTTAAGCACTCAACAAGTACACAGATCCAAAACCAACAACCACAAATTGACATATATGCTCCATGTAAGAAAAGAGACATATACAGGGACTCTACAGCAGCTCGTAGACCCATGACCCTAATATAGAAACAAACACAGATAATTGGCCGTAGGCACACACCTCTTACAACTCAGAGACCACTGCCACACATACAAGAGCACCCCAAGAATGACAGACAGGCAGACCCAAAGAAGCGTGAGCTAACTTTGCCAAAAATACGTCCCAAGTGGATTTAATGTTGATTTTACGTAGACTAAAGGAACACAAGCTCATTCAGAGCGGTGCATGTTCAGAATCATTGGAATTACATGGAGAGGTAGGTGGCCAGATGGACTGAAATCTAGTCCCAGTTTTGCCACTTCCATGCTGTTAGATTGGGTGAATCACTTCCCCTCTCTGGTCTTGATTTCCTCACTTAGAAGATGAGCGGGTGAGTTCTAAGGTTCCACCCAACTCTGACATGTGTAGGTTGGGGAAGAGGAAGGGCTGCTGGTTTTAGGAAATTTAAGTCTAGCAATCCTGGAGATGGAGATTTCAGCTGTATCTCAAAGGATGGGCAAGTAGTCTGTAAGCTACTGTAGAAGGGCAGTAGCTGTGTGTCAGGCTTTGGGAATTGATGGGAAAGGGGTGACCAGCCCTAATTAGCAGCCAAAAAGGAGTTTCAAACATCCTGGCATGGTGACACAGGCCCTTGTGCTGGTCCTGAGCCTTGTGCTGTTTGGGCAGAGACCGACAGGCTGAAGTCTCCTGTAAGCCCCTCCCACAATGGGTCTCTTCCTTTTCCTTCTGGATCCTACCCAGTTTTCCCTAAAGTCCCAACACCCATTCAGAGGGGTGATAGTCCTCTTCTGGTGACAGAATTGGCAACCAGAGATTCAGAGTCCAGTACAACAAGAGTGAGAGTCAAGGCTTGGGACAGGAGTCACCCAGATCTTCCCCCCATCCCCTCCAGTCCCCTCCAGCATAGAGTTCTAAGGGTCAATGACCTCTGCCTACTCCTCTTTCTTTCCAGTTAGGGGCTTTGGGGAGAGCACCTTACCAGAATGAAGGACTATAACTGCTGCCCCAGGGCTTTGTCACTCACACACACACACACACACATTTCTACCAAGTGTGCTGCCTAGAGAGAACACTGGCTTGAGAGTTAGAAATGCCATTCTTAGTCCTAGTGCTTCCTTCTCCATGACTCACTACTGTGGTGTATAATTGAGCACATCATTCCATCTTTGGAGCTTCAGATTTCTCATGAATAAAATGGAGGAAATGGGCTAGTAGAAGGTGCAAATATTCCAGTTTTCCAGCCAAACCCTCTAACATCACCTGAGGGATAGTTCTCAAACAGAAATTTGCCAAGTCAGGGCATTTTTCATTTCTCTAGACCTTAGTTTGCCTCTCTATAAAAATGAGAAGGTGGACTATATCCGTGGTTCTCAACAAGTGGTACCTATCAAAATTACTTGGAAAGCTTTTAAAAACATAGATGCCGTTGCCCCACCCAAGACCTACTAATTAGTGGCACCAGTTCTAAGAAGCTTGCACATACAAATACCTAACAATACAAAACATGAGACTTAGAACTCCCATCTACAGGGTTCCACTCAGTGCTTGATTACCCAGTAGGCAAACTAATCATATACACAAGTCGCCTACAAAGCAGAGGCATCCCCCCTCAATGCCGGTTTTTCTCCATTTGCCTTCCCACCACCTAGATTCATTCTTGGCTCTTCTCTACCCTGTCCTGGGAGCCTGAGCTCTATGGACTGTATCTTCAGGGATCACCAGGGCCCTGGCTTCTGGCTGAGTTCAGCCAATGAAATTCAGAGGCAGGAGATGAGAACATGGACGAGGCCTGATGGACCAGGCTGAGATTCTGGCTGTGGCCTGCTTCTCCATGGCTACAGCCCCAGGCTCCCTCCCCATACCTTCAGGCCAGGGGTGGCAACAGTTTCCTGCTGTTGCTAGTCTTTTTTTTTTTTTTTTTTTTTTGAGACAGGGTCTTGCTCTGTCCCCCAGGCTGCCATGCAGTGGTGTGATCTATGCTCACTGCAACCTCTGCCTCCTGGGTTCAAGCGATTCTCCTGCCTCAGCTTCCCTGGTAGCTGGGATTACAGGTATGTGCCACCACGCCCGGCTAATTTTGTATTTTTAGTAGAGATGGGGTTTTACCATGTTGGTCAGGCTGCTCTCGAACTCCTGACCTCAGGTGATCCACCCGCCTCGGCCTCCCAAAGTGCTGGGATTACAGGCATGAGCTACTGTGCCCAGTGCTATTGCTAGTCTTTAGGTGCCTCCTCACCCATGGCTAGTTTCGTCTCTGCAAATAGTCATTAAATTCTCTTCAGTTAAATTATTGAGTGTGCCAGTACCCTGGCTGATATAGGCACCCACAAAGCAAGGGCACCACCCTCTTCCCAAAGAGAAAGAGCTTATTCTGACTTCATTCATATGGTTGAGATTTGTTGTTTCAAAAGTAAATTTTCATTTACTATTTACTAGTGTTTACTATTTACTAGTGTTTTTATTTTGAATTGCATATTGCAGGAGGCAGAAAGTGGGATAAGGCTTCCTGAAAATGGGCATTTCTCCCTTTTGGTAGGAACTGGCATTTCTTCCTTTCCAACCTATTGGCATGGCCCTTTTCACACAGCTTTGTAATTTTCCCTGTGCTTGTGAGCCCATTCACTCACTCATTCATCCAACAAATGTTTACAGTGCACCTAATATGTGCTAACCACTGTATTAGGTTCTGGGGTGTAAAATATTGAGTAAAATATATTCTCTATCCTTATGGAGCTCACAGTTCATTTCAGACAGGCAAGTAAACAATTATTCAATGTGGTAGCTGACCTAATGAAGTATGAAGGTGTCACAGGTGGCATTAAAAAAAGACATCAGAATTATAAATTACACCTGGAGCAATTGCAGGAGCTAGAGTTAAATCTAGAAGAACGAGTTAGTCTTTATTGAGCAGACACCAATGTATATGCCATTCTAGGCAGAGGGAATTGCATGTGTACATAAGAGCACAAGAGACACACTGAATTCAGGGAAATATCTGTAGTACTGATTCGAGCTGGGGAGTGAGAAGGTGAAACTGAAGAAGCATGAGCCAACTCAGATCTTGAAGATTCTACTCAGCCAGGCGCGGTGGCTCATGCCTGTAATCCCAGCACTTTCAGAGGCCAAGGTGGGCAGATCACCTGAGGTCAGGAGTTCAAGACCAGCCTGGCCAACATGATGAAACCCCGTCTCTACTAAAAATAAAAAAAATTAGCTGGGTGTGGTGGTGGGCACCTTCAATCCCAGCTACTTGGAGAATCGCTTGAACCCAAGAGGCAGAGGTCGCAGTGAACCGAGATTGTGCCACTGCACTCCAGCCTGGGCAACAAGAGCAAGACTCTGTCTCAAAATAAATAGATAAATAAAAATAAAAATGAAGGTTCTACTAAGAAGTTTAGACTTGACATAGTAGATGACACTAAACCAATTGTCCTCTGTTCCTTAGCATCTCTAATTGTGCCCGCTGTCATCCACCAGCGACATGGGCAATGCACAGAAATGATGACCCATCATCATTCTGAGCTTGCCTCGCTTCCCCCATGGGGCTTCTTCTCACCCAGTGGCCTCCTTCATCTCTGACCTCTGTTGTTTTGCCACAGGATATTTTTCCTCACTTAGTTTGTCCTGCTTGAAATCATAATCCAGCCCTAAACTGATTATCTTATTCCCAACCTGATGCTGGATCTCAGCTAATTTCTTTTCTGTTTCAGGCCTCCAGAGCACTTTTTTTTTTTTTTTTTTTTGAGACAGAGTCTCGCTCTGTCGCCCAAGCTAGAGTGCAGTGACGCAATCTCAGCTCACTGCAAGCCCCGCCTCTCCAGTTCACGCCATTCTGCTGCCTCAGCCTCCCGAGTAGCTGAGACTACAGGCGCCCACCACCACATCCAGCTAACTTTTTGTATTTTTAGTAGAGATGGGGTTTCACCATGTTAGCCAGGATGGTCTCGATCTCCTGATCTCATGATCCGCCCGCTTCGGCCTCCCAAAGTGCTGGGATTACAGGTGTGAGCCACTGCACCCAGCCTCCAGAGCACTTTTAACCAACTCTCAGGGTCACCACACATACCCGATTCCACCCCCACCCCACCTGCAGATATGTCGAAGAAATCAGAGATGTTAAGGAGGGTGTGACAAGGTCAGATGTTCTGATAACAGTGTGAGGGCGTCAGTTGTTGAGTTGTAAGGAGTGAGCTGAATGTGTGTGTCAGCCTAGTGGAGAATGTTTGGGTGGAACTGGATACAAAACTAGGGCTCAGGCTCACAGGGAAGATTTGGAAGTCTCAACCATACTGAAAGTCTATGGATGTGATGAACCAGAGAGGAGCCTTGAGGGAGTAGAGAAGAGGACTAGAACAAGCACTTTGGGGACAAACATTTAAGAGAATGGTGGAAAAAAGGAAAAGAAGGAAGAAGACAAACACACAGATAAATAGATATGCTGAGAATGTATCTGGCACACCCAGATATACCTAGTTCCAAGTATACTCACAGGGAAAGAGACAGACACACCCAGAGAAGTGTATGTTCACAGATGATCTGTGGGTTTTGTGGTTTCGTTCCCTGCCTCTGGAACAGGTGGCAGGTGCTGGTTCTGCTTCCCCATTGTGGTGGGCCAGAAGCTTTGAAGATAAATGACCATGACCCATCACCATTACTGACTGTGTGCCCCATGGCCCACGGTCTGTGGGAGGCTCCACATACCCAACCCCAGCCCAGGCATTCCTCCAGGTCCCTTCTGCCCTTTCTGCTTACAGTTATCAGCAGCCTAGAATCCATTCTAGAAGGCCTCTGTCATGCTGGAGCCCGCTTGGGTCAGGGAGGTGAACCCTGGAGTGGCCAACGTGGTCAGTGACACAGAGTCCGCTCCTGGAGGCACTTAAGAAAAGGACAAAGATTTTAGCAGAACTTCTCTTCCAGACCCTTGGTGAGGGTTAAATATTGATGCTGTCCTGAGATAATATGTGGAGCAGTGTCCCTAAGGACATTCCGGGCTATCCGGTTAGCCTCTGGGCTTGGGGCCAGGCAAACATGGGTTTAAGGCTCTTCATCTACCGTGTGGCTTTGGCAAATTGTTTAACCCTCTGAGTTTCAATTTCCTTTTCTATAAAATAGCAAACCTGGAAGGGGTGGCGTGAAAGGAAGTTTGCTGATGCATCTACCATATCCAGCATAGCCCCTTACCCACAAGATACTTACTCTTCTTTCCTTTCCTTGGCGTATTTGTTACTGGAAAGGGATCCTGATCCAGACCCCCAAAAAGGGTTCATGGACCTCATGGAAGAAAGAATTCTGGGCGAGTCCATAGAATAAAGTGAAAGCAAGTTTATTAAGAAAGTAAAGGAATAGACCAAGCATGGGATTACATGCCTGTAATCCCAGCACTTTGGGAGGCCAAGGCAGGCAGATCCCTTGAGGTCGGGAGTTGGATACTAGCCTGGCCAACATGGTGAAACCACGTCTCTACTAAAAATACGAAAAATTAGCCGGGCTTGGTGGTGCATGCCTACAGTCCCAGCTACTTGGGAGGCTGAGGCAGGAGAATCACTTGAACCTTGGAGGCAGAGATTGCAGTGAGCTAAGCTCAGACTACTGCACTCCAGCCAGGGCAACAAAATGAGACTTCATCTCAAAAAAATAAATAAATAAATAAATAAATAAAAATAAAAATAAAAATAAAAAACCCGGGCGCGATGGCTCACCCCTGTAATCCTAGCACTTTGGGAGGCCAAGGCGGGCGGATCACGAGGTCAGGAGATCAAGACCATTCTGGCTAACATGGTGAAACCCCGTCTCTTCTAAAAGTACAAAAATTAGCCGGCCGTGATGGCACACGCCTGTAGTCCCAGCTACTCAGGAGGCTGAGGCAGGAGAATCGCTTGAACCAGGGGGGCAGAGGTTGCAATGAGCAGAGATCCCGCCACTGCACTCCAGCTTGGGTGACAGCGAGACTCCGTCTCAAAAAAAAAAAAAGAAAAAGAAAAAGAAAGTAAAGGAATAAAAGAATGGCTACCCCATAGGCAGAGCAGTGACAGGGGCTGCTCAACTGAGTATACTCATAGTTATTTATTGATTACATGTTAAACAAGGGAGGAATTATTCATGGGTTTTCTGGGAAAGTGGCAGGCACTTCCCAGAACTAAGGGTTCCTCCCCCTTTTAGACCATATAGAGTAACTTCCTGACATTGCTATGGCATTTATTTGTAAACTGTCATGGCCCTGGTGGGAATGTCTTTTAGCATGCTAATGTATTATAATTAGCATATAATGAGCATTGAGGACAACCAGAGATCACTTCTGTTGCCCTCTTGGTTTCAGTGGGTTTTGGCTTTCTTCTTTACTGCATCGTGTTTTATCAGCAGCGTCTTTGTGACCTGTATCTTGTGATACCAGTCCTGTCAACATCCTATCCCATCTTGTGACTAAGAATGTCTGACCTCCTGGGAATGCAGCCCAGTAGGTCTCAGCCTTATTTTACCCAGTCCATAATCAAGATGGAGTCACTCTGGTGTTGTTTTTTTTGTTTTTGTTTTTGTATTTTTTTGAGACAGAGTCTCGCTCTTGTCGCCCAGGCTGGAGTGCAGTGGCACAATCTTGGCTCACTACAACCTCTGCCTCCTGGGCTCAAGTGATTCTCCTGCCTCAGCCTCCTGAGTAGCTGGGATTACAAGCATCTACCACAACGCCCAGCTAATTTTTGTATTTTTAGTAGAGATGGGGTTTCACCATGTTGACCAGGCTAGTTTCAAACTCCTGACCTCAAGTGATCCACCTGCCTCGGCCTCCCAAAGTGCTGTGATTACAAGCGTGAGCCACTGTGCCCAGCCTGAGTCACTCTGGTTCTAATACCTGACATATTTCTCCCCTCCCCTTTATAAGTGGACCCTTAATTCTAAGGGTTGTAGAGGGACAAAAATCCATCTTTTGCAGCTTCTTCAGGCTGAATAAGGGTGACGATATTCCTGCCTTTCTATTAGGATCTTTTGTATCCAGGGTAGAGAGGAGCTCAGTCAGAAAGCACTGGTATGCTGAGGGCCATTCATAACTCTGAGTTCCGACAAAAGGTGAAATCTAGAAGATTAATAAGTATTCAATTTAAGAAAATGTTGACTAAGCTTATCCTGCATTCCTACACAAGGAGTACAACAGCAATATATTCCACAATAGTAAAGCAAAATAAGTAAAACTATCCCAAGTAAACTAAATAAGAAGGCTTTCCATGAACTGGGCAACTGTTGGAACCAAGCTGATATGGAGTTGCTAGCTAATTCTAATCAGAATTAGATTCATGCCAGAATTAGATCCAAAGATTGACATTACCCATCCCTCTTATTTCTTTTTTTTTTTTTTTTTTTTTTGAGATGGACTCTCACTCTGTCACCCAGGCTGGAGTACAATGGCACAATCTCGGCTCACTGCAACCTCCGCTTCCCAGGTTCAAGTGATTCTCCTGCCTCAGCCTCCTGAGTAGCTGGGACTACAGGTGCGGGCCACCACACCTGGCTAATTTTTGTGTTTTTCGTAGAGACGGGGTTTCACTATGTTGGCCAGGCTAGTCTCGAACTCCTAAACTCGTGGTCCGCCCGCCTCGGCCTCCCAAAGTGCTGGGATTACAGGCGTGAGCCACTGCACCCAGACCCCTCTTGTTTCTTCTGAGCTGCAGTCAGAGATCACTGGTTGGTTCACAGGAATAAGCAGGGTCAGTCTAAATTGCAGAAAACACTCAAAAACAACTGATGAGATGAGAATTTAATAACAGGTGTACTGGCCAGGTGTAGTGGCTCATGCCTGTAATCCCAGAACTTTGGGAGGATGAGGCAGGTGGATCACAAGGTCAAGAGATAGAGACCATCCTGGCCAACATGGTGAAACCCCATCTCTACTAAAAATACAAAAATTAGCTGGGCGTGGTGGCACGCACCTGTAGTCCCAGCTACTCTGGAGGCTGAGGCAGGAGAATTGCTTGAACTCGGGAGGCGGAGGTTGCAGTGAGCTGAGACTGCACCACTTTACTCCAGCCTGGCGACAGAGCAAAACTCCATCTCAAAAATAAATAAATAAAAATAACAGGTGTACCACAGTTGTGGAAACATATTTTTTTCTTTCTCTAGTCTCCTATTTTTATTAAAAACAAATCATAATGGGACCAATTTCCTTGTATATACTTGGCCTGATTATTTGCATAAAGCACAGCCAGAATAATTATTTGCCACATAGGCTCTTTTTTTTTTTTTTTTTTTTTTTTTTTTTTTTTTTGAGGCAGAGTCTTGCTCCGTCCCTCAGGCTGGAGTGCAGTGGCACGATCTCAGCTCACTGCAAGCTCCGCCTCCCAGGTTCATGCCATTCTCCTGCCTCAGCTTCCCAAGTAGCTGGGACTACAGGCACCCACTACCACGCCCGGCTAGTTTTTTTTGTATTTTTAGTAGAGACGGGGTTTCACCGTGTTAGCCAGGATGGTCTCAATCTCCTGACCTCGTGATCCACCCATCTCGGCCTCCCAAAGTGCTGGGATTACAGGCGTGAGCCACCACGCCCGGCCCACATAGGCTCTTTTTTTTAAATTGGCTTTGATGGAACTTTGTTCCATAAGGAATCTCAGTTTTTAAAGCCTTGAGCCCAGCCATGGGTTTGTACCATGAAATAGCTCCATGAGTTGGATAAATTTCATACCTCTTGAGGTCCCAAGATAACTTAGAGCTACTTGGCCAGTCAGAAAGTGACATTCTTTACTTGCCACAAGTCAGGAACCCTGTACAGGGACTGTGTATACAAGGTATGAGGCCAGTTTTCCCAAGGGGCTTTTATTGGCTCTGTAAGTCAATTTTGATTCCTGAAAGGAGTCTGCTTGTATCAGAAAGCATGCCATTCCAGTCAAAGCCTTGGTAAAATAACCAGTGTCTCCAATTGTGTCCTGTTATAAAAGAAAGCAGATTCCTATTGCACTTATGCAAGTAACTATATTGCCATAAGTTAAGAATTATCACAAAGTTTTCAAATTCTGGAGCAATCAAGTAGAGAGAAAGATGTATGCTCCAAATTTTCCTCATAAGAGTATATTTTTGTTAAAAGCTACAAATAGCTCAAAAGAAAAGTTTTCTTGACTCTGAAAAAACAGAAAGGATCAGAAATGTTTTAAGCAAAAAGTCATAAAAAGATTCTTTTGTTCTTGTATTAGTTCAGTCTATGCAACTAACCCCTGCTTTGCTCAATATTTATGTACACATTAGTTTTTCAAGAGAGTCTTGGAAGTTTCTTCCTCTCTATTTTAATGGTCCATTTTCCACAGTTATCAGAGACCTGCATTCAAGAGCATCTGTCATAGTCCTACAGCTGATTATATAATGCCTTTTAGGCCGGGTGTGGTGGCTTACACCTGTAATGCCGGCACTTTGGGAGGCCAAGGCAGGTGGATCACTTGAGGTCAGGGGTTCAAGACCACCCTGGCCAACAAGATGCAACCCCTTCTCTACTAAAAATCCAAAAATTAGCCGGGTATGGTGGCATGTGCCTGTAGTCCCAGCTACTCAGGAGGCCGAGGCAGGAGAATCGCTTGAACCCAGGAGGCAGAGGTTGCAGTGAGCTGAGATCACACCACTGCACTCCAGCCTGGGTAACAGAGTGAGACCCTGTCTCAAAAAATAATAATAATAATAATAAATAAACCACCTTTTAAAGAGAATCAAAACAAGACAATTATCTGTGGACAACAAAAAGTCTTAGGGGAGCCATAGTCAAAGACACAACTGACAAGCAAATTTGCTTATCTTTGTGGCACACCTTAATTTAACATAACAATCATAATTGTTGCTGATAACATACACTAAGTCATATCAGAATTATAAGAGTTTATCATAATTTTGGAATGCACACCAATAACATTTATACAAATACAGTCTAAAAAAAGCAAAACACCATTTCATATTTGACAGTGCTTCCTGTATGATTTTAATATACCAAATAAGCCAAATATGTCATTTTTGGACTTTAGGGGACCTAATATCTAATGGATTAATTAGGTCAGAAAAAGATATAATTAATCATTTGATTTTGGAAACTTTGCCAAATATCAAAGGTTTGAAAGTCAAATATCAAAGGTTTGAAACACTTGATGCTATAAAATCAAATCCTAGGTCTCCATTAAGTCATTTATTTAGCCAAAACGATAACTCAAAAAGGCAAAAAGCTTTACTCATTGATAGAGGGAAGACTTAGCTTTCCAGACAATCTGTCTCTTTTCTTTCCCGTATTTTTCCTGTAGTTTATTCAAAAAGCAAATTAAAATATTTCATTATCTTTTACTGTTACATGAAAATCTTGTTCAAGAGATAGCCAAATCTCACCTTTGCATTAGCATACCATTAATGTCAAACCCAATTCTTTTTTTTTTCTTTCTTTCTTTCTTTTTTTTTTTTTTTTTTTTGAGACAGTCTCACCCTGTCACCCAGGCTGGAGTGCAATGGCATGATCTCAGCTCACCGCAACCTCCAACTCCTAGGTTCAAGCAATTCTCCTGCCTCAGCCTCCTGAGTAGCTGGGATTACAGGCAGGCACCACCCAACCCAGCTAATTTTTTGTATCTTTAGTAGAGAAGGGGTTTCATCATGTTGGCCAGGATGGTCTCAAACTCCTGACCTCATGATCCACCTGCCTCCACCTCCCAAAGTGCTGAGATTACAGGTGTGAGCCACCGTGCCTGGCCCCCCCTTTTTTTTTTAATTGAGACAGAGTCTCGCTCTGTCACTCAGGCTGGAGTGCAGTGGCGCAATCTCGGCTCACTGAAAACTCCGTCTCCTGGGTTCAAGCAATTCTCGTACCTCGGCCTCCCGAGCAGCTGGAATTATAGGCGTGTGCCACCACACTGAGCTAATTTTTGTATTTTAGTAGAGACAGGGGTTTCACCATGTTGGCCAGGCTGGTCTCGAACTCCTGACTTCAGGAGATCCACCCACCTCAGCCTCCCAAAGTGCTGGGATTATAGGCATGAGCCACCATGCCGGGCCCAAGCACAGACAATAAACCTTATAGACAAATAATATCCAATCTTAATCAGTTTGACCATAAGGTAAGATTCTCATAAATCTTTTTGATAACTCTTAATTTTCTATTAAAGAGCAGATCAATGCTCTAAGAAAACCCTGTTGTGCTTTTTTTTTTCTTTTGAGACGGAGTTTAACTCTTGTTGCCCAGGCTGGAGTGGAATGGTGTGATCTCGGCTCACTGCAACCTCCGCCTCCTGGGTTCAAGCGATTCTCCTGTCTCAGCCTCCCAAGTAGCTGAGATTACAGGCACATGCCACCACGCCCAGCTAATTTTTGTATTTTTAGTAAAGATGGAATTTCATCATATTTGTCAGGCTGGTCTCGAACTCCTGACCTCAGGTGATCCGCCCGCCTCGACCTCCCAAAGTGCTGGGATTACAGGTGTGAACCACCACGCTCAGCCCTGTTGTGCTTTTAGTCCAATGTTCGATTTATGTAAAAATTGAATAATATCCCTTTAACTTTAGCCAATATGTTCACATACAGAATTTTTTACAAGGTTAATCTTTCACAAACCTTCCACAATTTGCTTAAACAGTCAGCTTTATCCTATCTAACTTAAAACAATCCTTTAACTCTCTAAACTAGGCAAAAAAAAAAAATCCACATTACCATGCCTTCTTATAATCTTTTACCAAAAGCACATTCTACTTTCCGTACACACCTTGCATGTAAAACTGTTTTTCCAGTAGTTTCAAGTACATGTTACACTGTGAACTCTTAGAAACTTTTACGTTTGGTGAAAACCCTGGTGATTTTAATTATGTACCAAGTGGGGAGCCTAGAACACTAGACAGAGATGCAGATAAGGTCTGACTCTTTCTGGTGTATGCTAGGGGACGAGGCTAACTCCACATATCCCCAGGCCTTATCTAGAATCTAACGGCTCCAAAGTAGGTAAGTTGAACAATTTTCAAATGGCAAAGAAGCAGCTTATAACCTTAAAGAATTTAGCAAGCCTAATATCTGGTCTGCCTAATTTAGACCAAATGTCTGAATTATGAAGACATTTTTAAGCAATAATCTTTACAATTGTCTTTATTTCCCAAAGATGACTAAAGTCACATAAACTAAGACATTACAGTTTTTACTTTTCTGACAAAATATTTGATTTAAATGCTATTTTTAAGCCAAATCAGCGCTCTTTTATATAAACATCACACACACAACGTATGTAATACATAGACGGACAGAAGATTCAGTAGTTGTAAGAGTTTTTCATTTGTCAGTTTTTGTTTCTTAATTAGATTGCTGGCTTCAGGGTGAGGCCCGTGGAGGAACAGGGCCAGGAAAACATGCAGTTTCTAGGGCGTAATAAGCAAACACAGCTGGAAGGTAAAACAGATCTCAAAAATCAAGGATCTATAGTGGATCCTGGATCTCCAAAAGAAAGAAACACTACAAAATAAGACAATGCAATGATTTTACAGTGCCTTTTATTTCAAGGCAACCCAAAGCCAATCAGCCCATTCTGTAATCAGCCCATCCCCCGTGAGAGTCTTATTTCTCAGTCCAGGAGTGGGGACGTTTCCATACCGTCCTGGTAGCCACGAGCACACTTCTCTAATCCAAACATGCAAATAGCTAAGTATTCCCCCATAACTGCCATTAGCCATCCCTAAAAGTATATTTCCCGCCTAGTTATTACACACCAAAGCTCTCTTATAATGCGAAGTAATTTCTGATACCCCCAAACATCAAAATCATCAGATAACACAATGCAACACAGAACAAAGCCTTGGATTTTGAGAGGGATTTTTCCACTCTCAGTTCCTGGGGTTTCATGAGGAAAACAGAGGTTTTTCCCAAAACATGCTTATAAGAAGGCATGGGAATGTGGTGCCTCTGTTTTTCCAAAGGAGTCCCAGGCTGTTAGAAACTATCTTAGTTCCTCTCATGTGTGCATCAAGAATGGCAAGAAGACAAAATGGAGAAAAACAGTTCAGTCGACTGAGAAGAAAAAAATTTTCTTTTCTTCGGGAAAATAAGATCCAAGAAGAGAAGAAAAACACAAAGGCCTTTTAAATATATGTATAGCTTGGATATCTGCTTTTAATTAAACTGACTTAACCAAATCTCTTATTAGCAGACTCTAGCCAGGACAAACAGCCAATATTTCTGGCTTTTGAATTTTACCAAAGGTAACCTCCCATAAGCCTTAACTAAGGTTACGACTTAACCACGAGTGTACAAGCTATTTTCAAAGAGGTGGTTAGTAGTTTTTACAAAATCTAGAATCTCCAAAGGTAACTCAGAGGAAGGAAGATTCAAGAAGGGAAGTCAGAAGTTGTTTGTGAGAATCAATAAGTGGCAAAGGTCACACAGATATCAGACCAGAAAGGATTCATTCTCTCAGGCAGGAATTGAACCCAGGCTGCCATTGTGAAAAGACAAAGCCTTAGCTACTAAATACAGCATTGTGCTGTTTCCACTGCTCTTCCCAGAAGGAGCCTAGAGCAGTCAGTCTTGAGCTTGCAAAGGCTTTTAAGTGCTCAAGATAATTTTTAGAGCAAACTATGACATGAACTCCAAAATTCCTATCTTCTTGATGGCAGAGAACAAGATAAAGTATTACCACCTGGTTACAAGGTCAAGCACCGAAGGACATAAAACAAGATAACAAGGAAACCTTATCCCATTTTTTTGTTTATTTGTTTCAAGGACTTGCAGCAAAGCTTCTCTATCTGACTAGTTTGCTGGGCCAGCTAGAGTAGCAGGTTTATAGAGGTCTTAAGCCCACATCTTATTCTATGGCACACCTTTTCATGACAGGATGGCAAAGACAAATTCATAGCACAAAGTACACCAGATTCACTACAGCTTAAGACTAGCCCCAGAAATCCATTTTCTTATTAATCAATTCCCTTGCAAGAGAGACAAACAGTGATTTTTATCATTTATTCAACAGATTTGCATAGAGAGGCCAGAAGTCTGACTGGTAAGAAATTCTTACCCTTTTGCCAGGATGCCGGGTTTCTGGGTTCCCTTTTTCTCTTAGACTTTGATGGCCCGGCTTGCTGCACCATAGCTATGGGAGCCAAGCCACCTTACAAAGGAGAATCATCTTTTACCATTTTATGGAATGACTGGCAAAAAGCCTCTCAATTTTGTAAGATGCTGCTCAAGGGGTTGCATGGGGTAACCAATTTACATTTTCTGTTCCAGCCAGAGAAAAATACGTGTGACAGGCCCGGCACAGTGGCTCACGCCTGTAATCCCAGCACTTTGGGAGGCCAAGGTAGGTGGATCATGGGGGCTGAGGCAGGAGAATTGCCTGAACCCAGGAGGCAGAGGTTGCAGTGAGCCAACATCGCGCCATTGCACTCCAGCCTGGGTGACAAGAGTGAAACTCCATCTCAAAAAAAAAAAAAGAAAAGAAAAAGAAAAATACATGTGATAAAACCTAGACATTAGCCACTCTGCTTAGTACCCAATATCAAACTGGCAAGGCTCAAACTTGCCCCAGGTTGGGCCCTGTCATGTTTGATCCACTCAAAGTAGGGTGGAATGACCTCCAACCAGGAGTTTCAACACGTGGTCTCTGGGCAAGATGGAAGAGTGGACAGTTGCCCTGGGTGACAGAAAAGGTGGGAAGAAATGGAAAGGAGAGAGAGAGACAGAAAAGCATTGCCTGCGATGGGGTGGGGAAGGCAAGAACATTGGGGAGAGCAGAGAAAGACTCACCCATTGCAGCAACACATCGTGAAGGGATCTTTACCAGCAGTCCCTTCAGTTGTCAACTGTGCCCCTTTGGGGAGAAAAAAGCTCCTCATGTCCAGTGATCCTGTATGTGCCAAATTCTGACACCCACCATAGTCAGCAAAGAGTACAAGGAAGATTAGTTCAATGAGAATAGCGGTTAACATCCCACAGTGCCAAATTCATTTTTAACCAAGAGGGACTTTACCAAGGGGGACCTCTAACCCCTTAAATATTAGGAAAAACTCTAACCTTCCTAAGTTGGGCCTCAAACCCAATCCCATTTTTTACCCAGGTAAAATGAACCGCACCACTCACCCAAAGTCGGACAATCGGTGCTGCGCAGACAATTTTCCTTTGTGTCAAGGGTCTCTTCAGTATAGTCCCTTCATGGTTTGCCAGGAAGATGTTACCAGAAAGGGGTCCTGATCCAGACCCCAAGAGAGGGTTCTTAGACTTCATGCAAGAAAGAATTTCAGGCGAGTCCATAGAGTAAAGTGAAAGCAAGTTTATTAGGAAAGTTAAAAAAATAAAGGAATGGCTATTCCATAGGCAGAGCAGTAGCATGAGCTGCTCAGCTGAGAATACTTATGGTTATTTATTGATTATATGCTAAACAAGGGGTGGATTATTCATAAGTTTTCTAGGAAAGGGGCAGGCAATTTCTTTTAGACCATATAGGGTAATTTCCTGACATTACCATAGCATTTGTAAATTGTCATGGCACGATGGGCGTGTCTTTTAGCATGCTAATATATTATAAATGGTCTATAATGAGCAGTGAGGACAACCAGAGGCCACTTTCATTACCATCTTTGGTCTTAGTGGGTTTTGGCTGGCTTCTTCTTTTTTCCTCATTTTTCTTTATTTATATATATGTTTTTGAGACGGAGTCTCACTCTGTTGCCCAGGCTAGAGTGCAGTGGTGTGATCTCAATTCACTGCAACCTCCACCTCCTGGGTTCAAGTGATTCCCCCACCTCAGCCTCTCAAGTAGCTGGGATTACAGGTGCCTGCCACCACACCCAGCTAAATTTTGTATTTTTAGTAGAGACAGGGCTTCACCATGTTGGCCAGGCTAGTCTTGAACTCCTGACCTCAAGTGATCCACTCACCTCGGCCTCCCAAAGTACTGGGATTACAGGCATGAGCCATCACACCCAGCCTTGGCTGGCTTCTTTACTGCATCCTCTTTTATAAGCAGTGCTTTTGTGACCTGTATCTTGTGATACCAGACATGCCAACCTCCTATCCCATCCTGTGACTAAGAATGTCTGACCTCCTGGGAATGCAGCCCAGTAGGTCTCAGCTTTATTTTACCCAGCCTCTATTCAAGATGGAGTCACTCTGATTCAAATGCTTCTGACATATTGATGGGGGCATCATCAGGCCTTGAGACACAAGTGGATTTCTCTAACTATAAAGCTGCCAAACCAAGAGTCTTCTAACAGGGTTCAATACCAGGGATGCCCCAGGATAAATCCCTCTCAGTGAGGTGTGTGGGATTAGATGACCACCAACACCCAAGTTTCAGAGTTGCAAACTCTGTGAGGTCCAAGTGTTTTTATGAAGTCCTTGTGTTGTGGTCTCTGAGTATAGCCCTCTCACTGACTCCAGTCCCTTTTACCCCCACCCCATCCAGACCTGAAGCTCTCGAGGGTGCACCGTTGAGCTGCTTTTTCCTCCATGTTGGGAAGTTAGTAGGACGAAGTAGAAATAAGAAAGAAGTGTCTGGGGATTGCGCAGGAGAATGGTCTTTAAGGGAAAGAAAAAAAAACCTAGAAGATCCCACCCACCAAGCCCCAGGACCCTGAATTAATAATTCTGTCCTCAGCATCAATGCCTGAGGACCAGTCTTGGGATAACAGGGCAAAGCAGACCTCCCTATCGCTTTCTCTCAGAGACCCCATCTTCCCAGACACGCATCTCCCCAGACCTTTCGTCTAGTTAGCCTCCCTCAGATATAATAATTAATTCATGTTACTAGGCCAGGCACAGTGGCTCATGCCTGTAATCCCAGCACTTTGGGAGGCCGAGGCGGGCAGATCACCCGAGGTCAGGAGTTGGAGACCAGCCTGATCAACATGGCGAAACCCCATCTCTACTAAAAATACAAATTAGCTGGACATGGTGGTGCATACCTGTAATCCCAGCTACTCAGGAAGTTGAGGCAGGAGAATCGCTTGAACCCAGGAGGCGGAGGTTTCAGTGAGCTGAGATTGCGCCATTGCACTCCAGCCTGGGCAACAAGAGCAAAACTCCGTCTCAAAAATATATATCTATATAATTAATGTAACTGGTATTTATCACCCACTTACAACAGGCCAGGGTGTATCTGGGACATAGACATGAACAAAGACCTTCCCTGTCTTCATGGAGCCCACCAGCTGGCAGGAGAGGCTGACACAATGACCACGGCCTCAGCTTCCCTCCTCCACCCTGCCTCGCTCTCCTACAATCTCGCAAGACCAGAAAAATGGGCAGGGACAGCGAGAGCTTGCCAGGCCTTCAGGGGGATTCCTCCCAACAGACCAGAAGCGGAGCAAAAGGCAATGAGGTTGAGGCACCCTGTGCAGTGGTCAGGAGAGTTATTTGATTTGTGTTACCTCGGCCCTCTCCCAACCCTTTCCTTGGCTTCCTGCCTCCCATTCAGAGAAGACGGGGCTTTGGGAGTGTATAACACTCATGTATTACAATAGGGTTTAAACAGTAAACAAAAAAGCTGGAATTGTGACCATATTCCTTTCCCTATCCCAAGCCCTGATGGCTCCCAACCTCAAGGTGAGGATGCAGAGAGGTTCCCCATCCGTCTAGAAGTGAAAAATCGACCTTTCTGCTTATTACTAGACACACACACACACACACACACACACACACACACACACACAGCCCCTGCAACAAGCACCTAAACTTCCGTTGTACTGGGAAATGTTTTAAGTGACCTCCACCTGCTGCAGCAGAGCCAGCCGAGCAAACGCTCACACTGTGGAAGTGAGACTGCATTGAAAGCAGTCATAGGCCGGGTGCAGTGGCTTGCGCCTGTAATCCCAGCACTTAGGGAGGCTGAGGTGGGTGGATCACCTGAGGTCAGGAGTTTGAGACCAGCCTGGCCAACATGGTGAAACCCCGTCTCTAATAAAAATACAAAAATTAGCCAGGCGTGGTGGCGGGCACCCGCCTTCTACTCAGGAGGCTGAGGCAGGAGAATCGTTTGAACCTGGGAGGCGGAGGTTGCAGTGAGCTGAGACTGTACCACTGTACTCCAGTCTGGGAGACAGAGCGAGATTCCGTCTAAAAAAAAAAAAAGCAGTCATAACCACCTTTTGGGATTTCCATAACCAGTCAATTTTTTTTTCTTTTTTTACAGACAGAGTCTTGCCATGTTGTCCTAGCTGGTGTCAAACGCCTGGCCTCAAGCAATCCTCCCACCTTAGCCTCTCAAGGCTCTGGGATTACAGTCATGAGCCACCAAGCCCAGCTTGAACCAGCTTGGTTTTTTTTCTGCTTTCTTTTTTTTTTTTTAATTGAGATGGGGTCTTGTTACCAGCAGCAACCTCAATTCTTGCCTCCTCCAAAGAAAGAATTCTACTGAGGGGCATAAAACAGAAGGATAGACTGAGGCAAGTTTCACAGCAGGAGTGAAAGTTTATTAAAAAGCTTTACAGCAGGAATGAAAGGAAGTAAAGTACACGTGGAAGAGGGCCAGGCAGGAGACGAGAGATCAAGCACACCATTTGATCTTTTGACTTGGGGTTTTGTTTTGTTTTGTTTTGAGATGGAGTCTTGCTCTGTCACCCAGGCTGGAGTGCAATGGTGCAATGTTGGCTCACTGCGACCTCCGCCTCCCGGGTTCAAGGAACTCTCCTGCCTTAGCCTCCTGAGTAGCTGGGATTACAGGCACCCACCACCACGCCCAACTTAGTTTTGTGTTTTTAGTAGAGATAGGGTTTCATATGTTAGCCAGGCTGATCTCGAACTCCTCATCTCAGGTGATCCACCCGCCTCAGCCTCCCAAAGTGCTGGGATTACATGCATGAGCCACCGTGCCTGGCCACCTTGGGGTTTTATACATTGCATATTTCTGGGGTCTTGCAGTTTACCTCTCCCCTGATTCTTTCCTTGGGGTAAGCTGTCCGCATGTGCAGTGGCCTGCTAGCGCTTGGAAGAAGAGCATGTGCAGTGTGTTTACTGAAGTTGTACACATGCTCACTTGAGGTGTTCTTCCCTTGCCAGTCTAGCATTCCTAGAGGAAGGTCATATACCAGTTAAACTCCGCCATTTTGCCTCTTAATGTGCATGCTTGAGCCAACTTGCCCAATTCCTGGGATCTTATCAGAAAGCTGTTGATGACCAGTTTTGGGTATTCTTCCTTTTCCTGGTGTTGGCTGTGACCAATTATTATTTTAAAGAGCCAGTTAACAATTGCCTGACCATCACCTGATGGTCACCTGACATTCGTGGTATACGTATGGCAGGGGTATAGCAGGGAGCCCCTCCTGCCCTGCTTATGCCTGACTAGCTACCTAAAATAACAATCTCACTGTCTTAACCAGGCTAGTCTTGAACTCCTGAGCTCAAGTGATCCTCCCACCTCGGCCTCCCAAAGTGCCGGGATTACAGGCATGAGCCACCAAGCCCAGCCTTGAATCATTTTTAAAAACTCTGGCCGGTGCGGTGGCTCACACCTGCAATCCCAGCACTTTGGGAGGCCAAGGCGGGTGGATCATGAGGTCAGGAGATCGAGACCAGCCTGGCTAACGTGGTGAAACCCCATCTCTACTAAAAATACAAAAAATTAGCCAGGCGTGGTGGCACACGCCTGTAGTCCCAGCTACTCTGGATGCTGAGGCAGGAGAATCGCTTGAACCCAGGAGGTGGAGGTTGCTGTAAGCCGAGATCACGCCACTGCACTCCAACCTGGGCAACAGAGCGAGACTCCATCTCAAAAAAAAAAAAAAAAATTAATGCTAGCCAGGTGTGGTGGCTCATGTCTGTAATCCCAGCACTTTGGGAGGCTGAGGCAGGCAGATCACCTGAGATCAGGAGTTCGAAACCAGCCTGACCAACATGGTGAAACCCTTTCTCTACTAAAAAAAAAAAAAATACAAATACAAATACAAAAAAAAAAAATTAGCCAGGCGTGGTGGCGTGCGCCTGTAGTCTCAGCAACTCAGGAGGCTGAGACAGCTGAATTGCTTGAACCTGGGAGGAGGAGGTTACAGTGAGCTAAGATCACGCCACTGCACTCCAGCCTGGGCGACAGAGCCGGACTCTGCCTCAAAAAAACAAACAAACAAACAACAACAACAACAAAACTTTGATGCCAAACTAGTGTTCCCTACTTTTTTTTATTTTACCAAGTACAGACATTAAAAAAGGAAACAATCCACTACCATCATCATCACTTTATGAAATAAAAGACATTTTAACCATAAAAATGAAGAAAATAATCTCAGAATTGAGGTCAATCATTTAGTAAAAAGAGTTGCATTACTTTTATTTTTCCCATTTCTCTTAGGCCTGGTGAAAGCACTATCAGGAACCAGCACTAGTTTGTTGGTGGGTATTTGGGGACAGCAAACACAAGGCACATAGCAGAGAGGCATTGGCTGTGACAGGTATGGGAGGCAGCCTGGGGCCACGGAAACAGCTCTGGAGGCCAACCACTTCTGGTTAGACTCTTACCACAGCAATTTCTCCTGAGCGAGTGACAGAATCTTTCTGAGCCTCAATTTTCTTTGAAATCGGGAGACAAGTAGTTCCCTCAGAGAGTTTTTGTGGGAATTAAATGAGAAAAGTATATAAGGCACCTAAATATACAGCACCTGACACTTAATAAGTATTGAGTAAATAGTGCTTTCCTGGCCGGGTGTGGTGGCTCATGCCTATATTCCCCGAACTTTGGGAGGCCAGGGCGGGCGGATCATGAGGTCAGGAGATCGAGACCATCCTGACCAACATGGTGAAACCCCATCTCTACTAAATATACAAAAATTAGCTGGGTGTGGTGGCATGTGCCTGTAATCCCAGCTACTCAGGAGGCTGAGGCGGGAGAATTGCTTGAACCTGGGAGGCGGAGGTTGCAGTGAGCCAAGATTGCGCCACCACACACCAGCCTGGTGATATAGCGAGACTCTGTCTCAAAAAAAAAAAAAAAAATTGTGCTTTCCTTCCTTTGAGGAAACTTAAACTCAGAGTGGGCCTTTAACTGCCTAGAATGACTTAGGGATGGCCTTTTCTGAAAATAAGTGGGTTTCTCAACGTTCACAAACTGGAATGCATCAGAATCATTGGGAAGCTTGTTAGACATATACATGACCAAACTTCACCTAACAAGTTCTGATGCCAGGGCTTTAGGGTGAGGCCCTGACATCCGTATTTTAACAAGCTCTTGAAGTGATTCATATGCACACCAAAGTCTGAACCTCTGTGCTAATAACTCATTGATTGAGCCATTCATCGAATAAGCATGTGCTAGGTGCTGGGCAGAGGCAAAGAAAACTATATATATATATATATACTTTAAGACAGAGTCTCACTCTGTCTTCCAGACTGGAGTGTCGTGGTGCAATCTCAGCTCACTGCAACCTCTGCCTCCCAGGTTCAAGCAATTCTCCTGCCTCAGCCTCCCGAATAGCTGGGACTACAGGCACGTGCCACCACGCCCAACTAATTTTTTTATTTTTAGTAGAAACGGGGGTTTCACCATGTTGGCCAGACTGGCCTCAAAGTCCTGACCTCAAGTGGTCCACTTGCCTTGGCCTCCCAAAATGCTGGGATTACAGGCGTGAGCTAGCGCGCCCAGCCAAGAAAACAATTTATTTTTTGATATGCCAATGCCTACCACAGGGCCTTGCACATGTGAGCATTTATTTAAAAGTTAACACATAACAGTCTTTAAGGAGGTGCATCTTTATGTGGGAGACAGACATAAGAATCAATAAATCCGTAAATAGATTGAGTACCAAGAAAGGCTAATGCTGCCTTCAGAGAGAGATATCTGAGAAGGCTTCCTAGGGAAGGGATATCTGATAGCTTAAAAGATAGGCAAGGTTGGGGCTGGGCACGGTGGTTCACACCTGTAATCCCAGCACTTTGGGAGGCCGAGGCGGGCAGATGACGAGGTCAGGAGTTCGAGACCAGCCTGGCCAACATGGCAAAACCCTGTCTCTACTAAAAATGCAAAAATCAGCTGGGCATGGTGGTGGGCACCTGTAATCCCAGCTACTCCAGAGGCTGAGGCAGGAGAGTCGCTTGAAACCAGAAGGTGGAGGTTGCAGTGAGCCAAGATCACACCACTGCACTCCAGCCTGGGCCAAAGAGCAAAACTCCATCTCAAAAAAAAAAAAAAAGAAAAAAAAAAAGGCAGGGTTTACCAGCCAGAATATCACATGTGTGCAAAGATGCAGAGGAGTGACAGAAAATGACTAGGTGTGTCTGGAGCTTAGGGTACCAGGGAGAATGGTGGGCAAGGAAGCAGGAAGAGGTGTGTGTTTGAGGACCAGATTGTGGTGGGCCTGCTCTGCTAGAGTTTCAACTTTGCGATGAAGTTCATGGGAGCCATGAAGATTTTCAGATAGGAGGTGAATTATCAGATTTTCATTGTAGAAAGATCATTCCAGCAGCAACCAATGTGGAGAATGGGAGGGCATAGTCAGTACTGGAGGTAAGGAGAGCAATTAGGAAGCTGTTGCAATAGTCCACAAAAAGAATGCAGAAGATCTGAACTGGAGTAGTGACAGTGGAGTGTGGAGGGGAGGCATGAAGACCCATTCAAAAGATTTTTAAGCAGTTCCTTCCAGTATCATGATTCTATCATTGCAGTATGGCCCTTTTCAAAACTTAGGGGAAATATTTTTTGCCTTACAGGCTATTATAAAGAACTTTTATGGTTATGAAAGTAACATAGGCTGGGCGTGGTGGCTCACGCCTGTAATCTCAGCACTTTGGGAGGCCAAGGTGGGTGGATTACCTGAGGTCAGGAGTTTGAGACCAGCCTGGACAACATGGTGAAACCCCATCTCTACCAAAACTACAATAAATAAATAAATAAATGAAATAGCCAGGTGTGGTGGCGGGCACCTGTAATCCCAGCTACTTGGGAGGCTGATGTAGGAGAAGCACTTGAACCTGGGAGGCAGATGTTGCAGTGAGCCGAGACTGCGCCATTGCATCCCAGCCTGGGCAACAAGAGGGAAACTCCACCTCAAAAAAAAAAAAAAGTAATGTATATACAGATTATGAGAACTTTAGAAAGCATAATAAAGCATAAAGAATATAATATAAATCACTGGCCGAGCACAGTGGGTCAGCCTTTAATTTTTATTTCATGCATTTTTCTTGACCCTTGACACTTTCTATCTATACAAAGGCCTAATGTATTGCAGTAAGTTAGGTAATAGTTAAAATTAATATATCAGTGTTTCATAAAGTACACAAGCAATAGGACAACTGAGGCTGTTGGGAAATATCTGGGGAAGAAGGTTGCAGATGGCAAGATTTGTTTGGACATGGCAACCAAGCTACCTAAGCCGTGACCTTAGAAAGTGGTATGAGAGGCTGGGCACGGTGGCTCACCCCTGTAATCCCAACACTTTGGGAGGCCGAGGTGGGTGGATCACCTGAGGTCGGGAGTTCAAGACCAGCCTGGCCAACATGGTGAAACCCCGTCTCTACTAAAAATACAAAAATTAGCCAGGCATGGTGTCACGCGCTTGTAATCCCAGCTGAGGCAGGAGAATCGCTTGAACCCAGGAGGCGGAGGTTGCAGTGAGCCGAGATCAAGCCACTGCACTCCAGCCTGGGCCACAGAGCAAGACTCCATCTCAAAAAAAAAAAAAAAAAATAGTGCTTGCATGTGACCAGAGGGGAAGAGTCAGCTCTTTTGATGGTCACATTGTCCTTGCTGCCTTAGGCTGAGGTTGCAGTTAATTAAATTCCAAAATATTTTCTTCCATCCTGTACTTCACAGTTTTCTGGATCTAAATTCAGGACTTGATATTTTTCCTATCGTGTTTCATCTGCTATCTTCCTGACCAGGGAGAGATTTGTGGATCCAGATGATTCTGGCAATAAATTCCACAGGTCCTGTCAATCCCCTCTGCTAGGGACTGAATTGTGATCCCCCAAAATTTATATGTGGAAGCCTTAATGCCCAATGTGCTGGTATTTGGAGATGGGGCCTACGGGAGGAGGTTAGGATTAGATGAGGTTATGAGTGTGGGGTGCTCATGTTGGATTAGTGCCCTTATAATAAGAGACACCAGAAAGCTTCTTTTGATTTCTCACTCCCCTGACCCCAAACCATGTGAGGAAGAAAGCCCTCACCAGAATTCAACTATGCTGACACCGCGATCTTGGACTTCCAGCCTCCAGAACAGTGAGAAAATAATGTCTGTTTTTTAAGCCATCCAGTGTATAATACAGTTGACCCTTGAGCAACGCAAGGGTGAGGGGAACCAACCCACCATATAGTCAAAAATCCACATATAATTCTTGACTCCCCCAAAACATAACTACTAGCCTACTGTTGGCCAGAAGCCCTACCGATAACATAAACAGTAAGTTAACACATCTTCTGTATGTTATATGTATTATATACTTTATTCTTACAAAGTAAGCTAGAATAAAGAAAATGTTATTAAGAAAATCATAAGGAAGGTAAAATATATATACTATTCATTAAGTGGAAGAGGGTCACCATAAAGGCCTTCATTCTCATCATTCTCACAGTGAGTAGGCTGAGGAGGTAGGGGAAGAGGAGCAGTTGGTGTTGTTGTCTCAAGGATGACAAAGCTAAAGGAGGTGAAAGGGGAAACAAGAGAGGCAGGCACACTTGGTGAAACTTTATGAAAATACGTTGTAATTTGTCTTTTTTGCTTTTTCATTTCTCTAAATTTTTTGTCTATACAATACCAATCCTTCTCCAACCATATGCTTTAGTTTCAGTCTCTGTATCACAGAAAGGTCCATGTCGTAAAAGAAGTCAAAAGCGGCCGGGCGCAGTGGCTCACGCCTGTAATCCCAGCACTTTGGGAGGCTGAGGCAGGTGGATCACCTGAGGTCTGGAGTTTGAGACCAGCCTGGCCAACACGGTGAAACCTCGTCTCTGTTAAAAATACAAACATTAGCCGGGCACGGAGGCTCACGCCTGTAATCCCAGCACTTTGGGAGGCCGAGGCAGGTGGATCACTTGAGGTCAAGAGATTGAGACCATCCTGGCCAACATGGTGAAACCCCATCTCTACCAAAAATACAAAAATGAGCTGGGCATGGTGGCGCATGTCTATTGTCCCAGCTTAGGAGGCTGAGACAGGAGAATGGCTTGAACCCGGGAGGCGGAGGTTGCAGTGAGCCGAGATCGCACCACTGTACTCCAGCCTAGCAACAGAGCGAGACTCCGTCTCAAAAAAAAAAAAAAAAAAATTAGCCAGGCGAGGTGGTACACACCTATAATCCCAGCTACTCTGGAGGCTCAGGCATGAGAATTGCTTGAACCCAGGAGGCGGAGGTTGCAGTGAGCAGAAATTTCGCCACTGCACTGCAGCCCAGGTGACAGAGTGAGACTCTGTCTCAAAAACAAAAACAAAAAAAATAAAAGAAAAAACAGCAGAACAAGAAGAAATTACTTTTTTTTTTTTGAGACAGCGTTTCACTCTTGTCGCCCTGGCTGGAGTGCAGTGGCGTGATCTTGGCTCACTACAACCTCCACCTCCCGGGTTCAAGCAAATCTCCTGCCTCAGCCTCCCAAGTAGCTGGAAATTCAGGCGCCTTCCATCATGCCCAGCTAATTTTTTGTATTTTCAGTAGAGATGGGGTTTCGCCATGTTGGCCAGGCTGGTCTCAAACTCCTGACCTCAGGTGATCCACCCACCTCAGCCCCCCAAAGTGCTGGGATTACAGGCGTGAGCCACCTCGCTCGCCCTAAGAAATCACTTTTTACTGTGATGTATAATTTCCTGGAGAGATTAACTACTCACTTGCTCACTCAGAGATCAGCGTCACACACTGTTTTAAGTGGGTACTCACCATGCTTGAGCTCACCACAACAGCAACAGGAAGTGGCTAGGAAATTATTATAGTAGTATAATATATCCTACTGTTATTGCATACAATTATGATTTAATACTGCATCTTTACATTTACATACGTTTGTCTTGACTTCAAATGGCGCCATGTGCTGTCTATGTGTGTATATGTTTTTATGAACTTTAACTTTTTATAATAGATTTGTGTGTATTTTATGGTAGTAAGTGATAAAATAGACTAATATCTACATGTATTTTATGTATTCATGACATACCTAACTTTTTCTTATTTTTTATATTTATTTCCAGGCTACATGGTTCATCTGTATTTTTATTTTATTTTTATTTTTTTATTTTTATTTTTGAGATGGAGTCTCACTCTGTCACCCAGTCTGGAGTGCAGTGGCGCAATCTTGGCTCACTGCAACCTCTGCCTCCTGGGTTCAAGCAATTCTTCTGCCTCAGCCTCCTAAGTAGCTGAGACTATAGGCATGCGCCACCACACCTGGATAATTTTTGTATTTTTAGTAGAGATGGGGTTTCACCATGTTGGCCAAGCTGGTCTCAAACTCCTAATGCCAGGTGATCCACCCGCCTCGGCCTCCCAAAGTGCTGGCATTACAGGCATGAGCCACCATGCCTGGCTGATCTGTATGTTTAAATAGTCGCAAATCTCAAAAAAATTTTTCAGTGTATTTATGGGGGAAAAATCCCATATATAAGTGGACCTGCACAGTTTAAACTCATGTTGTTCAAGGGTCAACTATATTTTGTTATCGCAGCCAGAGCCTGAGCCAAGTAAGACACCTTCTTTATTCCATTATCTCATAACTCCATTATCCTCAATTCTCACTTTCTTGTCATATAGTAGCATCACCAGGTTACATGGTGACTCACCTTCCAGTGCCCTTGCATTTGCTCCACAAGCTGCCTTAGGTTCCACCTGGCCTCCAACCCCCACACCTCCTACAGATTTGAGCATGCCCTCCTCGGGGCCCTCCAGCCCCCTTTAATCAAGATATGAAAGACAGACAGACACTAATATTTAATAAAACAGTTAAAACTGTAGGCTCTGAGGCCAGAATGTCACAGTTCTATCCTCTGCTAATTCCCTGACTTTAGGCAAGTAATTCAGCCTACCTGTGCTTCAGTTTCCTTATCTGGAAAACAAGGTCATTACATGAGTTAGTCTACCCATAGTACTTGGAACAGTGTCTAGCACATTACAAACATTCAGTAATTGTTACCATAATTAATACCCTGTCTCGGGCACAATGCTAAGTGCTTCATATGTAGTATCTTATGTAATTTTGATGTCAACCCTGTGAAACAGAATTGTCATCTCCTATTACATATAAGCAACATCCCTGGTCACTGTATCATTTTATCTTATTTTATTGTTTTTGTTTGTTTTTTGTTTTGAGACAGGGTCTCACTCTGTTGCCCAGGCAGGAATGCAGTGACACCATCACGGCTCACTGCAGCTTCCACCTCTCGGGCTGAGGTGATACCTCCTGCCTCAGCCTCCCAAGTAGCTGGGACCACAGGTGCACACCACCACACCAGCTAATTTTTTGTTTATAGTAGAGACAAGGTCTCACTATGTTTCCCAGGCTGGTCTCAAACTCCTGGGCTCAAGAGATCCTCCTGCCTTGGTTGGGGTTACAGGCGTGAGCCACCATACCCAACCATCTTATCTTATTGTCTTTTTAGTATCTACTACCATTTCCATATTACACCATTTATTAGTTTTCTTGTTTATTGTGTCTCCCCAACAACCCTGCATGCCTGAAAGTTCTAAGAGATAAAGAGACTTTGTCTTGTTCACCACAAAATTGCAGTGCCTAGTAGTAAATTCTCAATAAATATTTTTGAATACATGTATCATCAAATGAATGAAAAGGAGAGGTGAGGCCAGATGTGATGGCTCACGCCTGTTACCCCAGAACTTTGGGAGGCCGAGGTGGGTGGATCACCTGAGGTTAGGAGTTTGAGACCAGCCTGGACAACATGGCAAAACCCCGTCTCTACAAAAAATACAAAAAATTAGCCGGGCGTGGTGGCAGGCGCCTGTAGTCCCAGCTACTTGGGAGGCTGAGGCAGGAGAATGGCGTGAACCCGGGAGGCGGAGCTTGCAGTGAGCGGAGATTGCGCCACTGCACCCAGCCTGGGCGACAGAGCGAGACTCCATATCAAAATAAAATAAAATAAAATAAAATGAGAGGTGAACTTGCTAGGACAAGGTCACACAGCAAGTAAGTGACAGAACCAGATTTGACATCAGGTCTAGATGGTTCTAAAAATCAATATTTACTTCTGCTTCCCAGAGCAGCCACAGCTGGGGGGAAAAAGCTGTAGAGGGCAGGGAGAGGGAGTGGACAACATTCAGCTCCCTAAGCCAGCGCTTCCCCTCTCTCCTCCCATTGGTCAAGTGACATCACAGCTGGCGGAGTCGACATTGATATCCAAGGTGCTTTATGGACTAGCAACCCAGCTCCAGGTTGCACTTACAACCTCTTATGTCTCCACATCTAAGGGAGAGTAAATCTGTCTGATAAATCCCTGGGAGTTACGTCATTGATTAAAGGCTATGTGCATCTCTTCTTTTGATATTAATCCAAAGAGGATGCACCAGTCTCTACTCACATAGTATTTTCTCACACTTTCACAACAGAGTACTAGTAATCTTTTTTGATATTTTAATTTTTGCCAGTCTGAGAGATGCAGCTGGAGACTGCAATATTCTAAACCTCCCCAAATTGCTCCCGGGGATAACATCTTAGGTTACAGTAAAACCTAAGATCAGTGCTTGAGATAGTTTGCAGATCCTGTACTCGATGGATCAGCTGACACCACCCAGATCAATAAACTGGCTCATCTGGTCTTGTGGCCCCCACCCAGGAACTGACTCAGCGCAAGAGGACAGCTTCAGCTCCCTATGATTTCATCTCCAACCTGACCAATTAGCATTCCCCACTTCCTGAGACTCTACCCACCAAATTAACCTTAAAAACTCCAGTCCCTGAATTTCTGTGACCAGTCTCTGCTCTACATAGTATTTTCTCACACTTCCACAACACAGTATTAGTAATCTTTTTCATATTTAAATTTTTGCCAATCTGAGAGATGGAAAAGAACTCATTTTAGGTTGACTAATTCAATTATGAGTAGGACTATGCATTTTTTTCTTTTTCTTTTTTTTCTTTGTTTCTTTTTTTCTGAGGCAGAGTTTCACTTTTGTCCTCCAGGCTGGAGAGCAATGGCACGATCTTGGCCCACTGAAACCTCCGCGTCCCGGGTTCAAGTGATTCCCCTGCCTCAGGCTCTTGAGTAGCTGGGATTACATGTGCCCACCACCACGCCCAGCTAATTTTTTGTATTTTTAGTAGAGATGGGGTTTCACCGTGTTGGCCACGCTGGTCTCGAACTCCTGACCTCAGGTGATCCGCCTGCCGGAGCCTCCCAACGTGCTGGGATTACAGGCGTGAGCCACTGCGCCCAGCCCGTCTTTTCTTGTTTATTAGCCATGTATAAGCTGTTTGTCTGTGAGCTGCCTGTTCCTGTCTTTTGCTAATTTGATTTGAGATTCTGCATGAGGACCTAGAGCGGCCCCAAAGTCCCACACCCGTCCGCTCTTCTCTCCCCACTATCAGCCCCTCCCCCTGCTCTGCTCGGTTCTCTACTGCTGCCTAGTGACAGGGGTTAGTCTTACCACAGGCCTCACAGACGCAACTACTGCCTGCCTCTCCCTGAGGATAAATTTCCTGCTGGAATCATGCCCTTGATTCCTAGGTGGGATTGCCAGGTGTAGTTAATAAGAATGCAGGACCTCCCGTTAAGTTTTTAGGATTGCCAGGTTTAGTTAATAAGAATGCAGGATCTCCCGTTAAGTTTGAATTTCAAACAAGCAAGTACCTTTTTAGTTGTGACATACTTTTATCCAAATTTAACTGAGTGTCCTGTAATATATCTGGCAACCCTATTCCAAGGCTTCCCATTAAATTTCAGTCCCCACCCTCCACCATTCCTCACTGGCTCTCATTCTCAGCAAGTTCCATTCTACTACATTCCTCCCCAGTGGTTTCCTAAATGGCACGGTTAGGCGGTACATGAATCACCGTTGTTAAGACCTTGTCTCTGGCTCAATCCTGGGTTTGAATCCTAGCTCCAAACACTTTGCTAATTTCTTTTAAAACTGTATCTAGTCAGAACTTAATCATTTTATTGCATATGTTTTTACAGTTGCCTTCTATTTAAGTCGAGTGATAGTGAATTCCCAGATTTCTTTTTAAAACAGATTTAAGGCCAGGCACGGTGGCTCACGCCTGTAATCCCAACACTTTGGGAGGCCAAGGCGGGTGGATCACGAGGTCAGGAGTTCAAGACCAGCCTGGCCAAGATGGTGAAACCCCATCTCTACTAAAAATACAAAAATTAACTGGGTGCAGTGGCAGGCTGAGGCAGGAGAATCGCTTGAACCCAGGAGGCAGAGTTTGCAGTGAGCCAAGATCGCACCACTGCACTCTAGTCTGGGCGACAGAGCAAGACTCCGTCTCAAAAAAAAAAAAAATGAAAAAAAAATTTAATCTTTAAAAACCTGAAGAAAAGGGATTGAATAGTACAGATAATAAGTGGAAATGGCAAAAGTCATAAGGCAGCTTCTGAAATGATTAAAGTTTGGGAAATACTGTCCTGTTCCCATCCTGGGAGTCAACACAGATCAGCACAGTGCTGACTGAAATAATGTGCTCCTTTTGTAGCAGGACAAGCTGTAGACAAAACCCCTCAGACACTGAGTTAAAGAAGGAAGGGCTTTATTCGGCCAGGAGATCGGCAAGACACATATCCAAAAAACCAAGCTCCCGAGTGAGCAATTCCTGTCCCTTTTAAGGGCTCACAACTCTAAGGGGGTCCACATGAGAGGGTCGTGATCGATTGAGCAGGTGGGGGTACGTGACTGGGGGCTGCATGCACTGGTAATCAGAACGGAACAGAACAGGACAGGGATTTTCACAATGCTTTTCCATACAATGTCTGCAATCTATAGATAACATAACTGGTTAGGTCAGGGGTCAATCTTTAACCAGGCCCAGGGCACGGTGCCAGGCTGTCTGCCTGTGGATTTCATTTCTGCCTTTTACTTCTTCTAGTTTTTACTTCTTCTTTCTTTGGAGGCAGAAATTGGGCATAAGACAATATGAGGGATGGTCTCCTCCCTTACTTTATGTGGCCCTGGTTTCAGGAGGAACCTTCATAACTCAGAGGGTGCCCAGGGGAGGAGGGAAAACTCAAGCATATATAACTGTTTCATTTGGGGGCTGTGGCAGTGTAACGACTCAACAGGTTTTCCTTGCCTGCTGCCTAGACAAAGCTGATGCATCAAGACAGGGGAACTGTGGCCAGGCGTGGTGGCTCATGCCTGTAATCCCAGCACTTTGGGAGGCTGAGGTTGGTAAATCACAAGGTCAGGAGTTCGAGACCAGCCTGGCCAACATGCTGAAACCCCGTCTCTACAAAAAATACAAAAAATTAGCCAGGCGTGGTGGCAGGCTCCTGTAATCCCAGCTACTCAGAAGGCTGAGGCAGAGAATTGCTTGAACTCAGGAGGCAGAGCTTGCAGTGAGCCAAGATCTCACCTCTACACTCCAGCCTGGGTGACAGAGCGAGACTCCCTTTACTTTACTTTCTTAATAATTTACTTAATTCCTTTACTTTCTTAATAAACTTGCTTTCACCCCGTCTCAAAAAAAAAAAAAAAAAAGAAAAGACAGGGGAATTAGAATACAGAAGGAGTTTAATTCATGCAGAACTGGCTGTATAGGAGACCAGAATTTTATTATTGCTCAAATTAATCTCCCCAAAATTTCAGCAATCTGAATTTTTTTTTCTAATACTTTATTAATTCAAAAGCACTTTACGAGAAAATATAAGTATGGCTTCCAATAGGAATGTTATACCTGGACTTGGTACCAAGCTCAGCTCACAGATTTGAGTTTGCAAGGAAAAACAGGCTTTCAAGTTAAACAACAATTTGTAACCAAAACTTTAATCCCAAGGATTCTCACAAAACATATTACAAATGACAGCATGAAAAAAAAATCTTGCACAGTAACTCAAAGTTCGGCTCTACAATGTATCCTTAAACTGGCAGGACATTTTTGAAATCTCAAATTTGCACATAAAAAATGTCACGAACAGCCATGTATTCATATACAGCAATCAAATAAGTAACTTATGACCTAAAGCAAAGGCAAACTTTCTTGAAACTTAACAGATTCTATACCAACTAGGCAACCTCTGCCCAGGATGAAAGTGAGTTGGATTTTTCAAAAACCTGTAATTTAATAGTGCAGCGTTTATTTTTACCTGATGGCTTGTGTTTCACAGCAGTTTTTAAAGACTGCTTGTTCAACTATAGCTGCATCCTATATCCCAGCTACGGAAAAAAAGTAAATCTTAGTTCAATTTTTGCCAGTTGCTTCTGTATTAAAAAAAAAAAATCACACTTCTGCTGGGCAGGTTTAGAGGTTTATTGTCAGTCTATGCGTAACTAAAGTTCAAAGCAAATTCAATCTTGCTTAAGGGAACATTGTAAAGTAACAATTCTTGGTATTACATGCCTCATATGATCCATTTCAAACCATAGAGAATTACACCTCTGTGTCACTGATTCCAGAGACAAACAGATTTGAACAGCTAAAACATCTTAAAAATGCACCAAGCTTATGAAGTCTCAAACAAAACTTGAATTTTCTGTACATACTCCTGTCAGATGAAGTAATTTCCTGTACACCACTTCTCTTGCAAACTGTCTTCTATTTCCTTTCATTTGACCTAGATCGGCTACGAGACCTAGAGAAGGATCGGGACGGCTTGTGATTTCTCTCCCGAGACAGCGACCTCTCTCTTCTCCCATCTCTAGAAAGGGACCTGCTCCAGCTGTGAGAGAAGCTTCTCCTTCTTGGAGATCTGCGACGAGGTGGAGGACTACTCCTACGATAATCATCTTGAGGGCGACGACCCCAGGAGGGAGGTGGGCCATGATTTCTACTTCTTTTTTCACCATTGGACAGTTCCACTCTTACACAGCAGCCACATAGTGTTCTTCCATTTAGCTCTCGGGGATGGAACTGCATCAGCCGCATCTCGGGGATCTTCAAATTCAACAAAAGCAAAGCCAGATGGGTTTCTAGCAACCCACACACTTTGGAGTGGTCCATAGTAGCCAAAAGCCCGTTCCAATTCGGTCTTGTTGCCATTGTTTCCAAGATTGCCTACATAAACCTTTCAGTCCAACGGACAGGAATCACGATGCATTTCGAGATCTAGGGTTAAAAAATGTGGTGGCTCAAATCCACATGCTCCGATGGGCCTTCCTGCTTTCCTCCGGCCCAACACCCACCAATGCTCTCACTCACCCGGCTTCCATGAAATGGCTCCTGAATTTTATTTGATTTTATTTTATTATACTTTAAGTCTAGGGTACATGTGCACAATGTGCAGGTTTGTTACATATGTATACATGTGCCATGTTGGTGTGCTGCACTCATTAACTCATCATTTACATAGGTATATCTCCTACTGCTATCCCTCTCCCCTCCTCCCACCCCATGACAGGCCCTGGTGTGTGATGTTCCCCACCCTGTGTCCAAGTGTTCTTATTGTTCAATTCCCACCTATGAGTGAGAACACGCGGTGTTTGGTTTTCTGTCCTTGCGATAGTTTGCTCAGAATGATGGTTTCCAGCTTCATCCACATCCCTACAAAGGACATGAACTCATCATTTTTTATGGCTGCATAGTATTCCATGGTGTATATGTGCCACATTTTCTTAATCCAGTCTATCATTGATGGACATTTGGGTTGGTTCCAAGTCTGTGCTATTGTGAATTGTGCTGCAATAAACATACGTGTGCACGTGTCTTTATAGCAGCATGATTTATAATCCTTTGGGTATATACCCAGTAATGGGAAGGCTGGGTCAAATGGTATTTCTAGTTCTAGATCCCTGAGGAATCACCACACTGACTTCCACAATGGTTGAACTAGTTTACAGTCCCACCAACAGTGTAAAAGTGTTCCTATTTCTCCACATCCTCTCTAGCACCTGTTGTTTCCTGACTTTTTAATGACTGCCATTCTAACTGGTGTGAGATGGTATCTCATTGTGGTTTTGATTTGCATTTTTCTGATGGCCAGTGATGATGAGCATTTTTTCATGTGTCTATTGGCTGCATAAATGTCTTCTTTTGAGAAGTGTCTGTTCATATCCTTCGCCCACTTGTTGATGGGGTTGTTTGATTTTTTCTTGTAAATTTGTTTAAGTTCTTTGTAGATTCTGGATATTAGCCCTTTGTCAGATGAGTAGATTGCAAAAATTTTCTCCCATTCTGTAGGTTGCCTGTTCACTCTGATGGTAGTTTCTTTTGCTGTGCAGAAGCTCTTTAATTAGATCCCATTTGTCAGTTTTGGCTTTTGTTGCCGTTGCTTTTGGTGTTTTAGTCATGAAGTCCTTGCCCATGCCTATGTCCTGAATGGTATTGCCCAGGTTTTCTTCTAGGGTTTTTATGGTTTTAGGTCTAACATTTAAGTCTTTAATCCATCTTGAATTAATTTTTGTATAAGGTGTAAGGAAGGGGTCCAATTTCAGCTTTCTACATATGGCTAGCCAGTTTTCCCAGCACCATTTATTAAATAGGGAATCATTTCCCCATTTCTTGTTTTTGTCAGGTTTGTCAAAGATCAGATAGTTGTAGATATGTGGCATTATTTCTGAGGGCTCTGTTCCATTCTATTGGTCTATATATCTGTTTTGGTACCAGTACCATTCTGTTTTGGTTACTGTAGCCTTGTAGTATAGTTTGAAGTCAGGTAGCGTGATGCCTCCAGCTTTGTTCTTTTGGCTTAGGATTGACTTGGCAATGCAGGCTCTTTTTTGGTTCCATATGAACTTTAAAGTAGTTTTTTCCAATTCTGTGAAGAAAGGCATTGGTAGCTTGATGGGGATGGCATTGAATCTGTAAATTACCTTGGGCAGTATGGCCATTTTCATGATATTGATTCTTCCTATCCATGAGCATGTAATTTTCTTCCCTTTGTTTGTGTCCTCTTTTATTTCATTGAGCAGTGGTTTGTAGTTCTCCTTGAAGAGGACCTTCACATTCCCTGTAAGTTGGATTCCTAGGTATGTATTTTATTCTCTTTGAAGCAATTGTGAATGGGAGTTTACTCATGATTTGGCTCTCTGTTTGTCTGTTATTGGTGTATAGGAATGCTTGTGATTTTCGCACATTGATTTTGTATCCTGAGACTTTGCTGAAGTTGCTTATCAGCTTAAGGAGATTCTGGGCTGAGATGATGGGGTTTTCTAAATGTACAATCATGTCGTCTGCAAACAGGGACAATTTGACTTCCTCTTTTCCTAATCGATTACCATTTATTTCTTTCTCCTTCCTGATTGCCCTGGTCAGAACTTCCAACACTATGTTGAATAGGAGTGGTGAGAGAGGGCATCCCTATCTTGTGCCAGTTTTCAAAGGGAATGCTTCCAGTGTTTGCCCATTCAGTATGATAGTGGCTGTGGGTTTGTCATAAATAGCTCTTATTATTTTGAGATACGTCCCATCAATACCTAATTTATTGAGAGTTTTTAGCATGAAGGGCTGTTGAATTTTGTCAAAGGCCTTTTCTACATCTATTGAGATAATCATGTGGTTTTTGTCGTTGGTTCTGTTTATATGCTGGATTACGTTTATTGATTTGCATATGTTGAACCAGCCTTGCATCCCAGGGATGAAGCCCACTTGATTATGGTGGGTAAGCTTTCTGATATGCTGCTGGATTTGGTTTGCCAGTATTTTATTGAGGATTTTTGCATCGATGTTCATCAAGGATATTGGTCTAAAATTCTCTGTTTTTGTTGTGTCTCTGCCAGGCTTTGGTATCAGGATGATGCTGGCCTCATAAAATGAGTTAGGGAGGATTCCCTCTTTTTCTATTGATTGGAATAGTTTCAGAAGGAATGGTACCAGCTCTTCTTTGTATGTCTGGTAGAATTCGGCTGTGAATCTGCCTGATCCTGGACTTTTTTTGGTGGGTGGGCTCTTAATTATTGCCTCAATTTCAGAGCCTGTTATTGGCCTATTCAGGGATTCAACTTCTTCCTCGTTTAGTCTTGGGAGGGTGTATATGTCCAGAAATTTATCCATTTCTTCTAGATTTTCTAGTTTATTTGTGTAGAGGTGTTTATAGTATTCTCTGATGGTAGTTTTTATCTCTGTGGCATCAGTGGTGATATCCCCTTTATCATTTTTTATGTGTCTAATTGATTCTTCTCTCTTTTCTTCTTTATTAGTCTTGCTAGCAGTCTATCAATTTTGTTGATCTTTTCAAAAAACCAGCTCCTGGATTCATTGATTTTTTTGAAGGGTTTTTTGTGTCTCTATCTCCTTCAGTTCTGCTCTGATCTTAGTTATTTCTCGCCTTCTGCTAGCTTTTGAATGTGTTTGCTCTTGCTTCTCTAGTTCTTTTAATTGTGAAGTTAGGGTGTCAATTTTAGATCTTTCCTGCTTTCTCTTGTGGGCATTTAGTGCTATAAATTTCCCTCTACACACTGCTTTAAATGTGTCCCAGAGATTCTGGTATGTTGTGTCTTTGTTCTCCTTGGTTTCAAAGAACATCTTTATTTCTGCCTTCATTTCGTTAAGTACCCAGTAGTCATTCAGGAGCAGGTTGTTCAGTTTCCATGTAATTGAGCACTTTTGAGTGAGTTTCTTAATCCTGAGTTCTAATTTGATTGCAGTGTGGTCTGAGAGACAGTTTGTTATGATTTCTGTTCTTTTACATTTGCTGAGGAGTGCTTTACTTCCAACTATGTGGTCAATTTTGGAATAAGTGCAACGTGGTGCTAAGAAGAATGTATATTCTGTTGATTTGGGGTGGAGAGTTCTGTAGATGTCTATTAGGTCCGCTTGGTACAGAGCTGAGTTCAATTCCTGGATATCCTTGTTAACTTTCTGTCTCGTGGATCTGTCTAATGTTGACAGTGGGGTGTTAAAGTCTCCCATTATTATTGTGTGGGAGTCTAAGTCTCTTTGTAGGTCTCTAAGGACTTGCTTTATGAATCTGGGTGCTCCTGTATTGGGTGCATATATATTTAGGGTAGTTAGCTCTTCTTGTTGAATTGATCCCTTTACCATTATGTAATGGCCTTCTTTGTCTCTTCTGATCTTTGTTGGTTTAAAGTCTGTTTTATCAGAGACTAGGATTGCAACCCCTGCTTTTTTTTGTTTTCCATTTGCTTGGTAGATCTTCCTCCATCCCTTTATTTTGAGCCTATGTGTGTCTCTGCACGTGAGATGGGTCTCCTGAATACAGCACACTGATGGATCTTGACTCTTTATCCAATTTGCCAGTCTATATCTTTTAATTGGAGCATTTAGCCCATTTACATTTAAGGTTAATATTGTTATGTGTGAATTTGATCCTGTCATTATGATGTCAGCTGGGTATTTTGCTGGTTAGTTGATGCAGTTTCTTCCTAGCCTCGATGGTCTTTACAATTTGGCATGTTTTTGCAGTGGCTGGTACCAGTTGTTCCTTTCCATGTTTAGTGCTTCCTTCAGGAGCTCTTGTAAGGCAGGCCTGGTGATGACAAAATCTCTCAGCATTTGCTTGTCTGTGAAGGATTTTATCTCTCCTTCACTTATGAAGCTTCTTTTGGCTGGGTATGAAATTCTGGGTTGAAAATTCTTTTCTTTAAGAATGTTGAATAGTGGCCCCCACTCTCTTCTGGCTTGTAGAGTTTCTGCTGAGAGATCAGCTGTTAGTCTGATGGGCTTCCCTTTGTGGGTAACCCGACCTTTCTCTCTGGCTGCCCTTAACATTTTTTCCTGCATTTCAACTTTGGTGAATCTGACAATTATGTGTCTTGGAGTTGCTCTTCTCAAGGAGTGTCTTTGTGGCGTTCTCTGTATTTCTGAATTTGAATGTTGGCCTGCCTTGCTAGGTTGGGGAAGTTCTCCTGGATAATATCCTGAGGAGTGTTTTCCAACTTGGTTCCATTCTCCCTGTCACTTTCAGGTACACCAATCAGATGTAGATTTGGTCTTTTCACATAGTCCCATATTTCTTGGTGGCTTTGTTCATTTCTTTTTACTCTTTTTTCTCTAAACTTCTCTTCTCGCTTCATTTCATTCATTTGATTTTCAATCACTGATACCCCTTCTTCCATTTGATCGAATCGGCTACTAAAGCTTGTGCATGCATCAGATAGTTCTCGTGCCATGGTTTTCAGCTCCATCAGGTCATTTAAGGTCTTCTCTATGCTGTTTATTCTAGTTAGCCATTCATCCAATCTTTTTTCAAGGTTTTTAGTTTCTTTGCAATGGGTTGGAACATCCTCTTTTAGCTCAGAGAAGTTTATTATTACCGATCTTCTGAAGCCTTCTTCTCTCAACTTGTCAAAGTCATTCTCTGTCCAGCTTTGTTCCATTCCTGGCGAGGAGCTGCATTCCTTTGGAGGAGAAGAGGCATTCTGATGTTTAGAATTTTCAGCTTTTCTGCTCTGGTTTCTCCCCATCTTTGCGGTTTTATCTACCTTTGGTTTTTGATGATGGTGACGTACAGATGGGATTTTGGTGTGAATGTCCTTTCTGTTTGTTAGTTTTCCTTCTAACAGTCAGGTCCCTCAGCTGCAGGTCTGTTGGAGTTTGCTGGAGGTCCACAGCAGACCCTGTTTGCCTGGGTATCACCAGCAGAGGCTGCAGAACTGCAAATATTTCTGCCTGATCCTTCCTCTGGAAGCTTCGTCTTAGAGGGGCACCTGGCCGTATGAGGTGTCAGTCGGCCCCTACTGGGAGGTGCCTCCCAGTTAGGCTACCCACTTGAGGAGGCAGTCTGTCCATTCTCAGATCTCAAACTCTGTGCTGGGAGAACCACTACTCTCTTCAAAGCTGTCAGACAGGGACATTTAAGCCTGCAGAAGTTTCTGCTGCCTTTTGTTCAGCTATGCTCTGCCCCCAGAGGTGGAGTCTAAAGAGGCAGGCAGGCCTCCTTGAGCTGCAGTGGGCTCCACCCAGTTCGAGCTTCCCGGTGGCTTCGTTTACCTACTCAAGCCTCAGCAGTGGCGGGTGCCCCTCCCCGAGCCTCGCTGCCGCCTTGCAGTTCGATCTCAGACTGCTGTGCTAGCAGTGAGCAAGGCTCTGTGGGCGTGGGACCCTCTGAGCCATGCGCGGGATATAATCTCCTGGTGTGCCGTTTGCTAAGACCATTGGAAAAACATGGTATTAGGGTGGGAGTGACCGGATTTTCCAGGTGCCATCTGTCATGGCTTCCCTTGGCTAGGAAAGGGAATTCCCCAACCCCTTGCGCTTCCTGGGTGAGGCATCACCTCGCCCTGCTTCGGCTCACAGTCTGTGGGCTGCACCCACTGTCTTGCACCCACTGTCTGACAAGCCCCAGTGAGATGAACCCAGTACCTCAGTTGGAAATGCAGAAATCACCTGTCTTCTGCGTTGCTCATGCTGGGAGCTGTAGACTGGAGCTGTTCCTATTTGGCCATCTTGGAACCAATCAATCTGAATTTTTAAGAATAATTTGGTGGGTAGAGGCTCGGGAAGTGGCGAATGCTAATTGGTCAGGTTGGAGATGAAATCATAGAGAGCTGAAGCTGTCCTCTTGCAGTAAGTCAGTTCCTGGGTGGGGGCCACAAGACCTGATGAGCCATTTTATTGATCTGGGTGGTGTCAGCTGATCCATCGAGTACAGGATCTGCAGACTATCTCAAGCACTGATCTTAGGTTTTACTGTAACCTAAGATAATACCCCCAGGAGCAATTTGGGGAGGTTTAGAATCTTGCAGCCTCCAGCTATTGGACTCCAAAGCTATAATTTCTAATCTTGTGGCTAATTTGTTAGTCCTGCAAAGGCAGTCTAATCACCTGGCAGGAAGAGGATTTATTTTGGGAAAGGGCTGTTATTGTCTTTGTCTTAAAGTTAACCTATAAACTAAGTTCCTCACAAAGTTAGTTCAGCCTACGCCTAGAAATGAACATGGACAGCTTGGAGGTTAGAAGCAAGAAAGAGTCAGTTAGGTCAGATCTCTTTCACTGTCATAATTTTCTCAGTTATAATTTGTACAAAGGTAGTTTCAGTGATGAGAATGTCAGAGACATATTTTGAACCAGAGCAACTCCATCTTGAATAGGGGCTAGGCTGCATTCCCAGGTGTTAGGTATGCTTAGTCACAGGAGGAGATAGGAGGTTGGCACAAGATACAGGTCACAAAAACCTTGCTGATAAAACAGGATGCCATAAAGAAGCCAGCCAACACCCGCCAAAACCAAGATGATGATGAAAGTGACCTCTGGTTGTTCTCACTGCTAATTATACACAAATTGTAATACATTAGCATGCTAAAAGACACTCTCACCAGACCCATGACAGTTTACAAATGCCATGGCAACATCCGGAAGTTACCCTATATAGTCTAAAGAGAGGAGGAACCCTTGGTTCCCGGAAATCCCTGCCCCTTTCCCGGAAAATACATGAATAATTCATCCCTCGTTTAGCATACAATCAAGAAGTAACTATAAGTGTACTCAGCTGAGCAGCCCATGCCACTGTTCTGCCAAAGGAGGAGCCATTCTTTTATTCCTTTACTTTCTTAATAAACTTGTTTTCACTTTACTCTATGGACTCACCCTGAATTCTTTCTTGCACATGGTCCAAGAACCCTCTCTTGGGGTCTGGATTGGGACCCGTTCCAGTAACAAGAAGACCTAAGTGAGACAGGGAGATGTCTTTATATGGTGATGGGGAAGGGTATAGGAAGTACAGAAGACAGAAGAGGGGACAGCCAGAGCAGGTGGCTTCAGAGCACAGCTCCTGGAGCAAAGAAAGGATGGAAGGAGGCAGAGGGAGGTTTTTGACCCAAGAGAAGTAAGAATTTTTCAGTGGTGAGAAAAGGAAACTTTTGGCCAGGTGTAGTCTCACATCTGTAATCCCAGCACTTCAGGAGGCTGAGGCAGGAGGATCTCTTGAGCCCAGGAGTTTGAGATTGGTTTGGGCAACATAGCAAGATCCCATCTCTACTAAAAATAAAAAAAATACACCAGGCACGATGGCTCACACCTGTAAATCCCAGCATTTTCAGAGGCCAAGGCAGGTACATCACCTAAGGTCAGCAGTTCGAGACCAGCCTGATGAATATGGTGAAACCCCACCTCTACTAAAATTACAAAAATTAGCCGGGCATAGTGGGGTGCACCTATAGTCCCAACTACTTGGGAGGCTGAGGCAGGAGAATCGCATGAACCTGGGAGGCAGAGGTTGCAGTGAGCCAAGATCGTGCCACTGCACTCCAGCCTGGGCAACAGAGTAAGACTGTGTCTCAAAAAAAATAAAATAAAATAAAATAAATGGCTGGGCACAGTGTCTCATGCCATAATCCCAGTACTTTGGGAGGCCGAGCAGCTGGCAGATCACCTGAGGTCAGGAGTTCAAGACCAGCCTGGCCAACATGGTGAAACTCGGTCTCTACTAAAAATAAAAAAAATGGCCAGGCATGTCTGGGTGTGGTGGCTCATGCCTGTAATCTCCAGCACTTTGGGAGGCCGAGGCAGGTGGATCACGAGGTCAAGAGATCGAGACCATCCTGGCTAACACGGTGAAACCCTGTCTCTACTAAAAATAGAAAAAATAGTCAGGCATGGTAGCGGGCACCTGTAGTCCCAGCTACTCAGGAGGCTGAGGCAGGAGAATGGTGTGAACCCAGGAGGCGGAACTTGCAGTGAGCTGAGATCATGCCACTGCACTCCAGCCTGGGCAACAGAGCAAGACTCTGTCTCAAAAAAAAAAAAAAAAAAAATTGGCCGGGCATGATGGCAGATGCCTGTAGTCCCAGCTACTTGGGAGGTTGAGGCAGGGGAATAGCTTGAACCCAGGAGGTAGAGGTTGCAGTGAGCCAAGATCCCACCACTGCACTCCAGCCTGGGCAACAGAGGGAGACTCTGTCTCAAAAAAAAAAAAAAAAAAAAAGGTGGTGGGGGGGCCAGGTGAGGTGGTTTACACCTGTAATCCCAGCACTTTGGGAGGCCGAGGCGGGAGGATCACGAGGTTAGGAGTTCAAGACCAGCCTGTCCAACATGGTGATACCCCATCTCTACTAAAATACAAAAAATTAGCCAGGCATGGTGGTGCATGCATGTCATCCCAGCTACTCGGGAGGCTGAGGCAGGAGAATCACTTGAACTCAGGAGGCAGAGGTTGTGGTGAACAGAGATCATGCCACTACACTCCAGGCTGGGCGACAGAGCAAGTCTCCATCTCAAAAAAAAAAAATTAAAAAAATTAGTCTGGCATGGTGGCGTATGCCTGTAGTCCCAGCAATCGGGAGGTTTAGGTGAAGAAAAAGAAAAGACACTTTCATCCTTGGGGTTGTTTGAGCACAGAGCCAAGTGATCACATGTCAGAGCTTCTCACAGTCCTTTTTTTTTTTGGATTTTTAGTGAAGATGGGGTTTCACCATGTTGGCCAGGCTGGTCTCAAACTCTTAACCTCAGGCGATCTGCCCAAAGTGCTGGGATTACAGGCATGAGCTACCGTTCCCGGCTTTCTCAAAATCCTTAAACCCAAAAGTCTATGATTCTTATTTTAAAATTCCAGGTGCTTCTCTTTCTAGGCTGGAGAGATATTCCCCTAAAGTCAATTCAGGTTCATAGTTGAATTCCTGTCTACGGATTCTAGGAAGGCAGCAGAATAAGGATCTTTGAGGTTTAAAAGCCTTTTTTCTTTGCTTTCTCTTCTTTTAAAAAAGGGAGGGGGGCTGGATGTGGTGGCTCATATCTGTAATCCCAGCACTTTGGAAGGCCAAGGCAGGTGGGTCACTTGAGCTCAGGAGTTCAAGACCAGCCTGGGCAACATGGTGAAACCCCATCTCTACAAAAAAAATACAAAAATTAGCCAGGCATGGTGGTGCATGCCTGCAGTCCCAGCTACTTGGGAAGCTGAGGTGGTAGGATCACCTGAGCTGGGAGAGTTTGAGGCTACAGTGAACTAAGACTATACACCACTGCACTCAAGCCTGGGTGACAGAGCAAGACTCTGCCTCAAAAAAAAAAAAAAAAGAAAAGAAAGAAAAAAGGGAAAAAAAAGAAAAGAAAGCATGGTTAATACAAGTTGAAACATAGTAGTTAACTAGCAGTTGCCTGGCGCAGTGGCTCACAACTAATCCCAGCCTTTTGGGAGGCCGAGGCGGGCAGATCACGAGGTCAGGAGATCGAGACCATCCTGGCTAACACGGTGAAACCCCATCTCTAGTACAAATATAAAAAATTAGCCAGGCATGGTGGCAGGTGCCTGTAGTCCCAGCTACTTGGGAGGTTGAGGCAGGAGAATGGCGTGAACCCCGGAGGCAGAGCTCACAGTGAGCCAAGATCGTGCCACTGCACTCCAGCTTGGGTGACAGAGCGAGACTCCATCTAAAAAAAAATAAAAAGTAGTTAATGCTGCATGGTTTGGAGTCAGACTCTGCCTAGATCCAAATCCTTGCTCTTCGGCTGTGTGACTTTGAGCCAGTTGCTTAACATCCCTGTACCTTGATTTTCTTAATCAAGAAAGATTAAGATTTTCTTAATCAAGAGAGAAATAATTCTAGCCTCAAAAATTGCAAGGTTTTTTTTGTTTGTTTTTCTGTTTTTGAGATGGAGTCTCACTCTTGTCGCCCAGGCTGGAGTGCAATGGCGTGATCTCAGCTCACTGCAACCTCCACCTCCCGGGTTCAAGTGATTCTCCTGCCTCAGCCTCCTGAGTAGTGGGATTACAGGAGTCTTGCACCACACCCAGCTAATTTTTGTATTTTTAGTAGAGATGGGGTCTCGCCACATTGGCCAGACTGGTCTTGAACTCCTGACCTCAGGTGATCCACCCACCTCAGCCTCCTAAAGTGCTGGGATTACAGGCATGAGCCACCACGCATGGCTATAAATTGCAAGTATCAAATGAACTAAAATGTAAAGTCCTTAGAACCTTCTAAGGTTTACCCATATTGAACACTCAATAAATGTTTGCTCTCATTAAAAATAAGGGAGGAGCCGGGTGTGGTAGCTCACGCCTGTAATCCCAGCACTTTGGGAGGCCGAAGTGGGTGGATCACAAAGTCAGGAGTTTGAGACCAGCCTGATATGGCGAAACCCCATCTCTACTAAAAATACAAAAATTAGCCAAGCATGGTGGTGGGCACCTGTAGTCCTGGCTACTTGGGAGGCCGAGGCAGGAGAATCGCTTGAACCCGGTAGGTGGAGGTTGCAGTGAGCAGAGATCGCGCCATTGCACTCCAGCCTGGGCGACAGAGTGAGACTCTGTCTCAAAAAAAATAAAATAAAATAGAATAAAATAAAATAAAAGGAGGAAATATGCCCAAAATAAACATGTATATATATTCACCATAACACATGTTCAAGAAGATTCATAGCACCAAACTCATAATAGCTCCAGACTAGAAACAACCCAAATATCCATCGACAGAAAATAGTGATATATTCAGGCAGTGAATACTACACACAATGAGAATCAATAAACTACAACTACACACAGAAATACAGATGAATCTCACAAACATAATATTGAGCAAAAGAAGTCACAAAAGACATATACTGCCTGATTCCATTTATAGAAAATTCAAAACTAGACAAAACAAATCTACGTTGTTAGAAATCAAGATAGTGCTTTTCCTTGGAGTAAGGGTAATGACCAGAAAGAGGCTTCTGTGAGTACTGATAATGCTCTTTTTTGTGATCTGCTTACTGAAGTGTGTTGAATTTGTGAAAATTTATCTGTATACTTTCAATTTGTTCATTTTTAGTATGTTTGTTATACTCCAATTAAATTATTTCCTTTTTTTTTTTTTTTTTTTTTGAGACGAACTCTCACTCTATCGCCCAGGCTGGAGTGCAGTGGCGCAATCTCGGCTCACTGCAAGCTCCACCCCCCGGGTTCACGCCGTTCTCCTGCCTCAGCCTCCCGAGTAGCTGGGACTGCAGGCGCCCACCACTACGCCCAGCTAATTTTTTGTATTTTTAGTAGAGACGGGGTTCACGTGTTAGCCAGGATGGTCTTGATCTCCTGATCTCGTGATCCGCCCACCTCGGCCTCCCAAAGTGCTGGGATTACAGGCGTGAGCCACCGCGCCCGGCCAAATGATTTCTTAAAAGTCAAAAGTGGCAGGGAATAATACGCACAATCTTACGCTCATAAATAACTACCATTGTCATTTTGGAGTGGATTCATCTGGGCAATTTCTACACATATATAAACATATAAATAGGCCAGGTGGGGTGGCTCACACCTGTAATCCCAGCACTTTGGGAGGCTGAGGCAGGTGGATCACCTGAGGTCAGGAGTTTGAGACCAGCCTGGCCAACATGGCGAAACCCTGTCTCTCCTAAAAATACAAAAATAAGCTAGGCGTGGTGGCACACACTTATAATCCCAGCTACTCAGGAGGCCGAGGCAGGAGAAACGCTTGAACCTGGGAGAGGGAGGTTGCAGTGAGCTGAGATCACTGCACTCTAGCCTGGGCAACAGAGCAAGACTCCATCTCAAAAACAAAAACATGTAAATAGATGAGCTTATACTACACTATTATTTTTTTCACCTATCACCTAATTTTTTCACTTATTAATATAAATCTTAAACACTATTTCATGTACAACATTATTCTTAGTGGTTATAGAGTATCACATGTGCATACCACAGTTAATTTAATAAACTCCCTATAGCCAGGCATGGTGGCTCATGCCTGTAATCCCAGCACTTTGGGAGGCCGAGGCGGGCAGATCACCTGAGGTCAGGAGTTTGAGACCAGCTTGGCCAACATGGTGAAACCCCATCTCTACTAAAAAATACAAAAATCAGCCAGGCATGGTGGCAGGCACCTTAATCCCAGCTACTTGGGAGGCAGAGGCAGGATAATCATTTGAACCCAGGAGGCAGAAGTTGCAGTGAGCGGAGATCAAGCCATTGCATTCAAACCTGGGGGACAAGAGTGACACTTCTCTCAAAAATAAAAAATAAAAAAATAAAATAAAAAAAACTCTCTGTAGCTGAACATTTAAGCTATCTCTACATTTTTGCTGTATAAAGAACACTTGGCAACAAGTATTTTTAATTCACTTTTGTACTAGTTTTCCATTATTTTATCCTTGTATTTTTGCTGGGAACTTTTTTTTTTCTTACCTCACTCGTTCTTTCCTCTTCACCCGCTTTCTCCTTGCTTATTCTTCATGCTCAAACATACCTAATTATCTATAAGGGTTTAATTCTTGTTCACTTTACAAAAATAGAATCAGCCAGACACAGCGGCTCAAGCCTGTAATCCTAGCACTTTGGGAGCCCAAGGCAGGGGGATAGCTTGAGGCCAGGAGTTCCAGCAGCCTGGGCAACTCGGTGAGATCACATCTCTATACTAAATAGAGAAATTAGCCAAGTGTGGTGGTACACACCTATAGTCCTAACTACTCAGGAGGCTGAGGTAGGAGAATTGCTTGAGCTCAGGAATTTGAAGTGATAGTGAGCTATGATCTCACTACTACACTCCAGCCTGGGTGATGGAGTGAGATCCTGTCTCTTGAAAAAAAAAAAAATCATAGGCTTTCCTCTGAAATTTCTGGTTTCATTTTGCCAAAGCTCACAGAAGCCCCTCTAGAGCACTTGATATGGCTCTAACATATATTTTAAGTAGCTGCCACAATATCCAGTGGGATGGGTATACCATGATTTTAGTCAATCATTCTCTTATTGAGAACACCCAAGTTATTTCTAGGGCTTAAACATTACAAAAAAATCCTGCAATAAGTGTCATTGTGTGTATGACCTTATGTGCCCATTGCCAATTTATTGCCTCTTCCAAATTCATCCTTTTTGATGGCTCTGTAAATAACAGTTCTGGGCCCTTTAAATATTTTCCTTTGCAAGTGATGCTGAGGCTTTGTCAGTAGAGGGCGCTACAGACATTGAAGGAGAGTCTCTTGCTTCCTGGTTCCTGTGTGCTTCCTTGGCCGTCTCCTTGCAGGCGACTTGGTGTCTTAGTCCTCTGGCTCCTGCAATGCATGGCGGTTCGTGCACCAGCAGCCGCAGCTTCCTCCCGGTACTCTCCCCCAGGGAGTTTTTATAAAAGAGTTCCTACAGTGAGACATCTCCCTGTGAACAGCTTTCCCCAGCACCCTAGAAGACAGATACTTAACACGTTTCAGAGGATGGATTTCCAGTTAGTTCTACTGATTTCTGTCACTTAGTGAGCCACAGCCATGTCCGTTCCAACAAGATCTGGATCTCAGCCGTAGGTCTTCCTTGGATCTTCTATCTCATTTATGGGGTTAGTGGTTGCTTCCTAACCTAACCGCTTCCTTTTTGTTTGTTTGAGACGAAGTCTCGCTCTGTCGCCCACGCTGGAAGGCAACGGCACGATCTCGGCTCACTGCAACTTCTGCCTCCTGGGTTCAAGCGATTCTCTGGTCTCAGCCTCCAGAGTAGCTGGGATTACAGGTATGCACCACCATGCCCCGCTAGTTTTTTGTATTTTTAGTAGAGATGGGGTTTCACCATGTTGGCCAGGCTGGTCTCAAACTCCTGACCTCAGGTGATCCACCTGCGTCGGCCTCCCAAAGTGCTAGGATTACAGACATGAGCCACTACTGCACGCAGCCTGCTTCCTGTATTCTTTAGAATTCTACTTCTTACTAGTCAATCCCTCATTACTCCAATCTTCTGTTATAGTTAATAATTCTTCATGTTAAACTTCTCTGTTTGAATTACTAAGTGGTTTTTCTCTCTTGATTCTACTCAGACTGAGACACTACCTGCCATGTTGCATGGGTGGAGTATGCTATAGTTTTCCTCTATCATTTACCTACTGAAGGCATCCGGGTTGTTTCTAGGTTTTAGCCAATACACATAAATCTGCAATAAATGTCCTTGTACATATAACTTTGTGTACTGGTGGTTTTATGTCTGAATGTTCTATCTCAAAATTGGAATTGCTGCTTCAAGGCACCAAGGAGCTCTCGTCACCAGCCAGACCCATTCTCCTCAGTCCCTGCTTTCACCAAATGGTTTTGTCTTTTACCTGATTAAGAAAATGAAAGTTATCTCATGTGATGGCTGCATGTCCATTTCAAAGTATCTTGGTTTTCATCCTTCCTCTTTCTTTATGCTTTTCTCTAAGGAAAAGTGTCCCTCCCTTCTCCATGCATTCATTTAACTAGCATTTGCTGAGCTCCTTCTATAAGACTGGCCCTGTGCCAGTGGCTACAGATACGGAGATAAACAAGAATTGGTCCCTGCACACACAGTGCCGGTTAACTATCTTGGAGTTTACTTCTTATGGCCTCTCTCTTATCTCTTCAGACACTTTTTTTTTTTTTTTAGATGGACACTCGCTCTGTCACCCAGTTTGGAGTGCAGTGGCGCAATCTTGGCTCACTGCAACCTCCGCCTCCCGGGTTCAAGTGATTCTCCTGCCTCAGCCTCCCGAGTAGCTGGGACTATAGGTGCAAGCAACCACGCCCAGCTAATTTTTGTATTTTTAGTAGACACGGGGTTTCACCATGTTGGCCAGGCTAGTCTCGAACTCCTGACCTCAAGTGATGAGCCTGCCTCGGCCTCCCAAAGTGCTGGGATTACAGGCATGAGCCACCGCACCCAGCCACTTTAGACACTTACTATTGTGTTTTCCCTTCAGCCTGCGTGTGTGCTCTCATCCTTCCTCTGAGGATAGTTTGCCTGGACCCAGCTTCCCTTTCACACTACTGTCCTGACATTTTTCCTTTATTGCCAGACTTCCCAGTGGTGGCCTTGGCTCACTGCCCCCGCTGTTTCTCATCTCATTTTCTCTTTGTCTCACGTGTCCCTGTGAAGAGACCACCAAACAGGCTTTGTGTGAGCAACAAGGCTGTTTATTTCACCTGGGTGCAGGTGAGCTGAGTCCGAAAAGAGAGTCAGCAAAGGGTGGTGGATTATCATTAGTTCTCATAGGTTTTGGGATAGGCGGTCAAGTTAGGAACAGTGTTTTGTGGGCAGGGGGTGGATCTCACAAAGTACATTCTCAAGGGTGGGGAGAATTACAAAGAACCTTCTTAAGGGTGGGGAGATTACAAAGTACATTGATCAGTTAGGGTGGGGCAGGAACAAATCACAATGGTGGAATGTCATCAGTTAAGGCTATTTTCACTTCTTTTGTGGATCGTCAGTTACTTCAGACAGTCTGGATGTATACGTGCAGGTCACAGGGGATATGATGGCTTAGCTTGGCCTCAGAGGCCTGACATTCCTGTCTTCTTAAATTAATAAGAAAAATAAAACAAAATAGTGGTAAAGTGTTGGGGCGGCGAAAATTTTTGGGGGTGGTATGGAGAGATAATGGGCGATGTTTCTCAGGGCTGCTTCGAGCAGGATTAGGGGTGGTGTGGGAACCTACAGTGGGAGAGATTCAACTGAAGAAAGATTTTGGAGTAAGGGGTGATATTGTGGGGTTGTTGGAAGGCGCATTTGTCATATAGAATTATTGGTGATGGCCTGGATGCGGTTTTGTATGAATTGAGAAACTAAACGAAAGACACAAGTTCCGAATAAAAGAAGGAGAAAAATAGGTATTAAAGGACTAAGAATTGGGAGTACCCAGGACGTCCAATTAGAGAGTATCCAAAGGGGTTCAATGTTATTGTTTGCTTGATTGGCAAGTTTTTGGGCTCTATCCTTGAGATTTTTTTATGTTGTCATATACCAGGCCAGATTGATTTAGGTAAAAACAACACTCTTCATTTAAAAATATACAAAGTTCTCCTTTTTCAGCAGTGAGTAAATTGAGGCCTCAGCAATTTTGGAGGAAAGAGAAATGCAAAGCCAGCAACTGTTTGTTAAAGAAGGATTAGAAATGGCTAGGAGAGAGTGAGATTGATAGTGTGGTGGAGATAGCTGGGAGAGGTAGAGGGTGGAATAAGAACGGGAACCAGAATAAGAGTGAGTATAAAAGTAAAGAATAGGACTTCATCACGGTGAAAGTATTGGAGTGTACTTTGTCACTGAAGATCTTCTATCCACTTAAAGAGAGACTTAAGGGTGGCAGTTTGAGGTAAAACCAGGTGCCACTGAATACCAAGAGCCTGAGAAACTGAGGTGGGAAGGCCAAACTGAGGAATTATGTCTGACAGAAGGGAAGAATTGACCACGGTGGCCTTCTCAGACCCTGTGGGAAAGGCCTCTACCCATCCAGTGAAAGTGTCTACCTAGACCAGGAGGTATTTTAGTTTCCTGACTCGAGCATGTGAGTAAAGTCAATTTGCCAGTCCTGGGTGGGGGCAAATCCACGAGCTTGATGTGTAGGGAAGGGAAGGGGCCTGAACAATCCCTGAGGAGTAGTAGAATAGCAGATGGAACAACGAAGAAGTGATTTCCTTGAGGATAGATTTCCACAATGGAAAGGAAATGAGAGATTCTAAGAGGCGGGCTAGTGGCTTATAACCTACATGGAAGAGGTTATGAAATGACAATAGAATAGAATGGGCCTGTGAGACTGGAAGGAGATATTTTCCTTGGTGCAAGAACCATTTGCCTTGTGTGGGAAGAGACTGATAGGTGGAAGTTTCAATGGAGGAGTAGGTGGGAGTGACCAGATGAGAAGGAGAAAAACTGGCCGTGAGGGACAGAAGTTGGAAAGCTAGCTGCTTTTTTAGCTACCTTATCAGCATAAGCGTTGCCCTGAGTGATGGGATCTGATGCCTTTTGATGGCGCTTGCAGTGTAAGACTCCAGCTTCCTTTGGAAGTAAAGCGGCCTTGAGAAGAGTTTTTATTAAAGAGGCATCAATGATGGAGGACCTTGTGTAGTAAGGAAATCTCTTTCAGCCCATATAACAGCAAAGTGGTGCAGGATATGGAAGGCATATTTAGAGTCAGTATAAATATTGACGCCTAGTCCTTTTGCAAGAGTGAGGGTTGGAGTTAAGGCAATGAGTTCGGCTTGCTGAGAGGTAGTGGAGGGGGGCAGAGCAGTAGCCTCAATGACAGATGTGGAATATACTATAGCATACCCTGCCTTTGCTGGTATGTGGTGATTAGTCCTGGTGGAACTGCCATCAATAAACCAAGTGTGATCAGGGTGAGGAACAGGAAAAAAGGAAATATGGGGAAATGGAGTGAACATCAGGTGTATCAGAGAGATGCAGTCATGGGGGTCAGGTGTGGTATCAGGAATAATGAGAGAGGCTGGATTGAAGTCCAGGCCAGGAACAATGGTAACTGTGGGAGACTCAACAAAGAGTGAGTACAGCTGAAGGAGCTGGGGAGCAGAAAGTATATGTGTCAGGTGTGAGGAAGAAAATAGATTTTGGAAGTTATGAGACTGTAGAGAGTGAGTTGAGCATAGTTTGTGATGTTGACGGTGTCTGAAAGTATTAGGGTGGCAGCAGCCACTGCACAGAGACATGATGGCCAGACTAAAACAGTAAGGTCAAATTGTTTGGACAAAAAGCCTACAGGGCATGGTCCCGGCTCTTGTGTAAGAATTTTTACCACACAACCCTGTACTTTGGCTCTATGTAATGAAAGGGGTTGGGATGAGTTGGGAAAGCCAGCGTGGGGGCAGCTTCTAGGGCTGTTTTTAAGGAACAGAAAGAGGAGTGGTGAAAGGATTTAGGAGCTATGGAGTTAGCTAGGTTTGGTTTTGTGAGTTTATATAATGGTTTTGTTAGGATGGCAAAACCAGGTATCTAAAGGCGAAAGTATCCTACCATGCCCAGTAAGGAAAGGAGTTGTAGTTTTGTAGAAGGGGCTGGGGTTTGGGAGATTAGCTGGACACGATCAGCAGGGAGAGCACGTGTTTTCATGAAGAATCATGTCGAGATAGGTAATGGATGAGGAAGAAATTTGGGCTTGACTGAAGTAATGGGGGCTGTCCACGAAGGCTTGTGGCAGTACAGCCCAGGTAATTTGCTGAGCCTGATGGGTGTCAGGGTCAGTCCAAGTGAAAGCGAAGAGAGGCTGGGATGAAGGGTGCAAAGGAATAGTAAAGAAAGCATGTTTGAGATCCAGAACAGAATAATGGGTTATGGAGGGGTTGTGGAGGGAGGTATTGAGCATAGGAGAGTATATGGCTTTGGCACCATGGGGTGGATAGGTAAGACAATTTGATTGATAAGGCACAGATCCTGAACTAACCTGTAAGGCTTGTCCGGTTTTTGGACAGGTAAAATGGGGGAATTGTAAGGAGAGTTTATAGCCTTTAAAAGGCCATGCTGTAACAGGCAAGTGATAACAGGCTTTAATCCTTTTAAAGCGTGCTGTGGGATGGGATATTGGCGTTGAGCAGGGTAGGGGTGATTAGGTTTTAATGGGATGGTAAGGAGTGCATCATTTGTCGCCAAGGAGGGAGTAGAGGTATCCTATACTTGTGGATTAAGGTTGGGGGATATGAGAGGAAGATGCGAAGGAGGCTTTGGGTTGGGAAGAAGGGTGGCAATGAGATGTGGCTGTAGTCCAGGAATAGTCAGGGAGGCAGATAATTTAGTTAAAATGTCTCGACCAAAAAAGGGAACTGGGCAGGTGGGGATAACTAAAAAGGAGTGCATAAAAGAATATTGTCCAAGCTGGCACCAGAGTTGGGGAATTTTAAGAGGTTTAGAAGCCTGGCCGTCGATACCCACAACAGTTATGGAGGCAAAGGAAACAGGCCCTTGAAAAGAAGGTAATGTGGAGTGGGTAGCCTCCCTATTGATTAAGAAGGGTACAGACTTACCCTCCACTGTGAGATTTACCTGAAGCTCAGCATCCGTGATAGTTCAGGAAGTTTCCGAGGCGATTGGGCAGCATCACTCTTCAGCCACTAAGTCGAGAAGATCTGGGAAGGAGTCAGTCAGAGAGCCTTGGGCCAGAGTTCCAGGGGCTCTGGGAGTGGCTGCTGGGTGAGTTGGACAGTCTGATTTTCAGTGGGGTCCCACACAGATGGGACACGTCTTAGGAGGAATCGCAGGCTGCGGGCATTCCTTGGCCCAGTGGCCAGATTTCTGGCACTTGCAGCAAGCTCCTGGGGGAGGAGGTTCTGGAGGAACCCCTGGCAGCTGTGGTTCAGGCATCTGAAAGTTCTTTGTGCTAGAGATGTGGCTGGGGTTTGTCTCACAGTGGAGGCAAGGAGTTGCAACTCAGAAATACATTGCTACTTGGCTGCCTCTACTATATTACAGTACACGTTGAAGGCGAGGTTAATTAAGTCCTGTTGTGAGGTTTGAGGGTTGGAATCTAATTTTTGGAGCTTTTTCTAATATTGGGAGCAGATTGGGTAATAAAATGCATATTGAGAATAAGACGGCCTTCCTCTGGGGTCTAGGTCAGTAAAGCGTCTAAGGGTTGTTGCCAAATGGACCATGAACTGGGTTTTTATATTTGATGAAAAAAAGCCTAAATGCTAACTGATTTGGAAGAGGTCAGATAAAGAAAAAAGGAGCATTAACCTTGACTATGCCTTTAGCTCCAGCCACCTCTTTAAGAGGAAATTGTTGGACAGGTTGGGGAGGGCTAGTTGTGGAACGAAACTGTAAGCCAGACTGGGTGTGAGGAGGGGAGGTGATAGAAAGATTATAGGGTGGGGGAGCAGAGGCTGAGGAAGAATTGGGACCTGGCTTGGCCTGGTGAGGAGCAGCCTGGGGAGAAGGAGAGAGGTCAGATGAGTCCGTAGAAAAGAAGGATTCACAGGACTCAGAGCTTGGGGTGGAGACTGAAGGAACAGACAGGAGAGAAAGAAGAAAGATTTGGGACACGTCTCAATGGGAGCAGAGACTCGGAAGGGACCAACGTGTAAAAGAATGCCTGGATGTCAGGCACCTCAGACCATTTGCCCATTTTTTGACAAAAATTATCTAGGTCTCGTAGGATGGAAAAATCAAAAGTGCTGTTTTCTGGCCATTTAGAACCATTGTCAAGTTTGTATTGGGGCCAAGCGGTGTTGCAGAAGAAAATAAGATGCTTAGATTTTAGGTCAGGCGAGAGTTGAAGAGGTTTTAAGTTCTTGAGAACACAGGCTAAGGGAGAAGAAGGAGGAATGGAGGGTGGAAGGTTGCCTATAGTGAAGGAGGCAAGTTTAAAGAGAAGGGTAGAGACACGGAGAGGGGGGTTGGGGAGCAGCCCTGGGCTGCAACGTGGGCGAGCAGCCAAAGCAGGTGTCCCCACAATTGACTTGCCACCAAGGGAATGTGGGTGAATGACCAAGGCAGGCATCCCCATAGAGATCAGACACCAATGGAACGTGGGTAAATCATCAGAGAGGCGTCCCCGCAATGATTAAACACCAAGGGAAGGCTGCCTTCCCGAGTCTATGACTGGCGCCGGAATTTTGCCTCCACAGATAAAATGTGTCTCCTTTGTCTCTACCAGAAAATGAAAGGAATTGAAAATAAGAGAAGGGAGAGATTGAAGGGTGGCGCCAAGATTGAAAGGAGAAAGAGGTCAAAGGATAGTGAGAGAAGTTGGAGAAGAGAGTAAAAATAGGCCGCTTACCCAATTTAAAATTGGTGAGATATTCCTTGGGCTGGTTGGTCTGAGGACCCGAGGTCGTAGGTGGATCTCTTCACGGAGTAAGGGTGAGGACAGGGGACTGGTCTTCCGAAGGAGTCCCACTGACCCGGGTCTTCGGCACCAAATGTTTCATGTGTCCGTGTGAAGAGACCACCAAACAGGCTTTGTGTGAGCAACATGGCTGTTATTTCACCTGGGTTCAGGTGGGCTGAGTCCGAAAAGAGAGTCAGCAAAGGGTGGTGGATTATCATTAGTTCTCATAGGTTTTGGGATAGGCAGTCGAGTTAGGAACACTGTTTTGTGGGCAGCGGATGGATCTCACAAAGTACATTCTCAAGGGTGGGGAGAATTACAAAGAACCTTCTTAAGGGTGGGGAGATTACAAAGTACATTGATCAGTTAGGGTGGGGCAGGAACAAATCACAATGGTGGAATGTCATCAGTTAAGGCTATTTTCACTTCTTTTGTGGATCGTCAGTTGCTTCAGGCGATCTGGATGTATACGTGCAGGTCACAGGGGATATGATGGCTTAGCTTGGGCTCAGAGGCCTGACACTCTTCTCCCCTTGTAACCTGGGCTCTGCACTGCCCCCTCCCATACTCTACTGAAACTACTGTCTAGGAAATCAACAATTAACTACAAATCTCAGTCCAAAGGACCCTTCTCATGCTTCATGGCGCTCAACATCTCTGCACTTCAGTCCTACTGAATTCCTTTTCCTCCTCCCCCTTCTTCTCCTCTTCCTCCTCCTCCTTCTCCTCCTCCTCTCCCTCCTCCTCTTCCTCCTTTTCCTCTTCAAAAAGTATTGTATCCTTACTTTAATTGCAAATGACAGAAAACCTAACTCAAACTAATTTTTATTTTTTTGAAACAGGGTCTTACTCTGACACCCAGGCTGGAGTGCAGCAGCCAAATCTCGGCTCACTGCAACTACTGTCTCCTGTGTTCAGGCGATTCTCCTACCTCAGCCTCCCAAGTAGCTGGCATTACAGGCTCCCACCACAACACCTGGCTAATTTTTGTATTTTTAGTTGAGACGGAAATGTTGAGACCATGTTGGTCAGGCTGGTCTCAAACTGCTGACTTCAAGTGATCCACCCACCTCAACTGTCTAAAGTGCTGAGATTACAGGAGTGAGCCACTGTACCTGGCCCTAACTCAAACTAATTTAAACCTAAAGAATACTATGTAGTAAAAGTATAAACACGTGCATGGAAATGATAAACTCCACACTCACGATAATTATTAGTTCAGTGGGGGCCGGGTGCAGTGGCTCATGCCCATAATCCCAGCACTTTGGGAGGCCTAGGCAGGCAGATCACTTGAGGTCAGGAGTTCGAGACCAGCCTGGCCAACCATATAGTAAAACCCTGCCTCTACCAAAAAAAAAAAAAAATTAGCTGGGCATGGTGGCAGGCACCTATAATCCCAGCTACCAGCTACTCAGGAGGGAGGCTGAAGCAGGAGAATAGCTTGAACGTGGGAGGCAGGGGTTGCAGTGAGCCAAGATCGTGCCACTGCACTCCAGCCTGGGCAACAGAGCAAGACTCTGTCTCTCAAAAAAAAAAAAAAAAAAAGGAAATGTTATTGCTAGGCATGTGACAGAAATGTTTAACATGTGGAGAAAATTAGGAGCAGGTCCATGAAAACCGACAAGTGAATAAACAAGGCAATTATTGATTCTAAGAAAATGAGTTGTACATAAAAGGAGACATGTTTGTAGTATACTATGTGCCTCAACAGTAAACAATAGTTACATAAGAATACTGTACATGTGGACTACTGTCTTTCTAAAACACTGTGGCATTATCTATGTTGAGAGATTACAGGAGTAGGGTAGGCAGGGATGGAATGAGAAAGCTACATCCTTATCTAGCACAGTGAGATGTCATCCATCAAGTCCCAACTATTGTGGCAGCTGAGGTGGCAGGATCGCTTGAGCCCAGGACTTTGAAGCTGCAGCCATGATTGCACCACTGCACTCCAGCCTGGGTGACAGAGCAAGACCTCATCTCTAAAATAAATCAATTAATAAGACTGCAAAATCAAGACATAGCAAACAATAAAGATACTATTTAGACATGTCAAATTTGAATAAGAGGGAAGCATCAAGAGGACTTGAGAATGGTTGCCTCTGAGGTGGCAACCTGGGGAATATAGGGTGGGGAGGGATAGAATACTCCTAAAAATAAGTTTTTTGTTTGTTTGGAATTTTTTGGGTGTTTTTTGTTGTTTTTGTTTTTGTTTTTTTGTTTTGTTTTTTTGAGACAGAGTCTTGCTGTGTCACCCGGGCTGAAGTGCAGTGGCACAGTCTTGGCTCACTGCAACCTCCGCCTCCCGGGTTCAAGTGATTCTCCTGCCTCAACCTCCAAAGTAGCTGGGATTACAGGCGTGTGCCGCCATATCCAGTGATAATCCCAGCTAATTTTTGTATTTTTAGTGGCAACGGGATTTCACCATGTTGGCCAGGCTCAAACTCCTGACCTCAATTTATCCGCCTGCCTCAGCCTCCAAAAGTACTGGGATTACAGGCGTGAGCTACCATGCCTGGCCCACTCAACCAACTGTAAACCAGAAAATGTTTAAATTTACCTATAGCCTGGAAGCACTGTCTCCCCACTTCCCCACCCTCTGCCCACTTCAAATTGTCCTGCCTTTCTGGACCAAACCAATGTATTTCTCAAATGTATTTGATTGATGTCTCATGCCTCCCTAAAATGTATAAAATCAAGCTGTACCCCGACCACCTTGGGCACATGTTCTGAGGACCTCCTGAGGACTGTGTCATGGGCCATGGTCACTCGTGTTTGGCACAGAATAAATATCTTCAGATATTTTACAGAGTTTAACTGTTTTTGTTGACATACTTGGTAAAAAATAAAATAGGTTTTCCCAGAGTCAAACCATAAAGAAAAAAAAGTTTTTAGGCAGGGTATGGTGGCTTATGCCTGTAATCCCAGCACTCTGGGAGGCTGAGGCGGGAGGATCACAAGGTCAAGAGATGGAGACCATCCTGGCCAACATGGTGAAACCCTGTCTCTACTAAAAGTACAAAATTTAGTTGGGCGTCGTGGCACGAGCCTGTAACTCCAGCTACTTGGGAGGCTGAGGCAGGAGAATTGCTTGAACCTGGTAGGAGGAGGTTGCAGTAAGCCGAGATCGTGCCACTGTACTCCAGCCTGGCCACTGAGCGAGACTCCATCTCAAAAAAAAAAAAAAAAAAAAAAAAAAAAAACAAAAAAACGGAATTAAAACATTTTTTATTCCCTTAAAAAGGATTGTAGACCCTAGGCATTATGTCTACTGTTTGAGGGATATGTTGTTCCTGCCTGATTTAGGCTTGGATAGAATAGTTTCTTTGACTTAATCATGGGAAATGGTGATTAAATTATATTAATTAGGTTATAGCCAGGGGTTGGTGGTGCTACCCTAGAGTTTGGGAATGGGGTCCATCCCACCCAGATGGAATTTCTGCCGTATGATGGGAGAGACAGTGAGATTGATGCCAAAGAAATCAAAATACCCACTGCAGATGTGAACAATTTAAAGAAGAAAAAAGCCCAAAAAATTATCAAGTAGCATAAGAAAAGATGCTAGCTGGTAATCAAGGATATGCAAAATAAACAACAAGGAGATATTTTTCACCCATGAAATTGACAAAAATTTAAGTTTAATAATATCCAGATCTGATGAAGTATAGAGAAAAGGGTGCTCCAATAGCTCCAATATATTGTTGGTGGGAATCTAAATTGGTATGCCCTTTTTGGAGGACAACTTGGTAGTAGCTATTAAAATTTGAAATGTACATACCTTCATCCCCCCAATCCAATTTCTAAGTATCTAAATATCTAACACAGGGAAACATGATCAGTATTTGCACAAAAAAGCATGTGCAAGGACATTCATGGCAGCATTGTTCATGATAATAAACATTTTTAAGCAGCCTTACAATTCATTAATAGTCCTGTGGTTAAATAAACTATGTTAAATACATACTCTGGGCCAGGCACAGTGGCTCACGCCTGTAATCCCAGCACTCTGGGAGGTCGAGGCCGGTGGATCACTTGAGGTCAGGAGTTTGAGACCAGCTGGCCAACATGGTTAAACCTCATCTCTACTAATAATGCAAAAGTTAGCCGAGCGTGTTGGGGGCCGCCTATAATCCCAGCTACTCGGGAGGCTGAGGCGGAAGAATCGCTTGAACCCAGAAGGCTGAGGTTCCAGTGAGCCGAGATCCTTCCACTGCACTTCAGCTTGGGTGACAGAGCCAGACTCCATCTCAAAAAAAAACAAAAAAACAAAAAAACAAAAAAAAAAGGATGGAATATGATATGATGCAGTAGTTATACAAAACAAAGTAGATCAATTTGTACTGACATGAAAACAGCTATAAGACATATTTTAAATTGAAACAAGAGAAAACCCAAGTTACATATTGTCTGAATCTGCTATGGCTGCCGTAACAAAATACCACAGTCCAGTGGCTTAAACAACAAAAATTTACTTTCTCACAGTTCTGGAGGCTACAAGTCTACAATTAAAGTGTCAGCATGGTTGGTTTCTTCTGAGACCTCTTTGCTTGGCTTACAAATTGCTGTTTTCTCATTGTGTCCTCACATGGCCTCTTCTCTGGGCATGTGCAACTCTGGTGTCTCTTCCTTTTCCAATAAGGGCTCCAGGTCTATTGGATCAGGGCCCCATCCCAGTGACCTCATTTAACCTTAATTACCTCTTTTTTTTTCCTTTTTTTTTTTAAGACGAAGTCTGGCTCTGTGGCCCAGACTGGATGGAGTGCAGTGAGGTGATGTTGGCTCACTGCAACCTCTACCTCCCAAGTTCAAGCAATTCTCCTGCCTCAGCCTCCTGAGTAGCTGGGACTACAGGTGTGCACCACCATGCCTGGCTAATTTTTTAATTTTTAGTAGAGATAGGTTTTCACCATGTTGGCCAGGCTGGTCTCGAACTCCTGATGTTGGGTGATCTACCCACCTTGGCCTCCCAAAGTGCTGGGATTACAGGCATAAACCACCGCACCCGGCCCTTAATTGCCCCTCTATTTATTATTATTTTTTTAGAGATGTAGTCTTGCTCTGTCACCCAGGCCGGAGTGTGCAGTGGCGCCATTTCAGCTCACTGCAACCTTTACTTCCCAGGTTCAAGTGATCCTTGTGCCTCAGCCTCCCATGTAGCTGGGACTACATGCCTGGCTAATTTTTGTATTTTTAGTACAGATGGGGTTTTACCATGTTGGCCAAGCTGGTCTCAAACTCCTGACCTCCAGTGATCAGCCTGCCTCAGCCTCCCAAAGTGGTGGGATTACAGATATGAGCCATCATGCCCGGCTTTAATTACCTCTTCAGAGGCCCTGTCTCCAAATATATTCACATTGGGGGTTAGGGTTAGGGTTTCAATACATGAATTTTGAGGGGACCACAATTCAGCCCACAGCACATATACATATGTATGTGTGTGTGTGTATTTCTATAAATAAACCAAGGACACACAACCAAGTTACATGTTTTCAAAGATACATATCCTAGATTTATATTGATATGCTAATATTATATGTTCTATGTATCCTACATATATATATAGAACATTTATATATGTACATTATATATTGTACATTAGGCATAATTTTGTGTACACGAACATCTCAGAAGCACACTCAGCAACTTTATATGGTAATATCCTCTAGGGAGGGAGATGAGATTGAGGGAGGCTGATGGGAGCTTTATGTTATTTTTTTGTTTGAAAATTTTTTACATCAAACCTTATATTCAAATACTGTGCCATACATCAAAAAGTACAAAACAGAAACTTGCCTAAGGACACACAGCCCTTCCACAGCAGAGCCTGGACCTGCGGTTGGCAAAGACCCAGTTCATTCCATTCTTTCTGGTTCATACTACCCGAGTTTACCTTTTTACCAACAGCCTCTACCCACCACCCTGGTTATTGCATATCACTCGCCTTTTCTTCATCACCAAGTATCCTGAAGTATCACACTCACCTGTCCTTCCTCATGCCCAGAGTCTAACTGTCACCCAGGCTGGAGTGCAGTGGTATGATCTCGGCTCACTGCAACCTCCATCTCCCGGGTTCAAACGATTCTGCTGCCTCAACCTCCCAAGTAGCTGGGACTACAGGCACCCACCGCCATGCCCAGCAAATTTTTGTATTTTTGTAGAGACAGGGTTTTGCCATGTTGGCCAGGCTGTTCTCGAACTCCTGACCTCAGGCAATCCGCCTGCCTCGGCCTCCCAAAGTGTTGGGATTACAGGTGTCAGCCACCTCGCCCGACCTTCACTTACTTTTCTGACCTTTATTTCCTAGCATTCTCCTAAATACACCCACTACTTGTTCTTTCAACCCTTTAATGTGCTTTTCACACTCTCTAAATGTAATGTTGTAGCTGGAATTCCAACACTTCTAGAGTTGCCAGATAAATACAAGACACCTAAAGTTGAATTTCAGATAAACAACAAATGATTTTTGGTGTATGTCTTTCCAATTTAACTGGATGGGCTGGGCATGGTGGCTCATGCCTATAATCCCAGCAATTTGGGAATCCCAGCAATTTGGGAATCCCAGACGGGCAGATTACTTGAGCTCAGAAGTTCAAGACCAGCCTGGGCAACATGGTGAAACCTCATCTCTACAAAAAATACAAAATTTAACCAGGCGTGGTCGCATACACCTGTGGTCCCAGCTACTTGGGAGGCTGAGGTGGGAGGATGGCTTGAGCCCAGGTCGAGGTTGCAGTGAGCCGTGATTGCACCACCATACTCCAGCTTGAGTGACAGAGCAAGATCCTAACTGGATGTCCACATTTTTATTTGCTAAATCTGGCAACGCTATTCCCCACACTTTGTATCCCTAATACAGTTAGCACTTTCTGTTTTACATAATTGTTACTTGTGTTCACACAAGAATTAAAAGTTCTGATCAGGCAGGCAGGATATGGGTCTTTCTTTGTATCATCCATAAGGTTGGGCACACAGTAGTAGTTTCCCAGGAAGTATTTGCTGAACTCGATGATAGAATGTTTTACAAGGATACAGGAAAATTGCTCCTCTCATTCCTTACCTCATTCCCACCTCCAGCAGTTGTTCTTGATTTTGACTAACTAGGTATTAGTTACCTAATCCAAGCCCTTTTTTACATTATAACTCCATGTACATAGACTTGTACCAGTTCAAATGGGCTAACTGAAATATAGAGTCTGGTTTGGGTAATCTAAGGGTTCTAGTCTTGGCTCTCCGATTGACTAATGGTACAGTATAAGTCTAATTTCATCTCTTCAAGCTTCAGCTTTTCATCTATAAAACAGTAACAGGAAATGCCTTATACAACACTCATGATCAAGTCAGATAATCCATGTCAAGCACTAAGCATATAGTAATGGCTCAATGTATGCTAAGTACTACAATATTGAATCTTGGGAGCTTTCCACTTATCGATTCATTAATTTGGTCAAAAAATCTTTGTTGCAACTTTTATGTGCATTAGCAGGGAACTGTGCTGGTGATGGAAATAGTGATGGGTAAAATAGGCTTATGCCCATTTTCATAGCTCTGTCTATCACAGATATAGCCAATAGTTTAAAAAAAAAAAAGAACAAATATGTAATTACAAACTGTAAAATGTTGCATGAAGGGAAATACTGGGGGGCTGTAAGAATTTATAAAAGGGGCCCTGAGATAGCTCAGGAAGAGCTTCCTTGAGAAATGATGGTTGGCATTAATTGAAAACACCATATGCCAGTGTATTCGTTTGCTAGGGCTGCCAATAACAAAGTACCACAGACTAGGTGGCCTAAACAACAGACATTTATTGTCTTAACAATTCTGGTGGCTAGAATTCCATGATCAAGGTGTGGTTACCTTGAGGTCTCTCTCCTTGGTTTGTACATGGCTGTCTTCTCCCTGTGTTTTCACAAAACGATGTAGGAAAGAAAGGCTAATCTATAATCAGAGGAACAAACGCAGCTGCCTGTTATGTAGCTCAGGTTCCATAATAACATTCTTTTAAGGCGCAAAATAACTTAAAGTTCCAACAGCTTTGATTTTGAATTACGTTCGCAGCATTAAACCATCAAAGAGTAAGAGCCAGCAGCTTTGTCTAGCATGTTTTTTGTTTTTTTTTTTTGAGACGGAGTCTCGCTCTGTCGCCCAGGCTGGAGTGCAGTGGCGGGATCTCGGCTCACTGCAAGCTCCGCCTCCCGGGTTCACGCCATTCTCCTGCCTCAGCCTCCCAAGTAGCTGGGACTACAGGCGCCCGCCACTACGCCCGGCTAATTTTTTGTATTTTTAGTAGAGACGGGGTTTCACCGTTTTAGCCGGGATGGTCTCGATCTCCTGACCTCGTGATCCGCCCGCCTCGGCCTCCCAAAGTGCTGGGATTACAGGCGTGAGCCACCGCGCTCGGCCTGTCTAGCATGTTTTAACAGCTTGACATATTTACATACTGTATCATTCTCACCCGTCTTAAGTGTACGATTTTTAGTACATGTATAGTGCAACCATCCCCACAATCCAGTTTGGAGGCATTTCCATCCCACCGAAAAGATCCCGAGTACCTGTTTGCTATCAATCCCCTGGCGGGTTCCCACTTGCAGACCCAGGTTTGCCTAATTATTTTCAGTGTTTTTGCTAAGTCGAAATGACCTTACAGATCCAAGATAACTCTCCAAAAGAAGTCAGGACTAGGATCCCAATGAATATGAATATGAAGCATATGTTCATCAGTACACCAAAGTTATGTCAAGGCTGGGTCTGTATGTGAAATTCCTTAATCCATTGCCTGAGCAAAAACACAGGTTGGCTGCTCCACATAAAACTTACTTTCTAAACGGGGCAAAAGAAGTAAGCGCGTGCCCCCATCCCCGGCACGCGTGCATCTGAGTAGGAGGTAAGCGCACGGCATGTGGCCGAATTTGATGAGTAATGGGCATCCAAGACAGGACCACGGCGCTGCTGTGTGCGCCTGCGCAGCTTCGCGAGCGCCTAGACACAAGTAGCCCAAACCCCGGCTCGAGATCCGTCTGTTCAGCTGTTGTGGCGCCGCCGTTTTGGATCTAAGCGCCTACCCGTGACACCCAGAGAACCCAGGCCTGGCAAGTAAACCCTCTACCCCCTCACTTTCTCTACCCAGCGCTCACAAGGAGCAACAAGATGACAAGACCGCGCGCCCGGGCCACCAGGGAAGCCGCTCTCTCGCTTAGCCACACCCCCTTGGTTGCTAAAATGCCTAGTCCCTGCCCCTCGGGTCGACGCCAGCAGCCACGTATCACGTTTGTACGTGTCTCGGCCTAAAAGCGGAAGTTACGCAGGGACTCGCGAGCGCTGTGGCGGCCCTGAAAGGATATAGGCCGTGGAGGGAAGGGGGCGGGCAGACGGCATAGGAAGGCGCCGGAAGTGGTCCCGCAGAGGCGGGGTGGGAGTGGGGCTCCCGAGGCAGTGCAGTTGGCTGTAGCTGGGCGCCTCGGTTAGGTGCGCTGTCAGTCCTTTCCGAGTGCCTGGCCCAGTCTCTCCCGCCTCGGCCCAACATGGACTTCAGAGAAATTCTCATGATAGCTTCCAAGGGACAAGGTGTCAACAATGTGCCGGTAAGTAGCAGCTGGGGCATCAATGTAGGGGACCCTAGTCTTCCAAGTTCGGAATGTGTGTGGCCCATGGAACTTCTGGGCAGCCGCCTATCGGCTCCGGGAGAGGAAAGACCCGGACGCCTTATTTCCTTTTCTTGGGTTTATACTCTTGGGAACTCGGGAGAAAAGAGCTTGGGACGAGACGCGGGAGCCTTCCTGTGAATGGGTTTCGCCGGCTTATTTACCCCTGCAACAGGGACTTTGCGGTTTGGGTGTTGTAGCTAGAATTGCGTGAAAGCCGTGAGTGAGCTGTGCCTGGCACGCTGTGGATTCTAGCGCTGGTAGTTTTTGGCTTCCACATAAACTTCAGCCTAGAGATTGGGAAGGAAATATGTATGTAAGGGAGTTAGGGGGTTTGGGGTCCTTGGCTTGATAGCTTTTTGGCTGGCTTCTCATCGATCTTCAAGTCAAACGTTTAGCGATTTCTTGAAAGAATTCTCTGACTCGGCCCCACCCACTCAGCCACCGAGGTGATTAAATTATCACCTCCCAGGGGATAGGTATCATCTTTTGGGAAGAGAAGTTTAGCAGATTCCACGAAATCCTTGGCCAACAGAATAGGTGAGCTAGTTTCAGCTTCTGTTTACTTGTAGCCTTCCAGATTTCAGTCTTTGTTTAAAATCTAGGTCCCATTTGGTCAGTAGATGTTTGTCAGTTCGCTTACAGTCGCAAGAGCGGTGTAAGACTTAAATGGTAAAGTGGTGGAGAGCGCCTGGTTTCTGGGGGTTATGGCTGTTTTGCATAAGCTAATCATTTCCAGATTTTCAGATGGTACCCACAGCACAGCTGTAAACCGATAAGTTGCATGGTGATGCCTGCGGTTTGAGCAGTGAGGTATAGAACTAAAACGGCTCTCAAAGTCAATTCAGCTAGAATTTATTGAGCTCCGACGAAGTGCTCTGCATTTCCTAGATATTCGTATATTGCAATATTCGTTTTTTTCTCTTCTGCAGCTTTTTTTTGTCTTCTGAGGCTAGTTCATTCTTTTATCCCTTTGAAAATATTGATCTGAAAAAGGTCTATATTTATGTTTATAAATATATGTATATATACACACACACAGCCATCCCTTATCCCAAGAACTCTGAATAACCATTCCTCTAAGCCGTGAGTCATAAGCTTTGCATGTTGAAGGTATAGACTCAAACCTTTGAAACCCAGATCAACAGATTTACTTTCTAGAAGCATCTGTAAATTTTCCAGATGAATCAATATTGGGTCTAGTAACCATTCATCTTTGCATAATTTGGTCTGTATTTCATTCTAGATCTTATTGAATTTCAGTAAAGGTCAAAGATAGTACTAGCTTTGATGCCCAGTACTGTTCTGTGGAAGAATCAGAACTAAGTCATTTCTTATTCTGAAAGCCAGTAGCTGCTGGGAGAAAAGCAGACAGATAATCCTAAAGCAGAAAATTTCAAAATATGTGTATATGTCATAATATATGCATTATCTATGATTGGAATAACAGAAGAATCAAAAAGGGGAAAAAAGTAATTTAAAATTTAATAGATGGGCGCAATGGCTCAGGCCTGTAATCCCAGCACTTTGGGAGGCCTAGGCGGGAGAATCACCTGAAGTCAGGAGTTTGAGACCAGCCTGACAAATATGATGAAACCCCATCTCTACTAAAAATACAAAAATTAGCCGGGCATGGTGGTGTGCGCCTGTAATCCCAGCTACTTGGGAGGCTGAGACAGAATTGCTTGAACCCAGGAGGCGGAGATTGCAGTGAGCTGAGATCGTGCGATTGCACTCCAGCCTGGGCAACAAGAGAAAAACTTCATTTCAAAAAAAAAAAAATCAATAGATAATATAGCCATATATTTTATGAATCATGCATTCTCTGACCTCTCCCCGCCAAAGCTAGTAAGCCTAGAAGTTTGATTTAGTTACCAGCATTATAATTCTTATCTTTTTATGTGGAATTAAAGTCACAAAAGAAACTATTGAGGAATAGGATAAGACTGTAGTTAAATTTCTTCTTCTTCTTTTTTTTTTTTTTTAAGATAGAGTCTCACTCTGTCGTCCGGGCTGGAGGCTGGAGTGCAGTGGCATGGTCTCGGCTCACTGCAGCCTCCACCTGCTGAGTTCAAGCAATTCTCCTGTCTCAGCCTCTTGAGTAACTGGGACTACAGGCACCTGTCACCACATCAAGCTAACTTTTGTATTTTTGGTAGAGACAGGGTTTCACCATGTTGGCCAGGCTGGTCTTGAACTCCTTCCTCAAGTCATTCGCCCACCTCGGCTTCCCAAAGTGCTGAAATTACAGGTGTGAGCCACCACACCCGGCCAAATTTCATGCTTTACTTGATTTGCTTTAACTTGATTCATCTAACTGTTCTATTTACTTTTTCCTTATCAGCTTAAAGTAATTTGGACACTTTCAAACATAAGGAATGTTAACACATTTCTAATATACCCAAACCCCGTATTTAGCATATTAACATTTCCCCATATTTATTCCATCTATTTTAAAAGAAATAAAGCTTTTTTTCTTTTTTTGCCATCTATTTTAAAAGAAATAAAGTGTTTGGTGGTTTTTTTTTTTTTTTTGTTATCTATTTTAAAAGAAATAAAGCTTTTTCTTTTCTTTTCTTTTTTTTGAGATGGAGTCTCTGTTGCCCAGGCTGGAGTGCAGTGGCGAAATCTTGGCTCACTGCAAGCTCCGCCTCGCAGGTTCAAGCCATTCTCCTGCCTCAGCCTCCTGAGTAGCTGGGAATACAGGGGTGCACCACCACGCCCAGTTAATTTTTTTGTATTTTTAGTAGAGATAGGGCTGGTATCAAACTCCTGGCCTCAAGTGATCAGCCCACCTCAGCCTCCCAGACTGCTGTGAGTACAGGTGTGAACCACTGAGCCAGGCCTGTCTTGAAATGTTTCTTGACTTCGATGGTAGCTTAAAAGGATACTTGCTTTCTAATAATCTGTTACCCTGTACACTATGTCTATGATTTTCACAATTATTAAAAACAAAGAGAGAGTTGGGGACTATCGTATCAATTAACAGCTTTATTTCTGGCTGGGTGCTGTGGCTCACACCTTTAATCCCAGCACTTTGGGAGGCCAAGGTGGGCAGATCACCTGAGATCAGGAGTTTGAGACCAGCCTGGCCAATGTGGTGAAACCCCGTCTCTACTAAAAATGCAAAAATTAGCCAGGCATGGTGGGGCACACCTGTAATCTCAGCTACTCAGGAGGCTGAGGCAGGAGAATGGCTTGAACTTGAGAGGCGGAGGTTGCAGTAAGACAGAGGTTGCAGTGAGTGGAGATCGTGCCACTGCACTCCAGCCGGGGTGACAGAGCGAGACTCTGTCTCAAATGAAAAGAAAAATAAAATAAAATAAAAAAAGACAGCTACATCCCTCCCTGCCCTATACACACCCTGCTGTTATAAATTTACTTGATTAATTGATCTGAGAACCACAGAGGCTTTGCAATAACTAACTAGGCTGCATCTCTCTCTATTGATTGGTTCATTTTTCCCTGTTCGCCAACTTCTTCTCCCACCTTCATTTGGAACCTATCAGAGCTAATGCTCAGAATTTCAGTCTTCAGAGTTCTTGGGTCAGACCTTTACTATGGTAAGGAAATCCAGTGACTAGCGATGATTAGACTAAAATCCAAACACCTGTACAGCCACTTCAGCCTTTCAGACTCTTTGCAGAGCTTTTTGTTGTTATTTTGAGACGAGTCTCGTTCTGTCACCAGGCTGGAGTGCAGTGGCGCTATCTCTGCTCACTGCAGCCTCCACCTTCTGGGTTCAAGCGATTCTCCTGCCTCAGCCTCCCAAGTAGCTGGGATTACAGGCGCATGCCACCACACCCAGCTAATTTTTGTATTTTTAGTAGAGATGGGGTTTCACCATGTTGGTCAGGATGGTCTCAATCTCCTGAGCTCGTGATCCACCTGCCTCGGCCTCCCAAAGTGCTGGGATTACAGGCATGAGCCACCATGCCCGGCCAGAGCTTTATTTTTATTTTTATTTTTTGAGACAGAGTCTTCCTCTGTCACCAGGCTGAAGTGCAGTGGCATGGTCTTGGCTCACTGTAACCTCCGCCTCCTGGGTTCAAGCCATTCTCTTGGCTTAGCCTTCCGAGTAGCTGGGATTACAGGCACCCACCACCACGCCCAGCTAATTTTTGTATTTTTAGTAGAGATGGGGTTTCACCATGTTGGCCAGGATGGTCTCGATCTCCTGACCTTGTGATCCACCCACCTTGACCTCCCAAAGTGCTGGGATTACAGGCGTGAGCCACCGTGCCCGGCAGAGCTTTATTTTTTAAAGCTACCTATTGTATCTGTCTTGAGAAGCTATGAGTATTTCCCTAATCATCATTTTTTTGTTTCTTAATTTTTAACAAATAGTTTTTTATGTTAAAGGTAGGATTGCATCAGGCCCAGAAATAGTAGGCACACTGTCATTTCCCAGTGGAAAACTGAATATATAATAACTGCTGATCAAGGTGATGAAACAAGTTGTCGTCACTGGCTCTGTTTATATATAAAGGAGAAAAGATATTTTTGGTAAACTTGCACTTGATTTTTCTCCCTGGGTTCCAGTAGGAAAAACAAAGTAGTTAACTTGTTTTGGTAGAATACTAGAGCTTAGAATGTGGATTCTTACAGGTTTCACATAGCTATAATTTTTTTTTTGAGACAAAGTCTCACTCTGTCGCCCAGGCTGGAATGCAGTGAGCGATCTGGGCTCACTGCAACCTCTGCCACCCGGGGTCAAGCGATTCTCCTGCCTCAGCCTCCTGAGTAGCTGGGACTGCAGCCGCACGCCACCATGCCCAGCTAACTTTTGTATTTTTAGTTAAGAGATGGGGGTTTCACCATGTTGGCCAGGCTGGTCTCGAACTCCTGGCCTCAAGTGATCTGCCTGCCTTGGCCTCACAAAGTGCTGGAATTACAGGCGCGAGCCACCACACCGGGCCATCACATAGCTATAATTGATGGCTTGTAAAGCATAAGCCAACTTATATGGTCTTTCTCCCAGTGAGACTGTGAAAAACAACCAGAAAAGCTGCTGAAGCTCTGGTATGACCTCCACTGCCACAAACCGAAAGGTAAAGGGCAAACCTTCATGTGGTACCAGGTATACCAGAATTTGGGGGTCTGCCTATAGCCCCTTAAGGATAAGAACCATAGGTAGTGAAAGTAAGAGCCCAGGACATTAACTAGGACAGCAAATTCAGATGTCTTCAGGGGCCAGGTAGATAATGTAAATTCTTGAAGTAGTCTGCATAAAAAATGATAGGTGCCAAGCTCCATGTATTTAAAAAAAGCCCACGATTTGCATAGTAGTTACATTTTCTTTTAAAGAACAGTGTGGGCCAACAAAAAGTTTTTGTAGATGTCTTTTTTCTGCAGGTAATGTTTGATCTATAATGGATTGTAACTGGATTGCTCCCCACCCTTGGATCTGTTAACCTTAATAACGAGGTCCTGGCAATATGATATTGAGCTTATTTGAGTGCAGTTTGAGGATGGCTACCTGGGAAGACGCAGACTCCACAAAGCAGACAGATAATCCTACAGCAGAAAATTTCAAAATGTGTGTATTTCAGGATGTATGCATTCTCTTATGTGCCAGATAGTTCTTCTGCCTTACTAAATAGAATATAATGTAATCCAGCCTGTGGCTTTTTTTCTTTATAAACATGATTCTCCACTGGGCTACCCCTATGGGATAGGGGAGCTGTCTTTTAAAACATTCCAGTACCACATCTTTTGATAGCAAGGTCTGATTGCAACCCCCTTTTGAAAGGTCTTGCTAGCTCAATGTTAAAAAGATCTATGATCATATGCCTAAGAGAAAGGAAAACATACATCCACATAAAAACTTGTACACAAATGTTCACAGCAGCATTATTCATAATAGCCAAATGGAGTACTCCAAAAGGGAGAGATCTGAGAATCTTTTATATAGGCAAGGTCTGGGGAAGCTTAACAGGATTTCAGTATTTTCTGTACAAGGTTAATGCATAGTTGCAGCAATTCGGTAGTAGGCAGTGTTTCTTTTTTGGGAAGGGTGTATTTAACATTCCACATTAAGGGTGTAATAGTAAAGGGGTCTCTTATCTCAGTCAGGTTTTTTTTGTTTTGGAGACAGAGTCTTGCTCTGTCGCCTGGGCTGGAGTCCAGTGATGCCACTTCAGCTCACTGCAACCTCTGCCTCCTAGGTTCAAGCAGTTCTCCTGCCTCAGACTCCCGAGTAGCTGGGACTACAGGCATGCACCACCATGCCCAGCTAATTTTTGTATTTTTTTTTTTTGAGACGGAGTCTTGCTCTGTTGCCCAGGCTGGGATGCAGTGGCATGATCTCGGCTCACTGCAAGCTCCGCCTCGCGGGCTCACGCCATTCTCCTGCCTCAGCCTCCCGAGTAGCTGGGACTATAGGCATCCGCCACCATGCCTGGCTACTTTTTTTGTATTTTTAGTAGAGACGGGGTTTCACTGTGTTAGCCAGGATGGTCTCGATCTCCTAACCTCATGATCCACCCCCCTCGGCCTCCCAAAGTGGTGGAATTACAGGCGTGAGCCACCGTGCCTGGCTAATTTTTGTATTTTTTGGTAGAGATGGGGTTTCACTATGTTGGCCAGTCTGGTCTTGGACTCCTGACCTCAAGTGATCCACCCGCCTTGGCCTCCCAAAGTGCTGGGATTACAGATGTGAGCCACCACGCCCGGTGAAGGGTTTTTTGTTGTTGTTGTTGTTTTTGGAGATGGAGTCTTGCTCTGTCACTCAGGCTGGAGTGCAATGGCATGATCTTGGCTCACTGCAACCTCTGCTACCCAGGTTTAACCCATTCTTTTGCCTCAGCCTTCCAGTCTTTGCTGGGATTACAGGCATGTGCCACCACGCCTGGCTAATTTTTTTTTTTTTTTTTTTTTGTATTTTTAGTAGAGATGGGGTTTCATCATGCTGGCCAGGCTGGTCTCGAATTCCTGACCTCAGGTGATCCACCCACCTCGGCCTCCCAAAGTGCTGGGATTATAGACATGAGCCACCATGCCTGGCCAAGGGTCTTTTATCTCAGCCATGTGGTCTGAGCCTGGTACAAAAAAATAAGGAAGTTAATTTAAAACAAAAGGTCATTAATTAATAGGTCATGCTCCAAGACTCTGTCTCCAAAGTCAACCTCCTCAGGGCTGAACAACCTTTAGAAGCCCCAAATAGACTCTCCATTTTCTTTCACAGATCTGAAGATGACTTGTCTCATGTCTGGGGCAGTGTTGGATTTCTAGCCTAGAGCAGTACCTCTCAACTAGTGTTTTAGGGAGAGGGTCTTTTAGAAACTACTGTTCACCTTTTTCCCATAGAGGTTCTGTTATTTCCCTTCCCCATCACTACCAAGATAATCTCTTTCTGAATAACAATTAACCTTTATAGTGCATACTCTGTGCCAGGCACTGTTCTAAGCACTTTATATATTAATTTAATCATCATAATAACCATATAATGAGCAGTATTTTACTAATGAGGAAACTGAGGCCCGTAACTTGCCCATGGTCACAGAGCTAACGCTAGATATGGTAGAGCAGAGAATCTAATCCAGGCAGATTAGCTCCAGAGTTCTTGCTCTTAATCATGAGCTTGTGTTGAATGAGGGGCGTGTACTGAGGATGGTATAGTGAGGAAGGTTGTTACCTACACAGCTTGAACCCATCCAGTTCCCTATCCCCAACTCCAGCCTTAGGCAGTAACTCTGTTTTTTTTTTTTGTTTGTTTGTTTTGTTTTTTAATGACATTCTTAGTATACAGTAGAGTCTGATGGGAGACAAATGTAAAGGCTGAACCAAAATCATTTGGAAACTGATAGGCAGAAGGATATTTACAGCTTGTTTAGGACAGTGCCAGCATGGTTAACAGAAGTAGAGTCTGAAGGTGAGGGAGGATAAGATAGAAGTTTGGTTGTAGACCTTTCTGAAGTACTGGCATTATCCAAGAGGCAGGTGGAAATTAGGGAAAGGAGGTTAGAACTAGAGATCCAAGTGTTGGAGTTAAATTAAAAACTAGAGATGAAAGTGGTGGAGCCAGGCATTGTGGCTCACGCCTGTAATCCCAGCTCTTTGGGAAGCTGAGGTGGGTGGATCATGAGGTCAGGCGTTCGAGACCAACCTGGCCAACGTGGTGAAACCTGTCTCTACTAAAAATACAAAAGATTACCTGGGTGTGGTGGCAGGTGCCTATAATCAGTCCCAGCTACTTGGGAGGCTGAGGCAGGAGAATTGCTTGAACCCAGGAGGTGGAGGTTGCAGTGAGCCGAGACCACGCCACTGTACTCCAGCCTGGGCAACAGAGCGAGACTCCATCTCAAAAAAAAAAAAAAAAGAAAGTGTTGGAGTTAAATTAGAAGTGACCATCATGGGCAACAAAGTGAGACCCCCCCCCCAATCTCTACAAAAAATACAAAAATTATTAATAGCCAGTTGTGGTGGTGTGTGCTTGTAGTCCCAGTTACTCGGGAAGCTAAGGTGGGAGACTCACTGGAGCCCAGGAGTTTGAGGCCACAGTGAGCCAAGGTCATGCCACTGTACTCCAGCCGCCTGGGTGACAAATCAAGCAAGACCCTATGTATTTCTAAAAAAAAAAAATGAGATGTGTTGTAGTGAGAATATTTTGGGGCTGAGTTAGGCGATCTGGATTCTAATTCAGACTCTGCTATAAACCGTGTGATTGCCAGTAAATACACAGGTGTTCTGGGCCATTTCTAACATAGAGGTTGGACTGGAGACTCCATGAGACACCTATCTGATATTATTACATTTTATAATCAGGTATGTTTTTGTAAACACAATAACAGTAAAATTTACATTTAACTCCATAGCAATTATGAATAGCATCTTTTGGGGCAGGTTATTAATTTTTATCCTCTTAGCCATCCAGCTAAGCAGTTCTAATGGAACCATTGGTTTTCCAGGCCTACTTTCTTTCTCTGACTCTGATGTTCTGAGAAAATTTTTAAAAACTGTGGTGATTATTAAAGTTAAGGATGCAGCATTCTTTGAATATTCCTAACTCCTAATTCTAACCAGTTATAAATCTCTTATGTAAAGCCATCAAGAAATTTATATTTTCTACAGTCGAAACAATATGTTATCTCCTGGGTAAAGAACAGCTTTCATGGAGGAATTGACTTTTTTTTTTCTTGAGACGGAGTCTCGCTCTGTCGCCCAGGCTGGAGTGCAATGGCGCGATCTTGGCGGACCACAACCTCTGCCTCCCGGGTTCAAGCAATTCTCCTGCCTCAGCCTCCCTAGTAGCTGGGATTACAGGCAATGCGCCATCCCGCCTGGGTAGTTTTGTATTTTTAGTAGAGATGGGGTTTCTCCATGTTGGTCAGGCTGGTGTTGAACTCCCAACCTCAGGTGATCCACCCACCTCAGCCTCCCAAAGTGCTGGGATTACAGACGTGAGCCATCACGCCTGGCCAGGGATTGACTATCGATTCCAACATAACATACAGTAGTCGGTGTACACATGTTTCTAGACTAATGTCTCCTTATTTTCTTAATCTGGCTTAGATGATACAGTTTAAATGCAAGGAACAGATATGTTTTAAAGTGGCTTAATATTTTCTAAAGCTCTTGGCTTCAGAGTTACAAATCTTGGCAAAATCTCTGATGTTGTATTTAAATGACAAGCTTCACTGTGGTGGATCATTCATTGGGGTGTAGCAGAATGACTGAGTTGGCTTGCAGTGTAATAAAATGGATATGCTTAGGATAAAAGAAACTCTTGTCCAGCTGCTTTCCATGAAGCTCAAACAATGAAGCAGCCTGGTGCCTTGACTCAGATTCAGAATTGATGGATGCATCCTGATGTGCTGCTGCTAGAGCTAAATATGACCATGTGATGCGAGGGGAAGTGCCAAATAGTTCTTCTGGGTTATTAAATAGAATATAATGTAATCCAGCCTGAAGCTTTTTTTTTTTTTTCCTCTCTTTTTAAAAATGTTTCTCCACTGGGCTGCCCCTCTGGGGAACTGTCTTTTAAAATATTCCATTACAACACATCTTTTGATACCAGGGTCTATTGCAACCCCCTTTTGAAAGGTCTTGCCTGCTCAATGAGAAAAAGATCTGTGGTCATATACCTAAGAGAAAGGAAAATGTGCATCCACATAAAAACTTGTACACAAATGTTCACAGCAGCATTATTCATAATAGCCAAAAAGTAGAGACAATCCGAATATTCAGTTGATGAATATAAAAATAATGCATGGTATATCTATACAATGGAATATTATTCAGCCACAAAAAGGAAGGAAATATTGATACATGCTACAACATGAACTTTGAAAACATGCTAAGTGAAAGAAGCCAGATACAAAAGGCCACTGTATCTGTCAGTGTTCTCCATGGAACCAGTAGGATTTATTTTAGGGAATTGATTATGGAGGCCTGACAAGTCTGAAATTTCTCGGGCAGGCCAGCAGGCTGGAAAATCAGGCAGGAGTTCATGCTGTAGTCTTGAGATAGAACTCCTTTTCTTAGAAGCCTCGGGTTTTGCTCTTATGCCTTCATTGGCATGATTGGATGAGACCCATCCACATTATGGAGGGTAGTATTCTTTACCTAAAGTCAACTGATTGTAGATATTATATCTACAAAATACCTTCACAGTAATGCTTAATGTTTGATTAAATAACTGGGTATTATAGCCTAGTCCAATTGACATATAAAATTAACCATCATAGCTACATATTATACGATTTCATTTGTATGAAATGTCCAGAATTGGTAAATGCATAGAGACAGAATGTAGATTAGCGTTTGCCAGGGGCTGAGGGGAGACAAGAACATGGAGTCATTGCTAAAGCTAAGAGATTTTTTGGGAGAATGATTAAAATTTTCTGGAATCAGATGGTGGTGTTGGTTATACTCTGTGGATGCAGTTGACCCTTCAACAACATAGGTTTGAACTGTGTGGACCCACTTATACATGGATTTTTTTCCAATAAGTTTTTTTTTAAATTTGTGATAACTTAAAAAACCTGCAGATGAACATAGCCTAGAAATATTGAAAAGAATTAAGAAAAAAGTATATCAGGATTCATAAAATGTATGTTAATTGACTATGTTATCAGTAAGGCTTCTGGTCAACTTTGAGTTGTTAGTAAAGTTTTTAGGCAGTCAAAAGTTATACATGGAATGTTGTTGTTGTTGTTGTTGTTGTTGTTGTTGTTGTTGTTTTGAGACAGAGTTTTGCTCTTGTTGCCCAGGCTGGAGTACAGTGGCGCGATCTCAGCTCACTGCAACCTCCACCTCCTGGGTTCAAGCTATTCTCCTGCCTTAGCCTCCTGAGTAGCTGGGATTATAGGTGCGTGCCATCACGCCCAGCTGATTTTTTGTATTTTTAGTAGAGATGGATTTCATCATGTTCATCAGGCTGGTCTCGAACTCCTGACCTCAGGTGATCTGCCCGCCTCAGCCTCCCGAAGTGCAGGGATTACAAGGGTGAGCCACCGCGCCCAGCCGGAATTTTTTCTTACTGCACAGGGTGGTGGCATCCCATGCTACCATGTTTAAAGGTCAACTGTATATCAAAAACCATTTAATAGTATACATTAAATGGATGAATTTTGTGGTATATGAATTTTATCTCAAAGATTTTATTTTTGAGACAGAGTCTTGCTCTGTCACCCAGGCTGGGGTACAGTGGCACAATCATGGCTCACTGCAGCCTCCACCTCCTGGGCGGAAGCCATCCTCCCACATCAGCTGTGTAGCTGGGACTACAGGCGTGCGTCACAATGTCCGGCTAATTTTTGTATGTTTTGTAGAGATGGGGGTCTCATTATGCTGCCCAGGCTAGTTTCGAACTCCTGGGCTCAATCAGTCCTTCCACCTCAGCCTTCCAAAGTGTTGGGATTACAGACATGAGCCACCATACCTGGCCATTCAAAGATATTTCCAAAAATATAAAGATGATCTCGAGTGACCCAGTCTTTTTTTTAGGTTGTGAACCTAAACTTTGTCTAAGAGTGTTTTAATATCTTATTGGTATTTGTGCTGTTGAGGTTTTTTTGGTTTTGGTTTTGGTTTTTTTTTTTTTTTTTTGAGATAGGGTCTTACTCTGTTGTTCAGGCTGGAGTGCCATAGCACAACCATGGCTCACTGCAGCCTCGACCTCCCTGGCTGAGACAATCCTCCTGCCTCAGCCTCCCGAGTAGCTGGGACCACAGGCATATGCCACTGTGCCCAGCTAATTTTTAAATTGTTTGGAGAGACAGGGTCTCCCTATATTGCCCACGCTGGTCTCGAACTCCTGTGCTCAAGCGATCCTCTCGAATTAGCCTCCCAAAGTGCTGGAATTACAGGTGTGAGCCACTATGCCTGACCTGAGTACATTTTTAAGCTACAGAGGATATAAGAAATTAATTGATTATGGCTCAGTTCATATAAACAAGATTAAGCCTCATTAAAGCAGTGCTGACCTTGCCTTACTGCTAGCTTTTTAAGTTGTTGAAGATCAACAAAATAGACATTGTATAGATTTATTGAGTTTCTGCTGCATCATAAGGACAGTACAACAAGTACTGCAAAGTTGTTGGGTTAAATGTGAGACCAGCTTAAGTATCCTTAATGATTAGAGGTGTTTAAAAAGGCAGAATTTGAAGTTGACATATAAATTGATGAGAATAGGTGTATACTTTGAAAAAAAGCTAAAAGTAGCCTTTGTTATTCTTTTCAAAGCAAATCTGAGTTCCTGAACACCACCTTCCTTGTTTTTATGCCTTTCCTGTATTTTTGTTCCCTAAGTCAGTGTTTCTTTTCTTTTCTTTTCTTTTCTTTTCTTTTCTTTTCTTTTCTTTTCTTTTCTGTTTTTTGAGACAGAGTTTCACTCTTCTCACCCAGGGTAGAGTACAATCACCCAGGCTGAAGTGCAGTGGTGCGATCTCGGCTCACTGCAACCCTTCACCTCCTGGGTTCAAGCAATTACTGCCTCAGCCTCCAGAGTAGCTGGGATTACAGGTGCCCACCACCACGCCTGGCTAATTTTTGTATTTTGATGGGGTTTCACCAAGTTGACCAGGCTGGTCTCGAACTCCTGACCTCAGGTGATCCACCCGCTTCAGCCTCCCAAAGTGCTGGCATTACAGGCATGAGCCACCACGCCCGGCCTCAGTCAGTGTTTTTAAAGAGCAGCACATATAGGGCCTGGATATAAATGGTATACAAATATACCATTTAAAATATTTCTACATTTTTTTACAAATAAAATATTTTTTATTTTAATAGTATTTTTTTTTTTTTTTTGAGATAGAGTCTTGCTCTGTTGCCCAGGCTGGAGTGCAGTGGCGCGATCTCGGCTCACTGCAAGCTCCGCCTCCCAGGTTCACGCCATTCTCCTGCCTCAGCCTTCCGAGTAGCTGGGACTACAGGTGCCCACCACCACGCTTGGCTAAGTTTTTTGTATTTTTAGTAGAGACAGGGTTTCACTGTGTTGGCCAGGATGGTCTCAATCTCCTGACCTCATGATCCGCCCGCCTTGGCCTCCCAAAGTGCTGGGATTAAAGGTGTCAGCCACCGTGCCCGGCTTAATAGTATGTATTTTTATATGAATTGGAAAAATATAACTAGTTGTTCAAGTCAGTCATTTTGTGGATATTATTGCTGAGGTAAAGCTATAATAACGGCTCATGATGTTTTTGTTTTTGTTTTTTTGAGACCGAGTCTCACTCTGTTGCCCAGGCTGGAATGCAGTGGCGTGATCTTGGCTCACTACAACCTCTGCCTCCTGGGTTCAAGTGATTCTCGTGCTTCAGCCTCCCAACTGGCTGGGACTACAGGCGTGAGCCACCATGCCTGGGTAATTTTTGTACTTTTAGTGGAGACAGGGTTTCACCAGAGTTCGAGGCCAGGCTGGTCTCGAACCCCTGACCTCAAGTGATCTGCCCGCCTTGTCCTCCCAAAGTGCTGGGATTACAGGCGTGAACCACCGCACCTGGCCAACTCTGTATGTTTTTTTAAATTAGTAAGTAATGGTAGGGGTAGTATACCACAAAGGCAAAAATCATAAAGGTAGTATGCAAATGACTGAAGCTTACTGAACACTGCATTAAACTATGCCCCATTGACACTGATGTTTTCCCTTTTGGATACCAGTATTCAGTCAAGAGCAGCTTTTCGGTTTGTCATATCCCACTTTCTATCTCTTGCAGTCCCAGGTTAAGATGAAAGATATCTATCCCAAAATCATGTTAGATAGTGCTCAATGCTGGGTTATTTGGACAGCAAACCAGTCCTGTTTAAAATAAGTAATGCTAATATATGTATTTGCATTTTTCTTGGGGAAAACCTTGCATGGGGCTTTGATTTGTATGGGGCTTTGTAACTCTATGAGCTATATAATGGACAGGGACAGGAAATTTTTGTTTTTTGTTTATTGAGACGGAGTCTTGCTCTGTCACCAGGCTGGAGTGCAGTGGCGCAATTTTGGCTCACTGCAGCCTCCGACTCCCTGGTTCAAGCAATTCTCTTGCCTCATCCTCCCAAGTAGCTGGGCTTACAGGCAGGCACCACCACGCCCAGCTAATTTTTGTATTTTTAGTAGAGATGCAGTTTTACCATGTTGGCCAGGATGGTCTCGATCTCCTGACCTTGTGATCCGCCTGCCTCAGCCTCCCAAAGTTCTGGGATTACAGGTGTAAGTCACTGCACCCAGCCTTTTTTTTTTTTTTTTTTTTAAAGAGATGAGTTCTCACCATGTTGTCCAGGCTGGCGTCTTAACTCCTGGGCTCAAGCTGTCCTCCCGCCTCAGCCTCCTAAAGTGCTAGGATTACAGGCTTGAGCCACTGCGCCTGGCCAGGAAAATCTTAAGTGTTAGTGAAAAAAAATCCACCTTCTTCTGCTTCCAAATCCCTTAATGGGATGGAGTGGAGTGAGTGTGTGCCTCTGCTTATGAGTTTTTTGTATGTCTTCATTTGAATCATATTCATGGTGCCCTTTCCACAATGAAAATGTAAGCTCCTTGTGATTAATACCTATGTTTGTGGTTCTTTTCTTGTAAACAAGGGCAATTTTATATATATCTAGTTAGGTTAGCAGTATTACTTCTCCTTTCTCCTCTCCCTTTCTTTCTCCCTTTTCTCCTTTAAATATTGAGCCCCTATCCACTATGGAAAGAGTCTAAAATTAAATTTACAAAGATATGGACTTTAAAGGATCTCACTATGGCCTAGCCAAGGTGACTGGGAAAGAAATCTGGATGCTGTCTTGGGACTTCTCTCTATTAGGGATATGTCACTTCTCAGCATTGCTATCATGCAAGATTTTCAGGTTGAATTAGAGCCTGCTTCCTTGGCCAGCTGCTTTGTTGGCAGACTAATTTAGTTGAAACTTCCAGCCTGTTTCAAGATACGTCGTATTTGGCAGCCTTATAGTAAGCACATATCTTTTGGTTTTCCTCCAAGAATTTCATACATATTTGGGAATACTTTTTTGGTTCCTAAGTTGTTCCTAAGTTGTCTCAATTTGTTCTTGGACATGTTTCTTTTTCTGCTAGCCACAGCAACAGGTACGTTAGATGAGAATGCATCTGCCTAACAAAACAAAAAAAGGAGGATACTTTAAAAATCTTATTTCCTGGATTTAATGTGGAATGGTCGTAGAGGTGAATCATCCCTGGTCTGAATTTATTTTAGCTCTATGTTCGTCATATTTCTCTCATAATAGGTACTTATAAAGTGGAAATATTTTTCCTTTTATAGTTCAAATTAACATTACTTGAGTTTAGTAATTTCTTGATGCAGTTATATAAAAACTGAGGTCCAGAGACTTCATCTGTGCCAGGATAATGTAAGCTTTTTTTGGGTGTTATAGGAACCTGTCTAAAAAGGAGGTTGTGAGGCAAATTAACATTTAGTGAACATAAGAGCTACAGTTAAAGGTTGCTGGGAATTGGGCCTTTATTGCATAGATTTTTTGAAATGCTTTTTTGCTGTGGTTTGCCCCAGCCTTTGTGTGTGGTCAAAGTAAAACCTCAGTGTTTCCGTGTTCTAAGCAAAATAAAACATGTAGCTATGAGTCTCTACTAGGAAATCATCTGGAGTAGTCAGGAGAGAAAATAGTTGTGAGGAGTAGTTTTTTCTGTTCGTTTGAAAAGTTGGACTTTGAAATGCTTCTTTCTAAGGCAGGCTATTTTTAAACTCAGAATTTTATACATTTACTTACTTACTTACTTACTTATAGATTGATGGATTGAGACGGAGTTTTGCTCTGTTGTCCAGCCTGGAGTGCAGTGGCGCAATCTCGGCTCACTGCAACCTCTGCCTCCTGGGTTCAAGCCATTCTCCTGCCTCAGCCTCCTAAGCAGCTGGGATTACGGATGTGCGCCACCATGCCCGGCTAATTTTTGTATTTTTAGTAGAGACGGAGTTTCACTATGTTGGCCAGGCTGGTTGCTAACTCCTGACCACAGGTAATCCTCCCACCTCAGCCGCCCAAAGTGTTGGGATTATAGGCGTGAGCCACCGCACCTGGCCTAAATCAGATTTTTTTTTTTTTTTTTTTTTTTTTGAGACGGAGTCTTACTTTGTCGCCCGGGCTACAGTGCAGTGGCACAATCTCGGCTCACTGCAACCTCTGCCTCCCGGGTTCAAGCAATTCTTCTGCCTCAGCCTCCTGAGTAGCTGGGATTACAGGCACCCGCCACTACGCCCAGCTAATTTTTTGTGTTTTTAGTAGGAATGGGGTTTCACCATGTTGGCCAGGCTGATCTCGAACTCCAGATCTCATGATTCGCCCGCCTCCGCCTCCCAAAGTGCTGAGATTACAGGCATGAGACCCTGAGCCCAGCCTAAATCAGAATTTTAAAACACAAATAATCGATTCTTCTAAGTGGTGATTTCATTTAGTTACCCAGTCCAGGTTCTTTTTTGGAAAATAGCCTGAAAACAGTGTTTCTGTGAATTGTTCATTTATGCATTATTTTGGGATGTTACATGGAAACTTTGTACCCCAAAATCACCATACGTAATAAATAGTCTGAAATTTTATAGCTAAGCTTTATTATGGGTTATATGATCTCTCAATTATTCAGAATAGGTTTCACAGTTAACATTTATACCTCTTATTACCTGGCACAGTGCCTTATACCTAATAATGTATTTTAAAAGTTGAATTGCTTCTAACTTTTACTGTTTTTGTTTTTAGAAAAGGTATAGTTTGGCAGTGGGGCCTCCAAAAAAAGACCCAAAAGTTAAAGGTGTCCAATCAGCAGCTGTACAAGCTTTTCTTAAAAGGAAAGAAGAGGAGCTGAGACGAAAAGGTATGTATCTATAGCCTTATTCTCAATTTTAAAGTATTCCATCTTCACCATCTAGCTTGTACTAAACCAGTGGCTGTCTATAAAAACATAACAGGCCAACAGATTTGGGAGGGTGTGTGTGTGTGTGTGTGTGTGTGTGTGTCCAGGTTAACTGACTGTATTCATGGCTTTACATATGTTACCTCGATCATTTGTATAAACGTTTTCTTTTTTTCTCCCCTTGAAGTAACAGCTTTTTGGGGGTTAGTAGCCATGTCTTCTAATTGGCCATAGTAAGTCCCCAGTAAGAACTCCATTCTTTCTTTAATCTTGGTTCTGAAAGTGTTTCTACCCATTTTGTATTTTAATTTTTATTAACAGAATGCTATCTAAAAGGCTAAAATAGAGATAAGTTTTAAAGTCTTTATTTCGAATAGTTCTACTTCATGCAAATACAAAGAAACTGATTCAATATGTTTAAGTATTCATTGAATCATAATTAATAACAACTACTAAGTGGATACTAATGTTCTCTTAACTTGGTAATGTATTTGGTTTGAAGTATTTTGTATATTTAAAGCTGAAAACCAAGTCTCCCACTTGCTTAGTCATATAGAAAAACCCATATGTCTCCCACTCATTATGTAAAGATGACTCAATTGATACTTGTTCACATGACTTCCTCATTTGATTCCTAGATGTCTTCAAACTGTAACCTGAACGTTGTGTTTTCACTTGAGCATACTGCAATCTTGAGATCTCGAAGTAATAACATATTCTTGTTTTGTCCCTTTTAGCCTTAGAGGAGAAAAGGAGAAAAGAGGAACTAGTGAAAAAGCGAATTGAGCTCAAACATGACAAGAAAGCAAGAGCTATGGCCAAGAGGACAAAGGATAATTTCCATGGTTACAATGGGATTCCTATTGAGGAAAAGTCAAAGAAGAGGCAGGCAACAGAAAGCCATACCAGCCAAGGAACCGACCGAGAGTATGAAATGGAAGAAGAGAATGAATTCCTCGAGTACAATCACGCAGAGTCAGAGCAGGAGTATGAGGAAGAGCAAGAACCTCCCAAAGTTGAAAGCAAACCAAAGGTCCCCCTTAAAAGTGCCCCACCACCCATGAACTTCACTGATTTACTCAGGCTGGCTGAGAAAAAGCAGTTTGAACCAGTGGAAATCAAGGTAGTGAAGAAATCAGAAGAGCGACCTATGACCGCAGAAGAACTTAGGGAGCGAGAATTCCTTGAACGAAAGCATAGGAGAAAAAAACTTGAGACAGATGGAAAACTACCTCCAACTGTGTCCAAAAAGGCACCCTCTCAGAAAGAAAGTGTGGGCACAAAACTTAGCAAAGGTTCTGGAGACAGGCATCCTTCTTCCAAAGGAATGCCCCTTCCTCATGCTGAGAAGAAATCAAGACCCAGCATGGCCAATGAGAAACACCTCGCTTTGTCTTCATCCAAATCCATGCCAGGAGAGAGGATCAAGGCAGGATCTGGCAATAGCTCCCAACCCTCACTTCGTGAGGGCCACGACAAACCTGTTTTTAATGGAGCTGGAAAGCCTCATTCCAGCACCTCTTCACCAAGTGTCCCAAAGACTTCTGCTAGCAGGACTCAGAAATCTGCTGTTGAGCACAAAGCCAAAAAATCTCTGTCCCATCCTAGCCATTCCAGGCCTGGGCCCATGGTCACCCCACACAATAAGGCTAAGAGTCCAGGTGTCAGGCAGCCAGGCAGCAGCTCTAGCTCAGCCCCTGGGCAGCCCAGCACAGGGGTTGCTCGACCCACAGTTAGTTCTGGCCCTGTGCCTAGGCGCCAGAATGGCAGCTCCAGCTCAGGACCTGAGCGATCAATCAGTGGGTCCAAGAAGCCAACCAATGACTCAAATCCCTCTAGGCGGACAGTCAGTGGTACATGTGGCCCTGGACAACCTGCAAGCAGCTCAGGTGGCCCTGGGCGACCCATCAGTGGTTCAGTTAGTTCTGCAAGACCCTTGGGCAGCTCTCGTGGCCCTGGCCGGCCTGTGAGCAGTCCACATGAACTTCGACGACCAGTGAGTGGCTTGGGCCCCCCGGGGCGGTCTGTCAGTGGCCCTGGGAGATCCATAAGTGGCTCAATTCCAGCTGGACGGACTGTCAGTAATTCAGTCCCAGGAAGACCAGTGAGCAGCTTGGGACCTGGGCAAACAGTTAGTAGCTCAGGTCCCACTATAAAGCCTAAGTGCACTGTTGTCTCCGAAACAATTTCTTCCAAGAATATCATTAGCCGGTCCAGCAATGGACAGATGAATGGAATGAAGCCTCCCCTATCTGGCTACAGAGCTGCCCAAGGTAAAATTTCCCCTCACCCGAAAGAGTATATATTTGTCATTAGGAAATTGGAAAGAGTTTTTATATTATCAGGGACCCTTTGAACCCCTCATGTGCTGTCCTTTAATGTGCTGTAGTGTTGATAGAATCGTGATGTTTTATCTGCCTTGTGGTTGAGAGTTCCTTGTTTTTTTGTTTTTGAGACAGGGTCTTGCTCTGTTGCCCAGGCACAATCACAGGCTCAAGCAGTTCTCCCACCTTAGCTTCCCAGGTAGCTGGGACTATAGGCGTGTGCCACCATGCCTGGCTAACTTTTTATTTTTTATAGAGATGGGGTTTCAGTATGTTGCCTATACTAGTTTCTAACTCCGGGGCTCAGAGATCCGCCTTCCTCAGCTTCCCAAAATACTGGGATTATAGTCATGAGTCACTATTCCCTGCTGAGAGTTCCTTTAATGGCTTGGAAAGGTCTTTAGAAAGAGACTTGTCTAGGATCTCTGTGTTCACCCTTGAAATGTCCCTAAGTGTGATAAACTTAGCTTTGTGATTTGTGAACATTCAGGGTGAATGTACGTGACTTACATATGTATGCTGCAATGGATGAATTAATCTACTTTTTCCTGAGGACTAAAGAGACCTGTCTTCAAGGATCAGGGTATAATCGGAAGCTTATTCAGCAGATATTTCTTGGGCACCCATTATGTGCCAGGAACTGTTTTTAGATTGTACTTGTGTTTCTGCTTGTTATAATGGTTAGTATCAAGATCCTAAACACTGATCCTTCAGGAATCTGCTGTCCCAAGGTATATGATCATTGGTGGCACCTGCTAGCTGCTAGGTCGTACTTGCTTTATGCTAATAGAGATTTATTAAAGCACTTGTTAGGCTCCACGGAGAATATAAAAAGGAACCAATGATTGAATTACTTGTTTTAAATTTCCTAGTTCAACTAGACCATTGATTCTTAACAAGGGCAATTTTGCCCTCCAGGGGACTTTTGGCAATCGTCACAACTGGGGATGGGGGATGCCACTGGCATCTACTGAATAGAGGACAGGGATGCTGCTGACAAACAATGCATGGGATAGCCCCCTGACAGCAAAGAATTATCTGGTCCGAAATGTCATTGAGCTAAGGTTGAGAAACTAAGCTAGGGAGACAAGCCATGCATATTAAAAACAACCGTAGAAGAACAAAAGAAGTGTCTGTAATCAAAAACTAGAAAGTAGTTGTTCCCAGATCCTGGGCTGTTGATCAATGCCTGTCTTTTGCAAAGTTTTTATCAGTCTTTTGGTAAAATGACAAAAATAAGGATAATGTAGTGAGTTTTTCCTACAGTCAAACTTACTCAGTTTGAACAATATAATTCTGAGAGTCATTCATACTTCATTCAACTTTAAATTTTTAAATGAAATTGTGATTATAGTAGATGGTAGTTGCTACTTTTGGTGTCTTGGCAAAAGTTAATGATTCTGTGGAGGTTTGTAAATTGTATTTATTTTTAGAAATTTTACTGATTTTGGCCGGGCGCGGTGGCGCCGCCTGTAATCCCAGCACTTTGGGAGGCCAAGGCAGACAGATCACCTGAGGTCGGGAGTTCGAGACCAGCCTGACCAACGTGGAGAAACCCCATCTCTACTAAAAATACAAAATTAGCCAGGCGTTGTGGCACATGCCTATAATCCCAGCTACTCGGGAGGCTGAGGCAGGAGAATTGCTTGAACCTGGGAGGCAGAGGTTGCAGTGAGCCGAGATCGCACCATTGCACTCCAGCCTAGGCAACAAGTGAAACTCTGTCTCAAAAAAAAAAAAAAGAAAGAAAGAAATTTTACTGATCTTATAAATTCAGAAATATTGGCACTACTAAGCTAGAAAATGTAACAAGATATTTCTGGTAAGCCCTGGGATAAAACAGGAGTTCTGTTCCTTCTGGATACCATGACACAGCAAGGATGATGGCTCTGCGCTAAGGGCCAGCCTGCTTGCTCTGGTTTTAAAGGATACCATCTTAATGATGACTCACAATTTCAGTTTACATAGAACTGCATTGGAACTATTTTAAATTGTAATATTCTTATAAATAATGGTTTCTTAGGTCCTCAAAGGCTTCCCTTCCCTACTGGTTACAAAAGGCAGCGAGAATATGAAGAGGAAGATGACGATGATGATGAATACGACTCTGAAATGGAAGATTTTATTGAAGATGAAGGAGAGCCTCAGGAAGAAATATCCAAGCACATTAGAGAAATCTTTGGTTATGACCGAAAAAAGTAAGACTAAAGAAGATTCAGATAACTATGACATCCTTTTTTTATTTTGAATAATTCATGTCATGGGGTAATAAACTAATAGTGGAGGCACTGAATACAATTCTTAATTAGGAACCCTTGGGTGATTGTTATTTAAATAAACGTACTCTTTTAGCACTAAATATTTTATATTTAATTCAAAATAGTTTCTGTAGTTATTTGCATGAGGAACAAAAAATAACCCTTTTAAATTGTTATTCTTATAAGATATATATTTAGTGAGATGGAAGCAGCTTAGTGTAGTAGAAGTAGATTGGCTCTTGAAAAAACAAGCTGTATGTTCTTGGTCAGTCTGTTAACTCAACTGCTTCAGTTTCCTCTGGTCTAAAGTCTTTCCCCACCTCATGATGGTCATGAAGCTCAAATTAGATTATTATATATAAAATAATTTTCATATATACTGTGCTTTCAAATTTTAATATAAATTATCAAGTAAATGTAGGTGAGTGAGTTGAGGAAGCACTGTAGGATTGGTACCTTCATGAACATTAGCTTCAGAATAGTTGCCCTCTGAGGGTAATAAGGGCTTATCTAAAACTTGTCTTTACTTCAGAAACCTATCCATCCTCCACTCCCCTCACTCGCTGCCAAGCAAGGAATAATTCTAAATGTGTGCTTGATTTAGTTTTAAAGGAGATATTGATTTTTTAAATGAGAGGACGTAGTTCCTTTAGAAAATTGAAGTTTTCTCTTTTTATCATTTTGATTTCCTTTTATCAGATACAAAGATGAAAGTGATTATGCCTTACGTTACATGGAAAGTAGTTGGAAAGAGCAGCAGAAGGAAGAAGCAAAGAGGTAAGCATAAAATTTAGCATACTTGTGCAAAAATGTCCTAAAAATTCCTTTCTGCTTATTGCTACAATTGCACCATTGGGAACTGGGGCTTTGGGCCAGAGAATTCTGGATTCCAATCCTGTTTACTAGCTGTGGGGCCTTGGACAAATTCCTTAACAGTTCTGTTTTTTCACTGGTTTTTGTTTTTTTGTTTTTTAACAGAGATGGGGTCTCGCTATGTTGACCAGGCTAGTCTCAAACCCCTGGCCTCAAGTGATCCTCCCATCTCAGCCTCCCAAAGTGCTGGGATTACAGGCATGAGCCACTGCACTGGACCATCACTGTTTTTTTTGTTTGTTTTGTTTTTAAGAGATGGGGTCTTGCTTTGTTATCCAGGCTGGTCCCAAAGTCCTGGGCTCAAGCAATCCTCCTGCCTTAGCCTCACAAAGTGTTGGGATTATAGGTGTGAGCCACCATGCCCAGCCTATTTTCTTTTGTAAAATGAGAATATACTGTTTTACTCATTTAAGTATAATGAGGATTAAGACGTGTACAAGATGCCTAGTGCAGTGCCTCACATGTGTGGATACACAGTAAATGTTAGATGCTTTCCCTAATCCTGTTGTAGCAAATTCTTGCTTTTCTTTCTGCATCAGACACATCTCAATCTTGGTAACCTGTAACATTGCTGGCCTCAGGGATGTAGGTATATTACATTTCCTCTGATTTCTGTTTGGCTATCTGATAGTAAGCTAATGATACTTTCTCTATTGGGGTAAAAAGTAATTACTTTGTTTATAGTATTGTTGTTTTTTTTTTTTTTTTTTTTTAAGAGACAGGGTCTTGCTCTGTCGCCAAGGCTGGAGTGCGGTGGCATGGTCACGGCTCACTGCAACCCCCACCTCCCCGGGTTCAAGCGATTCTTCTGCCTCAGCTTCCCAAGTAGCTGGGACTACAGGTGTGCGCTACCACGCCCAGCTAATTTTTGTAATTTTTAGTAGAGATGGGGTTTCACCATATGTTGGCCAGGCTGGTCTCAAACTCCTGACCTCAGGTGATCCGCCTGGCTCGGCTTCCTAAAGTGCTGGGATTACAGGTGTGAGCCACTGTGCCCGGCCATAATGTTATTATAGGTAAATAATTCACTTCAGTCTCAAGCCAGAATACTATATCTTTTTCTCCCTCTTGCCCATAAAATTTCAAACTAAAGTGTTGGAAGAGAACAAGAATAGAATGTTAGTTAATGAATAAATGCTTCTTGCTGTTTATTTTTAAAAGCTATTGAGATAAACCTATATTTTATTATTTTAATGGAAATAGTAAGGTTTTTGTGGTGTGTGAGTTCTTTTTCCCACGACAATTTGAGTCTGTGGCCCCTGGTAAAAAAATATCCCTGCTAGTTTGTTTTCAGTGGTAAAGCCTTGAGGCATTTTGAGAGCATCAGCACAATCCATGTGAGCTCCCAGTTGGAATTTTCATTCTTTTTAAGGAAAGTGGTCATCTCATGTATATTGACAAATACCCTTTAAAAATTCTTTGGCAGCTTAAGACTGGGTATGCAAGAGGACTTAGAGGAAATGAGACGTGAAGAAGAAGAAATGCAACGTCGAAGGGCCAAGAAGCTGAAGAGGCGTTAGCTGCTGCTTTTATTTTTGTGAAATTCTAGAGCTGCTCTGCTGCAAGGATTTCCTGCCTTCAGACTGAAGAAGCCCCCTTATCATTTTAGATTTATACTTGGGTACTCAAGGAGAAGGAATGCATACTGTCATTTGCAGGCTGTCATTTGAGCATAAAATATTTTCAGATATTTTCCAGGGTGAAATCTGTAATGCAGATGATATAATGCCCACTTGTGCTCTTATGAAGTTAACTGTTCACAGATGCCAGCCTTGATCCTGATGAGCTATGCACTCTAATGTGGGGCCACTCACCAGTCAGCCAATCTTTTATTGTTCCTTTGCTACTTTGAAAGGAAAAAAAAGGTTGTCTCTTGATTTCTGTAATTCTTCTGCTGATCTGTGAGTAGGGCACTGCCCTGCTCCCAATCAAACTTAGTCTTTTTATGAGAAACCTGGACCTTCCATGAATGTTGCCAGCAATAAAGTGACTTGTCCTAATCTATGGATTGAGAACTTGAAAATGTAGAGTAGAATTTATAACTATCATATGGATGTCATCCTGTGACTTTGAAGTACAAAGTAGAATAAATTCTGTATTCATGGATTGGATGCTGAGCATTCTTACTCATTAATTTAGGTGGCTAGGAATTAATGAAAAAATTTTCAAGTTAAAATACAGGTTATAACAGTATAATATTCTTTTCTAAGTTTTCCTTTCAGATTTACTGTTATGTTGGCTTTAGTGTAAGACAAGGTCACTGTGCTGATTGATTTTTATCTAAAAAAATTCATTTTTATATCGAAGAAAAAATATTTTATTCAAACATTAGATTTGAAAGAGTAATAGTTTATAAAATAAGGAAGTAACATGTGAGGCTCTCCCCTCCTCCCCTCCCCCATCATAAAGATATTTTGAAATCCCAAGGTGCCCTCATACCTCTTGACATTAATGACTTCATTTTTTAGCTTGAATTTGTTAGCAAATATTAATGGCAGAAAACCAAAAACTAAATTTATGGTATCGAGAGCACCACCTTCTCTTTTTGCCCATATTGCACTTTGATTTCAAACTATGCACTGTGAAGAGATTTTTTTCCCCAGGTAGGAAGGGATGTTCCCTGTTATCGTTATTTTACTGAGCTGTGGAAACTCATTTTTACCCTTTTTAAAGTCATAAATATGGACTTAATAGCCCTTAACCTTCAAGTCCAAGCAGTTCCAATCAGGCTGACTTAGGATCATGCTGGAAGGAAGCCAAGTCTCAAGAACTGTCAGCAACAGAAAATGAGATATGATGCTAGAGAGCATTTGTCCTTGACTGTAAGTACAGAGGCTTAGGGGAAGTGAGACATAAGCTTGTAGGAATAATAAACGTTCTACAATAAACGTTTTGGCTATCTTAAGCCATTGTATGGGGGGGATTAGGAAGTAGGAGGGATTGTCCTACAACAGGCCCTTATACTTCAACAGCCCAAATATTTTGGTTTATTCCTTTTTATCCATAAAGTCTTTATTCTTCAAGTTTGGGTATTATAGATTACCATTGTTAGCCTCCCTTAATGGGACCATATGAGCCAGGCTTTTAAGACGGACTCATTTTGAATTGAGTTTCAAACTTTGAAAGTGCAAGGATTTAATTTTTAAGTTGAATCCCATGAAAGGTGTCATCATCACTAGGAATAACACCCTTTGTAACTACATATAGAACTGTTACAATGGTAGCAGAAAATCCTATTGATTTCATCTCACCCATTTCAGATACCTTCAGTGAAATTAAGGGTAGTGTGATGTCCCATGTAATAAAACAGGCTTAGAACATCAATTCCTCTGCTGCCATTTATGTGCTTTTATTCCCCCTTCAAAAATTTTTTATTGGATATATATATTTTTCAGTATTCAGACTCTGAAATCTGTCATTACAATCAAGTGCTTGTCACAGCTGAAAGATTTCTGGTGGCTTAAAGTTTACTAGCAGTAAATTTATGATATGGTACAGTTCTTTGTACAGAAAGGCACCATTATGTTAGAATAAATTTCCAGAACTTAGTGGGAAGAATCAGGTTTTAACCTTGTGTGTCTGTTACTTCTGAGTGCATTTCTATAATATAAATGTTGATTTGCGTCAACATTATAAAAGAGCACTTCTGTGGCTCATTTAAAAGAAAAAAAAGGTTAAGTCTTTTAAATTTTGGCCTTGTTTCCAAATCCTGTCTTCCATGTTGTTTTTCTGCACTTCCTGACCACTCTTATAAAAAGCTCACAAACCTTTGAAGAAACTGGAGTAGGCTGTTATTTCATTAAGGTTTACAAATTAAATGCTTGATTTTTAATGTATTCTCTACTGTTTTGATTTTTGGATTTTCTTAATTCAACATTTGAAGATGTGCCTTTTGGGTAATGTTAATCACGAATGTAGTAATATTTCATGATTGTAATAATGTTACATGATCATGGGTGTGGCATTCTCTAACAAATGATGTGAAAGGAAAGTAGTTTTCATAAAACTCATGGCTCTGATTGCACAGTCCCACTTGCTTTTGATATTGCTATGTCAAAGCAAAGGGCACTTCTTTTAAGGCTACTTTCAGAACTTTGTATTTTCGCTAAACTATAAATGCAGTTGTGTCCAGTTGGAGGCCAGGGTACCACATGTCACAGGCGGCCTTACATGTGTGCCGTGAAAAGGTTCAAAGACCGTTAACAAAAAAGTAAGTCTGGCCGGGCATGGTGGCTCAAGCCTGTAATCCCAGCACTTTGGGAGGCCGAGGCGGGCGGATCACTTGAGACCAGGAGTTCGAGACCAGCCTGGCCAACATGGTGTGAGACCCCGTCTCTACTAAAAATAAAAAAATTAGCCGGGTGCGGTGGCACACACCTGTAATCCCAGCTACCGGGGAGGCTGAGGCAGGAGAATCGCTAGAACCTGGGAGGCGGAGGTTGCAGTCAGCCAAGATAGCACCACTGCACTCCAGGCTGGGTGACAGAGCGAGACTCCATGTCAAAAAAAAAAGAATGTGGGAACTCAAATTTTCATTTTTAATGTAATCCCCAAGATTTTCTCCAAGAAATAAATTGTTGTTTTGTATTTTGTAACTTAAAAGCAGCTATTGGTAAATTTCTGAGATATAGCAGGAGACCAAAACATGTTTGGAAAGAGAATAAATATATGAAGAGAGACTGGTTGTTTTATTTTCAATGTATTGAATATATTAGACTACTATTTATTTTCTGAGTGGATGTGATTAAATATTCAGACGTTTAGTGTATGATTAAGAGTGAGATAGAGATTTCTTTGGAGTAATTAAATCCATCCTGTCTTTTACACAATGGACAAATCAAGTTAAAAAAATTTTTAGATAGCTTAGCTTGTTTTCTGGTGCTGTTGACCTGCAAGAGAATATACTTTTGCATATACAGGTGAAAGTTTTGCAATTTATGTATACAAGAAATTGTAGGCATTAAAAATATTTTATTGATATTTTTGCTGGTTTGCATTTATTGATTAAAACTTTGAGATATTCTTTATCTCATCACCCTGAACATTTTTCCAGCTAGAAACCTCGGTATACTCATCACACTTCAGAGATATGGTTTGCCTATTGCACACACTCCTCTGCTTATTCTCCCTTACACATTCATGTCTGCTCTAACATGATAGAGCTTCTCTCCCCCTACCAGCTTAGAGAACTGTTCTGCTCTCTGACCCATGTTGGGAGAACTGTTAGGTGGTCAGAGCAATGGAATCTTTTAGTGGCTCAAGTTTTGGAAGTTTACTCAAATGGAGGGAGGACACAGCTGGGTATATGGTTCCTCTTGTCAAAATGAGCAGGGTCCTATCTCTTATGATAAAAGCAGCTTGAGATGGCTGAGAAGAGGAGTCCTTAGAAATGTATATGAGGCAGGCTGGGCACAGTGGCTCACACCTGTAATCCCAGCACTTTGGGAGGTAGAAGCAGGTGGATCACTTGAGGCTGGGAGTTCGAGACCAGCCTGGCCAACATGGCAAAACTCCGTCTCTACTAAAAATACAAAAATGTGGCGTGCGTTGTAATCCCTGCTACTCAGGGGGCTGAGGTATAAGAATCACTTAAACCTGGGAGGTGGAGGTTGCAGTGAGCCGAGATTGCACCACTGCACTCTATCCTGGGTGACAGAACGAGACTGTCTCAAAAAAAAATGTATTACGAGGCAAATGGGCAGAGCTATACAGCCAGAGGATGTAAGTACTTAACTCACTGGAAAATGTTGAGTCTAAATCACATAAGAAATAGAAGATGCTAGTATCCTAGAGTCAGAAATTACTAAAGTTTTGCTTATGGATTTTGAATTTATTTTCTTTCCATTAAAAAAAGGTAATCCATTAATTGCAAAGAGCCACTTACAAATAGTTAAGCAAACTTCCCAAATAACAAAATGTTTTCTATGTAAACAAAAGATCTGCTTTGCTGGAAAAGGTATACTTCTTTTGAATACTGGAACTGTATCAGTCATCCTCAGAATGGGTACAGTTCCATACAATTTGTTTTTAAAGTATTTACTCCTGTTAGGTCTCTCTCAGGCTCCCATCTTTTCAGTAGTCATGAAAAAGAATTATCAGGCAACTTCCTGGGTTTTCTTTTCTCTTTTTTTTTTTCTTTTTGAGACAAGGTCTTGCTTTGTCACCCAGGCTGGAGTGCAGTGGTGCAATCTCGGCTCACTGTAACCCCCACCTCCCGGGTTCAAGCAATTCTGCCTCAGCCTCCCAAGTAGCTAGGATTACTGGTGCCCACCACCACACCTGGCTAATTTTTGTATTTTTAGTAGATACGGGGTTTCACCATGTTGGCCAAGCGGGTCTCGAACTCCTGACCTCAAGTGATCCGCCTGCCTCGGCCTCCCAAAGTGCTGGGATTACAGGTGTGAGCCACCACGCCTGGCCTAACTTCTTGGGTTTTCAGGTGAGGGAGACATTTAAACAGCAAGATCTTGGATATCCCACAGTCTCTTGTTTGGCTCTTTTCCTTGGCACATGAAAGTGTGAAGGGAGAAGGCCTGGATCTTAATCTTGACTCTGCAGCCCAGGGCTGTGTGTGTTGGCAAGATAAACATGCCCCTCAACTTCATTTTTGCCATTTTGTAAGATGAGGCTAATAGCTTCAGAAGGTTATTTTAAGGATTAGGATAATTATACTTCAGTATTTAACCCTAATATTAAAAATGAGTTTCTTACCCCACATGGTATAAGCTTAGGGTTCTTTTTTTTTTTTCTTTTGAGACTGAGTCTCACTCTGTCACCCAGGCTGGAGTGCAGTGGCCGATCTCAGCTCACTGCAACCACTGCCTCCCGAGTAGCTGGGACTACAGACGTGCCACCACACCACGCCCTAGCTAATTTTTTGTATTTTTAGTAGAGACGGGGTTTCACCATGTTGGCAAGGCTGGTCTTGAACTCCTGACCCTAGATGATCCACCTGTGTTGGCCTCCCAAAGTGCTGAGATCACACGTGTGAGCCATCGCGCCAGGCAAAACTAGGTATCTTAATGCCAGTCTTAGAGACCATGTAGCAGAAGGACCCAATTGTCTCCCATCCACTCAACTACTTCCCCACCCTCTGTCTCTCTGTTACAAGCTAACAGAATACTAAGTCTTCATTCATCTTAAAAAATGCGGTAATGCCGGGCACATTGGCTCACGCCTGTAATCCCAGCACTTTGGGAGGCCGAGGCGGGCAGATCATGAGGTCAGGAGATCGAGACCATCCTGGATAACACGGTGAAACCCCGTCTCTACTAAAAACACAAAAAAATAGCCAGGCGTGGTGGCAGGCGCCTGTAGTCCCAGCTACTCTGGAGGCTGAGGCAGGGGAATGGCATGAACCCGGGAGGCGGAGCTTGCAGTGAGCCGAGATCGCGCCACTGCACTCCAGCCTGGGCGACACAGCGAGACTCTGTCTCAAAAAAAAAAAAAAAAAAAAAAAAAAAGTGCGGTAACTTCTTAACATAAAATATGACAAAATAATGTGCAATTACTTTATGTGAAACCAACAACAGGAACTGTACAGCTGGTCAGGTGAGCTTCACAGCTGCATTACTTCACCAGGATCATCCTTGCTTACTTCCACTGGAGTCTGTGGGGGAAAAAAGAAAGTGTGTGTCATGCAGGCCTAGTGGTTTCTAGTGTGGGGGCTTAGGCATTTGGCCTCCCAGGCAAGGACTGGCAGGGGAGGTTACCTCCAATTCTGTCTCACCTAATGCCTCTGATCCCGGATGCAAGGGGAGCTTAGCACTGGGGAGCTGACAAGAGGCAGAGAAAAGACAGAAATTCCAAGGTCTAGCAGGAGGAGAGAGAAAAGAGACATCTGCCACCAGATCCCTTTTACAGACTAGTGTTTACTTGTGGAAGAGAGAAGTTTGGATTTCTGAAGTGGACTGATCCTTAGGAAATGGCATCAAAGACTGGGCATACAAAATGTCCATTAGCACAACAGAGACAAGACTGCCCAACTCAGAAAGCTTTGACTCTGGGCCTTAAAGATCACGTGAAAGAAAATGGGAACCCTCCCAACAGCTACAGTAACTTTAAAAAAATAATAAAAGTATTTGTTTCTAATGTTACTAGAGTTGGATTTTCATACTTAGTTTGTTTTGGGGGCGGGAATACATTTCAAAGTAGGAATAGAGAACAAAGTTGAAGGTACACTTACCCCTCCTGGGGGATATTTATATCCCTTCCACATGGTTCCTGCAATGAGAAGCATCCATAAGACAACAATCATCATGAGGCTTCTTTCTCAGCTGGTGGTGTACCCACGAAGAAACAAGTGCTTCTGGAAGGTGCAGTGTTCTATTCCCTGAGTCGTAGGAATCCAGATGGTGGATGGCCCAGCATGGCAGCTCCTCACTAAGGAGCTTCGTGGCCTAGTCTGAATTGAAGTGGCTCCTCATGGCCATTTAGGGGGGCAGAGCTCAGACACCAATTATGATATCAGCTCCTGTAACCTTGGCAACCCAGTCAGCATGAGCACCTATGGGATGGTTGGCCAGGGTGCTAGATGCGTTGGGTTAAAGAAAATTTATCAAAAGGGCCCTGTGCTCTGGTGTGTCTGTGATTTGGACCTAGCTGGCAGTATACTCATTAACTCGTCACCTGCCAAAATGTTTAACTATTGGCTTTGTGCAATCAGATGCTATGCAAAAGAAAAAAAGCCTGGATTCATTAAGAGAATTAGCTGGCTAGGTATGCCATGAGCAAATAACTTAATATGCTATTGTTAGGCTGTTCAAAAAAGAAATCTTTCATTTTATAAAATGGTACAGTTAAACTCTTAACATGTAGGGTGAGCCTATTTACAACTTTCCTGAGAAGGGAAGAGAAGGAAGATGGGCTGTCTGTTTACTCATTTCGCAGCTGGAGAAAGTGAGGCACAGAATAGTTTAAGTGGTCTGGTCAGGACTGCCACAAAGTTCTGACTGCTTTGGGCTAATGCATTCACAGAAATCCTGGGGCAGATGGAGATAAAAACCCCAACCATCAAGTCCTGCTCTTAGTATACCTGGGGCTGGGGCTAAACACCCCTAACTTCTGGAGTAGCTTCCAAAAAACCTTCTGCTCCTGTAATCAGTATATTATTAAAACTCTCCGAGTTAAGTTTCTCTAACAATAGGCACAGCTCTGAAAAAAAACAGGTCTGAATGAAATGGGGTGAAACGTTAAGAAACCCAGGAGCTGGTCTGCTAAGGGCACTGCCATTAGTGTTTCCTGTAGGCAGGCTGGTCTAGTGGAATGAGTATGGGAGGCTATGAAGTCCAGAGACAGAGAAATGTGCTCGCATCCCACCTTTACCAACGAGCTACTGTGTGTGGCCTCAGGTAAATAGTTGAGGTCACTGTCACCAGTAAATCTTTGTTGACTGGTTCATTATTTGCTTGTTGTTAAGTTAGTATTTTACTAAATGCTAATTTTTGAGCTTTGCATTAAATGCTTTACATTAATTCCCAAATATAATCTTCACAAAAATAGTGATATCTCCTGTTGTACAGAAGAAACTTCGAAACTGAAGTTCAAAGAAACTAATTAAACTTTCCCAAGGTCACGTAGCTAGAAAGTCACAAAGTTAGGACCTAAACCCAAGTTCAATGTTAACTCCAGTTTCAGTATCTGCCAAAAGGGACGTTAAAAATGCTGGTCCTGGCAAGGCACGGTGGTTTATGCCTGCAATCCCAGCACTCTGGGAGGCCAAGGCTGGGGGACCACTTGAGGCCTGGAGTTCAAGACCTGCCTGGGCAACATAGTGACACCTTGTCTCTAAAAAAATAAAAAAAAAATTAGCCAGGCATGGTGGCATGTGCCTGAGGATCAGCTACCCAAGAAGCTGAGATGGGAAGACTGCTTGCACCTCACTCCAGCCTGGGTGGCAGAGCAAGACCTGTTTCAGAAAAAAAAAAAAAAAAAAGAATGCTATTAATAGTATAATATATTACAGTGTTGTGAGGAGAAAAATAATAGATGGGAACAGTCTTCAAAACAACACCTATGAGACATGGTTATTAATAGACAACTTTGGCCTGCTGTCCTCAGCAGTACTCACCAAATCATTTCCCCTTCCACAGTTTATTATATTTTCCAGAGGAATAAACATTCTCCACTGAGACTTCAGGGTGCTACCAAGTACTTTGGAAAGGGAGGAATCCAACCCACCAGACCTGACCACCCACTTACTGCAGCAGATCTTCACCTAAAGCCCGCCTCCTCAGTTGTGTTTTGCTCTCCTGAACAGGCCACCTCTCCTGCCACTTCAGAGTTGGAGGCTGAATCAGAAAGAAAATTTGAGGGCAGAGATGGCTCTACTCATTGGCCCAGTGGGTAACCACTCTGTGTGGTGACCAGAAGGGCTGCTAAAAGGTCCCACCAATCCCTACCGTCCCCCTTCCTACCAATAACCACTGATCCACTTGGCCTGCAATCCGCAAGTCAAATACGGTCTCCAGCAGACCCCTTGCAAATTCCATAGTGCTTTGAAACAAGTACAGCTATATATGCAAGGGAGGGGGAAACAAAAAAAGACTTAAAAGGATGTCCTGGCCGGGCGCAGTGGCTCACGCCTGTAATCCCAGCACTTTGGGGAGCCGAGGCAGGCGGATCACGAAGTTAGGAGATCTAGACCATCCTGGCTAACACAGTGAAACCCCGTCTCTACTAAAAATACCAAAAATTAGCCAAGCATGGTGGTGGGAGCCTGTAGTCCCAGCTACTCGGGAGGCTGAGGCAGGAGAATGGCATGAACCCAGGAGGCAGAGCTTGCAGTGAGCCGAGATCGCACCACTGCATTCCAGCCTGGGCGACAGAGCAAGACTCCGTCTCCAAAAAAAAAAAAAAAAAAAAAAAAAGGATGTCCCCAGCCAGGCGTGGTGGCTCATGCCTGTAATCCCAGCACTTTGGGAGGCCGAGGTGGGTGGATCACCTGAGGTCAGGACTTTGAGACCAGCCTGACCAACATGGAGAAACCCTGTTTCTACTAAAAACACAAAATTCGCCAGGCGTGGTGGTGCATGCCTGTAATCCCAGCTGCTCAGGAGGCTGAGGCAGGAGAATCGCTTGAGCCTGAGAGGCGGAGGTTGCAGTGAGCCGAGATCGCGCCACTGCACTCCAGCCTGGGCAACAAGAGCAAAACTCCATCTCAAAAAATAATAATAATAATAAATAAAAAATAAAAAAGGATGTCCCTAGTGGGATGGGAAGTAGCCCGGTAGCCTGGGACACTAACTTTGTTCCCATCACATTCTGACTTCCAGTTAGTGGTGAGACCTCAACTATCTTTCCCATTTGGTCAGAAAACCCAGACAGGAAGATGAGCCAGCACAGGACTGACCACCAGGGATTTACAGGCAGAGCCATTACTTACCATCAACTCTGGAAACGTGCCCATGTAACACACAAGTCCAACAAAAAACATCCAGCCAAGCACAATCATGATCAAACGTAAAACAATTTCTAAGATAAAATTGCACAGTGAAAGACTATTCACCAAGATCTTGGCAAAGGAGTGCGCTCACGAAACCTTCAGTTGGTAGAGGTCTCGCATGTCTGTTCGAGTCTTTGGCTCCAAAGGATCCACAACTCCCTAGTGGAGAAGCTGAAATCTAGTAGGGCATTGTGACATCATTGACCATATGGCCCAGACTCAAAACACACCAGAGACACTGCCCCCAGACCAGCAGCTGAGCAGCAAACAGCAACACTATGAAGTAGGCATTATTGTTAACCCCATTTCACTAATCAGAAAACTAAGGCTTAGACTACAGCCTAAGTGACCCGCACTACAGCACATAGCTGATGCTCCAGATCAGGGCCAAGACTTAGGACTCAGCTGCCTCTTGGGCAGCTGGGCTCTTTACACTAGAGGCAGAGATTTGGAAAGGTGTTTTGCTGCTAGGTGTACGACATGTGAACGAAACAAACTGAATTACAGGTAAATGAGACAGATGTCTCTATTTCTGTCCCTGCAAAACCTCCTCTCCCCATGTCAAGGGGATCCTCAGCATGATGGTATATCCACATCTTCATCACCTTGGATTAGTTCCTCTCCATTGATTCTCTTTTCTTGGCCATCATGAAGCCACAGGTACCCCTGTCCTTTCCTCAAAAAAACTTCCAGATGATACTGTGGCTCCTTCCCTGTCTTATTTCTTAATTTCCTTTTATGACCAAACTTCCTAAACAAGTGGTCCATACTCAAAGCTTTTTCCAATCTACGCCTCTTCCATGCATTACATTCTGACTTCTAGCCCCACCCCACTATTAGACACCCTCTCAGAGGTCACCAAAGATATTTTTTGCTTTTCTGCTACAACATCATGGACATTTAATGTATTTTTCATCTCTACAATTTTTTTTTTTTTGAGACAGAGTCTTGCTCTGTCGCCCAGGCTGGAGTGCAGTGGTGCAATCTCAGCTCACTGCAACCTCCGCCTCCTGGGCTCAAGTGATTCTCCTGCCTCAGCCTCCCAAGTAGCTGGGATTAGAGGCACCCGCCACCACGCCTGGCTAATTTTTGTATTTTTAGTAGAGATGGTGTTTCACCATGTTGGCCAGGCTGGTCTCGAACTCCTGACCTCAGGTGATCCACCCGCCTCAGCCTCTCAAAGTCCTGGGATTACAGGCATGAGCCACCGCGCCTGGCCTGTTGTGATATTTCCTGCTTCTTTAAATGTCTTACAACTTTTGATTAGATGTTGAACATGGTAAATTTTATTGCCGAGTGCTGGATTTTGTTGTATTCAACAGTGTTAAATTTTATTCTAAGGTGCACTTAAGTTACTTGCGATCAGTTTGATTCTTCTGAGGCTTGTTTGAAGCTTTATGATAGGCCAGGAGCAGCCTTTACTCTAGGGTTAATATCCGCACTGCTGAGTTAATGACCATTTTCTCTGAGCACCTTCTCTGAGGCTGATTGTATTAGAGCTTTTTTTTTTTTTTTTTTTTTTTTTTGGAGACAGAGCTTTGCTCTTGTTGCCCAAGCTGGAGTGCAAGGGCGTGATCTTGGCTCACTGCAACCTCCGCCTCCTGGGTTCAAGTGATTCTCCTGCCTCAGCCTCCTGAGTAGCTGGGATTACAGGCATGCACCACCACGCCCGGCTAATTTTGTATTTTTAGTAGAGACAGGGTTTCTCCACGTTGGTTAGTCTGGTCTCGAACTCCTGACCTCAGGTGATCCGCCCGCCTCAGTCTCCCAAAGTGCTGGGATTACAGGTGTGAGCCACTGTGCCCGGCATAGATCTTCCAAATCTGTGGAATGTTCCACAATTCCCTGCCCTTCAGGAACTCCAAGAAGTGTTTGGCCGACTGCTTTTGGGTGGATCTTTTCCAGGCCTCATCGAGTTTTATCCCATATATGTGCAGACAGAACTCAGCCAAAGACTTATAAGGGCCCCTGTGGAAATCTACAGAGCTTTCTCCATGGAGATCCCTCTTCTTAGCACTCCATCCTGCAAATTCTGGCCTCTGCTGTATTTTGCTATCTTTCTCTTCAACTCAGTGAAATGCTCAGTTGGGTAACTCCTTTCTGTGCCACAGTCTGAAAACTGCCTCCTGGCTGGAGCAATTGTAGGACTCACCGTCACTGGTTTCCTTTCTCTCAAAGTACACAGTTTTGTGCTGTCTCTTGTACAAGATCTGAAAACAATTATTTCATGTTTTGTGCAATTTTCTATTTATGAAGAGAAGGTAATTTCTGTAACAGTTGATCCTTCACAGGCAGAAGCAGAAGTGTATGTTCTTCTTTTTGGAGACAGTCTTGCTTTGTTGTCAAGGCTGGAGTGCAGTGGCACAGTCACAGATCACTGCAGCCTTGAACTCCTGGGCTCAAGCAATCCTCCCACCTCAGCCTCCCAAGTAGCTGGGACTACAAGTGCGCACCACCATGCCTGGCTAATTTTTTTTTTTTTTTGTAAAGGCAGGGTCTTGCTATGTTGACCAGGCAGGTCTCAAACTCCTGGGCTCAAGTAAGCCTCTTGCCTCGTCCTCCCAAAGGGCTGAGATTACAGGCATAAGCCACTGTGCCTAGCTTAGGTTATTCTTTTTTAATTCTTGCACAATATTCTAGTTTATTTCATCTTGCTCCCAATGATACAGTAGGTCAAGTCCAGTCAGGAGACAGAAAACCAGACAGTAATTTGAAAATTTTAATAAAGAGAATTATCAACTAGGAGCAAGTGACCGACTATAGAAGGGGTAGAAAGTGTTACATATTACAGGAATAGCATATATAGGGAGCAGCCACTACCTCTAGGGCTGAGGCAAAGTACCCAAGGAAGAAATAAATTTGGAATAGTCCCCTCCCCTCCAGGGCTGAGATCCAAAACATGTTGGAGGAGTTGTGGACATGACCAACTGGACGGTAGAGGTCTAATGAGCTGCTGCAGGCTAAAGCTGGCAATGGGTGCTTGTGGAACTCACTGGTCAATTGTCTCAGTGACACAGGTGTGGAAGAAGTCCGCAGTGGAGCCACTGATACTTGACACGGTGAGTGCCACTAGAAGTCCCCATATATGCCACTGGCAGCCACACAGAATCACGAATAGACACACACTGGAACTAAGAAGAGAAAGCCCTTCCTCTTGTAGTATCCTCTGAAGGCCCTCTACTGACAAAACGTTAGCCTGTCCACTAACGAGGAAGAAATGCTTACAGGGCCCAGCTTCATTATGGTAGAGCAAGCAATAAATGATGGATTTGGAACTGAAAGGCAATAAATAACTGGCATAATATGCATTAGGATTTTTTTCCCAATTTTTACCATCATAAACAATGCTGTGATTGTTAAAATTTCTGGCCCTGGGCTTGTGGTAGTGCCACGGAGATGGCAGAAGCAGAGGAGCTGGAGCAGGAACTTGCAATGAAGGTCGAGACTGCCCACGCACATCCATGCTACCCTTGGCCAGAAGAATGGATGGTGGGTCCTGGGTCCTGGGTCCTGGGTCCTGAAGACAACTCCCTGACCACTGAAGCTTTTTGTGGCACTGGGCATGGGTGTGATGGATGGCAAGACAGGGCTGTTCCGAGGTCTGAGCCCCCAACTGATGTGACCCCTCTCCTTTGTAACCAGGGGCAGCGTGAAGGTTTTCCCTCCAGATGAAATCAAGCAGGTTTCCAATAAGGATGGATATGAAGACTTCTCTGAAGCAAGCAGTGAAGGAGACCTCCTAGGGGATGATGATGCAGTGTGCGTCCTGTATGTTGGCCCACCCCCTGCATGCCATCTTGATGTGCTGCATGGTCTAATTTGTGGGATGGGAGGTTAAGTACAGTGGTGTGCTGAGCTCCACTGGGAAGATTTTCAAAGAGAAAGGGCCACTGGGATTCTTTGTTGGCTTGATCCCTCATGTCCCGGGTGAAGTAGTTTTCTTGTGAGGCTATAACCTGCTGGCCCACTTTATCAATGCCCACCTGGCGGATGACAGAGTGAGTGACACCTAGAGGGGCTGAGAAATGACCAGAATCGGGGTTCCCAGTTAGGCCAGGCCCTGACCATCCAAAGCTACACCAAGTTTGTGATGGAGATCGCAGTGAGCATGCTGACCTACCCTTTCCTGCCAGTTGGCAGCCTCATGGCTGTGAACAACTGCAGGCCGCAGGCTGGGCCCTCTCCTTACTCCCTGGTGTTCAAATCCTGGATTTACTGCTGTAAGTACCTGAGTGTGCAGGGCCAGCTCTTCTGAGGCTCCAGCCTGCTTTTCCCCACGTGTCATCAGGATCATGCTTTCGCCTGGAGCAACGTGAATCATCTTTAAAAAAAAACAACTGCTGTCTCAACATGGCCACTGTGGGTGAGGCCTGATTATCTCAGGATATCTGCAAGATGACTCCAATGCAGCAACAACCAGATGTGCTCCAGCCCAGCTGGGCTTCAGTTTCCATATTTGCCATGTGTTTGTCCAGATGTGGGGTCAGGTGGGGGTGGGGCTGCACCCTGGGGATTAGATCGCCTGCCAAACCTGGGGGAGGTGGGGCTAGGTGGGGAATTGGCAGAATCCCCATACCTCCCAGATTTGCTGAGTCTGCCTTGTCCAGAGGGCCAGAGAACGGCTTTTGGAGGCCCAGATTGGATGGGGAAAGCCTAATCAGGTCAGATCCCACCCCTGTCCAAGCCCCCAGTTGGTCCAGCTCCTATCTTGCAGCTCAGCTGAAAGCATCATTCTTCTGCACAAGGCCACTAGCATGTTTCAGCCTGTGCTAGGAGGCAAATGCTAGGCTCTGCCTTTATTTTTCTCAACACTACTTTTGATACAAGGGCAGTATCTTCCTCTGAATAGCTAATCATGTGATTAGTCAGAATGCATCCCCCTCATCTAATGCTCATGTATTTACTGGTGATGCCTTGTGTGCAGGATAAATACCCAGAGGTTAGGCAGATCAGTGTGTCTAGTCCTACCTAGCTTAAAAGTTCATAAGGCCAGGCGCAGTGGCTCACGCCTGTAATCCCAGCACTTTGGGAGGCCGAAGTGGGTGGATCACTTGAGATCAGGAGTTTGAGACCAGACTGGTCAACATATAGTGAAACCCCATGTCTACTAAAAATACAAAAAAGATTAGCTGGGCGTGGTGGTGGGCACCCATAATCCCAGCTACTCGGAAGGCTGAGGCAGGAGAATCTCTTGAACCCAGGAGTTAGAGGTTGCAGTGAGCTGAGATTGCGCCACTGCACTCCAGCCTGGGCAACACAGCGGGACTCCGTCTCAAAAAAAAAAAAAAAAGTTAGTGGTAAGATTTGACCCCATCTCCTGCAAATAAATGAATAAATGTATTGGTGGTGAAAAAAATTTTTTTTCTTCAACAAATTTCTAATCATGGCCAATTTTTTTCTTGTTAACCAGGGAAGCAAAAAGATGACAAGAAAGTATGCAAGTTCAGGCTGGGTGCAGTGGCTCATGCCTGTAATCCCAGCACTTTGGGAGACCAAGGTGGGTGGATCACCTGAGATGAGAAGTTCTAGACCAGTCTGGCCAACAGGGCAAAATCCCATCTCTACTAAAAATACAAAAATTAGCCGGGTGTGGTAGCGCATGCCTGTAATTCCAGCTACTCGAGAAGCTGAGGCAGGAAAATCACTTGAACCTGGGAGGCAGAGGTTGCAGTAAGCTGAGATTGCGCCACTGCACTCCAGCCTGGGTGACAGAGGAGACTCTATCTCAAAAAAAAAAAAAAAAAAAAAAAAAGAGTATGCAAGTTTAGACACAGTATGAAAATGCAGAGGCTGTATAAAATCCTTACGGGCCCAGTGCAGTGGCTTAGGCCTGTAATCTCAGCACTCTGGGAGGAGGAGGCAGGTGGATCACCTGAGGCCAGGAGTTCGAGATCAGCCTGGCAAACATGGTGAAACCCCATCTCTACTAAATATACAAAAAATTAGCTGGGCATGGTGGCGGGTGCCTGTAATCCCAGCTACTCAGGAGGTGAAGGCATGAGAATTGCTTGAACCTGGGAGGCAGAGGTTGAAATAAGCAGAGACTGCAGCACTGCACTCCAGCCTGGGCGACAGAGGAGACTCTGTCTCAAAAAATAATAAAATAAAATAAAATAAAATAAAATCCTTACAAAAAGAATTAGCTTAAGAAAAATTGCAGTTTTAATTCACAATATCATAAAAACATAGGTTGTTACAAAGGATATTTCAGGAAGAATGACCTGAGATACAAAATTGCTGTCAATGAACACAACAGTTAAGTTCTATACATTTAAGAAGTATATGATAGGCCAGGTGCGGTGGCTCACTCCTGTAATCCTAGCACTTTGGGAGGCAGAGGTGGGTGGATCACCTGAGGTCAGGAGTTCGAGACCAGCCTGACCAACATGGTGAAATCCTGTTTCTACTAAAAATTCAAAAATTAGCCAGGTATGGTGGTGCACACCTGTAATCTCAGCTTCTCGGGAGGCTACAACAGGAGAATCACTTGAACCCAGGAGGCAGACGTTGCAGTGAGCCAAGATTGTGCCACTGCACTCTAGCCTGGGCGACAGAGCAAGACTCCATCTCAAAAAAAAAAAAAAAAAAGAAGTATATGATAAGAATACATATATGTGTGATATCTGGAATAACAAGGTTTTGTCCCCTAATATGTCTGCTAGGGCCAATAATCATGAAAGCAACAAAGGGTATAAAGAGAGATCAGAAGTACAGCACCAAAAAAAAAAAAAAACAAGCTCTAATTTTAAACAAGCCATTTTTGTGTTTTTTCTAAAACTTACAAAGATGCAGCATATACACTTTTCCCATTTCTTAGTTTGGGACATTTTTGCCCCTTTTAACATTATTAACATCTTTGTACATATATCCTGAGTACTTTTATTTCTGTAAGACAGATTCCCAATGTGGCATTATGGGGTCAAAGGTCCAAGACTACTCTGCCCAAAGGTTGTAGCAAATTATGATCCCACCAACGACACTTGGGGTCTAGCAGACTTCAGTAAATCTACAAACATTCCAGAAACTGGACACAAAACAAACTGTATACATGAGTATGTATACAGGGACAGGTCTATATCTTCAACAGATTTTTTTTTGAGACACGATCTTGCTCTGTCACCCAGGCTGGAATGCAGTGGCACAAACACAGCTCAGTGCAGCCTCAGCCCCCTGGGCGCAAGAGATCCTCCTGCTCTAGTTTCCCAAGTAGCTGGGATTACAGGTGTGCACCACCATGCCCGGCTAATTTTTAAATTTTTTGTAGAGTTGGGTCTACAAAACAGACTGGTCTCAAACTCCTGGGCCGAAGTGATCCTCCTGTCTTAGCCCCAGAGTGTTGGGATTACAGGAGTGGGCCACTGAGCCCGGTCTCAACAGACGTTTTAAAAAAAAGTCTGAAGCCCAGATAAGGCTGAGAACTAGTACACTATACCTTCTTCTCCTTAAGGCATTGATCACCTTATACGTTCATTCATTCTGCAAACTTTCCACTGCAGGTTCTTTATATCTGGCTTTCTACATATAAGAAGGAATATATGCATAAATAATTATGCTAGGCACTGGGAATATAGAGATGAATGAGATTCAACCCCTATTTGCCAGGGCCTTACAGTATCTGAGGACAGAAAGAGGAGTGGAGATGGAGGTAGACAGGTACAAAAGTATAATAAAACACTCCTGGCAGCTACTAAGGTATGAGGCAAGGAAGAAGACAATGTACTTGGGGAAGAGTGAATGTTTCAGCCTAACTGGATTATAGGATCTAATAGCACCAGTTTCAGGAGATGAGGGTAGCCTGGTGGTCAGGATGGAAGTCAAGGGAGAGGCTTAAAAAAAAAAGCCAATTTCAGTACTACACAGCCTTTCTCTTGTAACTGCATAGCAATATAAGCACATAATTCAGACTTTGTAGACCTTTTTTTTTTTGATGGAATCTCACTCTGTTGCCCAGGCTGAATACAGTGGCAAGATCTCGGCTCACTGTAACCTCTGCCTCCCAACTTCAAGCAATTCTCCCTCCCTCAGCCTCCCAAAGAGCTGGGATGAAAGGCACCTGCCGCCACATCCAGCTAATTTTTGTATTTTTAGCAGAGATGAGGTTTCGCCATGTTAGCCAGGCTGGTCTCGAACTCCTGACCTCAGATGATACGCCTGCCTGGGCATCCCAAAGTGCTGGGATTACAGGCATGAGCCACCACACCTGGCTGATTTCCTAGACTATTATTAATCACAAAGTGTCATCACAATTTCACCCACAGTGAGAGGCACTATAACATGTAGTTTAGGAAGACAGTCTTTGACATCATCTTCTGCAGTAATTTAACCTTAGTCTTTGGTTTCCCTATCTGTAAAATGGAGACAATTATATACATATCCTCTATTTCACATTTACATTCTTTTCAAATAGGTGTGTTAAAATCAGTATGTATGTTTAATTTTGTAGTTTTCTTCTCCCCCCAAAAGCTATCATTAATACATCTCTTATTCAACAGAACCTCAGAAACAAGTAAAATAGGTAATATAACAATACACCTCAATTTTCTTATCAGTAAAATTGAGGTAATAATTCTATCCAGGTCATAGGGTCTTATGAAGATGAACGGAGATAAAGCACATAAAACTCTTAGCAGTATACCTTCCACAAAGGAAATGCTACATACACACACACACACTCACTCACTCACACTCTCTCTGGCATAAAGTGTGCATAGTGACTAGACCAGAAGAGAATTGGTTTGGTTGGAAGGCCTCTTTCATAAAAGGCTCTTTCATAAAAGATGGAAGAATCTTGCTCTGGCCTTGCTGCTAACTGGTATCTTTTCCTTATACCACGGATTTCTGGCAGGATCTATTAGAATTTGGAGCCCCTGGCAGTTCTACTGTTTTAAGGTTGGTTAGATCTGGCTGAGATGCACTTAACAGCCCTTCTATCAGCTTTTCTCTGTAATCTTCCTCCTACCTTGTCTTCTGGCCTACTCTTGCCTGACACTACTGCCTCTTCACAACACTGCAGAGTTATTAATATTTTTTTAAAGCTCAGTCAGATCATGTCACTGTTCTGTTCGAAACCTCCCAGTGGCTTTCTCTTTCTCCCAGATTAAAAGCCTGAGAAAGGAAGAGGCAGGCCCTGACATCTGAGAGCTGGTCTGACACAGCTAGACTTCAGGGTTGTTAGAAGCTGGCCTGATGCTCACAGCTTGGCCCAGTTATTCTTCTGTGGGACATAATCTCACAGAACACCAACATGAGACAAGGTCAGTCAGACTATAAAAAAGGGACACAACAACAAGGCCATTTCAAAATTGTGTCTAAGCAGAGACAAGAGAGCAAGGTCACTGTGCAAGCCATGAAATACCAAACGTCCTTCTCTGCTATTATGAGTGACTGCTGCTTCTTTACTAGGTATAGCTTTATCCTCACTCTAGTCTGTCCATCTTATAGACAATACTTATTCAGATACCTAGTCACAGAAATGTCCCTGCTTTCTGACAGCACCCAATCCAGGGTGAAGCCTGGCTTTCTTGAGCCCTCCCGCAAATCGCCCAAATTCTATAATAGGTTCTCTCACCCTCACCAAGCTGTCCCAATGGTCCTCCACAACACCTGCTTCCTCACTGCAAGAACTATTAATAATGAACTCAACTTGTTTAAGCACAGGTGTGTTCCTGATGGTCTCTGGCTGGAGGGCAGGGACAGGCCAGAGTCCTTACAATTGTCTACAAAGTCCCACAGTGGTTCTTGGACTTCATCACCCATCAGAATCATCTGGAAGAATTGTTAAAAGAGAATTGCTGGTCCCCAACCCCAGAGCCTGTGATTGAATAAAGCTGGGGTTGAGGTCTTAGCATCTGCATTTCTAACAACTCCCAGCACCTGAGGCTGCAGATCTGGGGCTCACACTAGAAGACTCACTTCTCTAAACCACTTGTTCCCCCGTCTTATTTCCCTGACTTAGCCTCCTTGTCTCCACTCCCATCTTACTTCATTCTACTCCAGCCACACTGGCCTCCTTGCTGTGTTGAGCCTCCCTGGGCACATGCCTTAGGCTACTGCTTTGTCTGCACTCGGATTCGTAACACTTACTCCCTCACCCCTCAGTGAGACCTACCCCAATCTCCCTACCCTTTTCAGAATTTATTCTCCACAACACGTAATCAACCTTCTGACATGCTGAATAATTTACTTATTACATTTATTGTTTTGCTCTCTCTCTGCTAATAAAGGAATGACACCCTTAAGACATCAGCTATCTGAGTGTATTTTGTTCACGGCTGTATCCTGAGACCTGGAAAAATAGCTGGCAAGTAGTAGATGCTCAACAAAAACTTTCTGAATGAATGTTCCTTCCAGCTTTTCAGCTTCTTCTCCTGAGTCAGGGCAGCACTCCCTTCAGATCTTCCTATAAATACAATCTCTCTCCTATATGTCCAACCTCTTGACAATTACAATATCCAGCTCCTGGGACTTTTCGCTTCAGTGGCTCAGGCCAGGGATACAGGGCAGGTAAGTCAGCCATGGGCCAAGGAGATCAAACAACGCCAGAAAATTACTGTATCCTGCATCTCTTCTTCACCCACCTTCTCCAGATGACCTTATCCACCCATCTCCCTCCTCTCTTGTTTTCCAACTATTTGTTCACCTGGATTTCTCCTCTCTTTGACCACCAACATTGTTATGGCACCCCTAAAAAAAATAAAAAAAGCAACCACTCTCCCCGTGCTAAGCCACCCTCATGCTGGGGCTGTCCTATCTCCGCTTCTCCGGCAAGGCTCCTCCTGACTTTGTTTTTCCTTTCTACTCCCTGAAATTTTGCTTCTGAAGTTCCATTACCGCCTCCTTCCTAAATTCAACTGCAATTTTCGGTCTTGCTCTTTCCTGATACACTGTGGAATTTAATACATCTGTCTGGAAACTCTTCAAGAACACCGCGTGTTGCCTCTACCTCCTTTAGTGCTTCTACTCCGGTCCTTCCTAGTCTTCTCTTCATAAGTGTCCCCAAGTTTCCTTCCAGGAAGATGGGTCGTGGTTTCCTTGACGCCAATGCGTTTCTGGCCGTGCCCTCGTCACTTGCCCACTCCGGGGTCACGAAGGAGAGGCCCCGGATTCCGGGCGCAGCCGCGGCTGAGCCCGGGGCGTTGAATGCGGGTGGAATTTCCAGTCTGGGAAGGGGCGGGGCCTTGGACCGCCGGGAAGTTTGGTCCTCAGCGGCTTCCGTCCTGCAGCAAGTCCGGAAGAAGGTCCGGGGGCTGGAGTCCTGGGACCTAGCTCGGGACCGGCCTGGAGATGGAGTTCGACTGCGAGGGCCTGAGACGGCTGCTTGGCAAGGTGCGGGCAGTCCGCTGGGCCAGTTTGGGTCCTCAGGGTCTTGCGGGGGGTGCCTCTGCCTTTGGCCAGGTTGCCTCCGTTTTGCGTTTCCCGGCTTGTAGTGGGGCTTGGAGCCGGGGCGGCTGGTCTGAAACCGGCTATGGGGCGCGGCCCCAGGGAGGCTGAGGGGACCTGGATTCTGATTTCTCCCGCAACTCTGAGGTTTCCCAACCTCCACCTGGTGCGAGCCCTCCTCATACCCCCAGCTTCACTGACCTCAAACAGCTCCCAGCACACGCCTAACCACGCCTTTCTCTCTTTCTCTCTGCTGAAATGGTCTGCCTTTTTTTTCTTTTTTCTTGAATTGCAAAGCTCATCCTTTGTAAGACCCAACTCAGTCACTCCCTGTAAGATTGAATCAACCCTTCTGTTTTGAAAGATATCGATTATCACATTGTGGAGTAATTATGTATTTACAAACCGTAATCTTGCTGTGAGCCCCTTTGACTGCAGACATTGTGCTTTTGTATTCCCTTCCTCTAGCCACTATGTTTGACAACACCATAGGTACTAAGTAACTGTGCAGTGAATGAAAGACCTGAGTAGATTTAGAGATGAAGACAGAGCTTGAAGGCCCTGGAGAGATCTTAATGTTGGAAGGCTGGGGAGTAGGCGGGCCGACCTAGAAATCTGACCTATATTTCTGAGACCTGACTAGCCTGAGTTTCCGGTGTACAATCTGAGGGAATCCCCGCCAATTTTCTAGTTAAGAAGACTAGTTTTCACCAGTTTCCTAGTTAAGGTGGTTTTTTGTTTTTTGTGTTTTTTTTTTTGACAGAGTCTTGCTCTGTCCCCCAGGCTGGAGTGCAGTGGTGCGATCTAGGCTCACTGCAACCTCCACCTCCCGGGTTCAAGCCGATTCTCGTGCCTCAGCCTCCCAAGTAGCTGGGACTACAGGCGCGTGCCACCATGCCTGGCTAATTTTTGTATTTTAGTAGAGATGGGTTTTCACCATGTTGGCCAGTCTGGTCTCGAACTCTTGACCTCAAGTGATCCACTCGCCTGAGCCTCCCAAAGTGGTGGAATTACAGGTATGAACCACCGCACCCGGCCTTAAATAATTCTTAATGCTTCTTAAGACTTCCTAATGCAGAAACCATAGTTTATGCCATTTTTGTTATACTTGCCTCTTTCTTTGTTGGGGCAGTTTACATACCCGTGGGAGGTTTTGAAGTCCTAAGATTGAAATTGTTTATGTAAGTGACTTGAATGAATTTATCTACTGCGACAGGTGCAGATCTTGTAGGAAGAGAAGTATCATAATGCTACCCTTTCTGTCTCCTCTTCAGAGCATGTGAAATTAAAAGAACCATTCAAGTTTTAATGTGCAGAGGATGATGGATTGTCCGATGGGAAGAATTGTTCAAGTTAAGATTCAAACATAGAGCATATTTTTGGTGGCACTGGAATGAAGGAAAAGAAGAGAGACAATGGTTTTTTCAAGGGTGAGAGTAGAATAGTAGAGGATTTTTTTTTCCCCATCAGTGCATAGCATAGAGTCTGGCACATAGGTAGCTTATTATTATTATTACTGTTTGTTTTGAGACGGAGTCTCGCTCTGTCACCCAGGTTGAAGTGCAGTGGCGCGATCTCTGCTCACTGCCATCTCCGCCTCCTGGGTTCAAGCGATTCTCCTGCCTTAGCATCCTGAGTAGCTGGGACTACAGGCGCCCACCACCAAGCCCGGCTAATTTTTTTTGTATTTTTAGTAGCGACGAGGTTTCGTCATATTGGCCAGGCTGGGGTAGCTTATTATTAATAAGTATTTGTTGGCTGTATAAATTAAGGAAACCAATCAGAAACAAGTCAGTGCAGCAAATATATGAAGTTTCCTGACCATTCACTGCAGTCTGCAAATAATATTGTTTAATATCTAGAAATAATTTTAGTCTAGGCACAGTTACTCATGCCTGTAGTCCCCGCTACTTGAGAGGCTGAGGCAGGAGAATAGCTTGAGCCCTGGTGTTTGAGTATGCAGAGAGCTATGATTGTGCCACTGCTTGCCAGCCTGGGAGACAGAACGAGACCGTGTCTCTAAAAAGTAGAAATAAATGTAAGGCCAGGCACGGTAGCTCACGTCTGTAATTCCAGCACTTTGGGAGACCGAGGCGGGTAGATCACCTGCGGCCAGGAGTTCGAGATCGGCCTGTCCAACATGGTGAAACCCCATCTCTACTAAAAATACAAAAAAATAAGCCAGGCGTGGTGGCCCGCTCCTGTAATCCCATCTACTCGGGAGGCTGAAGCAGGAGAATCACTTGAACCTGGGAGGTGGAGGTTACAGTGGCCCAAGATCGTGCCACTGCACTCCAGCCTGGGCAACAGAGGGAGACCCCATCTCAAAAAAATAAAAAAAAATGAATTTAAAATTTTTTAAAACTTAGAAATAATTTTGTTGCAGAAAAAATCGATGGAGAAGTGATCAGTACATTAAAAAATTAAGCAACTATGGAGAAAGTAAAAAATCTAATTAAATAGATATCCCAGTTTCATAGATGTGAAGATTGTCAGTTCTCTCCAAATTTATCTATAGGGTCAATGCATTTCTTGGAAACTTCAAACTGATTCTAAAATTCATTCAGAAGAGCAGAAGGCCAAGGATAACCTTGACATTATTATGGAAAAAAAATAGATATGAGGGCTGGGTGTGGTGGCTTACGCCTCTAATCCCAGCACTTCGGGAGGCCGAGGTGGGCGGATCACTTGAGGTCAGGAGTTCAAGAGCAGCCTGGCCAACATGGTGAAACCTCGTCTCTCCTAAAAAATGTAAAAACTGGGCATGGTGGTGGGCACCTGTAACCCCAGCTACTTGGGAGGCTGAGGCAGGAGAATCGCTTGAACCCAGGAGACAGAGGTTGCAGTGAGCTGAGAATGCGCCACTGCACCCCAGCCTGAGCCACAGAGCAATACTCTGTCTCAAAAAAAAAAAAATAATAATAATAAAGAAGGAAAGAATAGATGATAGATTTGAGGACCTGCTCTACCAAATATCAGTACTACGGCAAGTAAAATTTAGTGTGGCATTGGTGTGGAATAGACTAACCAGTGAAACAGACTAAAGGGCTTAGAATCGTAGTCACACATGTTTGGAAATGCAATATAAAACAGAAGACATTGCAGATAAATGGCGAAAGGAGAATGGAGAGACAAGTGAATATCCACATGAGAAAAATGAAATTGTACCTTGTATCCCTGCCTTACGCCAAACATAAAAATTTCCAGTGGATTAAAGACCTAAATGTAAAAGACAACTTTAAAACCTAAAAAGATAAATGTTATAGGCTCAGAATATGCAAACCGTTTTAAAATAATACACAAATAAGAGACAAATTCAACTGTATTAAAATTAAGAACAGAAGACACCATGAAGAAAGTGAAGAGGCAGCCAGGTGTGGTGGCTCACACCTGTAATCTCAGCACTTTGGGAGGCCAAGACAGGCAGATCTGTTGAGTCCAGGAGTTTGAGACAAGCCTGAACAATATGGCAAGACCCTATCTCAATTTTTTTAAAAAGAAAATTAAAGAAAGTGAAGAGGCAAGATACAAACTTAGAGAAGCTATCTGTAGCACACATAACTGACAAAGTATTGGTATCTAAAATATATAAAGCATGCCTACAAATCAATATTAGAACCAATAAATAGGCCAGGCATGGTGGCACACACCTGTAATCCCAGCACATTAGGAGGCTGAGGCATGCAGATCACGAGGTCAGGAATTCAAGACCAGCCTGGCCAACATAGTGAAACCCTGTCTCTACTAAAAATACAAAAATTAGCCGGGCATCCTGCAATGGGCCTGTAGTCCCAGCTACTCAGGAGGCTGAGACAGGAGAATCGCTTGAACCCGGGAGGTGGAGGTTGTGGTGAGCTGAGATCACGCCACTGCACTCCAGCCTGGGCAACAGAGCAAGACTCCGTCTCAAAAAAACAAAGCAAACAAAAAAGTAAATAGATAATTGGGCAAAAGATATAAATAAGCATTTTTTAAAAACAGGAATAAAATCACTAATCACATTTCAATTGTTAGTAGCCACATGTGGTTTGTGGCTATCATATTGGACAATGTATGTGTAGATTATTTCCATTATGGCAGAAAGCTTTGTCAGACAGTTCTGTATCATAAGTGGGTGGGTCAATTCACCAGTACTTATTATTCTGCAAAAAGCGTGTGCTTTTTCTTTTTTTTAAAGAGACAGAGCCTTGCTCCGTCTCCCAGGCTGGAGTGCAGTGGTACCATCATAGCTTACTGCAGCCTCAAACTCTTGGGCTCAAGTGATCCTCCTGCCTCAGCCTCTGGAGGTAGCTAGGACCACAGGCAACATCACCACATCTGGCCAATTTTTGTTTTTATTTTTGTAGAGACAGTGTCTTGTTGTGTTGCCCAGGCTGGTCTCAAAACTACTGGCCTCAAGTGATCCTTTGTCCTTGACTGTCCAAAAGTCTGGGATTACAGATGTGAGCCACCATGCCCAGCCAATAAGTATATTCCTTCGTTTATATTAAGTGTTACATTTAGAGAAATTACCTAGTTCCCTAATTCCTATTTTCTGCTCCTCCAGCTGAGTTACCTCGGAGAGGCAACTTAACCTAGATTTGCTCACTCATAAAATGGTAATACTGCGGTGGCTCACACCTGTAATCTCAACACTTTGGGAGGCTGAGGTGGGTGGATCACCTGAGGTCAGGAGTTCAAGACCAGCCTGACCAACATGGAGAAACCTCGTCTCTACCAAAAATACAAAATTACCCGGGTGTGGTGGTGCATGCCTGTAATCCCAGCTACTCGAGAGGCTGAGGCAGGACAATCGCTTGAACCTGGGCAGTGCAGGTTGCGGTGAGCCGGGATTGCGCCATTGCATTCCATCCTGTGCAACAAGAGTGAAACTCTGTCTCAAAAAAAAAAAAAAAAAAAAAGTAATACTGGACTTAATAAAGATTCCTTCCTGCTAAAAACTTCTTTTAATAAATGATACTACAAAGTATTATTATTCCTCAGTGTGTCCTACATTTGAGCAAAGTCATGTAAGAATACTCTTGAAATATCAGTCTTCTAGGCCGAGCGTGGTAGCTCACGCCTGTAATCCCAGCATTTTGGGAGGCCAAAGCAGGTGGATCATCTGAGGTCAAGAGTTCGAGACCAGCCTGGCCAACACGATGAAACCCCATCTCCACTAAAAACACAAAAAAGCCAGACATGGTGGCGGGTGCCTGTAATCCCAGCTATTTGGGAGGCTCAGGCAGGAGAATTGCTTGAACCCGGGAGGCGGAGGTTGCAGTGAGCCAAGATAGCGCCACTGCACTCCAGCCTGGGCAACAAGAGTGAAACTCTGTCAAAAAAAAAAAAAAAAAGCTGGGCACAATGGCTCACGCCTGTAATCCAAGTACTTTGGGAGGCTGAGGCAGGTGGATCACTTAAGCTCAGGAGTTCGAGACCAGCCTGGCCAACTTGGTGAAACCCTGTTTCTACTAAAGATACAAAAAATTAGCCAGGTGTGGTGATGCGCATCTGTAATCCCAGCTACTCGGGAGGCTGAGGCAGGAGAATTGCTTGAACCCGGGAAATGGAGGTTACAGTGAGCTGAGATCACGCCATTGCACTCCAGCCTGGGCGACAAGGTGAGACTGCCTCTCAAAAGAAAAAAGAAATATCAGTCTTCTGAATAAATACACTGTAGTGCAGCAGGCAAATTTAAAATTTTATTAAACTCAATTTTTCAGTCTTACTAATTTTTATAACCATGTAATTGTATTACTTTTAGAATGTCTTGGACCACTTTCTTCTTTAGTGAAGTACCTGTACCCTTTAAGCACATGGCACTGCTTGAGACACATTTCTTTAGAGAATGTTATGCAGAATTTTTAGTGGTGAGGACCAGTATGGAATCTGTCTTAATATTACACTAAGAAGATACACTGTTTAATATGTAGTGAAAATAAGGCTGGGTGTGGTGGCTCACACCTGTAATCCCAGCCCTTTGGGAGGGTGAAACAGGTGGATCCCTTGAGCCCAGGAGTTCAAGGCCAGCCTCGGCAACATGGTGAAACCCATCTCTACGAAAAATACCAAAGAATTATCCAGGCATGGTGGCACGCACCTGATTGTGCCACTGCACTCCAGCCTGGGTGACATAGTGAGACCCTGTCTCCAAAAAAAAAAAAAAAAAAAGCTAATATTTTCCTTGGGACAGATAAAACAGGTACTTTTTGGCTCGGGCCGGGAGTGGGGGTGGGTGGTGGGTGTCAAAACAAAACAGCAAATGAAATATTTAACTAATAGTAACATTTGGGTTTTTAAGTCCCGAGAAGAGTGCTTTTGCTGCCTTTGAGAAACTTGTGTAGCAGTTTTGCAATTAAATCAATTCTAGTGTAGCCTTATATAGCTATTAATAATCATGTTCTCCAATGATTTTACGGATGTAAAAAATAGTGGAAAATGAAACAAATTATATTTGTTGATAATATGTATATTCCAGGTGACAACAATGCAGCCTTTTGTACATTTGTGTAGTGTTTGGAGTTGAGGTGACTTCATTCAGTTTTGTTTACACTGAATCATGGGCACTGAATCTAGGACTCATTTTGCCCAACAGACTAAACAAGTCTGTTATAGTTAATACTGATCATTTCTTAGTTTTGATGCTCAGTGCTGTGGATCATAATTACTTTCTATGTCTACTCTACTCATATAAATCTGCCTATTTGCTAACTCCTATCCAAAAAACATAATTCTATCAAAGGCATACCCTGTACTAAGTACTGTGAAGAGCTAGAACAATGAGGGAAAGACGATTCCTGCTCTCAAGTTGTTTATAATCAGGCTTCTCTTCTAGCAAATTCTTCCCCATCTTAGAATGACCTTCCCTTTTCCCCCTAATTTTCTTTTTTTTTTTTTTTGAGACAGTGTCTCGCTCTGTCACTAGAGTGCAGTGAGGTGATCCCAGCTCGTTGCAACCTCTGCCTCCCGGGTTCAAGTGATTCTCCTGCCTCAGCCTCCTGAGTAGCTGGGATTACAGGTGCATGCCAGCATGCCTGGCTAATTTTTGTATTTTTAGTTGAGACGGGATTTCACCATGTTGGCCTGTCTGTTCTCGAACTCCTGACCTCAAGTGATTTGCCTGCCTTGGCCTCCCAATGTGCTGGGATTACAGGCGTGAGCCACCATGCCTGGCTTAACTACTAATTTTCTATACTGTTCTAGACTCTAGGCTGAAATGTAGATTCAGCTTCTCCAGAGGCCTTTCTCTAACTTAGATGTTCTTTGTGTCAATTTGTAGTTTCCTGCCTGTACTTACTATTGTATACATATTTTGTTTATTATCTCACTTTTACATATGTTAATTGTAAGACCTTCATACACACCTGTTGAAGTTTGTAGGCAGTAGAGCTATATCTTTTTTTTTTTTTTTTTTGAGACTGAGTCTAGCTCTTGTTGCCCAGGCTGGAGTGCAATGGCACCATCTCGGCCCACTGCAACCTCCGCCTCCTGGGTTTAAGCGATTCTCCTGCCTCAGCCTCGCAAGTAGCTGGGATTATAGTCGCCTGCCACCATGCCCGGCTAATTTTGTATTTTTATTAGAGATGGGGTTTCACCATGTTGGTCAGGCTAGTCTTGAACTCCTGACCTCAGGTGATCCACCCACCTTAGCCTCCCAAAGTGCTGGGATTACAGGCGTGAGCCACCGCGCCTGGCGAGCTGTATCTTTTTTGCAGGTGAACAACTTAAGGCTCTGAGAGAGGAAACAGGATCCACTAGCAATCCTCTTCCATTTTCTCCCAAACTCCCACAATCCTAGGTTTCCACTAGTCTACTTTGTGTTTCTATGTATTTGCCAGTTGGAGATATTGCATATACATGGAATCATAAAATATATAGCCTTTGTGTCTCATTTCTTTTATTTTTAATTTTTCTTTTTTTTTTTTTTCTGGGAAGCACAGTCTTTGTCCAAGACCAGAGGCAGGCACTTCCTGTGTCTAGTTTCTTTCACTTAGCATAGTGTTTTTAAGGTTCATCCATGTTGTAGCATATATTAGCATTTTATTCCTTTTTGTGGTTGAATATTTCATTTTATGGATATGCCACATTTTATTCATTCATTAGTTAATGGACATTTGAATTGTTTTCACTTTTTGGCTATTATGAATAATGCTGCTATGAACAATTGCATACAAGTTTTTGTGTAGGTACCCGTTTTCATTTTTCTTGGGTGTATACCTAGAAGTGGAATTAATTGCTCAGTCATGTAGTAACCCTGACTCTGTATTTAGTCTTTTGAAGAACTACCAGGCTGTTTCCCAAAGCAGCTGCATCATTTTGCCACTGGCAGTGGTGTATGTGTGAGAGTTCTGATTTCTTTACATCCTCTCCAACACTTGTTATTTTCTCCTTTTGATGATAACCTGTCTTTTGATTATAGTATGAATCCACCAGCTGTTTTGTTCTTTTTCCTGATCGTTTTGGCTATTCTAGGTCCCTCGAATTTCCAAATGAATTTTAGAGACTGTAAATCTTTGCCAAAAAAAAAAAAAAAAAAAAAAAGCCAGCTGGGATTTTGATAGGGATTATGTTGAATCTGTTGAGGAAAATTGCCATCTTAACAATACAGTCTTCAAGTCCGTGAACAAGGGATGCTTTCCATTTACTTTGGTCTATTTTATTTTTTTCAACAATGTTCTGTAGTTTTCAGAGTCTAAGTATTGTACCTTGTTAAATTTATTCCTAAATATTTTATTCTTTTTGATACCATTGTAAAAGGAATTGTTGTCTCAAATCCATTTTCAGAATGGTAAACTCTTAATATACTTATTTTCTTTCATTTAAACCTAACCACTAGTGTAAGAGGTAAGTATTATTTATTTTTGCAGATGAGAAAATAAGCTTAAAGAATTTAAATGATTTTGCCCACAAGACAACCAAGTCAGTATCTCTGAGAAGACATCTGGATAAATGAAGAGGCAGTTCACACACCTGACTACAAAACTTGCATGCTTTTGTTTTCCATTTGAAACCCAGGATGCAGTGCCAGGAAGGTGGGAGGGGAAAGTCGAGGTATCTCAAGTGAATGAGCCGTGCCAAAAAGACGGTTGGATCCTGCATAGTGGTGAGAGGGGTGATCCATTCTGCCTCATCATTTAAGCTGTCTGGAGGTATTTGGAGGCAGTTTGATTTAGAGATTAAAGACTCTGGTCCTGGATTTGAGCTCGGGCTTCACTATTTAACTTGCTATATGACTCAGCAAGTTACTTTGATTCTCTAGCTTTCATTTTCTTCTCCTGCTCCTATAGAGCAGTTGTAAAGCCCTACCTACCTGGTAGGGTTGTTGTTAAAAAGATTAAATCAAATACCATTCTTGTTTGCAGAGCTCAGGGCCTACCACACCGTAAATTGTCAGTTAAATATTAACTGCAGGCCGGGCGTGGTGGCTCACGCCTGTAACCACAGCACTTTGGGAGGCCGAGGCAGGCAGATCACGAGGTCAGGAGTTCGAGACCAGCCTGACCAACATGGCAAAACCCTGCCTCTACTAAAAATACAAAAAATTAGCCAGGCGTGGTGGCGTGCGCCTGTAATCCCAGCAACTCAGGAGGCTGAGGCAAGAGAATCACTTAAACCCAGGAGACGGAGGTTGCAGTGAGCTGAGATCCCGCCACTGCATTCCAGCCTGGGCAACAGAGTGAGACTCCGTCTCAAAAAAAAAAAGTTAACTGCAATTGTTCTTTTGCTTACAGCTTTATTCTTACTCCATGCTTATTTTTCTCTTTTCAGTACAAGTTCAGGGACCTAACTGTGGAAGAACTAAGGAATGTAAATGTATTTTTCCCACATTTCAAATATTCCATGGACACCTATGGTAAGAATCATATCCTCTAGTTTAAATGCTGCATTATTTGAACTACTAATTTTTGGTCCTAAAGAGCTGCAAAATTGTAATTTCTCTTTTTCTCTTTTATCCTCTGATTTTCAGCTATACTTTATGACCTGCAATTTCTGAGAAAGCTTAAATTAATACAATGTATCTTGTATTAGTTTTCTATTGCTGCTGTAACAAACTACCACAAACTTAGTGGCTTTAAAAAACACACGTTTACTGTGTTATAATTCTGTAGGCAAGAAGTCCACCACAAATTTCTATAGCTTAGAAAGTAAACTAGAGGTTTGACTTGGCTAAAATCCAGGTGTCAACTGCCTTTGTTTCTGGAGGCTCTGGGAGATAATGTTTCCTTGCCTTTTTCAGTTTCTAGAGGTCACCCACATTCCTGGGCTCTTGGTCTCCTTTCTCCATCTTCAGAGCCAGCAGTGTTGCATGTCTCTAACCATTCTTCTATAGTCAAATCGCCCTCTGACCACAGCTGGGAAAGATTCTCTGCTTTTAAGGACCAATGTGATTAGATTAGACCCACCCCAGTAATACAGGATAATTTCTTCATCTCAGACTCCTTAATTTTTTTAAGGCTAGCCAAGTGATCAGAGTCACTAATCACATCTAAAAAATCCCTTTGCCAAGTAAGGTGACATATTCACAGGTTCCAAGGGTTAGATATGGACATCTTTAAAGGACCTTTATTCGGCCTATCATATGTATATGGTTGATTCTAAATCATTAACAGTTTTAGTTATTCTGTTCACCTAATAGTAAGAATTTGGTTTTCTAAGAAATATTTTACTTTATTATCTTAATCTTTCTTTTTTTTTTTTTTTTTTTGAGATGGAGTCTTGCTCTGTCGCCCAGGCTGGAGTGCAGTGGCACCATCTCAGCTCACTGCAACCTCTGCCTCCTAGGTTCAAGCGATTCTCCTGCCTCAGCCTTCCGAGTAGCTGGGATTACAGGCACCCACCACCATGCCCGGCTAATTTTCTTGTATTTTTAGTAGAGATGGGGTTTCACCATGTTGGCCAGTCTGGTCTCGAACTCCTGACCTCAATTGATACATCCACCTCGGCCTCCCAAAGTGCTGGGATTACAGGCGTAAGCCACTGTGCCCGACCATGGGCTCTTTTATGAAGACACTAGTCTCATTCATGAGGGCCCAAAGGCCCCCCTCCAAGGTAGTTTGATTGTTTGAAACCAGAGATAGTGTTTCCTGTACTCAATCCTGAGATTAGGGCGTTGATTCTCTATCAGTGTGTCCCAGTTACTGATGGGAAAGTTGAACTTTCAGAGATATGAATGTTGAAAAGAGGTTGAGAATAATGAAATTAGAGAAACCAAAGAAGGTAATTATTGATCTAACAGTTTGCTTTAGAAAGCAATGCTGGCAGTTTTTCTTCTGGTTCTAAAAGTGACTATAACTGATTTTGTTACATGCGATAATGTTTTTTTGTTTGTTTGTTTTTTGTTTTTTGGTTTGTTTTTGCGGGAGACTGGAGGTTGGTTGGTTGGTTGGTTTGTTGAGACGTAGTCACTGTCTGTTTGCCCAGGCTGCAGTGCAGTGGCACGATCTCAGCTCACTGCAACCTCCCCCTTCCAGGTTCAAGCAATTCTCATGCATCAGTCTCTCTAGTAGCTGGAACTACAGGCGCATGCCACCACGCCCTGCTAATTTTTGTATTTTTAGTAGAGATGAGGTTTCACCATGTTGGCCAGGCTGGTCTTGAACTCCTGACCTCAAGTGATCCACCCACCTTGGCCTCCCAAAGTGCTGGGATTACAGGCATGAGCCACTGTGCCAGACCTGGAATTTTACTGTTACTCAAATCAGTCGCCCCGAGCATTGTGAGAACAGTTTTTAATGACAGCTTGGTGGGTGGGGGGAAGCCAGTGAGCCAGGAGTGCTGATTGGTTAGGTAGAAGATGAAATCATGGGAAGTTGAAGTTGTCCTCTTGCTCTAGGTCACTTCCCGGGTTGGGGCCACAAGATCAGATGAGCCAGTTTATCAATCTGGGTGGTGCCAGCTGATCCATCAAGTGTAGGGCCTGCAAAATATCTCAAGCACTGATCTTAGGAGCAGTTTAGGGAGGACCAGAATCTTGTAAGCTTCCAGGTGCATGATTACTAAACCATAATTTTTATTTTATTTTACTTTATTTATTTATTTATTTATTTTTCTGAGATGGAGTCTCGCTCTGTTGCCCAGGCTGGAGTACAGTGGTGTGATCTTGGCTCACTGCAACCTCTGCCTCCTGGCTTCAAGTTATTCTCCTGCCTCAGCCTCCCGAGCAGCTGGGAACCACCACACCCGGCTGATAGAGATGGGGTTTCATCATGTTGCCCAAGCTGGTCTTGAACTTCTGACCTCAAGTAATCCACCTGCCTCAGCCTCCCAAGGTGCTGGGATTACAGGTGTGAGCCACCGTGCCCGGCCATAAACCATAATTTTTAATTTTGTGGCTAATTTGTTAGTCTTACAAAGGCAGTCTAGTCCCCAGGCAAGAAGGAAGTTTGTTTTGGGAAAGGGCTGTTATTGTCTTTGTTTTAAACTATAAATTATAAATTAAGTTCTTCCCAAAGTGAGTTCAGCCTATGCCCAGGAAGGAACAAGGACAGCTTAAAGGTTAGAAGGAAGACGGAGTTGGTTAGGTTAGATCTTGTTTGCTGTCTCAGTCATAATTTTGCAAAGGCAATTTCAACCCCTCCCTTTGGATTTTTAAAACACCTTAATCTTAAGGTGTTGGCTAATGAAAATGGGAAAAGGCCGTCGATCACTCTGGCTTCTTCCTGCTGAGGGGGCGTAGTGGAGGTAGGTGTTGACACCGAGGTGAGAGGAGTGGAACTGCTTTGCAACTGACATTGACAATTATTTAATAATGGCCCCACATATTATAGTACTTCTTAAGTTTTCAAATTTTCTCATTTGATCCTTATGACAACTTTGTAAGGCAGTCTTATTATCTTTATTTTATAGATGATAAAACTGAAGATCAAAGATGATTAAAGTCACCAAAAGTCACATTCCTCTAAGTGGGGAAGGTGGCCCTAGAACTTGGGGTTTCAGTATCAAAGTCCTGTATTCTTTCAGCTACCCTTACTGCTTTCTAAGTAAACAACATCTAGTCATTTCCTCTTGTTGACAGATTTACCGATTCCTAGATTATGTTTAGAGATTGTGTGTGTATTTGTGTGTGTATATTCATGAGCACACACATGTGCACACTTACATACTTTACTACAGTTCTTTCTGTTTCTGATTGCACATTTTGGGGCTTTTTTTTTTTTCTTCTAGTTTTTAAAGATAGTTCTCAGAAAGACCTGCTGAATTTTACTGGCACAATTCCTGTGATGTATCAGGGTAAGTGTGGAAGTTGAAAAAATGTGTGAGTTTTCTAAAAGAGCAGTTCATTTAATAACTTAAATTTGTTTATGCCATAACATTCTTAAAGTATTATTGCAGATATATGACCTATACAGAACCTTACTGGATCTGTTCCAGTCAAGGAAGGCCTGTATTAATGTCAACAAGTTCAGTTCAATTCAACAAATACTTACTATCAACTAGATAAATCAAATAGAACAGCGTAACTTCGATCTCTTAAAAAGAGTTCAGCATTGTACAATGAGAATACATTGCCCAAAAGACACTAGGAAGCTGTATTTTGGGGGGACTTCTTTCAAAGTAGGTGCTTCTTTGTGGTAGCTCCTGGATTATCACAAACCCCCTACTACCACTACTCTGAAAGGCTCCAGGGTACAAAGGAAAGCAAGACAGACATAGGCCTGCCCTTGGGGAGAGTTACTTTTTTCTTCATTACACCTATATTTTGTTCCCCTCCTTTCCTCTCTATGTGATATAGCATTATCTCCATTCCATAGGTGAAACTGAATCTTAGCCTGGTCTGATTTACCTAAGATCACATAGCTAGTGTTAGCCTGAAACTCAGACTCCAATAGGAAAATTTTACAACACAGAAGCCATTAAAGCTCAAAGAAAGGAACACATTTTAGAGTGACCTAGCAGTTTAGAATAGCTAAGTGTTTGCCCAAAAATAAAAGAAAACAAATCACTGACTTTTCTTACACTTAACTCTTCCCATTTTTCCAGACCTACTTCTCCTGTGTTCATCAAGGACTAACCTTTCAGATAAGAATCACAAGAGGTTGCTTATATATAGTATGATTTTAAGAACACCAGTGAATCTTTGTTTCCAAATATTTATCTGAAGTGGTGCCTGAAATTTCACCATTAGAAATTCACTGTTCTTGCCGGGTGTGGTGGCTCATGCCTGTAATCCCAGCACTTTGGGAGGCCTAGGTGGGCAGATCACTTGAGGTCAGGAGTTCAAGACCAGCCCGGCCAACATGGTGAAATCTCATCTCTACTAAAAATACAAAAATTAGGCCTGATGGCACGTGCCTGTAATCCCAGCTACTCAGAAGGCTGAGGCAGGGGAATCTCTTGAACTCAGGAGACAGAGGTTGCAGTGAGCCGAGATTGTGCCACTGCACTCCAGCCTGAGTGACAGAGTGAGACTCAGTCTCAATAAAAGTTCACTGTTCTTTTGAAATGCAAATAATCCCAGGACAAATAACATCCATAATCACTAATATACAGTTATGTGCTTAAAGGACATTTTTGGTATTTGTTGAACAGTGGAGTTAGTTTGATTATTGACTGAAGGGCTTAGGAATAAGTGGCTTACTGGGGCATTTGAAACAGAAGATACACTGAAAGGGGGGCTGAGAAAGATCTGGAAACCAAATAGGGAGAGAACAGCGTAACTTTGATCTCTTAAAAAGAGTTCAGCATTGTACAATGAGAATACATTGCCCAAAAGACACTAGGAAGCTGCATTTGCGGGGACTTCTTTTAAAGTAGGTGCTTCTTTGTGGTAGCTCCTGGATTATCACAAACCCCCTTAATTCCCCACTCCCCACCCCCAGTCATGACTTGTTGCTAGAGATGCACTCATGTTTTGTTCTGCTTCTGTGTATGTCCCACCATGATACCTCCTTTTGCAATAGTAGGCACTCAGGAAATGTGTAGGAATTCATTTTGTTTTTATGCATAGGAGAATGGATGGAGATGAATGCAGCTAGCCATGGGATCCATGCAGAGATTGCAGAGTGAAGTAGGCAGAACAGGCATAGAGTTGATTTTTCTTTTCTTTCCTTGGTCTTCCCTGCCAAGCTTTTAGACTGTTTCCTGGCTGTGTAGAGAATTTTACTCAGACCTGTTCCCCTTAAGTTGTATTCTGAATTTATCTTGGTTAGACGTTGAAAAGAAAGGGAAGGGAAGGGTATTAGGGAAAGGAGGAAGGGAGAGGAAGAGGGAAGGAAACTGATTAAGGTGATTCATTCTGAGAGATAAAGGCTAATTCTTAACCCACCCCAGTGTTTTCAAGGGTAGTTGCATATTAACAGAGGAGCTTGTGAATTTAAATGAATTACTGCTTAGTAGCATTTCGGTTTCTAATACAGAGTAGGGCGGTAACATGAGGGCAGAAAGGTTATCTTAATACCATTGGTAAAATCCCGCTGATTGGCACTATGCCTGTCCTGCAGTCATTGAGTTATGTCATTGATTCTTATGCTGGGGTCTTCCTCAGGTGCTCCCCCCACCTTTTTTTCCTGCATTACACTTTTCCTTTGCTTTGGAATTATATCAACTCAGTGTGAATGCACACTAATTATTTCCTGCTGATCAGAAGGTCAGAATGTATATTATCTTTCTCATCTGTAAAATGGGCCAATAGTAGAGCCCACCTCAGAGTTGTAAGGCTTAAATGAATTACAGTAAGTAAAGCTCTGGGCATAGTGCCTGGCATATAGTGTGTGCCAGTGTATGCTCAGTAAATGTGGCCATTATTATTTGTCTGCCTTTTTTTTTTTTTTTTGAGATGGAGTTTTGCTCTTGTTGCCCAGGCTGGAGTGCAATGGTATGATCTCAGCTCACTGCAACCTCCACCTCCCAGGTTCAAGCAATTCTCCTGCCTCAGTCTCCTGAGTAGCTGGGATTACTGGTGTGCACCACCATGCCCAGCTAATTTTGTATTTTTAATAGAGATGAGGTTTCTCCATGTTGGTCAGGCTGGTCTTGAACTCCTGCCCTCTGGTGATCCGCCCGCCTCTGCCTCCCGAAGTGCTGGGATTACAGGCGTGAGCCACCGCGCCCAGCCTTGTCTGCCTTTATTACTCTCTTTTAGTTAACTAGTTTTATTAGTGTAATGATTATACATGCTTATGCTAAAAAAAATTTAAACATTTGGGAAGGGATGAAGTGAAGCCTATATCTATCCTCCCATCTGCATGGAACTTCTGTTAATATTACCTTATGTTTACCTCTAGAAATTTTTGGTATTATTTCTTATACAGCCAACATTGTGTTAAGTTATAATGATACTTTTTCTTCAAACACTCATTTTTTAGAGATGTATGTAATCTTTTTTTCTTTTACTTTTTTTTTGAGACGGAGTCTCGCACTGTCGCCCAGGCTGGAGTGCAGTGGCGCGATCTCGGCTCACTGCAAACGCCGCCTCCCAGTTTCATGCCATTCTCCTGCCTCAGCCTCCTGAGGAGCTGGGACTACAGGTGCCCGCCACCACACCTGGCTAATTTTTTGTATTTTTAGTAGAGATGGGGTTTCACCGTGTTAGCCAGGATGGTCTTGATCTCCTGATCTCGTGATCTGTCCGCCTTGGCCTCCCAAAGTGCTGGGATTACAGACGTGAGCCATCACTCCTGGGCTGTTCTTTTTCTTTTAAGAGAGAGGGTGTTGCTCTGTTGCCTAGGCTAGAGTACAGTGGTGTGATCATAGCTAACTGTAACCTCAAATTTCTGGGCTCAAGCATTCTTCCTGCCTCAGCCTCCTGAGTGGCTAGGACTACAGATATGTGCTACCACACCAGGGTCTTGCATTGTTGCCCAGGCTGGTCTTGAAGTCCTGGACTCAAGCTGTCCTCCCATTTTGGCCTACCAATGTATCATCTTAAGATCACACCTATCTAAACTTTGTTTACATCCAACTTAAGTTATGTTCTTATGATATAATTCCTTTAAATCTGAGGACTTTGTGCCAGGAGTTCGGACTCTTCAGTGCTGAATTACTAAAAGCTAGATGTGCAGGGTAGGAGTCAAGGTATTTGCTGATAGGAAAGAGGGAAGGAAGAAGAGACTAGTGAACTAGTGGTGAAATCTTAACGTTTAGACACAGGAATCTGAGTCACCAGGTGCTTTGCCAGTCATGGGCTGTTAAAATGCAAGAATACTGCTGGGGAGGGGCATTGGTGGAGGCAGATCCTTGATCAACCAGGGGAATACCTTCAATAGACATTTTTTGTTTTGTTTTGTTTTTTTGAGACAGAGTCTTGCGCTGTCACCTGGCTGGAGTGCAGTGGCGCAATCTCGGCTCACTGCAACCTATGCCTCCTGAGTTCAAGCCATTCTTGTGCCTCAGCCCCCCAAGTATCTGGGATTACAGGTGCTTGCCACCATGCCCGGTTAACTTTTTGAATTTTTAGTGGAGATGGGGTTTCATCATGTTGGTCAGGCTGGTCTCAAACTCCTGACCTCAAGTGGTCAACCCACCTTGAAAGTGCTGGGATTACAGGTGTGAGCCACCACGCCCGGCCTTCAATAGACATTTCTTTCCTTTTCTTTAATGTGTAGTGATTAATGTAGGAAGTGACTCCATCAGGATTTGGGCTGCCACTCTGGCTATATTAGTAAACATTTTTGAAAATTTGATTTTTTTTTTTTTTTTGAGAGGCAGGGTGGATGATTTGGCCATTGTTTTAATTAAACTTACTCAAATGTTATACCAGTGATCTAATAGGAACATATTTCCAATGTGAATGTGGATGAAATGGGGGGGAATAGGCCTTGATTAACATTAATCCTTTATATGTAAACCTGACTAGACTGCTCATTTCTTTTCTTTTTTTTTTTTTTTTTTTTGAAACAGTGTCTTACTCCGTAACCCAGGCTGGAGTGCAGTGACACAATCATGGCTTACTGCAAACTTCACCTGCCAGGCTCAAGTCATCTGCCCATCTCAGCCTCCCCAGTAACTGGGACTATAGGTGTGTGCCACCACACCCAGCTAATTTTAAAATTTTTTGTAGAGATGGGGTTCCTCCATGTTGCCTAGGCTGGTCTGAAACTCCTGGGCTCATGCAATCTGCTCACCTCAGCATCCCAAAGTGCTGGGATTACAGGCTTCAGCCACCACCCCAGCCTACTCATTTCTTAAAATGCCGCCTAGCTATATCATAATGTGTGTGCTTTATTATTGTTTGAAGATATGTTTCTTTTGTCTCAAATAGGTAATACATATAACATACCAATTCGTTTCTGGATTTTGGATTCTCACCCTTTCGCTCCCCCTATTTGCTTCTTGAAGCCAACTGCAAATATGGGAATCTTAGTCGGAAAACATGTGGATGCTCAAGGCAGAATATATTTGCCCTATCTCCAAAACTGGAGCCATGTAAGATCAATTTGGATTTTCTACAGAAAGCTTTTTTTTTTTTTTAAATACCTATCATTGATTCTGCTGGTACAAATAAGTATGATACTGCATTTTCTTTCAATGATATTCTTCATGTAGTCTTTGGAAGTAATTTGAAATTGAGCTCTCTAGGGTTACCCAAGTCCCAGAACCCTGATGACAACTGCCTGTACAAAGCTGCTCCCTCCAGGTTTTGGAGCCAACTGTTTGCTCCCTGTCTTTTTATAGTCGTTTCCCACTTGAGAAAGTACAGGAGGAGCTACTAGCAAGTGATTGGGGCATTATTTCCAAGTCCCTTCCTATTACAGATTTTTATGTTATATTTATTTGTAGTTTTGCCTGTTTTTGACTTTCATATAAGTTGAATCATACTGTATGTAATCTTTTGTGACATGCTTTGTTTTAACCAATATTAAGTTTTAAAAAGTCATCCACATTGATCTATATAACTGTAGTATTTGTTTTATGTCCTCATGTTATGTAATTTTGTATTCTGCATTTTTCATTGACCATTATATTGAGCATTTCTCCATGTTAAACCATTTTCAAAATACATGGTTTTTAATGGTTACCTGATGACAGCATAAGGATATTGCGTATTGTATTTACAAATTGCCCTAACGTAAGACATTTAATGATGAACATCTTTAAATGTAAATGTTTGTATATATCTAATATATCTTTGATACTTCCGTAATGATAAATCTCTTGGAGTAGAATTATTGGTCCAAAGGTTTTCAATATTTTCAAGATTTTCTTATATATTACTAAATTGGCCTCCAAAAGGGTACACAAAATGATACATTTCTATAATCAGTAGAAATCAGTGTAGGAGGGTACCTATTTTACAGTACCTTTTCTCTAATAGAAGGTATTATCCTTAAAACAAACCTTTGCTTATCTTCTATACATTGGTTTAGACAGATGTATAGTATTCTCTCATTTTTGTAAATAATTAAAAATCTGTATAAAAGGATAATTTATAATATGTTTATATGAGGCCAGGTGCAGTGGCTCACAGCTGTAATCCCAGCACTTTGGTAGGCCGAGGCGGGTGGATCACGAGGTCAGGAGATCGAGACCATCTTGGCTAACGCAGTGAAACCCTGTCTCTACTAAAAATACAAAAAATAAGCCAGGCGTGGTGGTGGGCGCCTGTAGTCCCGGCTACTTGGGAGGCTGAGGCAGTAGAATGGTGTGAACTCAGAAGGTGGAGCTTGCAGTGAGCCAAGATTGCACCACTGCACTCCAGCCTGGGCGACAGAGCGAGACTCCGCCTCAAAAAAAAAAATATGTTTATATGTACCAGAAAGCTAGTAGGGCTGGAGGACAGGGGTATATTGGAGTCCAGTGAGGTTGGAGTAAAGAATGCCTTAGGATTATCACTTTTTATTTTATAGACAGCTTATAAAAAGGTGTATAATTGTAGATGCATTTTACTTTGTTTTATGGTTTTCTATATTTTTATATAGAAAACATTTAAAAAGAAGAAAAAAGAAATAGAAAAAACAAAGGACATACTTCGGATTATCAGTAGTAGGAGTTGACATTTTACTTTGTGAACATTTATGTTATTTGCATTACCTGATGATTTAAATAAGATTGCCAGTTAAATGTGATGAATGGGGCATAATAAAAATTTGTCAGTTGGAAGGACAAAAATGGATCTTACTCTTAATTTTCAGTTGTTTGGTTATTTGAGAAATTGAAATCATTTTCATTTACTTATCAATCGTACGTTTCTTCCTTTTTGAATTGTCTGTTTCTCTCCTCCATCCATTGTTACACCCTTCTTTAAACAAAACAAAACAAAACTATCCTCGAGTAGTATTTTGACATCTGTACCATGTTGCAGGAATTCATGTATCCTGTTTCTTCTCTCTGGTTTTCATTGGCATCTCTTTTCATAATTTTGTTTGTTTAATAAATCCTCGGGGATAGTCTTATAATCTAGTGAAAGTTGTGTTTAATTTTAGTTTAGACAGTTCTGATTTTATTTTACTGTTCTGAGCCTCTTTATTATAAGCTAAAACTAGTCTCTTTTTTTGAGACAGGGTAATGCTGTCTTCACCCGTGCTGGAGTGCAGTAGCACAATCATAGCTCACTGTACCCTCAAATTCCTGGGCTCAAGTGAGTTTCCCACCTCAGCCTTCTGAGTAGCTGGGACTACAAGCATGGTCTACCATCCACTACTAATTTTAAAATTTTTTGTACAGACAGGATCTCCCTATGTTGTCCAGGCTGGTATTGAACTCCTGGGATCAAGGCATCCTCCCACCTCAGCCTCCCAAAGTGATGGGATTACAAGTGTGAGCCACAGTGCCCCCACTTAAAACTAGTCTTAAAAAGACATTACATTATTTAAATTGCCCTATTTAAAAGTACTGCAGCACCTTTAAGTTCCACATGCAGTTGGAATTATAATTATGTAGCATAATTTTATAGAACTTTGGAGCTAGAAGGAATCTAGAGGTCATCTAGGCCAGGGTTTGCAATTTCTCTGAGAGATTCAGAGGGCCGCGTTAGGCCTATGGAATTTGTTTGAACAGCACAGTTCGTTTTGTTTTACCTTGTTTTGTTTTGTTCTTAATGTAAATTTGAATGCCTATTGGCATGCTGTTTCCAATTTGCCACAATAACCGTCTCTCCAGATTTTCTTGTACTTGCCAGCTTCACACATTTAACGTTACCTGCTTGGTCCCCAAAGGTATTTGAATTCTTGGCCCTAATAGCCTCTTCTTACTTTATAAATAGTGAAACTCAGACTCTGAGAAATTAAGCACTTTTTAAATGAGCATACTACTAAATATTCCCAGGAATAATAATAAACATCTGTTTTACACTCACGGCGTATAGTTTGCATTCATTGACTCATTTATTGCTCATAACAACCATTTGGGATTTATTATTCACTTTGTATTACTGATGACACTGAAGCTCAGAAAGGTTAGTGAATTTCATCAAGGTTGCTTAACCAATTACATTAAAAGAATACAGTACCAGATTAGATACTATTAGTGTTAATTTTCTGATTTGATAACGGTTAAAAGGAGAATGTCTTTTTCTTTTAGGAAATATACATTAAAGTACTTAGGGGTAAAAGGACATCATGTTTGCAGTTTACTTGTTCAGTTTGTTCAGAAAAACTAGAGAGAGAAAGACTAAACAAGCAAATGTGATCAAATGTTAACATTTGAGTAATCTAGGTGAAGAGTATATGTACTATTTTTGCAACTTTTCTGTAAGTCTGAAATTATTTCAAAATGAAAAGTTAAAAAAAGGAGAGTTCCTAAACCTAGGTATTCGGCTATTAAGCATATTCATGCTATTTTTCTACTTTTGGGAAATGTTGAATTAGCATTTCTTCTTCCTTTATTTTTCAGTTAAAAGTATTCAGTAATTTTTCATGAAAAGCATTACAACAGTTAAAAGTATCATATAATGTGTATGATGATTTTTGAAAAATGAGAACATGATTGAATGCTTCTTTTTGACTAACTCTAAAAGAATGTATAGGTTAAAAAAGATTTTTTGTTTGTTTTGTTTGGAGATGAAGTCTCATTCTGTTGCCCAAGCTGGAGTATAGTGGTGCAACCATAACTCACTGCATCTGAAACTCCTGGGCTCAAGTAATACTCCTGCCTCAACAAAGGTAGTATTCTTCAGCAAAATTTTTGTGTAACTTTTCTGTTTTTTGTGTATTCTACAGCCTAAATCTGTCATTGTTGGATTAATTAAAGAAATGATTGCCAAGTTTCAAGAGGAACTTCCCATGTATTCTCTATCATCATCTGATGAGGCACGGCAGGTAGACTTGCTAGCCTATATTGCAAAAATCACTGAAGGTTTGTATATTTGTCAGGCAGATTATCTTGAGAGTTATGAGTTACCAGTTTCTCACTAAACTCCTTTACTTTCTGCCACTTGATTTTTATAAATAAATTTGTGTGCGTATGTACATCTGTTTTTGAAATAAGAAATTCCTGTGCCTCAGGCCAGGCGCAGTGGCTCACTCCTGTAATCCCAGGACTTTGGGAGGCTGAGGCAGGCAGATCACCTGAGGTCAGGAGTTGGAGACCAGCTTGGCCAACATGGTGAAACCCTATCTCTACTAAAAATAAAAAAAGTAGCTGGGCGTGGTGGCAGGTGCCTGTAATCCCAGCTACTTGGGTGGCTGAGGTGGGAAAATTGCTTGAATCCGGGAGGCAGAGGTTGCAGTGAGCTGAGATTGAACAACTGCACTCCAGCCTGGGCAACAGAGCAAGACTCCATCTCAAAAAAAAAAAAAAAAGAAAAAAAAAGTAATTCCTTTGCCTTTATCACAGGGTATTACCATGTAATTCCAATAAATATTATTTATTTTTTTATTTTTTTGAGATGGAGTCTCGCTGTGTCACCCAGGCTGGAGTGCAGTGGTACCATATGGGCTCATGCAACCTCTGCCTCCTGGGTTCAAGCGATTCCCCTGCTTCATCCTCCCATGTTGCTGGGACTACAGGCATGCCCAGCCAATTTTTGTATTTTTGATAAGAATGAGGTTTTGCCATGTTGGCCAGGCTGGTTTTGAACTCCTGACCTCAGGTGATCCTCCCGCCTTGGCTTCCCAAAGTTCAGGGATTACAGGCATGAGCCACCGGGCCTGGCCAGGTTTCTTAAAGTGTAAAGAATTGGTCTTAAACAGATAAAACAATTCTTGTTCAAAACCACTTGCTGTATATTAATGATCCCAAACTTTTTTTCATGATATGTATATGTGGCTTGTTGGCTTATTCAATATATTGGATCAGAATATCTATGATTCTCATCAAGAATAAAGGCAAATACCTATGTTTGAAACATTTGGTAAGGTGTTAGACATATTTTTTTATTGTAGACCAGAGCAATGAGTTGGAATATTTTTCAGAATTATGGAAATCCTACTTTTTTAGAGTCTTATACAATATTTTAAAAATGTTTAGAAAGATACATTCTCTTTAGAAGGATAATTTCTATTTAGTCGACTATTTAATAGGAAACGTCTGCCTTCCTTGCATTCATTTGTTCAGTAGTATTTTTTGCCCATTATGGACTAGCACCATATTTTCTCTCTAAGCTATGAAGCCTGCTATATATTTTTTTTAAAGATCCTAAAAAAATTCTTGATATTTTTGAATTCTCAGGATAATTCACCTTTCTTTCTAGGTGTTTCAGATACAAATTCAAAGAGCTGGGCAAATCATGAGAATAAAACAGTCAATAAAATTACTGTGGTTGGAGGTGGAGAACTCGGTATTGCCTGCACATTAGCAATTTCAGCAAAGGTATGTAAACATAGTGGTTATAAATACATCTATCATAGTGCCACACTTCTAGGCAGGTTGTGTTTTACACACCAAAAAATGCCTTCATTTTGTCGTGGGAAAACCTTATTTTGGCTTAAAATATATTTAGTAAGTTGACAAAAAAGTTGAAAGCTTTCATCAGTGATGTTGCCTTTTAATTAGTAGGTTTAAAAAAGTGATTTGAACAATGGGCTTATCCTCATCCAAGGGAAAGCTCAATTTGACATTCATATGACTTAATCACAAATTCTTTTGTATTTTCTGAATCATGCCACTTTAATTAAACTCATTTAATGTAGTAATTTTAGCTCTTTCTAAAATTGGCTTTTTTTTTTTTAAAGATGGCCTTTTCTTACATAATTACTTTCTTTTAGGATCACAGTTTCTGAGTTGATATTTAATACTAGTTTAGGGTTTGTTTTTTTCATCAGTCCTTTTTACTAGTGTCTGCATAAATTGTTTGCAGGAAAGCTTAAATGCCCTTCCAGAGAGGTTCAAAAGACCTGCCTGCCTCCCTCCAGAGCCTAGTATCATGATAACAGCATGTCTTTTGTCATTTGAGAGATGTAGCCCTGAATAGAATAGCTGTACCTCTATATATTTATTTGGTGGCTGGCATTAGTTTTTCTTTTCTATATATATTTGATTGTTTTGCCATCTAAATTCTTCCCTTTCCATTTAAGACTCACATATGTCTTGGAGGTGGGTTCTACTGCAGCAAATAATTAAATTATATCCATGGAGCTAGAATATCTTAAAAGCTGGCTGCTCAGAGTTAAATATGCCAACTTTTGGCATGCTGTAGTTTTATTTCTTTCACCCTCCATTTGAATACACTATCACCTCTTTTTTTTTTTTTTTTTTTTTAGGTGGAGTCTCGCTCTGTTACCCAGGCTGGAGTGTAGTGGTACAATCTTGGCTCACTACAGCCTCCGCCTCCTGGGTTCAAGCGATTCTCCTGCCTCAGCCTCCAGAGTAGCTGGGACTACAGGCATGCGCCACGACGCCCAGCTAATTTTTGTATTTTTAGCAGAGACAGGGTTTTGCCATGTTGGCCAGGCTGGTCTCGAACTTCTGACCTCAAGTGATCCACCTGCCCTGGCCTCCCAAAGTGCTGGGATTACAAGTGTGAGCCACCGTACCTGGCCTGCTATTACCTCTTAATTAGAATTTGAGTTGTATTCAGTCTTTTGTCACTAAATAAATGCTTCTATAAACATTTCAAGTTGCTTGTTTTCTCATCTGAATTTTTATTTGGTCATACATTATTTTATTTTATTTAGACAGGGTCATGTTCTGTTGCACAGGCTGGAATGCAGTGGTGCAATCTCAGCTTACTGCACCCTCCACCTCCCCAGCTCAAGCCATCCTCCCACCTTAGCCTCCCAAGTAGCTGGGCTTACAGGCGCCAGCAACCATCCCCACTAATTCTTGTATTTTTTTGTAGAGACAGAGTTTCACCATGTTGCCCAGGCTGGTCTTGAATTCCTGGGCTCAAGCAATCTTCCTGCCTCAGCCTCCCAAAGTGCTGGGAGTACAAGCATGCCCCACTGCACCCGGCCTGGTTGTACATAATTTTAAAAAATAGTACTAGTGAGTCAGAGGGCATGAATGGTTTTTATAGCACTTATGACATAGTGCCAGATTGCTCTTTGGAAAGGCAGAACTAATTTATGCTGCTAATAACATGCACATCAACCTGATTTTTGACATCCCTAACAGTACTAAGTTTTATTTATTTGTAATTATTTGTCTTTTTTTTTTTTTGGTAAGCACAAGAAGGCATCTGAAAGTCTGAAAGTCATGGTTTTTCATTTTTGTTTTTGAGACCAGGTTTCTCTCTGTAGCCCAAGTTGGCATGCACTGGTATGATCATGGCTTACTGCGGTCTCTATCTCCTGGGCTTAAGAGATCTTCCCACCTCAGCCTCCTGAGTAGCTGGGACCACAGGGGTGTGCCACTACACCTAGGTAATTTTTAGTTTTTTTGTAGAGATAGGTCTCCCTGTGTTGCCTAGATTGGTCTTGAACTCCTGGTTCAGACTATCTTCCTGCCTTGGCCTCCCAAAGTGCTGGGATTACAGGCATGAGTCACTGCTCCTGGCCATGTTTTTAAACTGTTAGAAGAATCTCACTGTCATTATTTGTCTGTGAATTGTCTGGGTGGAAAATTTGCCGTTTTTCAGCTGGGCCCGGTGGCTTACACCTGTACTCCCAGCACTTTGGGAGGCCAAGGCAGGAGAATCAGTTGAGCCCAGGAGTTTGAGACCAGCCTGGGCGACACAGCGAGATCCCCATTTCTACAAAAAAAATTTTTTTTTTTTTCTTTGGAGATGGAGTCTCGCTGTGTCTCCCAGGCTGGAGTGCAGTAGCATGATCTCAGCTCACTGCAACCTCCATCTCCCGGGTTCAAGTGATTCTCCTACCTCAGCCTCCCGAGTAGCTGGGATTACAGGCGTGTGCCACTACACCCAGCTAATTTTTGTATTTTTAGTAGAGAGGGGGTTTCGCTATGTTGGCCAGGCTGGTCTCGAGCTCTTGACATCAGGTGATCTGCCTGCCTCAGCCTCCCAAAGTGCTGGGATTACAGGTGTCAGCCACTGCCTCCACCCTACAAAAATTAAAAATTAGCTAGGTGTGGTGGTGCACACTGGTAGTCCCAGCAACTTGGGTGGCTGAGGATTGCTTGAGCCTGGGAGGTTGAGGCTGCAGTGAGCTGCGATTGTGCAGTTGCACTCTAGCCTGGGCGACACAGTGAGACCCTGTCTCAAAAAAAAATTCTGTTTTTCTTTTTAGACGTTAATATTTTGATACAAAGTACAATATTCATAGGCCACTATTATGACTGCAACAGTGATAGTACTCATAATAGTGGCAACAAAAGTAGTGGTGGTAGCAGCAGCAACTAACCTTTACACAATGCTTATTAGGTACCAGGCACTTGTCTAAACACTTGACTCTTTTTTTTTTCTTGAGATGGAGTCTCGCTCAGTCACCCAGGCTGGAGTGCAGTGGCGCAAACTTTTTTTTTTTTTTTTTTGAGACGAAGTCTCGCCCTGTTCCCCAGGCTGGATTGCAGTGGCGTGATCTCAGCTCACTGCAACCTCCTGCCTCCTGGGTTCAAGTGATTCTCCTTCCTTAGCCTAAGATTACAGGCACCCGTCACCACACCTGGGTAATTTTTGTATTTTTAGTAGAGACGGGGTTTCACCATGTTGGCCAGGCTGGTCTTGAGCTCCTGACCTCAGGCAATCTGCCCGCCTCGGCCTCCCAAAGTGTTGGGATTACAGGCGTGAGCCACCGTGCCTGGCCAGTAGTGTGACCTTGACTCACCACAACCTCTGCCTCCCGGGTTCAAGCGATTCTCCCACCTCAGCCTCCCAAGTAGCTGGGATTACAGGTACGTGCCACCATGCCTGGTTAATTTTTGTACTTTCAGTTGACATGGGATTTCACTGTGTTGGTAGGCTGGTCTGGAACTCACTCCTGACCTCAGGTGATGCACCAGCCTCAGCCTCCCAAAGTGCTGGGATTACAGGCATGAGCCACCGTGCCTGGCCCACTTGACTCATTTTTACAACAACCCTTTGTTTAGGTACTGTTATTACTGACATTTTACAAATGAAGAAACAAAGGCATAGGGCGGTTACCCAAGTTGCCCCAAATTACACTGTTAATAAATGATGAAGCGAGAATTTAAAGACCAGGTAATCTGTTTATCAGAGCCTGTATTCTAGATCCTTACTAAACAAAGTGTGGCTTTCAAACTAGCAGCATTGGTACCACCTGAGTTCTTGCTAGCAATGCATAATCCAGGACCCTTCCCAGACCTACTGAAACAAAATCAGCATTTTTTTTTTTTTGAGATGGAGTCCCGCTCTGTCCCAGGCTGGAGTGCAATGGCGCAATCTCCACTCACTGCAACCTCCACCTCCCGGCTTCAAGAGATTCTCCTGCCTCAGCCTCCCGAGTAGCTGGGACTACAAGCATGCGCCACCAGGCCCGGCTAATTTTTGTATTTTTGGGAGAGACAGGGTTTCACCATGTTGGCTACGGGGCTCTCAAACTCCTGAACTCAGGCAACCAACCTGCCTTGGTTTCCCAAAGTGCTCAGATTACAGGGCTGAGCCACCATGCCCGGCCAAAATCTGCATTTTAATAAAATCCCTGGTGATAATATATGCTTCACGGATTGATTACATGGTGACATTTTAAAACTTTTTCAATCTCTGCTATAAACCACTATATTGTCTCGTTGTTACTGATGAACGTTTTGTTGTTCCTAGTCTTATGAATATCCTTAATATTGTACTCTTTTACACATGTACTGATAAATTTGTAGGATGATTTCTATAAATGAATTGATGGATTCAAGAAGTTAATGTTTTAAATTTTTGATAGAAAATTGTCAAATTATCTTTTATTAATTATACCAGTTTATTCCCATACCCATAATATGTAAGAATACTTATTTTCCTACAACTACTGCTAAACTTTTGGATTTTTTTGTGCCTTATAAATGAAAATGGTAACTCATAGTTTTCTTTGCATTTTCCTTATGGGTATGGTTAGCAATAAAATTAATAACTATGTTTTAGAGGGGATTACTATATGCAAGCCCTGTGTCACATAATTAATCCTTACAACCTCATAAAGTAAGGCCGAATTCAGTGACTGTCCTGGTGTTACATAGCTAATACATAGTGTAGCAGGGTTATTTTCTTTCTCTCTCTGTGTGTGTGTGTGTGTGTGTGTGTGTGTGTGTGTGTGTGTGTGTGTGTAGAGACGGGGTTTTGCCATGTTGCCCAGGCTGGTCTGAAACTCCTGGACTCCAGCCTATGCCCATCCTGTCCTTCCAAACTGCTGGGATTACAGGTGTGAACCACCGTGCCCAGCCAGGGTTGTTTTCTTTACCATCACACTTTCTGTCTGATAGTCTGGTAGATCTTTGGGTACTTTTGCCCGTGAATCCTAAAATAGGAGATATCTTCAAGTCTCCTACTACTTTGAAGAAAGACCTTCCATAAAGGTAAACTGATTTTTAGGAGTTTCCATGCTGTTATTTACAGTCAGCCCACTGTGCCGCCCTATTTACAGGCATGTGGAGTATTTTCCATGAGATCTCTGGGGAGAGTACTGCATGATAATAGGATTTGATTTTAGATTTTATAGCTATTATACTTTTTTTAAGAAAAAGCTGGCATTATTTTTTTAACTTTTCTACTAGAAATAAGACACACAAATAGACCCAAAAGCACTTTCAGAATGAAAATGATAACATCAAAATGAAAACATAAATCAAGAGCAATAGCAGAAGTATTGAGTGCACCAAGTCATCTTTATTAACTCATCCCATTAAAAGAAACCTGCAGGGGCCAGGCATAGTGGCTCATGCCTGTAATCCCAGCACTTTGAGAGGACGAGGCAGGCAGATCACTTGAGGTCAGGAGTTCGAGACCAGCCTAGCCAACATGGTGAAACCCCATCTCTACCAAAAATATAAAAAATAGCCAGGTGAGGTGGTGCACGCCTGTAATCCCAGCCACTTGGCAGGCTGAGACAGGAGAATCGCTTGAACCTGGGAGGTGGAGGTTGCAGTGAGCTGAGCTCGTGCTAATGCACCCCAGCCTGGGCGACAGAGCAAGACTCCTTCTCAGAAAAAAAAAGAAAAGAAAAGAAAAGAAAAAGAAACCTGCAGACCTGGGCACGGTGGCTCACACCTGTAATTCCAGCACTTTGGGAGACCAAGGTGAGCACATCACCTGAGGTCAGGAGTTTGTGATGAGCCTGGCCAACATGGTGATACCCCGTCTCTACTAAAAATACAAAATTAGGTGGGCATGGTGGTGCATGCCTGTAATCCCAGCTATTTGGGAGGCTGAGGCAGGAAAATCACTTGAACCCAGGAGGCAGAGGTTGCAGTGAGCCGAGATTGTACCATTGCACTCCAGCCTGGGCGACAAGAGTGAAATGCTGTTCTCAAAAGAAACCTGCAATCTGTGACTTGTGAGTTAAGCCCTGTTAAAGCTTTTAGTAGTCAAGCCTAAAGGATTACTTATTGAAGTTCATAATTTCTTTTTTTTTTTTTTGAGATAGAGTCTCGCTCTATCGCCCAGGCTGGAGTGCAGTGACACAATCTTGGCTCACTGCAACTCTGCCTCCTGGGTTCAAGCGATTCTCCTGCCTCAGCCTCCTGAATAGCTAGGATTATAAGCATGTGCCACCATGCCTGGCTGGTTTTTGTATTTTTAGTAGAGGTGGGGTTTCGCCATGTTGGCCAGGCTGGTCTTGAACTCCTGACCTCAGGTGATCCGCCTGCCTTGGCCTCCCAAAGTGCTGGGATTACAGGCCACCAAGCCCAGCCAAAGTTAATAATTTCTTGCTTGCATGTCACTTTTATTGCTATTGTGTTACTTACTCTTCTTAACACTAAAAGACAGTGTATGAGGCCTGTTTATTGTCCTTTAGTCCTCATTGTTGAATGAATTTAAATTGAGTCACTGGCCATGTTCAGTGTAATGTTCTTTCTCTTACTGTACAGGGTATTGCAGACAGGCTTGTCCTCTTAGACCTCTCAGAAGGGACTAAAGGAGCCACGATGGACCTTGAAATCTTCAACCTTCCTAATGTGGAGATCAGCAAAGGTCTGTTTATTCTGCTTAAAGATGTATGCCTTATTAGATCTTCATTTTTGACTCCTAGAATGTTAATGCTGAAAAGCACCTTAAAGATCACCTTGTCCAAGTCTCTCATTTTACATATTGGGAAACTAAGATTGAAATAAGTTAAATGACTTACCCAAAGAGTCATTCAGGGATTTTAACTGATTATATTAATAGGAATCAAATGAGCAAATAATTCAGATTTATTCAGATTGGTCAGAAGGAGTTATTCTTTGTTTTTGACTTATACCTCAAAATAAATTTATCTCTGATTGCCTCTTTTCTTAGAATATATTGGTTAAGAGCATTGGCTTTAGAGTTCTACAGATAGAAGTTTCCATCCCTGCTCTGCCATAATAGTGCTGACATTTGTCAGATTATATAATCTCTCAAACTTCAGTTTTTTCATCTATAAAGTAGAAATAATACCTACCTTTTGGTATATAGCAAAGTGCTAAACCAAGAATAAGAAAAAAAATTTAGCTGGGTGTGGTGGCTCATGACTGTAGTCCCAGCTACGTGGGAGGCTGAGGCAGAAGGATTACTTGAGCCCAGGTGTTCAAGGCTGCAATGCACTAGGATTGTGACTGTGAATAGCCACCACACTCCAGCCTGAGCAACATATCGAGACCCTGTCTCTGAAAAAAAAAAAAAGAAAAAAAGAAAAAAAATTCAGTTTACATTCATTGCACTAAAAATATATTGTTAAAATAAATTTTAATAATAAAAAGATTTTCTGTGTCAATAACATTTGAGTGGGCCAGGCGCGGTGGCTCACGCCTGTAATCCCAGCACTTTGGGAAGCCGACGCAGGCAGATCACGAGGTCGGGAAATCGAGACCATCCTGGCAAACATGGTGAAACCCCATCTCTACTAAAAATACAAAAAAATTAGCCGGGCATGGTGGCGGGCACCTGTAGTCCCAGCTACTCGGGAGGCTGAGGCAGGAGAGTGGTGTGAACCCGGGATGCGGAGTTTGCAGTGAGCCGAGATGCGCCACTGCACTCCAGCCTGGGCGACAGAGTGAGACTCTGTCTCAAAAAAACAAAAACAAAAACAAAAACAAAACGTTTGAAATGTTAAATTTTCTATCTCTCTCTCTTTTTTTTTTTTTTTTTGAGTCGGGGTTTCACTCTGTCACCCAGGCGTGAGTGCAGTGGCATGATTCAGCTCACTGGAACCTCCACTTCCCCAGCTCAAGCTATCCTTTCACCTCTGCCTCCCAAGTAGCTGGGGCTATAGGCATGCACCACCACACCTGGCTAATTTTTGTATTTTTAGTAGAGACAGGATTTGCCTTATTGCCCAGGCTGGTCTTGAACTCCTGGACTCAAGTGATCTGCCCGCCTCAGCCTCCCAAAGTACTAGGATTACAGTCATGAGCCACCGCACCCTGCCCTATCTCATTTTTTAATTAAAAAATTTGCATGTATTTTATAATGTACGTAACATATTAGTATAGACATATTTATGTAGGTAAATACCGTATTTGGGGATGTGGAGTTGAAAGTATTTTACCAAGGATGCATGATCCAAAAAAAAGAAAAAAGGCCACTGAACTAGAATAAACATTTCCTAAAGCCTTTCTACCAAGTTATGGGTAAGGTCGGATTATAACATGCTATAGTTGTTTGGCTTTCCTTTGCCTTTCCTTAGGTCCCCTTTATTCCTTGACAATATTTTCCAAATAATATATAAAGACATACAGTATTACAAGCCTCAATAAACTAAGGAATGGTAGTCAGAAAAGTTGAAATTATACCTATCAGTTGTAAAAGTTAGGTGTAAAAGTTTTAGTAAGCCTTCGGCTGCCTGTAGGATACAATGAGTTCATTTTCCTTCTCTGGAAAGAGTACCATAGTTGCTTTAAGGATCTTTTTTGTAGGTCTCATGTAGAAGTTCTTTGGGGAACTGGATATTCTCTTGTGCCTGTGATTTTCAGGTACTGAAGTTCTTAAAGGACCTCTTAACTCTTCAAAATCACTTTAGGAGACTCTTCAGTATATGGACTCTAGAGGTTGTGAGGCCACGTAGGACTGAAGAAATTGTTTCTTCCTGTGTGTCTCATCAACCATCAATAGGTATTGCTTCAGATAATTGAAAGACTAGAATCCTTGGAATAGATGTGTAGTGCATGGTGCTTGCCACCAAGTAGGGAGTCAGTAATTATCTGTTGAATGTTGAATGAGTGTATATCATCTTGGGGTAACTTTCATTCATGTTCCCCTTATTAATTGTGGTTGTACATTTTTTTTTTCTAGAGACAAGGTCTTGCTCTGTGGTCCAAGCTGGAGTGCAGCGGTGCCATCATAGCTTATTGTAACCTCAAACTCCTGGGTTCAAGCGATCCTCCCACCTCAGCCTCCTAAGTAGCTTGGACTACAGGCATGTGCCACCATTCCTGGCTAATTTATTTTCATTTTTGCAGAGACAGGGTCTTGCTATGTTGCCCTGGGTGGTCTTAAACTCCTAGCCTCAAGCAGTCCTCCTGCCTCAGCCTCATAAGTATCTGGGACTACAGGTGCACGTCACCATACCCAGCTTGGTTGTATATTTCTGATAGCATTTATTTAATTACTATTAGATGAAGTAATTTTATTTATTCATTTGTTTATTTTTTTTAGACAGTGTCTCACTCTGTTGCCCAGGATGGAGGGCAGTGGCAGAATCATGGCTCACCGAAGCCTGGATCTACCAGGCTCAAGTGATTCTCCTATCTCAGCCTCCCAAGTAGCTGGGACCACAGGCATGCGTCACCACATCTGACTAATTTTTTTTTTTTTTTAAGACAGTCTCGCACTTTCACCCAGGCTGGAATGCAGTGGCACGATCTCGGCTCACTGCAAGCTCCACCTCCCGGGTTCACACCATTCTCCCGCCTCAGCCTCCCGAGTAGCTGGGACTACAGGTGCCCACCACCATGCCCAGCTAATTTTTTGTATTTTTAGTAGAGATGGGGTTTCACCATGTTAGCTAGGATGGTCTTGATCTCCTGACCTCGTGATCCACCCTCCTCAGCCTCCCAAAGTGCTGGGATTACAGGCGTGAGCCACCGCACCTGGCCCTAATTTTTTCATTTTTTGTAGAGACAGGGTCCCACTATGTTGCCAAGGTTGGTCTTGAACTCCTGGATTCAAGCCGTTCTCTCTCCTTGGCCTCCCAAAATGCTGGGATTACAGGCATGAGCCACTGCAACCATCCTTAGATGAAGTAATTTTAAATGTAATGTTAACTGACTTCTCATGAATATATTCTGAGATATGGCGAAGTACATCAATAATTCGGGGAATTAAAGCTCATTTGGAAATTTTAGTAATGCCCCATTGTAACACACATAGATGACTGCAGCTGACTGATCATTTGATGTCTTTTTTAATAGCTACTATAACATTTTGGGGAGGGATATACATATATACATATGAGCATGAAAATTTACATACAGATACATACATACACACTTATGCTTGTGTATATACCGACAATCTGGAGAAATACTAAGAAACTGTTAAGATGTTGGGCACGGTGTCCCATGCCTGTAATCCCAGCACTGTGAGAGGCCGAGGCGGGTGGATCACCTGAGGTCAGGGGTTGAGGACCAGCCTGGTCAACATGGTGGAAACCCATCTCTACTAAAACTACAAAAAATTAGCCAGGCATGCTGGCGGGTTCTTGTAATCCCAGCTACTCAGGAGACTGAGGCAGGAAGATCGCTTGAACCTGGTAGGCGGAGGTTGCAGTGAGCTGAGATTGTGCCATTGTACTCCAGCCTGGGCAACAAGAGTAAAAACTCTGTCTCAAAAAAAAAAAAAAAAAAAATGGCCAGGCACAGTGGCTCACGCCTGTAATCCCAGCACTTTGGGAGGCCGAGGCGGGAGGATCACCTGAGGTCGGGAGTTTGAGACCAGCCTGACCAACATGGAGAAACCCCATCTGTACTAAAAATACAAAAATTAGCCAGATGTGGTGGTGCATGCCTATAATCCCAGCTACTCAGGAGGCTGAGGCAGGAGAATTGCTTGAACCTTGGAGGAAGAGGTTGCATTGAGCCGAGATCGTGCCATTGCACTCCATCCTGGGGGCAACAAGAGCGAAACTCCGTCTCAAAAAAAAAGAAACTATTAAGAGTAGTTGCTTTAGGAGTCAGACCGAGGGAATTGATTTTGCACTTGTTTTTTGCATATAATAGTATATATATTTAAATCCTTTTATCTTTTTATTGTGCCCAAATACACATAACATAAAATTTACCATTGGTGACTTTAGGTACTCATTCACAATGTTGTGCAACTATCACCACTAATTTCCAGCATTTTCACCACCCCAAAAGGAAGCTCTGTACACATTGAGCAGTTACTCCCCATTTTCCCTTCTCCCAGGTTCTGGCAACTACTAATCTGTCTGTTCTGTGGATTTTCCTCTACTAGCTAATTTATATAAATGGAATCATATAGTATGTGACTTTTGTGTCACTTCGCATAATGTTTTCAAGGTACATCCATGTTGTGGCACGTGTCAGTGCATCATTCATTTTTGTGGCTAATGTTTCTTGGTATGGATATAGCACATTTTATTTATCCATTTATCAGTTAATGGACATCGGGTTGCACTTTTTCACTATTGTAACTAGTGCTACTATGAACATTCATGTACCAGTTTTTTTAATACCTCTTTTTGGTTCTTTTGGATGTATATCCAAAAGTGAAATTGCTGGATTATATGGTAATTTGATCTTTAACTTATTAAGGAATTAATTCTACACTTTTGAAGATGTTTATTAACAGTACATATAGCTCTAAGTAACTCTATTTCTTTGAAAACGTTCTACATAATATTCCATCATATGAGTGACTGTATTTTCTTTTTTCTTTTCTTTTTTTTTTTTTGAGACAGAGTCTTGCTCTGATGCACAGGCTGGAGTGCAGTGGCACAATCGTGGCCCACTGCAACCTCCGCTTCCTGGGTTCAGGCTATTCTCCTGCCTCAGCTTCCCAAGTAACTGGGATTACGGGAGCACGCCACCATGCCCGGCTAATTTTTTTTTTTTTTTTTTTTTTGAGACGGAACCTCACTCTGTCACCCAGGCTGGAGTGCAATGGCGCTATCTCGACTCACTGCAACCTCTGTCTCCTGGGTTCAAGTGATTCTTCTGCCTCAGCCTCCCAAGTAGCTGGGACTATAGGCGCATGCCACCATGCCTGGCTAACTTTTTGTATTTTTAGTAGAGACGGGGTTTCACCATGTTAGCCAGGATGGTCTCGATCTGCTGACCTCGTGATCCACCCGCCTTGGCCTCCCAAAGTGCTGGGATTACAGGGGTGAGCCACCACGCCCAGCCTAATTTTTTTTCTTTTTGAGACCAAGTCTCACTCATTCAGGCTGGAGTGCGGTGGTGCAATCTTGGCTCTCTGCAAACTTCACCTCCTGGGTTCAAGCGATTCTCTTGCCCCAGCCTCCCGAATAGCTGGGATTACAATTGTGTGCCACCACACCTGGCTAATTTTGTATTTTTAGTAGAGACAGGGTTTCACCATGTTGGTCAGGCTGGTCTTGAACTCCCAACCTCAGGTGATCCGCCCACCTCAGCCTCCCAAAGTGCTGTGATTACATGCGTGAGCCACCGTGACCAGCCTAATTTTTTAATTTTAATTTTTATTTTCATTTTTTGAGACAGTCTCGCTCGGTTGCTCAGGCTAGAGTGCAGTGGTGCCATCTCGGCTCACTGCCACCTCCGCCTCCTGGGTTCAAGTGATTCTCCTGCCTCGGCCTCCTGAGTAGCTGGGATTACAGGTGCACACCATCACACCTGGCTAATTTTTGTATTTTTAGTAGAGACGGGGTTTCACCATGTTGTCTCAGGCTGGTCTCAAAACTCGTGGCCTCAAGTGATCCACCTGCCTTGGCCTCCCAAAATGCTGGGATTATAGGCGTGAGCCACTGCACCTAGCCTTCAGGAAGATTTTTAATAGCTATAATTTTAGCACAGTTTTCTAGATTAAGGGTCATTATCATTAGTATGAGAGAACACACATTTCTAAAATTTTGGGTCATATTAAATAATTTGAAAAGAGTATATTCAATAATTTTTAGTACCGTAAGAATGGCTTAATGATATACCAGATAAATGAAAATATGTGTAGTGTCTTCAGTATATTCAGACTGATAGAGTAGCTAGAATATTTCAGTAGGTCTGCACGGTATTTACCCATCATTATTTGATACAGAGTTACCTGGTCTTTCAGTATTTTAAATAATCAGCAGTGTTTTAAAATGAGTTCATATTTCATTCATCATAACATTGGCCTCATAATCCGAGAACAGTAGTATATTAAAGCATGAAATATTATTTACTGGGTCTTTTGACATACTTGATTTGATCATCCCTTAGTATAACTGTGACCAGCCTTTGGTTTAGGTTGTAGACCTTGGCTTAGCAGGAAGGATATAGTTTTTTCTGGGCTACCTATAGAAATGGGAAAGAGGTGAGAGGCTTGTGTCCTGGTAACACAGATGCTGACTGAGTTCTTGGCATGGGAGGAAACTTAGCATTATGCTAATGTCTAAGTGGGACAACTCATATTTGAACCAGGCGGTCTCATTCTGAAGCCCTCCTTACTAACCCTTGTACTACATTGTGTGATATATAGAGTAGGGACAATATCATGTTCACTTTTGTGTTCTTAGGGCCTAACACATTACCTGTGACATGACAGGACCTTAGTAGGGGTTTGTTGAATTCATTATTGTCGAATGAACTTTTATCCTGATCCTCTTTTTTTTTTTTTTTTTGTGATGGAGTCTTACTCGGTTGCCCAGGTTGGGGTGCAGTGGCGCGATCTCAGCTCACTACAACCTCCTCCTCCCAGGTTCAAGCGATTCTCTTGCTTCAGCTTCCTGAGTAGCTGGGATTACAGGCACGTGTCACCACGCCCGGCTAATTTCTTTTTAGTAGAGACAGGGTTTCACCATCTTAGCCAGGCTGGTCTTGAACTCCTGACCTCGTGATCCGCCCACCTCAGCCTCCCAAAGTGCTGGGATTACGTGTGTGAGCCACTGCACCCGGCCTATCCTGATCCTTAACCTTGTAATTTATAGCTTTAATAATCATGCTTAAAGTTCTTTCTAATTCTCTTTATAACTGTATAATCTTCTTCCCTTGTTAAATCATCAACTTGTAAGGGAAGACTTGAAAAGTCAAAGATTTTGAGTGCCAGGTACAAGGAACTTAGTTGCCTGTGGAGCAATGCTAACCAAACCTGGCTGTGCATCAGAATCATCTGGGGGTTTGCATTCTGGAAGCTATTTCCCCTTATATATTTAAGTAAAATCTTCAGAACATGGGCTAATCTGCATTTTTATTAAGCTTCCCAGGTTAGGCTTAGGCACCTAGCCTAGCATTTAAGAACTGCTGCAAGAGATTGATAGAAATGGAAGACTCTATTTGGTCAGAAGCAGCTTAAAGTTTAGATAAAAAGACACATGCAATATATAAACAGTTATTCATGACAAGAGAGTGAGGAGGCACTATGTGATTAATGCCAAGAGAGTGGTCCAGACAGTGAGGACTCGAAGTTGGGTGGAGACAGAGATTGCTTTCAACTGATTAGGATTGAGATAGTTGCTGGTTCTTCTGGGATTGGAGAGATTTGGACTGGCAGAAAGCTGGGGGAAATGTTCCAGTTGCTATGCGACTAGATCTTGGAGGTGGAAAGATGAGTAAGAAACAAATAATCCCTGTTCCCCCAGAGCTTGTAATATGTTTGATGTAGACAGTTAAGCAGATGTTTGTCAAACATGTGGTGAGTGCAGTGAGAATTTGAGCAAAAGCCAGTATCAGGAAAATTAGGTAGATATTCTAGGGAATGAGTATAGACCAATTCAGCCTGCATCACAAGTTTATGTAGGAGAATTTAAAGAAATACTGAGCTGGGTGCTGTGGCATACACCTATAGTACCTCCTACTTGGCAGGCTGAGGCTGGAGGATTGTTTGAGCCCAGGGATTTGAATCCAGCCTCGGCAACATAGCAAGACCCCATGTCTAAAAGAAAACTTTAAAATATAAGAAATACTGGCTTTTAAACTCAAAGGAGGCCGGGCACAGTGGCTCACACCTGTAATCCCAGCACTTTGGGAGGCCGAGGCAGGTGGATCACCTGAGGTCAGGAGTTCAAGACCAGCCTGGCCAACATTGTGAAACCCCATCTCTACTAAAAATCCAAAAATTAGCTGGGAATGGTGGTGGGCACCTGTAATCCCAGCTACTTGGGAGGCAGACGCAGGAGAATCACTTGAACCCAGGAGGCAGAGGTTGCAGTGAGCCAAGATGGCACCATTGCACTACAGCCTGGGCGACAAGAGCAAAACTCCATCTCAAAAAAAAAATTAAATAAATAAAAAATAAACTCAGAGGAATTGATTAAAAGGCCCGAGAGCTTGATGGGAAAATCTTTGGGAGTAGGAAGGCTTTCTTGTACTTTTGAAATCATATTAGGGGCTGGGCACAGTGGCTTACGCCTGTAATTCCAGCACTTTGGGAGGCCAAGGCAGGCAGATCATCTGAGGTCAGGAGTTCGAGACCAGCCTGGCCAACATGGTGAAACTCTGTCTTTACTAAAAATACAAAAATTAGCCGGGCTCAGTGGCGGGCACCTGTAATCCCAGCTACTAGGGAAGCTGAGGCAGGAGAATCACTTGAAACCGGGAGGCAGAGGTTGCAGTGAGCTGAGATTGCATACCACTGCACTCCAGCCTGGGCAACAGAGTGAGACCCTGTCTCAAAACAAAAAAGAAAAGAAATCATATTAGGTAGCCACTACTATGTTTACTCCTAAGTCAACCTTGAAGATGAGGAAGCTAAAGGAGCAAAGAAAAGAAATAATCACAATAGCCTGGGGCCAGATTGTAGAGTTATAAATTGAACTGTCCACTAATATTTCATAATATGGACAGACCACCTAACCTCTCCACATAACAGTTTCCTCATCCTTATGAGGGTGTAGGACTAAGTTTCTAAATGTAGCATAGTGTTTAATAGCACTTTGAAGTCAGACTGCATGGGCTTAACCTCTGGCTCTACACTTCAGCTCTATGACTTTGAGCAGTTTATTTAACTTCTCTGTGCCTCAGATTTCTCATCTGTAAAATACTCCATTGTGTATTGTTGATTAGATTAAACAAATAAATTTATGGAGAACTGTTAGAACAGTGTTTGACACATATGGAATTGTTAAGTATATCCCTTCCAGTTCTAATGTCTTCTAATTCTTGAGGTTTTGACTCATCACCAGGTATCTACTGTGAATCCTACAACATAGGAATTACTTAAGAGGACTCATGAAGAACCATAATTAAAATCTAGGACTTAGTGTTTAGATCTACCATCACTAGAACTGTATCAGAATAGGAAGTAAAATTAGATAATGCATCTCCCAGTGGACACATTGCACAAGTGTTTCCTTCTGAAACTTGTTTAGAAAGATGGCCTAGCCAGGTGCGGTGGCTCACGCCTGTAATCCCAGCACTTTGGGAGGCCGAGGTGGGTGGATCACCTGAGGTTGGGAGTTCGAGACCAACCTCACCAACATGTAGAAACCCCGTCTCTACTAAAAATACAAAATTAGCTGGGTGTGGTGGCATATGCCTGTAATCCCAGCTACTTGGGAGGCTGAGGCAGGAGAATCACTTGAACCCAGGAGGCAGAGGTTGTGGTGAGCCGAGATTGCACCATTGGACATCAGCCTGGGGCAACAAGAGCGAAACTCCATTTCAAAAAACAAAAAAGAAAGATGGCCTTAGAGGCTTAATTAGGAATATAAACCATGGAGTCTACTGTCTCCCTGGGAGGCTAATATTCATTTGTAAATGTTGACTGGACTGATGCCATTCTAATTACTTTATTATGGTTCTCTTATTTCTGATGTTGGTAACATCTGGCCACGGTTTGGGCATGTACTTACTGTAAAACACACTGTGCAATGGAGAGTAATATAGTTGTAACAGCATAACGTGTGCTGGAGGGTCAAAGGTGCTCTGGAGTCAGAGTGAACTCCATAGACTAGCTTTTCCTAAGTCATAACAGTTGATTACCTGTAGTTCCCATGGGAAGAAGTAGTTATCCAAGGACAGCTGGGCTTCTGTATAAGAAAAGTCAGTTTAAAATGATCCAAGAGGCAGGTGTGGTAAAGTCTCAGCTTCTCAGGAGGCAGAAGCAGGAGGAGTACTTGAGCCCAGGAGTTTGAGTCCAGCCTGGGCAATATAGTGAGACCTTGTCTCTTTATTAAAAAAAAGCCAAGATATTTAATTTAGAGATTTTTGAACTACTCTTTAGAGTAGAATCCTTAATAAGTAAAACAGATTTTTAAAAAGCACCACTATTCTGCTTGGATAGGCCAAAGTAAGTGGCCTGGAGCTATACTTACCAGCCTTCTTCCTACTTATTTCCACTCCTCCCTGATGGCCTCTGAGTTTCTTTCAAGGAACTTTAGGGCACCTAAGCTCACAGTTTAGGAACCAATGGTGTAATTGATGGTAGGTTCATTTTGCCTATAGCATAATATTTATTTTCCTTTAAAAATTGTAATTTATATAAAAAACTCAGTTCTTGTTTGTAGGTTTTAGATCCCATAATTTATTTTGATTATTACTATTGCTATCTTCCCCCCTGGGGATACACTCTTCCTTTTTTATTGAGACAGAGTCTCACTCTGTCACGAGACTCTGGAGTGCAATGGCGAGATCTCAGCTCACTGAACCTCCACCTCCTGGGTTCAACTGAATCTCTGCCTCAGCCTCCTGAGTAGCTGAGACTACAGTCACACACCACCATGCCTGGCTAATTTTTATATTTTAGTAGAGACAGGGTTTCACCATGTTGGGCAGGCTGGTCTTGAACTCCTGGCCTCAAGTGATCCACCAGCCTCAGCCTCCCAAAGTGCTGGGATTACAGGCATGAGCCACCACACCCAGTCAACACTTACTCTTAATCCTCTTTTTGGAGGCAAACCTCCGCATTTTATATGCTTTTGTGGATCTGGGGTTGATTTATGGGGAGGCGTGCCTAAAAGCTCTCTTATTTGTTGAAAAGAACAACCTTTTAATCGTGAACTAGAACTTGATTAAAGCCTGTATCTTCAGCTCAGACTGTTTCTTTTCATTCACTAGATTTGTCTGCCTCTGCTCATTCCAAGGTGGTGATCTTCACAGTCAACTCTTTGGGTAGTTCTCAGTCGTACCTTGATGTGGTACAGAGCAATGTGGATATGTTCAGAGCCCTTGTCCCAGCTCTGGGACATTATAGTCAACACAGTGTCCTGCTCGTTGCATCTCAACCAGGTAAAATGCTTTATTTTAAATTAAGTTGATGGTCCAGTACATCAGTAGAATTGCCATTACTGATAAAAACCATAAAACTTTAGGGCCTGGCACAGTGGCTCACACCAGTAATCCCAACACTGGGAGTCTGAGGCGGGCGGATCACCTGAGGTCAGGAGTTCCAGACCATCCTGACCAACATGGTGAAACCCCGTCTCTACCAAAAATACAAAAGTTAGCCAGGCATGGTGGCGGGTGCCTGTAATCCCGGCTACTTGGAAGGCTGAGGTGGGAGAATTGCTTGAACCCCGGAGATGGTGGTTGCAGTGAGGCCAAGATGGTGTCACTGAACCCCAGTCTGGCCGACAGAGTGAGACTCTCTCAAAAAAAAAAAACAAAAACAAAATAAAAAACAAAACAAAAAAAGCCTTTAAATTATAAAGAGATGGCTAGAATATTCAGCAAAATTGCCTATATAATAAACAGTGTAATATTCTGGCAACCAGTTACTTGTTATGACTAACATTATCTAGAAGGTTCCAGCATACAATTTTTTAATGAAATATGATATTATGTTCTAGGTTCTAAGCCATACCTTCCTCAGTGAGAAGATGTTTAAACTCCCAAGAGAAAAATGCAATGACTTATATGCATGATATTTTGTTAATTCTGAAGTATCAAAAATGTTAGCATGCCAGAGTGCATTTTTAACATTTTGTATTTTGCAGGTTGTTTTGGAACTGTCGTACTCAAAAATAGAAATATTTTCAAAGAGTTAGTTTGTACTGGGCTCAAATTGGTGAACAGATTTTTTTTAAATGTTCCCAATGTAGAGGTATTGTATGCATTTCAGTTGTTTTTTTGTAGTAATTTGTTGAGGGACATTGATCTCTTTAATTCTCGACATGCTTTTGGAATGTAAGAAAAAAGTAGTTGTGTTTTCATTCATAATGCGACACTGAATCATGGTGGCATATGAATCAGTATTTTAATTTAAAGATAGAAATTCAGTTTAAGATAGATAGATGTAAAAGAAAACTCGATCAATAAGAAGAAATTATTTTTTAGTTTTTTGTACCAGTTTTTATCCTCACTTAACTGTTCTAGGAATTATCTATTTTCTACCCCTGACAATTTATATTTAACAATAAAATTTGACCAGGCACGGTGGCTCACGCCTGTAATCACAGCACTTTGGGAGGCCGAGGCAGGTGGATCACCTGAGGTCAGGAGTTTGAGACCAGCCTGGCCAACATGGTGAAACCCTGCCTCTATTAAAAATACAAAAAATAGCCAAGTGTGGTGGTGCACACCTGTAATCCCAGCTACTAGGGAGACTAAGGTAGGAGAATCCCTTGAACCTGGGAGGCAGAGGTTGCAGTGAGCCCAGGTCATGCCACTGCACTCCAGCCTGGGGGACAGAGCAAGACTCCATCTCAAAAAACAAACAAACAAACAAACAAAACACAGTAAAATGTATCTTGTTGAAACCTTGTTAGTGTTTCTAATGTACATTAAAAATATGTTATGGGCTGGGCGCGGTGGCTCACACCTGTAATCCCAGCACTTTGGGAGGCCGAGGCAAGTGGATCATGAGGTCAAGAGATCGAGACCATCCTGGCCAACATGGTGAAACCCCGTCTCTACCAAAAATACAAAAATTAACTGGGCATGGTGGCAGGTGCCTATAGTCCCAGCTACTCGGGAGGCTGAGGCAGGAGAATTGCTGGAACCCGGGAGGCAGAGGTTGCAGTGAGCCGAGATCGTGCCACTGCACTCCAGCCTGGGCGATAGAGCGACACTCCATCTCAAAAAAAAAAAAAAAATATAGATATAGATATAGATATAGATATAGATAGATATACACACACATATATACACGTATATATACATACGTGTATATATATGTGTGTATGTATGTGTGTATTATATGTGTATATATATAGTATATATATGTATATATGTGTGTGTGTATATATATACATATAATGCCTCAGTGCATTGAGGACCTAATATACTTATTAAAATAATAAATATTTGTGAGCTAGGCTAGAAGTATATATTTTTTAACCTTTACATTTTTTACCTTGTATGCAATATTTAGTGGAAATCATGACCTATGTAACATGGAAACTGAGTACATTTCCTGCAAATCGAGTGATCGGAATTGGATGTAATCTGGATTCACAGAGATTACAGTATATTATTACAAATGTTTTGAAGGCACAGACTTCAGGCAAAGAAGTATGGGTTATTGGCGAGCAAGGAGAAGACAAAGGTAAGAAGTACGTTTTTAGGCTGGGTGTGGTGGCTCATGCCTGTAATTCCAACACTTTGGGAGGCCAAGGCAGGATTGCTTGAAGCCAGGACTTCAAGACCAGCCTGGGCAACATAGCAAGACCCCATCTCTACAAAAAGATAAAAAATTAGCCAGGCACGGTAGTGCATGCCTGTAGTCCCAGTTACTCAGGAGACTGAGTGGGAGGATCACTTGAGCCCGGGAGGTCAAGGCTGCAGTGAGCCATGATCGCAGCACTGCATTCAAGCCTGGGTGACAGGGTGAAACCCCATCGCTAAAAAAAGAAGTACATTATTATTAGTTACAACCAAAATTGCCAGTGGTCATGGCATTCACATATATCTGAGGACTCCAGAATTGTGGGCTTAATTGGCTTTGTTCCACATTTGAGTGTGCCTTCTGTATAACAGGCCCTATATTGTGAATAAATTCCTCATATGTGTCATTCTCGTTGTAATTACTTTTCTGTAAGTTTAAGGTTAGACAAGACCGCTTAGTAGGATTTTATATTTTTAAATTGAATTTCAGAGTTCAGGATCAATTTAAAAATTTAATTTTCCAGAAAGAAACATTTAAATAAACCTTAAAGCATATATAGAACTCTTTCCTTTACTCTTCCCACCCTTCAACCTTGCTTACCTTTCCCAAGTTCAGACCTTCTCCCTAGATACATGCCTTCTGTCTGCTTCTTTTTAAACAGAGTTTTCACTCATTGTTTATCCCTATGGCCTTTTTCTCCAGCCACTTGCTCTTTCCCACAGAAGGCATTCAGTTTCCTGTATTGGAAAGCTCCTTTTCCTATTTCAAAAGAATGCTTTCCCTATTTAACTTGAGAATCTCTTCCCTTACTCTTTTATTGTTTCTCTCTTGCTATAAAGCCAGGTTGGTCAGTGATTTAAGTGCTGTTCACCCTGATTTTGTTCATTTAAGTATATGAGTAAAATAAAGATAATAGTATACTATTAGAGTAAGTGCCAAAGTGAGTACTATACACTTACAGTGCTTAGATACTTATGAGTGAGCATTTAACATGGGCTGAAATGACTAGAGAAAATTCTATAAAGGCCATCTGGAGTTTGAACTGGAGTTTGGACGAATGAATAGGATTTTAATAGATAGTGAACAATAGGAAAAACACTCCAGGAATGGGAAATCAGAATTAGGCAAAAGCACGAAGTTAAGTATGGCATGTTCATGGGATAAAAAATGTGGACTAGTTGTTGCAGAAGGTTTCAATGAGATAAATCTAATTGAAATTACATTTTGAAGATCTGTGAATACCCGATCGAAGAGCTGGAAAGTGATCTGGGGAAAATTAGTCATTACTTCATCATTTGAAGTACTTACTGTTAACTTCACTCAGCATGTAAGTGCTGCAAGGTAGAGCATGATATAGAAAATAACCTCTCTGGGCTGGGTGTGGTGGCTCACGCCTGTAGTCCCAGCACTTTGGGAGGCCAAGGTGGATGGATCACAAGCTCAGGAGATCGAGACCATCCTGGCCAACATGGTGAAACCCCGTCTCTACTAAAAATACAAAAATTAGCTAGGCATGGCAGCACGTGCCTGTAGTCCCAGCTACTCAGGAGGCTGAGGCAGGAGAACTGCTTGAACCCAGGAGGCGGAGGCTGCAGTGAGCCGAGATCACACCACTGCACTCCAGTCTGGGCGACAGAGTGAGACTTAGTCTCAAAGAAAAAAAAAAAAAAAAGAAAAGAAAAGAAAATAACTCCTCTGCCGGTGAGGAGGTAATAATTTAATTGAAGAGTTAGAGAAAGACCATGCACATTAAAAAGTTAAATAGATGTCAAACCATATTTCCACAAAGCAAATCACCCTCTCAAAACTATTTCCTTGGAATTTAAAGTGTCATCTATACTTTGATGCCATTAAAATAAAATATTAACATTGATGATATCTAGGTTAGAGGTAACTTTTAAAAATTTATAGTTTTCTGTGTAGTAAAAATATGTAGTATTTATATAATTTTTAAGAAAAGCATTTTAATAAAATATAACAGTATTTTAAATCTGTAAAAATCTGCACTGGCTACTAGAAGGCTCAGTGCTAGAATGAGTCAGGCTATACAATAAACCCTTAAAAAACCCGACAGCATGACTGAGCAAAAATACTTTTGAGGCTCCAAATGCTCCCTGACACTACACACTAATCAACAGGACCCTGGAAAAGGGTAGCAAACAAGAACTTGGAGCAAATGTATTCAAGTAATGAATGTCTCCATTCATTCATTACTTGAATACATTTGAAATTCATGGCTCATTCAAACTCAAAACCCAACATAGACCAAACCCTCTGGTCCATGTTGATCTCTTGCTTGCCTGGTTATTGCACATCTCATGGTTAGTTTGCCTCTTCCCCTCTAGTCTACCCGGTAAATGATGTGAAAATAATAATAATATTACTCAAAACTTATAGAATGTTTATTGTGTGCTCTCACATATTAATTCAATCTTCCTAAAACATGTTATTATTTTCAAAAACTTTCAGAGGCTTCCTCTGACCAAACCATTAAATTGCATTGCTTGGCACTCAGGGACCCCCAAAATATAACCCTAATCTTTCTTCCCAATTATAGTTAGGGAGATAGCCACGTTATTAGAGAGCTGGAAGGGACCATCTATTACATTTTGTTTTAGGGAGCCAGTGAATGCAGGCATTGTAAAAGTGACCTGCGTGGAAGCCTACAGCTTTTAGGGTCAAAGGACTAGCACCCAGGTCTTGTGTCTCCCAGGCCCACCCCACAGCTTTGCCACAGGGACATTTACTCACTTTGTTTACCTCCCTTGTAATCCCTTTGCCTTCTCGGCCATCTTATTGACATCTTTCAAGGTCTAAGTCAAGCATCCCTTATATGATAAAGGTTTTTTCCTGATCACATCACTTCACAGTGATTTCTTCACTCCTTTGAGCTAAAGCTATTTCAATCTATAAGGTAATAAACTACATCTTGTCTCATCATGTTACTTTTGTTGTCCTGCTGCTTGTTCTTATCTGATTTTTGTGTGTGACCTTCTCCTTATTTAAAGTGCAAATTATTAAGTTATTTTAGTTGAAAATGTAGTACATTCACACTGGAAAAATAAGTACAAAAAGATATGCAGTGAAAAGTCTCCCTTAGATGCCAGACACTCAATCCTTCTTCCTAGGGACAATCACAGTTATCAGTCTCTTTTATAATCTTCCAGAAATATTCTGTGTATAGACAAGCACACATGTGAAATAGACATCATACATCATTCTCCACCTCGCCCTTTTACTTACCAATGATTATGGAATGATTGCACAGTAACATAGAGCTCATTCATTCTTTTTAACTACTGGATATACCATAATTTACTTAACCAGCCTCTCTAATTTACAAGTTTTGAGGAATAGTTGATATACAATAAATATTGAATGAGTAAGAATGTTTGAAATATGGTTGTATTAATTTCTTAAGTCTCATAAAGAGAAAATACAGGCTGATGTGATGTGATAAATATACCACTTACCCTAACCTAGTATATCTGGGTGAAGGAAAAAAACAATCTAATAGAAGTTAATTGTGAGCTCTTCAGAGGAACAATTTAAAACCTACCAAAAAGCAGTTTGTATTTGATTAAATGACCTTTTATCCCAAATGTAGGAATTTATTTTCAGAAACATTTATTGGCCACCTGCTTTGCTCAATAAACACTGTGTTGATTGCTGTTAGAACTATATAGATGTGTAAGAACCTGACCCTGTCTTTAGGAAACTTTGAGTCTAATACTGGAAATGACTGGAAGGCTGTACTCTGAGAGAGGTCCAAGGGAAGTAGGATAAAACCACAGGGAAGAGATGTGGTAATTCTGTCTTGAGGTCTCAAATTGGAACTAGAAATAGAGAGATGTAGGTGCATGCAAATTGAGATCACATAAATGTAGTATTATGTAATATTTGACACACATAATGCCAGTGTTAAAACATAACTGAGCACGTATGAATCCATACTCAATCAAGAACATTACTGATACTGAAGTTAACTATGTAGTTCTCCCCAGTCTATCTCCCTGTCTGCCTTCTAGAAGTACCATCTGATCACTTTTTATTCTGTCTTCTACTCTTCTTGAAGAGCTAGTTATATCCATGGATAGGTATATTTACCTTGGTCCTGGTATCAGAAATGGATTAGAAGCTCCCTCTGCTGGTTTCATGTATAGATACCAACTGTTTAGACTTTTGCATAAGTGATACCATCACAGTAACTGCAATTATAATTATTTTTTATTGTACCTACTATGTGTATTAAATATTTTGCATATCTCATTTAAATTTTATAAACACTCTGTGAAGGAGGTAGTGGTTTTCCAGATTTATGTATGAGGAAACTTAAGGCTCAATGAGATAAGTAATTTGCCCAAGGTTACATATCTGTGAAGGGCAGAACTGAGATTTGAACCCTGATCTGACTCTGAAGCTGTGCTCTTCCTTGCTGTCACTTAAGATAATGTATCTAGAGCATTTAGTACAGTATCTGGCACACAGCAAACGCTCAGCAAATGGTAGCTATTATTACAGTGATTGGCAAGATGGTGATGAATAGAAAATTGGCAAAAAACATGTAAAATAACTCTTTGAAGTAAAGCAACATTAGGATTTGGAAACAGATATAAGAGTAACAATTGTGTAAATAAAATATCCTCTTCAAGTATTTCAGAGACAAGTGACAGCTACAGCCTAGGGAGGAATCACATGACATACAAGACCTTTAGGTCTATTTCCTGCTTCATCGTCTCCCATTCTCCCAGGCATTCTATGCTAGTCAGGTGGTTGACTTGCAGTTTACTGAATGGTTTATGCACTCTCATGCCTCCTTAACTTAGCAACTGCTGCTTCCTTTCCCTGAACTCGTTCACTTGGCTAACTCCTGCTTACCCTTTAGGATTGGGCTTGAGTGCCACCTCTCCCAGGAAGCCTTCCTTAATTTGCCAAGTTAAGTAAGTTCATACAAATAATGTAACAAATTTTTAAAGAAAGTAATCCACCTATTACCCTTTTATCTAAGTAAAACATTCATGCCAAAACACAATTTTCAAAACATCCCGCCCAATGTAACAAATTTTTAAAGTAATCCACCTATCACCCTTCTATCTAAGTAAAACATTTTAAAAATCCCTTAAGTTGTCCATATGTATTTATATTTTTCATATAACAGTTCATGGTTTTGTGTTTTTTTCTTATACAAAAACTTTTGGCTGGGTGCAGTGGCTCATGCCTATAATCCTAGCACTTTGGGAGACCGAGGCGGGTGGATCACAAGGTCAGGAGATCGAGACCAGCCTGGCCAACGTGGTGAAGCCCTGTCTCTACTAAAAATACAAATTAGCCGGGCGGGTGGCTGGCGTCTGTAGTCCCAGCTACTCGGGAGGCTGAGGCAGGAGAATTGTTTGAACCTGGGAGGTGGTGCAGTGAGCCGAGATTGCACCACTGCACTCCAGCCTGGGCAACAGAGCGAGACTGTCTCAAAAAAAAAAAAAAAAAAAAACTTATAAAACTTTTTCTGTTTTTCTTTTTCTTTTTTGGGGGGGTTGGGGACAGAGTCTCGCTCTGTTGCCAGGCTGGAGCACAGTGGCACGGTCTCGGCTCACTGCAACCTCCGCCTCCTGGGTTCAAGCGATTTTCCTGCCTCAGCCTCCAAGTAGCTGGGATTACCGGCATGCGCCACCACGCCTGGCTAATTTTTGTATTTTTAGTAGAGATGGGGGTTTCACCATGGTGGCCAGGCTGGTCTCGAACTCCTGACCTTATGATCCACCCGCCTCGGCCTCCCAAAGTGCTGGGATTACTGGCGTGAGCCACCACGCCCGGCCCTTTTTCTGTTTTTCAACTTAACTATGGCAAGTATGTTTTCCCCTTTGTTACCAAATATAATTATGAATCATGCGAGAGGTTTTGTATTTTCCTCGATTGTGTACCCAACACCATGGTAAAGAATACGTGCAAGAGGTGCCAGCCATGGTGGTTCACAGCTGTAATCCCAGCACTTTGGGAGGCCAAGGCGGGTGGATCACTTGAGGTCAGGAGTTTGAGACCAGCCTGCCCAACATGGTGAAAACCCGTCTCTACTAAAAATACAAAATTACCCGGGCGTGGGGGTGCACACCTGTGATCCCAGCTACTTGGGAGTCTGAGGCGCACACCTGTAATCCCAGCTACTTGGGAGGCTGAGGCAATAGAATCGCTTGAACCTGGGAGACGGAGGTTGCAGTGAGCCGAGATGGTGCCACTGCAATCCATCCTGGGTCACAGTGAGACTCCGTCTCCAAAAAAAAAAAAAAAGAATATGTGCAAGAGAACACAAAAGAATAATACATGGTCCCTGCACTCTGGGAGCTTATAATCAGTTTGAGGAAGGGAGGCATCTGGATACATATGGGGTCCTTTGTTGCTGACACATGACTAAGTGGTCTAATTTTGAATGTAGTTTAGAATTCTTGTATCTTAAACATATTATTCTATAGCCACAAGTATTTTTGTTTTGCCTACTCAAATATGTACAGATTTGTACCAAACAATCTCTTCACACAGATGAGAAACAGGTGAACATTGGAAAGGTTTCAAAATGTTACTGGCAACTTCAATTTAATATTAAAGTGCAGTTCGGCTCAGTGGCTTACGCCTGTAATCCCAGCACTTTGGGAGGCCAAGGCAGGCAGATCACCTGAGGTAAGGAGTTCAAGACCAGCCTGGCCAACATGGTGAAATCCTGTCTCTACTAAAAATACAAAAATTAGCCTGGTGTGGTGGCAGGCACCTGTAATCCCAGCTAGTTGGGAGGCTGAGGTAGAATAATTGCTTGAACCCAGGAGGCAGAGGTTGTAGTGAGCTGAGAGTGTGCCACTGCACTCCACCCTAGGTGACAAAGTAAGACTGTGTATCAAATAATAATAATAATAATAATATTAAAGTGTGATATAAATTTCTAGTCTGGCCAGGCGCAGTGGCTCACACCTGTAATCCTAGCACTTTGGGAGGCCAAGGTGGGTGAATCACCTGAGGTCAGGAGTTCGAGACCTGCCTGGCTAACATGGCAAAATCCCATCTCTACTAAAAATACAAAAATTAGCCAGGTGTGGTGGCGGGTGCCTGTAGTCCCAGCTACTCAGGAGGCTGAGGCAGGAGAATTGTTTGAACCGGGAGGCGGAGGTTGCAGTGAGCCAAGATCACACCATTGCACACCAGGCTAGGTAACAGCGAGAGTCCGTCTCAAAAAGAAAAAGAAAAAAAAAAAAAAATATATATATATATAAAGAAATTTCCAGTCTGTGTATGCAGCTTTGAAGTTTTGAATTGTTTTTGTAAATGATGTAGTAAAAGGAAATGGGTAACCCAGAAGATTCTTTTAGAAAACAGGACCCTGGTGCTGGGTGTGGTGGCTCAAGCCTGTAATCCTAGCACTTTGGGAGGCCGAAGCAGGTGGATTACGAGGTCAGGAGTTCAAGACCAGCCTGGCCAACATGGTGAACCCTGTCTCTACTAAACACACACACACAAAAATTAGCAGGGCATGGTGGCATGTGCCTGTAGTACCAGCTACTCGGGAGGCTGAGGCGTGAGAATTGCGTGAACCCGGGAGGCAGAGGTTGCAGTGAGCCAAGATCATGCCACTGCACTACAGCCTGGGCGACAGAGCAAGACTCCATCTGAAAAAAAAAAAAAAAAAAGGAACAGGATTCTCTGCCTCTGTAACAGCTGTGGAAATTCTAGCCCAAAATAGGTGACCAGATTATTCCCTACCTGGTGAAATTAGTCTCAGTGCATTTCTCAGCAGAACAAATGTCAAGTGCTTATAGGTTTCTACTTAGATAGTAAAATGGCCCTTGCAGAACTGTTACTGATGAGAGAAAACAGGTAAGGAGACTGCAAGCAGACTTTGGGGATCATGTTTTTTGTAGTTCAGAGTTTTCCTCACCTCGGGCTAGTGGTACAGCACATTCATTGTTATCCAGTGGAAAAATCTAACTTGCTAGAAATGAGAAAACTTCTATATAAATATTAGCACAGGTACCCTTGACTCCAAAAGATCTGTTATCACATCTTAATCCAAAGAGTCACTGGCAAAACATAATTAATTCTTCATCTAATTTTAGTGCTCACATGGAGTGGCCAAGAAGAAGTAGTGAGTCATACCTCTCAAGTGCAGCTGTCCAACAGGTAACACTGACTGGAAATTTGCATTTATCCAACGAAAAATCATTTACTTCATAGCTAACAGCTATTTATACAGTATGTACTTAACCAGGCTTCTGGAAACAAAACTAATATGGACAAACCCAAAAGTATAAAGGAGCAGTGTTTTATATTCTTTGATTTCTTATCTGAAGGTAGATCTAAGAGTGCTTTGCAAGCTTTTTCAGATAACACAGTTGACATTTAAATGGTAAAACATGTTATTTGTAGACAGTGATTTACTGCTTCTCTACCTAAACATCTGAGCCCCACTCTGTCACCAGGCTGGAGTGCAGTGGCGCGATCTCGGCTCACTGCAGCCTCCGCCTCCCGGGTTCAAGCGATTCCCCTGCCTCAGTGTCCCAAGTAGCTGGAATTACAGGCATGCGCCACCATGCCCAGTAATTTTTTGTATTTTAGTAGAGACGGGGTTTCACCATGTTGGTCAGGATGGTCTTGATCTCCTGACCACATGATCCACCCGCCTTGGCCTCCCAAAGTGCCGGGATTACAGGTGTGAGCCACCGTGCCAGGCCAACAATTTTCTTAATGTAGAAGATAATTTGTCCACACCACTTAAAAATGAATATCTATTAATCACACACAAATAGAACTGGAAATCAGTCTAATATGAATGGATAAGCCATATTATATGTTCAGGCAAAAAAAAAAGTGTAACACACAGATCCTTGTATCTTTTGCTTTTATCCAGAGGCCTTCCAGGGGTCTGTACCGCATAGGCAGGACTCTACACAGAATTTATACTCATGGCATTTGTTGTTTCACCGTCATATAACATTTTCCTGAAGTCTGAGAGGTGGTGATCTTTAGCTTTCAAAGCCATCAGCTTATGACTTTTAGAATATAACAACTGGAAAAAGTGTTCTCTTTCTTGAGAAGATTAGTGTATGGTATAATTCATTCTAATCTGATTATACAATCCTGCATTTATACTTTTTAAAAGGAAGAAATTTAAGTGTTTATGTATTTTTATCATTTATAAAAGAATGTATGCTTATTATAAAACTTCAGATACTGCAGATATCTATAAAATATTAAAAGAAAAAGCTAAGGTAATTCCATTTTTCAGAGACAACCATTTTTAACAATTTAGTGTCCACATGTCCAAAAAATTTTTTTTCTACTCAGGAGGCTGAAATGGGAGGATCAGTTGAGCCCAGGAGTTTGAGACCAGCTTGGACAACACAGAGACCCTGTCTCTAAAAAGAAAAAATTGTTTTTCAATGCTTCTACAAATGTATAATAATATAGATTTATGCTATCCATACTATCTTGCAACTTCATTTCTTTCCTTAATGATGAAATCTCAGACATTTTTGCACATTGTACATGTAAATCTACCTTATTCTTCTCAAAAGCTACATGGTACTACGCTTGGTAGTGATTTAACCAGTCCTCTTTTGATGAGTTGTTTCCAAATATTGCAGACATGCTTATTATGTACATCTTTGCACACTTGAGCATACTGCTGTAAGATAAATGCCTAGAAGAGGAATTTCTAGATCAGACGTTACCAAATCTTCTTCTTAAAAGGTTAGATCACTTTACATTCTCAATAGCAGTTATGAGAATGCCTGTTTACAGTTTCTCCAAATTAGTTATCAGTCTTTTTAATTTTTGCCAATTATCGATAGGCAAATTGGTATTTATTGTTTTAATTCATATTGGTTAAATATCAATGGCAGTGAACATTTTTTATGTTATTAGGCCATTTGTATTTTCTTTGAACTGCCTATCTGACATCTTAGGAAAAGTTTAAATAAACATTAGATTAGATTATCTATAGGCTTCCCTAACAATTGCTGCATAACTCTTGTTTCTGTCATAGAAACATCTAATTAATACCTTAGCCAGAATGTAAAACTAAATGTGCATATTTTATGCATTTTCTGAGATCACGTATTTTTGTAACCTAGAGCCATGGAACTGCTAAGAGTAAAAGGTCAAAGATCCTGGTCTGTTGGACTATCAGTAGCTGACATGGTTGACAGTATTGTAAACAATAAGAAGAAAGTGCATTCTGTATCAGCTTTAGCAAAGGTAATTGCTATTCTTATTCTCTTATTATATTTTAAACTTAGATATTATTAATACAAAACTAACAAAATCATTATTCATACTCTAACCCCAGGTGTCTTCAGTATCACCAGCTTTTAGAGTAACAGGTAGGAGAAGGCAGTTTAGTTTAAGCCCTATCCTGCTTAGCTATGAGAAGTCTGCCAGCTTGGGCAACATAGTGAGACCCCAACTTTACAAAAACAAAAACAAAACTTTGCCAGGCATGTGACAACCACTCAGTAGGCTGAGGTGGGAAAATCTCTTGAGCCTGGGAGGTTGAGGCTGCAGTGAGCCATGATCATGTCACTGGACTCCAGCATGGACAACACAGCGAATCCCTGTCTCCAAAGATAACATTTTGACTGGGGGCAGTGGCTCACGCCTGTAATCCCAGCACTCGGAGGCCGAGGCAGGTGGATCACTTGAGGTTAGGAGTTTGAGACCAGCCTGGCTAACATGGTGAAACCCCTCTCTACTAAAAATACAAAAATTAGCCAGACATAGTGGCGTATGTCTGTAATCCCAGCTACTCGGGAGGCGGAGGTTGCAGTGAGCACCTCTGCAACTCCAGCCTGGGTGACACAGCGAGACTCAGTCTCGAAAACAAACAAACAAAAAAAGTGTGGACTTCTATCAGGTTGCCTTCTCACCCTCATGTGATTTTTGGTAACCCCCAAATAGTGTTTATATATCCATAAATTTCTTCTTACTGTCATTTATCATCTCAGCCAGCCAAGTCACCCCAGATTTATGTGCCAGAAAGACAAATATCACATATTCTTACTCATGTAACCCCCAAATAGTGTTTATATATCCATAAATTTCTTCTGACTGTCATTTATCATCTCAGCCAGCCAAGTCACCCCAGATTTATGTGCCAGAAAGACAAATATCACATATTCTCACTCACGTGGGAGCTTTTTTTTTTTTTTTTAAAGTTGATCTCATGGAGGTAGAGAGTAGAGTGTTGGTTACCACAGGCTGCGGTTGGGGGATAGAATGAAAAGCAGTTGGTTAATGGGTACAAAAATAGATAGGAATAAATTCTAGTGTTCAACAGCACAGTAGGGTGAGTGTGATTATTAATAATTTATTGTACATTTCAAAACAGCTAGAAGAAGCTGGGTGTGGTGGCCCATGCCTGTAATCCCAGCACTTTGGGAGGCCAAGGTGGGAGGATCACTTGAGCTTAGGAGTTCAAGATCAGCTTGGGCAATATAGAGAGACCTCATCTCAAAAAAAAAAAAAAGAAAAGAAAAGAAAAGAAAAAATAGCCAGAAGAGACCATTTGGAATGTTTTCAACACAAATAAATGATAAATGTTTGAGGTGATGGATAGCCCCATTACCCTGATTTGATCATTACATGTTATATGCATATATTGAAATATCACATGTACCCCACAAATACACACTCTTATGGTACCAGTTGTTTTATTTTTTAAAGAAGCTATTGTCATGACTGTGCCCAGAGACCATCCCATGCCCCTCCCCAGGAAATACATTCTTAACTATCTTTTTTCTTAGCCCCCAACCTCCTACCCATATTGCAGGGGGGGCTAGCTTGCTTCTCTACAAAGTGGGTGTCTGACCAAGTTGCTTCCATCTCTCAAAAATTTTCTGAAATGATAACAAGTTTATAGAATCAATGAATGATTGTGAGGTCTGGACTTCTAAAAATAAAATAAGTAAATGAACAAAAAAATTTTTTTAAGTCCAACTTGTATCACTTTGTCCTAGTTAAGAAAGCAAGAAAGTATGCATTTTTGTATTAACTTCTTTGCAATGATTTAGTTCTATTAAATCCCTATTTTTCTCATTTCAGGGATATTATGATATAAATAGTGAAGTGTTTTTAAGTTTGCCTTGCATCCTTGGAACCAATGGAGTATCTGAAGTTATCAAAACCACACTGAAAGAAGATACAGTTACTGAGAAACTCCAAAGCAGTGCATCCTCAATCCACAGTCTCCAACAACAGTTAAAACTTTGATTCTCAAATGCAATTTGAGAGGCTGGACTTCTACCTAAAGGGAAAAGTCATTTAATTTTACCTATATATAGGTTTGAGGATTTCTGTATCCTGCTACTTACTTTTACAAACTGCTTGGTTAAAGTAGAGGGTTTCTTGATTAGCTTTGTGATGTAAATCCTTAAGGAGTTATACAAGGAGGGGAAAAATTAATTTTATTTGGGGTTCTTGAGATATCTATGCTGTTCTTTAAATCTACAGCAGGGGTAAACATTCATCTGCAGTGTGCATCAATTTAAATCATATATCCTAAACTAAAAGCACAATTCATACTTCGGGAATATTTTATAAGTAATATATCTTTAAAAGAAAATTACCCTTTGACTTTTATAATCAACATAAGTTCCAGGCCCAGTATGGATTTACAAAATCTGTGTCAGTTGTACATTCACAGGATCCACAGCTTAAGTTACTAATGTTTCTTGTGTAAAATCCTGTTGGTAGTAATAGTAAAGCATTGTATTTCCCTTCTTCAAATTAATTACCTACCAAAAAATGGAAAAGAATTTTACATGCACTTTAAAATAGTAAAATGGAAAGTGAATTTTTAAAATATATGCATTAAAAGTTTACTTTAATTTCCAGTGGGACTTCCTTTATGAAATTTTCCATAACCTCTTCCTGGAGTATTACAAGATCTCCAACATCTCATAAACTAATTGTGATATTAGTGGAACCATAAGCAAATATATATTTTTAGTGGAAATAGATTATGAATGAAAGCCAAGCACCTTACTTTAAAGCCAAAATATGAGATTTTCATTAAAAACATTGGTCATAATAGGGAGAGGTTTTTTATTTGTTCTGAGCAAATCCTTTAACCTCTCCTGATGATACAGTTCAGAGTACACACACTTTGGTGATGGATCAAGAGCAATATTTTCTTATGTGAAAGATAGCTTATTATTACTATTGTGACATACAACTAATAGTAACAGTTAACATCAACACTTCATATATACCAGGCAGCATGATAAGCACTTTATTATTTTACTGAATCCTCACAACAGACCACTGAGGTAGGGACTATTGCCATCATCATTTTATAAAAGGAAATTGAGGTTTAGTCCTCAAGAAGTCTTGGCTATTAAGGGGCACTTATCCATACAACCTCTACTTTTTCTAGGCACTAAAAGGGGGAAAAGGCTTAATAGCCAAAATAGTTATCAAAAGACCCTAAAGCTGGGGTCCTGTACACCATGAAAGGATTACTTTCATTCTCATGTAAGGGCATGCTTTTATAAAAAACAAACATGGGCTAGGCGCAGTGACTCACGCCTGTAATCCCAGCACCTTGGGAGGCTGAGGCGGGCAGATCACGAGGTCAGGAGATTGAGATCATCCTGGCTAACATGGTGAAACCCTGTCTCTACTAAAAATACAAAAAGTTAGCCAGGCGTGGTGGCAGGTGCCTGTAGTCCCAGCTACTCGGAAGGCTGAGGCAAGAGAATGGCGTGAACCCGGTAGGTGGAGCTTGCAGTGAGCAGAGATCGCGCCACTGCACTCCAGCCTGGGCGACAGAGCAAGACTCCGTCTCAAAAAAAAAAAAAAAAAGTTTAAAAATTAGCCAGGTGTGGTGATGTGCACCTGTAGTTCCAGCTACTCAGGAGGGTGAGGCAGGAGGATCACTTGAGCCCAGAAGTTCAAGATTGCAATGAGCTATGATCATGCTACTGCACTCCAGCCTAGGCAACAGAGTGAGACCCTGTCTCTAAAAAAATAAAAATAAAGCAAGCATATAATAGGTTAATCCAGATGGAGTTAGGAGGGTTTATAAGGGCAGACACATCCTAGTAAAGAGGAAATAGGCAAACTAATGCTGTTTTAGTGTAATAAGGAATGCTTATAATGATGAACTTTAGTCATAAAGAAAAGGTGAAATTATATTCAGTAACCCATGTTAGGAAAGCAGAAAACTATTTAATATGCTTGGAAAGATTCCAACCAGAGTTAACTGAATAAAAACCTTGGACATTTGAAGAGAAAAGCATTTAGTTCTATCTAATTTCAATATGCACGTGAATTAGTTCATGTTACTCTAACAATGTATTCTTACTGTCCTTTTTTATGAAATAGGAAAGTAAAACTGAAAGAACTATTTCTTGTGTTTTTAAAACTAGCCTTTTCTAATATTTGATATCTAATTAAAGTTAGATAATATGTAATATGCTTTTGAACAATAATCTAACCAGAAAATATTGTATAATAAATTACCAAGAAATCATTACATTAATTATAAAAGGAACATGTCAATACAACAAATGTTTATTTAACACCTACTGTTACTCCAAATACTGTGTTAGAATTTGACTATTCGAAGATGAATAATAGTCTTTGCCCTCTGGAAGGCCACAATGTAGAAGTAATTCTCTGTATCAGATATTTCCTTGAGTGTTAAGTGTATTAGTAATCATGTTGTAAATCCCAGTGTAAGTCAAGAAGCAATATCACCACCACCACCTCCCTATGATTTTGTGATAATTTGGCATTTTCAATGCTTGTTAACTTTCATGTTTTCATTTTTATGAAATCATGCAGAGCTTGTTATAATTTTTAGTGGGGTTTGGATTAAAATGCTTTTTTGATGTAGCAGAAGATACATTTTTTCCCATTTTACATTGTTTTCCTTAAATATTAAGAATAATGAGTAAAATAAACTGATTTTAAAATCACCAGGAGATGCTTCATTTATTAAGTGAAACATTCAGATTAAGGAATTTTTTTCATATAATTCACACAGTACCCAGGATATTTAGTTATTTTGTGTAAAATGAAGAGACTAGATTTTATCATTTTCAAACTTTTAAAAATTATTTTTAGCAAGAAAACTTTTTAAATCTTTTTGTTTTTGAGCCAGGTTCTCACTATATTGCCCAGGCTGGACTCAAACTTTTGGGCTCAAGTAATCCTCCTGCCTCAGCCAATGGAGTAGCTGGGACTGCAGGTGCACCATCAGCTTATTTGTGTTTTCATCTGTGATAATCGGAGGATTTAAAATTCTCCACTAATATACGTGAGGATAGAAATCAAAATGCCTAATGAGTGGAAAAAAACTCATCTTTAGTGTTGAAATGGCAAGCAACTTTCAAAAGCATTTCAACTACTATTACCTTCACATTAAAAAATTAACTGATTTTGCATATTTCTAAAACCACAAAGACATTTTCCCCACACACATTCAATCCTCCATGGTTCCAATGAAATAGATAAGAAGTTAACACTTTATATTGAGGTATAGTGTTGACCCTAAAAGATTGCAAAAGACTGATAGTAAACATGCAGCAAGAAAGCTTTTTTAAACAATATATTGCTGGGCACAGTGACTCACACCTGTAATCCCAGCACTTTGGGAGGCTAAGGTGGGAGGATCACCTGAGCCCAGGAGTTCTGAGGCCAGCCTGGGCAACAAAGTAAGACCTCATCTTTACAAAGAAATTAAAAATTAGCTGGGCATGGTGGCACACGCATGTGGTCCCAATATACATGGGAGGCTGAGGCAGGAGGATCACTTGAGCCAGGGAGGTCGAGGCTGCAGTGGGCCATGTTCACATCACTGCACCATGACCTGGGCAACAAAAATATATAAATGGGCTGGGCGCAGTGGCTTACGCCTGTAATCCCAACATTCTGGCAGGCTGAGGCGGGTGGATCACCTGAGGTCAAGAGTTCCAGACCAGCCTGGCCAACATAGTGAAATCCTGTCTCTACTAAAAATACAAAAAATTAGCTGGGTGTGGTGGTGGGCACCTGTAATCCCAGCTACTCGGGAGGCTTAGGCAGGAGAATCGCTTGAACCCGGGAGGCAGAGGTTGCAGTGAGCCAAGATCACACTATCGCACTCCAGCCTGGGAAGCAAGAGCAAAACTCTGTCTCAAAAAAAAAAAAAAAAAAAAAAAAAAAAAATATATATATATATATATATATATATATATATATATGTAAAATTTATTTTAATATTTATAAATGTTGCATTTATAAAATATATAAATAATATATATTACCTGGCATTCCTCCAACTCACAAAGGTACAGTTGCTCTAATTAAAGGGACTCCTGGTTAAGCCGTGGCTTTAAGAACAGTTTGAAAACCTTCTTGCTTTTAAAAGACATAAAACAGCAAGTAAAATGGAAGGACAGACAGACCTCTAGTTTGGTTTGACTGGAGCTGTATGCTTAACTAAGGAGCTGAAAAACAGAGGCGGAGGTTGCAGTGAGCCGAGATGGTGCTACTGCACTCCAGCCTGGGCGATGGAGTGAGAGTGACTCAAAAAAAAAAAAAAAAGAAAAAGAAAAAGAAAAACAATACCTATTAATAGCCTTTATTTGTGCGTGTTAGCAACAGTTTATAATGATGCTTCCACATGCTTTCAGTTAGGCCCTCCTTGTGAATGTGACCTTCACTTAGACGCCAACTTTGAAGGGAATCAATACTACGGCCTTGTTCTCATTAGGGCTGTACTAAAATAATTGAAACTGTCACACATCATCAAACTCAAAATTTTACAATACCTTGAATGACACTGTGCTTACAAAACTGACGGTGATGTGTAATGATGACTAATGTAAGTCACCATGAAGAATTTTTATGGGAAGTAAAAATTCAATTAAGATGGAAGTACCTACCCTTGCATTGTGCAAGGCAATGAAGATCTGAAGGAAGCCTGCCTTCAAGGGCTTGGATTTTGACAGCGGACAGGTACACAAATACAGCACCAGGTAAAATACGGCCTGTATTATCATTTATGGGTGGGTACAGAGGAGAAATTCTGACTTACGGAATGATTTCCTGGAGAAGAAATTACTATCTGGCTTCTTGTGAAACAAAGGCTCTACACTTTACCCTTGCCAACGTATAGTATGAAGGTCTTTAAGCTTAAAAAAAATCATTAATTAGAGGACCACTGGGCATCATCTAAGGCAAGTGTATGACTTTAGAGTCGGGAGAAATTTGCGCCTGAGCTAGAAATGCACTAGCCTACCATTATCACAAGAGCAAGTCAGTGACAGAACAGTTCTCTGACCGCCAGTGCAGTGCCCTCCCACTTGATCAATCAGTCATTAAGGCTCACTGGCAAGCCCTTCGTACTTCTTCCCTCTCCGGCACTAGCTTCCTTAAGTCGACTCTGTGAAATACCTGCTAATCTTATCCTGAACCAGAGTTTCGACCCTCGGAACAGTCTTGCCCACATCTTTGGGACCCGATTCGTCCTGCTGATTCCGGCACTCGAGGGGCGGGTTGGTTGGAACCCACCCCACCAGGCCCCTCTCAATCCCACACGGTGTCCACCCTTGCCCGCAGGACGGCGGCCCGGAAGTGACGTAGTGGAAGCGGAAGTGGTGTAGTGGTGCCGACTTCCTGTTGTTTGAGGCCGGGTTGGGGGTGTGCGATTGTGTGGGACGGTCTGGGGCAGCCCAGCAGCGGCTGACCCTCTGCCTGCGGGGAAGGGAGTCGCCAGGCGGCCGTCATGGCGGTGTCGGAGAGCCAGCTCAAGAAAATGGTGTCCAAGGTGAGGCTGCGACGCGCTCGCCTCCCAGGGCGCGCCCACCGCTCCCTTCCGCGCCCTGTCGAGTCCGTCCCGGCCCAGCCAAGCAAGCTTCCCAGACGGGCCGGAAGCCCCGGTGCAGTCCTTAGCGACCTCCTCAGAACCCCGCCCCGAGGCGCCTGTCGCCTGGTGCGGGAATCCCCGTACGGGAGCTGGGAGGGTGGGGGACGGCGACAGTCAACAAAGGCGTGGAGCGGAGGCTACCTGACACCTGCCGCCCACCCGCCCTCCTCTCTTCCACTGAGTTTGGAGCTGTCTGTGGGGCAGTGTAGTTTTTCGTTTGTTTTTATAAACACAAACAAGGGATCATACTTAGTTGTAGATCTGAGGCAATCCTCTACTCCTGTCCCAATCTAGGGATCCTCCAGTCTTAGCCTTTCTTTTGCCGACCCGCAGAGAGTGTGGCCTTTTCAGTTTTGTATTCTCCAGAAAAGAAGCGAAAATACCAGTCCCTTACTGCCCCAGGTGAAATACATACCATTACCATTTCAGGGATTTTCTAAGAGTAACTACTTTTAAGTGTATGCTTCTTATAACGCGTATTTATTTGCTTTGAGCTTAATTTATGATCTTCACGGCTCAAGACTAGTGTTTTTTTTTTCAATTTTTAAAAAAGCAGTTAAGCATTTTGTATTTTAAAGCCATGATTTATTTATATAATTACTTCAAACGTGGCACCTCACACCAGAGTGGAATGGCTTTTGTTATGTTTTGTTGTAATTTTCCAAAACTATGTAAAATGATTGAGAGTTGAGTCTTGACCAGTTCAACGTGTTAGCTTGGGATAGTTTTGTCAAAGCAAGAATGGTAGCAATCAGCGGTTTAAGCGGTTTCAATTTTTAATAAAACACACTATTATGTGTAAAACTTTTTTAAAAACAGACTTTTTCCAGTTAAATCGCCCCCATAGTTCTTGATTGAAGACCAAATAATCTCTAAGGAGAAAATGACAGCTTTCAAAATAAAGCATATATTGGTTGTGTAATCGTATATTTTAGGCTTCTTGGTTTTGTTTTGATAAACTTGTTATCCTTAGTTATAGAAGACATATGGGAAGCCATAGAAGATTGTGACCCAGGTAAAGATCCATGTTGTAACTTTTATATATCACTTTTTGAAAAAAACGGTATATTGTTTTACATAGTATGTAACTGAAGAGTATCTGTTCCATGACTCTTTTTTTTTTTTTTTTTTTTTTAGAGTCTTGCTCTGTCACCCAGGCTGGAGTGCAGTGGCACGATCTTGGCTCACTGCAATCTCCGCCTCCCAGGTTCAAGCGATTCTCCTGCCTTAGCCTCCCAAGTAGCTGGGGATTACAGGTGCCCACCACTTCACACAGCTGATTGTTGTATTTTTAGTAGAGACGGGATTTCACCATGTTGGCCAGGCTGGTCTTAAACTCCAGACCTCAGTGATCCACCGCTTTGGCTTCCCAAAATGATGGGAATACAGGCGTGAGCCACCACACCTGGCCTCCATGACATTTTTGATCTTTAAATTGATAGCATAGTCATTAAGATTTAGTCCTTGGGCTGGGCGCAGTGGCTTACGCCTGTAATCCTAGCACTTTGGGAGGCCAAGGCGGGTGGATCACCTGAGGTCACGAGTTCAAGACCAGCCTGATCAACATGGTGAAACCCCGTCTCCTAAAATACAAAAATTAGCCGGGCATGATGGCGGGTGCCTGTAATCCCAGCCTACTCGGGAGGCTGAGATGGGAGAATCGCTTGAACCTGGGAGACGGTGGTTGCAGTGAGTCGAGATCAGGCCACTGCACTCCAGCCTGGGTGGCTGAGCAAGACTCCATCTCAAAAAAAAAAAAAAAAAGATTTATTCCTTAATGTATGTATATTCATATAAAGAGCAAGAATATTCAAATATTAGCTTATTTTTTATACCCTAATTAAGTTTCCTAAGCTTCCCTAGAGAAACCTGCCATCAAAGACAAAGGCAAGGCATGTTCAGAAGATATTTTATACCTCTACCTGCCTTCCCCTCCACCCAACCTGTGATTACTTTAGAAACAAAAACAGAGGTAGGGAAGAGGTGGGAGAGGGCATCCTACCTGCCTTTTGGTCCTTGACTCAATATCTGGAAAATTGAGACTCCTGTATGTGATTATGACGATTCTGAGCATCAGCATTAGTACTGTCCAACCTATGAATTTTAGACAGGTAAGAATAGGAAGTAAAGTAATAGAAGCAGTTGTGGGGCTCCTTCCTCCTAAAGAAGGGCTTCAAATGTTTTCCTTTCAGCTGGTGTGGTCTGATGTAAGAATTGTTAGCCAGGACCCTGAACACATAGCTAGGGTGAAGGTCATTATTGTTTTCTCTTTATCTGATTGTAGGCTCTCCACACACATCATGGTACTCTGGCCACCTGCCTTATGTTTTATGTGTTTATTATAAAAGGTCTTTTTTTCCCTTGAGCATTATCTTAGCTCCCAACTTCAACATAACTTTCAACACCTTTCTCTGTTATTTTTGCAATTAACAGATATATTTATACCAGATTAGTCCTTCTTCTTTTACAGAAACAACTTCCCACTTTAGATGTTTCATACATACAGCCACTTATATTTTTACATAGTTTATCTACAGCATTTCTAGAGGCACAGTCACTGCTAAATGAGTAGAAGAAAACTGTGGGCCTGGTGTGGTGGCTCATGCCTGTAATCCCAATACTTTGGGAGGTAGAGATGGGAGAATCCACTTGAGGCCAGGAGTTCAGGATCAGCCTGGGCAACATAGCTAGACTCTGTCTCTACAGAAAATTTAAAAATCAGCCAGACTTCGTGGCTTGCACCTGTAGTCCTAGCTACTTGAGAAGCAGAAGCAGGAGGATCACTTAAGCCCAGGAGTTCAAGGTTACAGTGAGCTATGACAGAGAACCTGTCTCAAAAAGTAAAAAATAAACATTTTAAACTATAACAAAATTGGCCAGGTGCAATGGCTCATGCCTGTAATCTCAGCACTTTGGGAGGCTGAGGTGGGCGGATCACTTGAGGTCAGGAGTTTTGGACCAGACTGGCCAAGATGGTGAAACCCCATCTCTACTAAAAATACAAAATTAGCCAGACATGGTGGCGCACGCCTGTAATCCCAGCTACTCGGGAAGCTGAGAAAGGAGAATTGCCTGAACCTGGGAGGCAGAGGTTGCAGTGAGCTGAGATCACGCCACTGCACTCCAGCCTGGGTGACAAAGCGAGAATCCATCTCAAAAACAAATAAATAAATAAAAATAATAAAATAAAGATTGATATGTCCCTCACTGTTTTAGGTTCTAGGGATGCAACAGTGAACAATCAGACAAAGAAACTGTGCTTCTGGAATTTAAATTCTTATAGAAGGCAATAAACAACTCAATAAATACATCAAGAAGTACGTTGGAAAGTGATAAGTGCTTTAGAGAAAATAAAGCAGGGAAGAAATGGGGAATGCTAGGGTGTGGAAATGGGATGAGTCACCGTTTTATATCTGATAGTAAAGAGAGGTCTTTCTGAAAAAATCTACTTGAGCTCACCTGAGAGAGGTAAAGAAACTGTGTGCTTGACATGGGGCTTACACCTGAAATCCAAACATTTTGGGAGGCGGAAGCTAGAGGATCACATTGAGGCCAGGAGTTCCAGACCAGCCTGGGCAACATAGCATGACCTTGTCTCTTCTCTACTAAAAATATAAAAAAATTAGCCAGGCGTGGTGCATACCTCTAATCCCAGCTGGTTGGGAGGCTGAGATGGGAGGATCACTTGAGCCCAGGAGTTTGAGGTTGCAGTGAGCTGTGATCACACCACTGTACTCCAGCTTGGGTGACAGAGCAAGATCCTGTCAAGAAAAAAACAAACCTGGAACAATCTGGGGTAAGAACATTTCAGAAGGAAGGAAAAACAAATGCAAAGACTCATAGACAGAAGTTTGTCATGCATGATAGAGGAACAACAAAGGAGGGTATGGTGGCTAGACTGGAGTGAGCAAGGGAGGAAAGTGGTGGTATGGGTCTAGACAGCATCAATGGTATGGGAGGTTTGGAGGGCCTTGCAGGCCATTGTAAGGACCTTGGCATTTACTTGGAGTATGATGAAAAGCCGTTGCTGTGTTTCAGCTGTTAGCAATATTACTCTAGATGCTATGCTGAGACTAGACTGTAGGGGGTTAACGATGGAGGCAGAGACACGTAAGGAGGCTGTTGCAGTAATCTAGGTGAGAGGTGCTGGTGGCTTAGACCAGGACTGTAGCTGTGGAGATTCCGGATGTATTTTGAAGGCAAAGCTAACAGGATATTTTGACAGATTTGCTGTGGATGTGAAGAAAAGAGAGGGCATCAAGGATAATGTCATGGTTTTTGGCCTGAGCACCTGGAAGGATATGTATGTATACACATATGGAAGACACTGGAGAAGTAAATTTGGGGAGAAGATGAGGAGTTCAGTTTTGGTCATGTTCAATTTGACATTTATTAGATATCCAAGGGAAATGTCAAATTGGTAATTGTATATATGTTTTCTGGAGTTCAGAGAAGAGGTTAAGATTGGAAAATTTTAATTTAAGGGTTTCAACATATAAATTAATTTTCAACCATGAGGGAGATCAAAGGAATGAGTTTAGATAGAGAAGAAGACCAAGGACTTAGCCTGTGCTCAATAATAATTGGTTAGGATAAGAGAACGAACCAGCAAAGAGACTGAGAAGGCACAGGCACAGAGTGCAGGAGAACAGTTGATGTCCTGGAAATCAAATGAAGAACATGTTTTAAGAGAAAGGGAGCTGGGCATGATGGCTCATGCCTGTAATCCCAACACTGTGGGAGGCTGAGGTGGACAGATTGCTTGAGTCTAGAAATTCAAGACTAGCCTGGGCAACATGCTAAAATCCAGCTCTATCAAAAATATACAAAAATTAGCCAAACACTGTGGCGCATACCTGTAGTCCCAGCTACTTGGAAGGCTGAGATGGGAGGATTGCTTGAGCCTGGGAGGTGGAGGTTGCAGTGAACTGAGATCACACCACCGCACTCCAGCCTGGGTGACAGCCACATGCTGTCTCAAAAAAAAAAAAAAAAAAAAAAAAAAGGAAGGGGCCAGGTGCAGTGGTTCATACCTGTAATACCAACACTTTGGAAGGCTGAGTTGAGAGGATCACTTCCAGGAGTTTGAGAACAGCTTGGGCAACATAGTGAGATCCTGTCTCTATGAAAAATTTAAAAATTATCCAGGTGTGATGGTGCATGCCTGTAGTCCCAGCTACTTGGGAGGCGGTGGTGGGAGTATCACTTGAGTCCAGGAGGTTGAGGCTGAAGTGAGCCATGATCATACCACTGCACTGTAGCCTGAGCGACAGAGTGAGACCCTATCTCAAAAAAAAAAAAAAAAAAAAAAAAAAAGGAATCAGTTTGGTCAAATATTGCTGAATCAGCTTGGTCAAATACTGCTGACAGGTGAAGTAAGACAAAGGTAGAATTGGTCATTACATATCATGTGGCAGTTATTGGTGACCTTAATGAACAATTTCAGTGAAATGCTGAGTGTAGAAGCCTAATTGGAGTGGATTTGAAGAGACCAGGTCTCTAGACGTTGAGCATCAGTGGTTGCTGATATCACAGAGATACTCAGATATATTGTGCTCCATGATGAAAAAACGTTATCCTCTATGAAGTGATCTTACCAGAGAAGAGGAGAAAAATATAAAAGCAAATTTTTTTTTTTTTTTTCCAAGACGGAGTCTAGCTCTGTCACCCAGGCTGGAGTGCAAGGGCACGATCTCGGCTCACTGCAACCTCTGCCTCCTGGGTTCAAGCGATTCTCCTGCCTCAGCCTCCTGAGTAGCTGGGATTATAGGTGCGGACCACCACGCCCAGATAATTTTTGTATTTTTAGTAGAGATGGGGTTTCACTGTGTTGGCCAGGCTGGTCTCGAACTCCTGACCTCGTGATCCGCCTGCCTCGGCCTCCCAAAATGCTAGGATTACAAGTGTAAGCCACCACGCCTGGCCGGAAATTTTGTAATCATGAAAATAACCTCTAGATCCAACTAACTCACAGAAACATATATCTATGAAACTATACTAAAGGGATACAATTAACACATTCCAAACTGTGAGAGCCTCTGTAGGACAAATGAACAAATTTCTTTAAGAAATAAATTCTAAGGAGCAAAAAAGAGATGTGCCCATCAGTTAAGTATTTTTCAGCTGAACAGTAGGTGAATAAAATGTTCAGTAAGAAGTGGGCCATACGTGCCTGTAAATCCCAACACTTTGGGAGCCTGAGGCAGGAGGATTGCTTGAGGTCAGGAGTTGGAGACCAGCCTGGGCAACATAGCAAGACCCTGTCTTTACAAAAATAAAAATAAATTAGCTGGGCATGATGGCACATGCCTGTAGTTCTGTATACTTGGGAGGCTGAGGCAGGAGAATCACTTGAGCCCAGGAGTTCGAGGTTACAGTGAGCTGTGATTGTGCCACTCTACTTCATCCTGGGCGACAGAGCGAGACCCTGTCTCCAAAATAAATAAAAGGAGTGAAATACAGATAAATGCTACAACGTGGATAATCTCAAAAACATGCTAAGTGAAATAATTTAGTCATGAAAGATCACATTGTATGAATAAGCAAATCTGTAGAGACAAAGTAAATTCGTGGTTGTCTAGGATGAAGGCTGGGGACAAGTAGAATGGGGGGTGATTGCTAAAGGGTATGGATTTCTTTTTAGGGATGGTGAAAATGTTCTGAAGTTGATTATGGTGGTGGTTACACAACTCCAAATGTACTAAAAACCATTGAACTATACTCTTTAAATGTGTGAATTATATGGTATGTGAATTATATCTTTAAAAAGCTATTAATGGTGAGTTAAATAATATAAATTATTGAGACGTTTTAACCAATGCAATGTGTGGACTTTATTTGGATCCTGATTCAAACTGAGAACATAAAAAACATGACTTGAGACTATAGATATTTACTGATGTTAAGAAAATAGTGATTATTTTAGTGTGATAATAGTATTATGGGTTTTTTAGGTTCTTTCAGGCTTTCATTAATGTTAACAATTAGTGGAAGAGATTTTAAGAAAATTCATCCAGCTGTAAAATATATGCATTGGTTTTAAACTAAATTCTTATGCGATTTTGCTTTTCAGTACAAATACAGAGACCTAACTGTACGTGAAACTGTCAATGTTATTACTCTATACAAAGATCTCAAACCTGTTTTGGATTCATATGGTGAGTTTATGCAGTAAAAATAGCAATTTCTATACTTTGAGTTTACTCTCTTTGTTAATGATTGTAATTTTTTCCATTTGAGGTTTGTGGATTTTTCAATTGTGGGATTGCACCACCGCCTAATAAAACTGTTGGAGGGTAGCAAATTAGAAGATCTAATAAAAACATTTCATATTTCTTTAGTTTTAGTTTTTTATGTTAAAAAAAAATACTGTACCTGGATGTGGTGGCTCATTTCTGTAATCCCAGCACTTTGGGAGGCTGAGGTGGGTGGACCACTGAGCCCAGGAGGTTGAGACCAGCCTGGGCAATATGGTGAAACCTCGTCTCAACAAAAAAATACTTAAAGTTGGCCTGGTGCTCCTGTAGTCCCAGCTACCCAGGAGGCTGAGGTGGAAGGATTGCTTGAGTCCAGGAGGCAGTCCAGGAGGCAGAGGTTGCAGTGAGCCGAGATCGGGCCACTGCACTCCAGCCTGGGCAACAGAGCAAGAACCTGTCTCAAAAAAATAAAAAACAAAACCTCTAACATAGAACTATGCAAATTTAAACCTAGGAGGGGATGTTAAAGATAATTTAGTCCATTTCCCAAAGTGTTGTCTGTAGACCCTTAGTTATGCTGGGAACAGGGGTAGAGGCAGAATTCTATAGTTAAGCTTGAGCAACTTATGGATTAAACAAAATTGAGTTTCATTGCATGAAGATTTATCAGAGCCTTTAGTATGCTAATGTGTTGTGTATCACCGAGACGAGCAAGAATATATTGTATAATACATCCTAAAGTTATTTAACTGCTGAACCTCCCTGCCCCCATAGTGTCTCTTTATATTTTCAGGAACACATTTTGCGAAACTATACTCTGGACTGTCCCTTTCATTTTATAGATGAGGAAAATGTTATTTAATGTGGTCTTTAATTCTGTAGAGTAGGTAAGCATAACAGTTTGTCTCTACTTTCTATTGAGACAAAGTTGTAAGGCAAGACAACGCTTGGAGTTTTCCTTATTTTAAAATAGTCTTTTCTGTCCCTACCAAATCCTAACATAATTTCTTCAACCCTGTCTCCTTGAAAATAATATGCCAGGGCCGAGGGAAAACCCATGCTGCTGCTTGTCCATTGTGAGTCCCTTAGCTCTGAAAGCAAGGAACTGAATTTTGTAGCTGAGACTTTCTAAATTTCATTTGCTTCCAAGGCTTTGAAAACATTAGGAAACTGGTGAAGAGAGGTGGGAAGCAACAGAGGGGCAATCAGTTCTGCATTTCCTGAACAATAAAGACATGAACCCAAAGTCCTCTTCCAAACCTAGGACACGATTCCTTCTCATCTCAGCCTACCTTATTTCTGTCTGCATACTATATGTACAATGGTATTTTGAACTACAAAGGCCTCACATTACCAAAATTAAAGTTAGTTTTTAAATGGCTTCAGTGGGGAGAAAAATGGTTGGAGCTAGAATTTTATAGTTTTTACTGCATATAAAAGAATAAATACATTTATCAAAACTGACAAAGACTCCATTATAAAGTCTTGTATAGTTTCATGTGGCTGGACTAAGTGTAAATCATTGTTAACAAATACTTTTAGAGTAAACAAAGCCCCAAATTTATATAAGGTGGTTTTCTTTTTTAAAATGCACAAAATCAGAATACATTGCGGTATAGCTTACATTCGTCAACAGTAAGTAAAATAACAAAGGTCAAGAATGTACAGTCGTGCATTTTGTAGTGATAGAGATATGGTCTGAGAAATGCATTATTTGGCAATTTCATCATTGAGTGTACTTAGACAAACCTAGATGGTATATCCTACTACACACCTAGGTTATATGGCATAGCCTGTTGCTCCTAGGCTACAACCTATACCAGATGTTACTGTACTGCATACCATAGGCAGTTGTAACACAATGGTATTTATGTATCTAACCGTAGAAAAGTTACAGTAAAAATACAGTATTATAATCTTATGGGACCAGTGTTCTTATGTGCAGTCCATTGTAGACCCAAACATTACACAGTAGATGGCTATAGTTCTATGTTTTTGTACTGCACATTACAACCTTTCCTCTATGGGTATAGTGTTAATTCCAAATTATTGTTAGAAATAATAGCTGTCCAATACAAACTATGTGCCATATTAATTATAGACATAAATTATAGATAGAAAAATGTGTGTGGTATGAGAAATACAGATTGAAAGAAATTGTTTATATTTGGCTATGAACTTTTCTTTTTTTCATTTTAATACTGGCTAAGGAGGCTGAGGCCAGGAGACCATTTGAGTCCAGGAGTTCAAGTCCAGCCCGGACAACTTAGACCCCATTTCTAAAAAAAAAAAAAGCTGGGCATGGTAGTGCACGCCTGTAGTCCCAGCTACACGGAAGGCTGAGGTGGGAGGATTGCTTGAGCCTAGAGTTTGAGGATAGCCTGCACAACATAGCAAGACCCTGTCTCCAAAAAACAATAATAAATAAATAACTGTGAGCGACTAGGGATAAATGTCTGCACATCTCTAAAATAGAAAGACAGTAGGTTAACATTTAGTATGGTATTGTTTGATAGTGTTTTTTTGTTTGTTTGTTTGCAGTGGAGTTTTGCTCTTGTTGCCCAGACTAAAGTGCAATGGGCACAGTCTCGGCTCACTGCAACCTCTGCCTCCTGGGTTCAAGCAATTCTCCTGCCTCAGCCTTCCGAGTAGCTGGGATTACAGGCATGTGCCACCACGCCCAGCTAATTTTGTATTTTTAGTAGAGATGGGGTTTCTCCATGTTGGTCAGGCTAGTCTCAAACTCCTGACCTCAGGTGATCCACCTGCCTCGGCCTCTCAAAGTGCTGGGATTACAGGCGCGAACCACCGCGCCTGGCCGATGGTGATTTTTAAATAGTTTTAAAAGTGACTCACACCTGTAATCCCAGCACTTTGGGAGGCCAAGGCAGGTGGATAACGAGGTTAGGAGTTCGAGACCAGCCTAGCCAACATGGTGAAGCCCCATCTCTACTAAAGATACAAAAAATTAGTCAGGTGTGGTGGCACGTGCCTGTAATCCCAACTACTCGGGATGCTGAGGCAGGAGAATCGCTTGAACCCAGGAGGTGGAGGTTGCAGCGAGCCAAAATCGCGCCATTGCACTCCATCCTGGGCAACAGGATGAGACTCTGAAAAAAAAAACAAAAAAGAGCTGATCAATGACATTGAGTGAATCAACAAAGAATTGTTAGTTATTGGACAGGATGGATGATACATTGACAGGTCAGCCCCTTTCAAGGATAATGATGAATTTTAACCAGTCTTTCTGAAAGAATAACTTATGGGAGTATCTTAAAAAATGCTCATGATTAAATCATTGTTCTTTCCTTTCAGTTTTTAACGATGGCAGTTCCAGGGAACTAATGAACCTCACTGGAACAATCCCTGTGCCTTATAGAGGTAAATGTCTTATTAGGTTTCCAGCATAGATGCATTTTGAATACATAATAAATATGTTGCCAAAGAGTTATAACCAAATTAAACCTACTTTCTCAGGGCTTTGATGCTGATATAGATTTTAACTTCTATTCAAATTGAAGTTCATTTGGCAGTAACACCTAACATTTTCAGCTTTCTTAAAACTTCCTTACCAAGATATATGAACAAATAAGTGCCTAAGTTCACCAGAGGAGTTTAATGTTTCACTGAATCAAATAATTGTAGAACTAGAAATGGATCTTACTTGCCTCCTAGTTCAGCCTCCCACACCATTCAAACTTTCCTGACAATGGGAAGCTAAGATATAGGCTTCAAAGTCAGGACAGAGTTATGTTTGAGTTCTTGCTCTATAATCTTAGCAGTTTTGTTACATGTTATATATGGATATCTTTGACATTTGGATAATAGTACCTAACTTGGGGGAAGTGAGCATTTATTAGATAATGAATGTAAAGGACGTGGCACAGAGCCTGGAATATAATAAGCAGACAGTTAAAAGTAGCTGTTATTTATGGTTGTGATGTTGGTGATAATGCTAATGATAGATAATTGATCTCTGTTAGCCTGTCTTTCACCCTCTGCTGAAATATTTAGTGGTGAGGAAGCATTTAGCTTAATGAGAGACCATTTTGTTTTTGGACAGCTCTGTTTGTTAATTATTCCTTGTAATTAGCTAAGACCTATGTCCTTTACCCATTGATTTCACATAGTACCTGCTATTCATAAGGCAATAAGGATAGGAGCTGTGGCTACAAAGATGAATAAAGGATGTACCTCTTCTGGAAGAACTCCACTAATAGGGGAAACAAAGGGAACAGATAGATATTTACACTATTCTGTAACTGCTATAGAATTATAAAATGAAAAAGTGCTATGAGATTACAGAGGAGAACAAGGCCACATGGGAAGATCACAGAGGAAGTGACATTTGAGCCACTATTAATAAGTCAACCATTCATAATAAACAGAGGGAAAAAACAGTTAATTGAGTATCAGCATTGTATAAAGCAAGTATAAGTTTAGGGAAGACTGAGTAAAATTTAAGATTACTGACTTTGCTATTGCCCTCAGGAAATAAATTCTGCTGGGGGAAATAGGAATGGGGGGGATGCGGATATATGTATAAATTGTATCTAGACTAAACCTCTGTTCCTTTAACCATTCTTCAATTTAAAAATAATAAAAATAGAGTAACTGAAGTTTCTATTTCTTTTTCAGGTAATACATACAATATTCCAATATGCCTATGGCTACTGGACACATACCCATATAATCCCCCTATCTGTTTTGTTAAGCCTACTAGTTCAATGACTATTAAAACAGGAAAGCATGTTGATGCAAATGGGAAGATATATCTTCCTTATCTACATGAATGGAAACACGTAAGTATTCATAGTGTTCTGTGAATTAGTTATGTTTTATATATTTTGCTCACTAGCATCTGCTTTCTTTTAGCACTCAAGGAGGATTCGAGGTAGGATAGATAAGTTCAGATAATGGACTAATCACTGAGTTGAGGGTAAATTAGAAAAGGCTGACTAAAAGAAATGGGTTTCTGTAGAGCTTTGTAATTTTCAGAATACTTATATTCAATATTTTGTTGGCTTTAGTTGAACCTTTTTAAAATAGGCAGGATTCACATAGTGGGAAGTGCATTTTAAAAAATAGTATCCTGGTGAGGTAGTTATGGAATTCAAATCTGATTACTCAAAGCATTTCTGTCAAGAATAATAGTAGGGAACTTCTGTTTATGTGTCTGATAGTGTAACTGTGACAGATTAATGTTCCTATGAAAAATAACTAGAAAAGCAAGAGAAAATACAAACAACACCTGTTGGAAGGCTTTGGAAAGCTGTTTAGGCAATCAAGACATGTATGGCCAAGATTCTGTAGAGAAGAAAACAGCAAAGAGATGAGGTAGTTCTGCCAATAACTTTTCCCCCAGGGTACTTACTGATTCCTTTTTTTTTTTTTGGAGACAGAGTTTTACTCTGTTGCCCAGGCTGGAGGGCAGTGGCACAATCTCAGCTCACTTACAACCTCCACCTCCCAGGTCCAAGCAATTCAGCTTGGTAGACTCAACCTACTGAGTAGATGGGATTACAGGCGCCCACCACCAAATACAAAAGTTTTGTATTTTAGTATTTAGTAGAGGTGGGGTTTCACCATGTTGGTGAGGCTGTTCTCGAACTCCTGACCTCAAGTGATCCACCCATCTCGGCCTTCTAAAGTGCTGGGATTACAGGCATAAGCCACCATGCCCAGCCTACTTACTTATTCTTGATGAAGGATGAAGGGCTGAGAATCTGGGCAAAGGGCCTTAGCTAAGAGGCAGAGAAACCTGCAGAGTCTCTAGCAGTCTCAGAGGGCTGAAAAGACAAAAGTTGCTGTTCTGTCTACCAAAGTAACTAGGACTTTTAGATCCAAGATTTGGGAGAAAAGCCATAAAGAAGTGAGTAGCTCTGGGGATGGTGGCTCATGGCTGTGATCCCAGGACTTTGGAAAGCTGAGGCAGGAGGATTGCTTGAGCTCAGGAGTTTGAGACCAGCCTGGGCAACATAGTGAGAACCCCATCTCTATAAAAAAATATTTTAAAAAAACCTTGGCATGGTGGTGTGTGCCTGTGACCCCAGCTACTCAGGAGGCTAAGGTGAAAGGATCACTTGAGCCTGGGAATTCGAGGCTGCAGTGAGCCATGATTGCATCACTGTCCTCCAGCCTGGACAACAGAGCAAGATCTGTCTCCAAAAAAGAAAAGAAAAGATGAGATACTCTGAATTTTCCCACCTTAAGAGATATGTTGAATTCCTGAGCTTCAAAGATAAGATGCTAAAAAAAAAACTAAGCAGAACGCCTCTGAAAATCAGCCAAGTTTTCAGCAGTCTTAGGTTGAGGAGGCAATTGGAGTTCAGTACCTTATCAAGAAGGGGAACAAGTAAACATCCTAGGCTGTTAGTTGGCACCACTGGAAGAACACATCTTAGGAGGGAGAACTTAGAGGTAGAATGAGCCTTATAAAAATCTGTCCTTGAGGCTGGGTGGGGTGGCTCACACCTGTAGTCTCAGCACTTTGGGAGGCTGAGGCGGGAGGATCACTTGAGGCCAGAAGTTTGAGACGAGCCTGGCCAACATGGTGAAATCCCATTTCTACTAAAAATATAAAAATTAGCCAGGCATGATGGCACATGTCTATAATCCCAGCTACTCCGGAGGCTGAGGCAGGAGAATCGCTTGAACCTGGGAGGCGGAGGTTGCAGTGAGCCGAGATCGCACCACTGCACTCCAGCCTGGGTGGCAGAGTGAGAGAGACTGTCTCAAAAAAAAAAAAAAAAAAAATCTGTCTGTCCTTCAATCAGCTCAGTCCCTGATCCTGACTGTCTGCCTGCCACAGGATAGGGTGAACCCTTGCTGGAAGAAGATAATATATAGACTCTCTATAATTTTTCACAATGTCTAGCATACAATTTATATTTATCAAGTACACCAAGAAAGAGAACCAAGAGGAAAAAAAGACAATAGAAACGGGACATCCCTCCACTCCACCCCCACAAACACACAGGTAACTTGGTTATCAGACACAGACTTAAAAATGGTTGTGATCAGTGCATTCAAGAAAATAGAGGACAAGATGGTAAATTTTATTAAAAAGAAACTAAGTGGAAATCTTAGAACTGAAAAATAGAATAATAGAGATTAAGAACTCAGTAGATGGGTTTAGTAGCAGACTGGACTCAGTAGAATAGAGACTGCCTCAACCTCCTGAGTAGCTGGGATTACAGGCGCCCACCACCACACCTGGCTAATTTTTGTATTTTTTAGTAGAGATGGGGTTTTGCTACATTGGCCAGTCTGGTCTCGAACTCTTGACTTCAGGTGATCCGTCCGCCTCAGCCTCCCAAAGTGCTGGGATTACAGGTGTGAGCCATTGTGCCTCGCCTCAGTTTGAATTCTTAACCTGTTGCTTTATATTAGGCCTGGAAGTAGATATTAACATAGATATTAATTTTTTTCTTCAAAGAATTTAGTGTAAAAGGAATGGTATGATAATTAAAACTTACCTTGACAAAACTGTAAGAATGTATGAATGAAGAATTGATTCATACTACCACATTAATGAATTCTGAAAACATTATGCCAAGTGAAAGAAGCCAAGCACAAAAGGCCATATATTGTATGATTTCATTTATATGAAACATTTAGGAAAGCAAATCTATAGAGATGGAAAGTAGATTAGTGGTTGCTAAAGGGCTGTGGGGAAAGGGAAACGGGAAGTGACTACTAATGAGTACAGGGTTTCTTTTTCGGATGATGAAAATATTATGGAATTAGATGGTGGTAATGGTTGCATAGCTTCGTGAAATAATAAAAGCCACTGAAATGTATACTTTAAAAGGAGAAAGTTTATGGGATGTGAATTATATTTCACCTACATGCATGAGGCTTACATGAGGCTATGATTTAGTTAAGGAATTTTGTTGGGCCGAAAAATTGAGAAAGCATGTGGTCTCAGTGGCCATCCCCACACACACCAGCCACAGTATCTGTGAGTGTTGCACAGATACTGTGCTTATAACACCCCGAGTCTCAGTATATAAATTTACAGGCAAACACAAGAAAAATATTGGAAAAGTAGATATCAGCAAGTTTTCACAGAAAGCTTTGAGAAATGTTATTAATTGTCATCTTCCATGAGTTAGGTCAAAATTGAACAAATGAGGTGAGTTTGGTTCTTTGGAAAAGGTGAAAACTGCCACTGAACTCTTCTGTCAGGAGTATTAAAAGAAGTGCCAATCCTAATCCTGTAATCCTGACTACTTGGGAGACTGAAGCAGGAAGATTGTTGAGTTCAAGTCTGAGCTGGGCAACATGGCAAGACCTTGTCTGGGGGGAGGAGGGGTGTAAAAAGTAGTTTCTATGAAGATGGTTAGCCTATCAAGGTGATTGAGTAATTCTTCAGAACTCAGTGAACTTATGAATGAAGTACGTGAGATGAGATATACACAAAATAGATTAAGGAGTAAAAGAAGAATAATCAAATAAGCCATTTTGAACAACTTTGTCTAGCACAGCTTAATTAGTGGTTGGTAGATATTTCTTTTGTTGTTTTTTGTTGTCGTTGTTGTTGGGTTTTGTTTTTGTTTTTTTGAAACAGGGTCTCACTCTAACCCAGGCTGGAGTGCAGTGGCGCAGTCATACTGCAGCCTCAACCTTCCTGGCTCAGGTGATCCTCCCGCTGCAGCCTCCTGAGTAGTTGTGACCACAGGCGCATGCCACCATGTACAGTTAATTTTTTTGTAGAGACCAGGCTGGTCTCAAACTCCTGAGCTCAAGCTGGATTACAAAATGGAGGGGAAAGTACTGGAATAGACCTAGAATTTTTAAAATTATGCATGCTGCAAAATAGCCTTATTTGATCCTCCTGCCTTGGCCTCCCAAAGTGCTGGGATTACAGGTGTAAGCCACCACCCCTGGCCAGTGCTCAATAGGTATTTGAGAGAAAATCTTAGTAACTTATGAAAAAATAGGAATCTCTTTGTCATTGTTGGAAGGAAAGATCCTTTAACAATTCACCCCTTTGTACTACAATCTAGCAATTTCTAAGCTAGAATCTACGTATAATTTTTTTGTTTGTTTGTTTTGAGACAGAGTCTTGCTCTGTCGCCTAGGATGGAGTGCAGTGGTGTGATCTCAGCTCACTGCAACCTCTGCCTCTGGGGTTTAAGCAATTCTCTTGCCTCAGCCTCCTGAGTAACTGGGACCATAGACGCACATCACCACACCCGGCTAATTTTTGTGTTTTTAGTAGAGATGGGATTTTGCCATGTTGGCCCAGCTGGTCTCAAACTCCTGGCTTCAAGCAGTCCACCCACCTTGGCCTCCCAAAGTGCTGGGATTACAGGTGTGAACCACCTCACTTGGCTAGAATCTACCTGTAATTTCAGAGTTCATAATATCTTTAATAAAAATTAATTTTAAGAACACGTATTTCCAAGATATCATTGATGTCTTTTAATGGCCTTTAATAATATTGTGACTGTTGCTCATATTCATCCCTAAATTTGTACCAGTATACTTATAATACATTGTACAGTGGCAATAAAATAAATTTTTGTTAGTTCTGTGGAGTCAAATGAAGAACAAAACTCTATGAATTTTGCAATATGCTGCTTTAACTAGTGCTATTTTTATATACTTGAAGCAAGAACCTTGCTGCACATCATGTTTAAAACCACTTAACTCTATTAAAATAAATTAATTAAATGAAATTTTCATGATTGGGGTCCTACAAAGAAAATTATCAAGCTGAGTTGAAAACCGATGAGAAATGGCTAACCTTTTTCTTTTTACTGAAAAGCAACTCTGTAGCTGACTTGAATTTTTTTTCATTTTGTAGCCACAGTCAGACTTGTTGGGGCTTATTCAGGTCATGATTGTGGTATTTGGAGATGAACCTCCAGTCTTCTCTCGTCCTATTTCGGCATCCTATCCGCCATACCAGGCAACGGGGCCACCAAATAGTAAGTAGAATTGAGATTTTACTTTAAAACTCATATAAACAAAAGAGAACAGAAACCTTTGTAAAAAAATAAAGAAAAATAATGACTTCTTTGCTTTTTAGTTTATCAAGCTAGTGGATTTTTTGGAAGTATTCTGAGGCCCCACATCTGCATGTACAGATTCCCACCAAAGACTGGCATTTGGGCTTCCATTTGTAGGTAGAAATCTAAGAATGGTTGTGCTGGATTCCAAAATGGAGGAGAAAGTGTAGAATAGAGCTAGAATTTTTAAAATTATGCATGCTGCAGAATAGCCTTATTTGATCAGCTTGGAAGCACATATAACTTGAAAGGTAGTCTGACCTCTCCTTTCTCTTTGCAACTACAAAATCAGTGTTGTAGATAAGGATTAAGGTCAACTGAAGCGTTCACATTCAGCTATTCTGGGTATACACAATTGGACATCTAGCTCTTAGCTTTCTTCTCTTTCGTACAGCCAATTCATGATTTTACCTTGTGTGGAGTGGTGGGAGCATGGAGAGAGTGTTGCTTCTCCCCTAATTGGAATATATTATCTCTGTTATCTCTATTTTCTTGAATAATTCTTACTGATACTTAAAAATCACTCTGAATAATTGTGAGTTGGTTGTACTTATTTTGAATTTACTAAATCTGCATTGATTTCACTGTGTTTTGAGCTGTGACTTTTTTTTTTTTGGTAAATTTTCTTTAAGATTATAATTAACCAAACTTGTTTATCTTACAAGACAAATTATATGTGCTTTCATTTTTCTTCTGCTGAAAATTATACTTTTTCCTTTTTAATCCATTCTTTCCTGAGGAACATCTTGGTTTATAAGCTGAATGGGAATTTAACAGAAAGAATTTTTGAACCCATTTCTCTTTCCTTCCCTACCTTCCCAGAATAAGCTTGATTTTAGGATTACTATTTCTTTTAGTAAAGGTACTGGTAATTCCTTTGGATTAGAAATTTGTTTTTATCTTATTAAATTCTGTTGACTCTAGTGCCCAAGAGTAGAGTATCTTGCTTAAGTTTGAAATACGAAATATTTGGCCGGGTGTGGTAGCTGTAACCCCAGCACTTTGGGAGGCCGAGGTGGGGGTGGATCACCTGATGTCAGAAGTTCAAGACCAGCTTGGCCAACATGATGAAACCCCATCTCTACTAAAAATACAAAATTAGCCAGGTGTGGTGGTGCATGCCTGTAGTCCCAGCTACTCGGGAGGCTGAGGCAGATGTTGCAGTGAGCTGAGATCGCATTACTGCACTCCAGCCTGGGTGACAGAGCAAGACTCTGTATCAAAAAAAAAAAAAAAAAAGATATCAAATATTTCCTAGTCTCATTACCTTTGTTTATTTGCTCAGATAATATAGCGAGTGACCGCTATGACAAAGGTAACCTTTTCAGAAATTCAGGTAGTCTCCTAAGCAACTTTTTTTTTTTTTTGAGACAGAGTCTCGCTCTGTTGCCCAGGCCGGAGTGCAGTGGTATGATCTGGGCTGACTGCAACCTCTGCCTCCCAGGTTCAAGTGATTCTCGAGCCTCAGCCTCCCAAGTCGCTGGGATTACAGGCCCCCACCACCATGCCCAGCTAATTTTTGTATTTTTAGTAGAGTCGGGGTTTCACCATGTTGGCCAGGCTGGTCTCGAACTCCTGACCTCAAGTGATCTGCCTCGGCCTCCCAAAGTGCTGGGATTACAGGCGTGAGCCACCGCGGCCGGCCTGCAACATTTTTTTTTTCCTAAATTTCTTTGAGTTTTAAATTGACATTGGAAGTGCAGTATTCAAGAAAGAGACCATACTATTGTTACTGTTGCAATTCAATTTTGTACTCAGTCACTGTAAGTCATGTTAAACACTCTAGAGCAGATTCTTTACTATTTTTTTTTGTCAGTTAAGCTCAAGATTAACTTCTCTTTTTCTTCCTCTATGTTGATTAGCCTCTTGGCACCACTGATCTTAGTTCTTTGGCATTCACGTTCTCTTTAAAGAATGTATAAAGTATTCTTTAAGCTTGCTGGGTTTTAACCTTTTATCCCTAGTATTTCTAAGCTTTTGTTTTGTTTGTTTCTTTGTTTTGAGATAGGGTCTCACTCTGTCACCTAGACTAGTTTTTAACAGTCTGGATAATGTAAGTTTTGTATAGGACTTCTCATAGTAGTTTGAAGTCTCTTGAAGTCTTTAAACCAACAAAATCAGCTGTGCTAATTGGCCAACATAGTTATAAAAGAAATATCAAAAGATTTATTAGATATAATAAAGAAGTTACTTTCTAAGAAGTTAACCTTGGACCGAAGAAGGCCAGAATTACCTTCCTCTAAATTTGAAATTGAACTTGCTCTTAGGTAATAGACTTCTTGAGAACTTTAAAAGCTGACCAGGTTGACCTGTTTGCCAGTTCTTTTGGTAGGGATTGTCATAAGTATTGTAATTCATGTTTAATGATTTCAGGATTATGAAAGGGAGAGGTATTTGTTTTGTTTTGGTGCTGAGATTTGGATTTTTTAACTGTGAAATTTTGCTGTGTATTGACAGTGTGATGTATATCTTATTCAGTAGCCTACATATTCAGGCCTTGTATATTATTTTTACAATGTGAAAAAAATTGTTTTTAGCTTCCTACATGCCAGGCATGCCAGGTGGAATCTCTCCATACCCATCCGGATACCCTCCCAATCCCAGGTAATGAAAAACGTTCTTTTGAATAATTGTATTACAAATTCTTCTATTAGATCTAGAATCAAAATAATTTGCTAATTAGGGCATTAAAATAAATTTAATTGCAATTTAGTGGAAGATAAAACTTGGTTTATTCCTGGAATTTATTTATTTATTTATTTATTTTTTTTGAGATGGAGTCTTGCTCTGTCACCCAGGCTGGAGTACAGTGGCGCAATCTCGGCTCACTGCAACCTCTACTTCCCCAGTTCAAGTGATTCTCCTGCCTCAGCCTCCCTAGCAGTTGGGACTACAGGCTGTGCCACCATTCCCGGCTAATTTTTGTATTTTTAGTAGAGACAGGATTTCACCATGTTGGCCAGGCTGGTCTCAAACTCCTGACCTTGTGATCTGCCTGCCTCAGACTCCCAAAGCGCTGGGATTACAGGTGTGAGCCACCATGCCCAGCCTATGTATTTTTTTTTTTTTAAAAGAAGAGAGTATTATAAAATATTTTTCCCCTTGGCTGAATTCATTATAACTAGCATTCCATTTAATATTTCAGCTATCTATACTAGATATACAAATTTCTTAAAAGGACTTCAAGATCAAAAACCAATTGAGATCACTGTCATTACTCAACCCATTTCTTTCCTCTTTAAAATAAAAATGCAGCCCAGGAGCTGCTTTTCTGTAGATTGAAAGAAACTCCTTTCAAATTATACACACACACCTTAAAATTCTAGCAATAAGGCCGGGTGTGGTAGCTCACACCTGTAATCTTACCCAGCACTTTCGGAGGCCGATGCAGGCGGATCACCTGAGGTCCTGAGGTCAGGAGTTCGAGACCAGCCTGGCCAACAGAGTGAAACCCCATCTCTACTAAAAATACAAAATTAGCCAGGCATGGTGGCACATGCCTGTAATCCCAGCTCTTTGGGAGGCTGAGGTAGGAGAATTGCTTGAACCCAGGAGGCAGAGGTTGCAGTGAGCCGAGATCGCGCCATTACACTCCACCCTGGGCGACAGAGCAAAACTCTCTCTCAAACAAACAAAACCCCACAACCTATCTTTTCTATACATTGCAGGAATCAATTAATGGTTCAGATAATGGGGTCAAACTTGTCGCATGATATTTACTTATTCAGTTCATAGACTACCTGTACTATCAACCTTTATTATCCATTTAGTAATAACATAGGTAACTAAATTAAATTAACAATGAAATCAGTCTGTTAACACACGCTAGAAAGTCAATGATAAATAATTACTAACCCATGTTTTAAATGTGTACTTGTTTCAGTGGTAATCTAGGAGTACTCTCCAAAGGTGGTCTATGGGCTAACTTAAAATCCCACCCAGCACTTTGGGAGGCCGAGGTAGGGATTGCTTGAGCCCAGAAGTTGGAGACCAGCCTGGGCAACATAGTAGACCTCATTTCTACAAAAAAAATTAAAATTAGCCAGGCATGGTGGTGTGAACCTGTAGTCCCAGCTACTTGGGAGGGTGAGGTGGAAGGATCACTTGAGCCTACAGATCGAGGATGCAATGAGCCGTAATTGCACCACTGTACTCCAGTCTGGCCAACAGAGTGAGAACCTGTCTCAAAAAAAAAAAAAAGATTGGCATATACTGATGCCAAGATGAGACTTCCAGCTGCTCTAACAATTAGCAAGGAAAATTTAACTCTACTAAGTCTTCTTAGTTTCATATAACCCAGTCATAATCCTCATGGATAAATGCAGCCAGATTTCTGAACACATGTCATAGGTAAATATATATATGTACATATATAATATCTAGGATCTTGAAAGTTAATTTAGCAAACACTTCATTTCTGGGTTGTCTTAATTTCACAACTTTTTAGAAGGTAATAAGCATTCTGTCACTTTGGATAGGTAAGCAGAGATTAGAAGAACATTTGTCAGGGACAATAGAGAAAGATTCCTTTGGTAGTAATATATAAGCAGGTTATTCATTTTAGATTTCTTGAGGCCCTAAATTTTCTGATTAAGTTCTAGAAATGGAATCCTACCTGAAGCCTTGAAATTACAAGGCTACTGAACAATTGCTAGTAAAAAGCAGCTTTGGACATAGAGGGAATAATTGTTGAAGGTACACTATGGAAATGGACTTCTGAACAATAAAGCTACAGATGGAGATTTCTCTGAAGTTAATATCTGTAGGCTTAGAAGAGTTTTATACCAAGTTACAAAAAAATTCAGCAATGTGATCACATTATCTTTGCAAAGGTATGCAAAATGGGAGAAACTCCAGAAAAAAAGAGCAGTTTATCCCAGTTTTCAGAAAGGTGGATTTAGAAATTTCAGTAGGATTGACATTTCTTTACAGCATTATAGCATGGATTACTGAAGAGACTAGAAACAAAAGTACTGTGTTCAGTAGCCTCCAGCATGTGTCCACTAGGAACAAAAATGCTTTCTTTTTTTTTTGTCTGATTTTGCTTTTATACTGATATATAAGAGAAGTACCATGATTACATTGAATCTTCAGCAAGTCATATATAAAACTTAGTTGAGGACAAGTTATAAAGTGGAAGCTGATAATACAAATAGGAGAATCTTTGAACCACTGCATTGAAAAAGGATTATTGACGATAAACTCAGAAGGAGCTCTTGCTCCAGTGTCCTAGGCTAGCTTTTTTTTTTTTTTTTTTTTTGAGATGGGGGCTTCACTCTGTTGCCCAGGCTGGAGTGCAGTGGCATAATCTCAGCTACTGTAGCCTTGACCTCCTGGGCTCAGGTGATCTTTCAACTTCAGCCTCCCAAGTAGCTGGGACTACAGGTGTGTGCCCCTACACCTAGCTAATTTTTCTATTTTTGTAGAAATGGTTTCGCCATGTTGTCTAGGCTTGCCTTGAACTCCTGGACTCAAGTGATCTACCTGCCTCAGCCTCCCAAAGTGCTAGGATTACAGGTGTGATCCACTGCACCCAGCCTGGGCTAGCTCTTTTTAATCAGTAATTTTAATGCGCTTGTAAAAGGCAAATGTCATAGAATTGATAATTATAGCTAAAATAGGATTAATTGAGATTTATTGTCTAACTAACCAGGTGGCCAGTAATCATCCTATTCTAATTTTCTTCTTCGTTGTAAGGGAAACACTGACTAGTAAGCATTCAGAGGAAAGCAATTAGATCTGAAAATCATGTCCTGAGACAAATGGTTAAAGGAATTAAGAATAGTTAGGGCTGGGTGCGGTGGCTCACAGCTGTAATCCCAGCAGTTTGGGAGGCTGAGGCGGGTGAATCACGAGGTCAGGAGATTGAGACCATCCTGGCTAACATGGTGAAACCCCGTCTCTACTAAAAATACAAAAAATTAGCCGGGTGTGGTGGCGGGCACCTATAGTCCCAGCTACTCAGGAGGCTGTGGCAGGAGAATGGCGTGAACCCAGGAAGTGGAGCTTGCAGTGAGCTGAGATCACACCACTGCACTCCAGCCTGAGCAACAGGGCGAGACTCCGTCTCAAAAAAAAAAAAAAAAAAAATTTAACCTGAAGAAGAGAAGCTTGAGGGAAAAATGTTAGAAGTTCTCAAATATTCGAGTTTTAGGAGTCTCCAAATAGTTGAGTGTCTTCCAAAATGCAAATTTAGGACTCCTATTTATAAATTATATTGAAATGATGTTTAATGTTAAATAGAGAAAGATGACCATTTGTCAGGGATGTTATAAATGATGTGTGTAGATAAGAGATTGTTGGAAAGGTGATTGGAGTAGAATACCTCTAAGGAAAGTTCCTCTGACTTTGATACGAATACATGAATGACAGAAACTGTCCAGAAAGTGAGAAAAAAGGTTTTTTTTTAAACTAAAGATGAGTTTGGTACGAATGTTATCAAAAGAGGAAAAAAACTATTTAAAGACAAGTGTTTTCGGGTTAAATATCCCCAAAGGTTACCAATAAGCCACAGGTACAAATTAAATAGTATCATTTTCCCACAGACTGAGAAATCGGAAAAGTTCTCTCACAAATTACTTGTTGCTTCTGATGCTGTTGGATTGTCCTTAGAAATACTCTAGTTACATTTCCGCTGCTATGAGGGTGACTCTCATATAACTGGGACCAAGCAAGAGCATTTAGCCATTTAAGAGTAAATGCAGTGTCATTAATACAATTTCCATAGAGCTTTACTTGAATAAACACTTGCAGCTCCAAGACTATAAATTCATCAACTGGTAAAACAACCATATGTCAAGCTTAACTTCCTGAATGGGGTTCTTCAAAATACTATAAGGTTGGGTCATCTTAAATGTTAAATGTTTTTTGTTCTTGTCTTTAGTGGTTACCCAGGCTGTCCTTACCCACCTGGTGGTCCATATCCTGCCACAACAAGTTCTCAGTACCCTTCTCAGCCTCCTGTGACCACTGTTGGTAAGTACCCTTGAAAACTTGTGTTTCACCATATAAGCAAAGTCTAACTCCCTGTTGTGAAAAGCACATTTCACTTGTGAATTTTGGACTACTCTTTCTTCTTAGAGGAAAACCTATAATAATGTACTATAATCTTAAACTTGAAGTAAATGACTTAACATATAAATGAACCTTCTACCAGGGCATGAAAATAAATCTGATTAACTCATCAATCTTTCTTTTGATCACATAGTTTTATTTGTGAGCCAAACATGTGTTGAACTATTAGCAGATACATAGATTTTCCTAGCTTGGTTATATGTGAAAACAGATCACCATCATTAAGAGAAGAAAGTAAAATGGGTTAATATGAGCAGGTCAAATCAGACAAATGATTGAAGACCAGTAGTTTTTGCTTTTTGTGTTTGCTTATTAGCGTTACCTGAAATATAATTTTCTTCAACTAAAAAAACTAAGGCAGTGAGAGAATTTCTTTAGACTCCAGCCTTCACCTATGCCTATCTCCCACTACCTGCACCACCATATCTGCCTTCTCCCTGTTACCATAAGTTGGTTATCTTTGCTTCTATCTAAAGCTGATTTCTCCACTAGACCTTATCCCCTCTAATGTACTCAGGGGCATCACTTCAGCAGTTCCTTCCTCTCAAGTTTTGTTCTCTACTGGATGACTCATCAGCACAGAGAACCATGCCCTAAAAAAGCCTTAAAGAGTCCAATTGAGACAAACAAATGGAAAGACATTTCATGCCCATGAAGAATTAATATTGTAAAAATGACTATATTACCCAAAGCAGTCTGTAGATTCAGTGCAGTCTGTGTCGAAATACCAATGTCAGTTTCCATAGAAATAGAAAAAGCTATCATAAAATGTATATGGAACCAAAAAAGAAGCCAAATAGCCAAAGTGATCTTGAACTAAAAGAACAAAGCTGGAAGCATCATACTACCTGACTTCAAAATATATTACAAGGTTATAGTAACCGAAACAGCATGGTATTGGTATAAAAACAGAAACAGACCAATGGAACAGAATAAAGAACCTAGAAATAAATCTACATATTTACAGCCAACTGATTTTCAGCAAAGGTGCCAAGAACATATATTGGGAAAAAGACATTGTTCATAAATGGTGGTGGGAAAACTGGGTATCCATATGCAGAAGAATGAAAACTGGACCCCTATCTTGTACCACATACAAAAATCAACTTGAGATGGATTAAAGACTTAATGTAAGACCCAAAGCTATAAAACTACTAGAAGAATACATAGGGGAAACCCTTCGGGACATTGGCCTAGGCAACCATTTTATAGTTAATATCTCAAAAGCATAGTCAACAAAAATAGACTACTGCGATGATACTAAATTAAAAAGCTTGTGAGCCAGATGCAGTGGCTCACGTCTGTAATCCCAGCACTTTGGGAAGCCAAGGCGGGCGAATCATTTGAGGTGAGGAGTTCAAGACCAGCCTGGCCAACATGGTAAAACCCCGTCTCTCCTAAAAACTAAAAATGCAAAAATCTGGGCGTGGTGGTACACCCCTGTAATCCCAGCTACTTGGGAGGCTGAGGCAAGAGAATTGCTTGAACCTGGGAGGTGGAGGTTGCAGTGAGCTGAGATCGCACCACTGCACTCCACCCTGGGCAACAGAGCGAGACCTTGTCTCAAAAAAAAAAAGCTTCTGCACAACAAAGGAGATAGTCAACAAAGTAAAGAGACGACCTGTTGAGTGGGAGAAAATATTTGCAAAGTACCCATCTGACAAGGAACTAATAAATATACAAGGTATTGAAACCACTCAACAGTAAAACAAACCATTAAAAAGTGGGCAAAGAACATGAATAGACATTTCTTAAAGGAAGACATACAAATGGCCAACAGGTATATGAAAAAATGCTCAATATCACTCATCATCAGGAAAATGCAGATAAAAACCACAAAGAAATATAATCTTATCCCAGTTTGAATGGCCATTATTAAAAAGACAAAAAATAAAAAAATAACAAATGTTATTGAGGATGAGGAGAAAAGGGAACTTATACAATGTTGGTGGGAATGTAAATTAAAGCCACTATGGAAAACAGTATGGCAATTTCTAAAAAAACTAAAATTAGAACTACCAGACAGTTCAGCAATCCCACTGCTGGGTATTTATCCAAGGGAAAGGAAATCAGTATATTAAAGGAATACCTGTACTCCCATATTTATAGCAACAGTATTCATACTAGCTAAGATATGGAGTGAACCTAAATATTTATCAGCAGATGAATGGATAAAGACAATGAGGTATGTGTACACAGTGGAATACTGTTCAGCCATAAAAAGAATGAAAACGTCATTGTAGCAACATGGATGGAATTGGAAATAAACTAGGCGCAGAAAGACAAATATCAAATGTTCTCATGTGGGAGCCAAAAAACTTGATCTCTTGGAGGTAGACAGTAGAATGATAGACACCAGAGACTTAAGAACGGTGTGTGGGTGGGATAGGGCTTATGAAGAAAGGTTGGTTAATGAGTACAAACATACAGTTAGATAGAAGGAATAAGTTCTAATGTTTGATAGCAGAGTAGGGTGACTATAGTTAACAATGTATTGTCTATTTCAGAATAGCTAGAAGACTTAAAATGTTCCTACCACATAGAAATGATAAATACTCAAGGTGATGGATACCCTAAATACCCTCACTTGAACATTACATTCCGTGCAGGTAACAAAATATCACATGGTACCCACGTAAATATGTACAAATATTATGTATCTAAAAAAATTTTTTAGGCCAGGCACAGTGGCTCACACCTGTAATCCCAGCACTTTGGGAGGCCAAGGCGGGCAGATTGCGAGGTCAGGAGTTGGAGACCAGCCTGGCCAACATGGTGAAACCCTGTCTCTACTAAAAATACAAAAAAATTAGCCGGGCGTGGTGGCGCACGCCTGTAATCCTAGCTACTCAAGAAGCTGAGGCAGGAGAATTGCTTGAACCCTGGAGGCAGAGGTTGCAGTGAGCTGAGATCAGACAACTATACTCCAGCCTGGGCAATAGAGTGGGACTCCATCTCAGGAAAAAAAAAAAAAAAAAAAAAAATATATATATATATATATATATTTAAATATAAACATATTTATATATAAACATATATAAATATACATAAATATAAATATATAAATATATATAAATAAATATATAAATATAAATATATATGATATATATAAATATATATAAAATATATATAATATATAAATATATAATTATATATCATATATAAATATATATATTTTATATATATATATTTAAAAAAGAATCCTCTTCTCTATTCCACTTTTCCTGCCACCACTATTGGATGTCTTCATTCTTCTCTGAATAACTCCTTGAAGTAACTCTCTTTGTTATCTTCAGTACCTCTTCTCCGTTTTTCTCTTAAACCTCCTTTTGGACTTTTTCTCATACCATTTTGCTAAAACTGGTCATGATTACCAATAACTTTTTGAGGTTACATCCAATGGATAGTTACTATTCTCATCTTACTTGTCCTATCAGCAGCATTTGACACAGTTGGTTACTTCCTCCTTGATACACTTTCCTCTTGTTTTCCAAAACACCATGCTCATTTTATTTTCTTCCTGTCTCATGGGTATTCATACTTAGTCTCCTCTGCAAGTTCTTCCATTTTTCTTAACATTGGTGTGACCCTGGCTTAGTCTCCTTGGCACTCTCTATCCTCACTCTCCTGATAATTTCCACCAGTTCAATAGCTTTAAATACCATCTCTGTGCCCCCAGTTCTCAAATTTATGTCTCTGACCTATACCTCTCTCCTGAACTCGAGATTGTTATATCCAGCTGCCTTTTCAGTATCTCTACTTGGATGTTTAATAGGCATCTCAAACTCAACCAAAACCGAATTCTCAATCTTCCTAACACCTGCCCCATCTCCATTGTTACCTACTCTATACTCTTTGGAGTCATCCTTGACTCCTCATCAGGAAATCCTCTTGTCTTCAAAATATATCTAGAATCTGATCATATCCAGTGCTGATCCAAGTCACCATTATGGCTCATCTAATTTACTTCAAAAGCCTTCCACAAGATTTCTCTGCTTCTTTCCTTGTCCCCCTACATCTCTCTTTTTTGACACAGCAGCTAGAGTGATCCTAATAAAATATAAATAAATTGTATCACTCCTCTGCTCAAAACCTTCAAGTGATTTCCTGTTTCACTCAGAGTTCAGTCCAAAGTTCTTGGGCCCAGAAGGCCCTACATGATCCTGCCCTCTTCCCCATTACTTTTCTGACCTCATCTCCTACTGGTCTCCTGTCTTAGGATTTGTCCACGGCCTATTTCTGTGCATGGATCAGCCAGGCCTATCCTTACCAATTTGCTGCCACCACCACCAATCCCCCCTCCAACCCCCCACCCACACACTCAACATCCAGAAGAGTGCTTGGTATATAGAAGTTTGCTGTTGAAGAGATTTGCTGAGTTCCTGAATGAACATAGAATCTTGTGAAGTTTATTTTTCTGTTATGTTTTCTGATAACTTGTAACCATCCTGAGGTCTGATGTAAATGTCATCCCCCCACCCCATAAAGGGTTATTTCCACCGTTTTTCTCATTGATACACACTATTCAGGTTCCAGTGGTGTGGTTTTGATTTATTAAAATGTATTTGTCATTAATGTAACTACAATATAATGAAATGATTGGAGTTAGAAACCTAAATGATAAAAGGTCTTTAATCCATAAGCAAAGCACACTAAATCTGGTGAAGCTCTCTTATTTTGGTTCAGCATTATCAATAAAATAGGAATAGTGCTGTTTGTCACCCTGTTTCTCATTGAAATAATAGTATAATCCTTTTGATTTGTAGAGAACCTTAGTTTACAAAGATCTTTTTTATATTAACTTGTTTCATTACATTAGGTACGAAGCATTTTTTTATAGCTTAGATGATTTCCATATATCCAAAGAATAGAAATGTGTGGAAAATGGTATATGTGGAATCAGATCTCATGTTTATGATTTTTGAACGGGTAATCAAATCAACTAATATTTTACTCTACATTTTCAAGAGTACTGTCTTAGGCATATAGGCTAGAGGCAAATTATTTTATGATAATTTAGGATATCCTTTAATATATATTGTTTTTCTACCCTTTGATCTTTACCTACTTGATTTGATTTTTTTCATCATATTTCATTAGTTGAACATTTAGTAGTCTGTTGAACTTTAGACTTAAAGGAAAGCAGAAACATAAAAGTATCATTTAGATATTAGAGTCCACAGTCACATTTTCTCAGTATATCAATGGTCACGATTTGGGCTGTTATTCTGTTACTGAGGCCATGAGAAAGAATGAATTTGGTTATTTATCCTTGTTTTTTTTGTTGTTGTTGTTTTTGAGACAGACTCGCTCTGTCGCCAAGGCTGGAGTGCAGTGGCGCGATCTTGGCTCACTGCAACCTCCACCTCTCAGGTTCAAGCAGTTCTACTGCCTCAGCCTCCCAAGTAGCTGGGATTAGAGGAGCGTACCACCACACCCGGCTAATTTTTATATTTTTAGTAGAGACAGGGTTTTACCATGTTGGCCAGGCTGATCTCCAACTGCAACTCCTGACCTCACCACCTGCCTCAACCCACCAAAGTGCTGGTATTACAGGCCTGAGCCACCACACCTGGCGCTATCCTTGTTTTTTGATACAGGATCTTGCTCTCTTGCTCAGGCTGGAGTGCAGCAGTGCTGTCTGCCCACTGCAACCTCCATCTCCTGGGCTCAGGTGATCCTCCCACCTCAGCCTCCTGAGTAGCTAGGACTGTAGACACATACCACCATGCCCGGCTAATTTTTGTATTGCCCAGGCTGGCCTTGAACTCCTAGATTCAAGTGATCCACCCGTGCTGGCCTCCCGGATTACAGATGTGAGTCACTGCACTAGGCTCCCTTGTTCTTTTTGAAACTTAGCAGTTTCACTCTGTAGATTTATTTTATTTTATTTTATTTTATTTTATTTTATTTTATTTTATTTTATTTTATTTTATTTTATTTTTGAGACAGAGTTTCGCTCTGCCACCCAGGCTGGAGTGCAGTGGCATGATCTCGGCTCACTGTAATCTCTGCCTCCTGGGTTCAAGTGATTCTCCTGCCTCAGCATCCTGAGTAGCTGAGACTATAGGCATGTGCCACCACACCCACTAATTTTTGTATTTTGTATGTTAGCCAGGCTGGTCAATCTCCTAACCTCAGGTGATCCACCTGCCTCGGCCTCCCAAAGTGCTGGGATTACAGGCATAAGCCACCTCACCCAGCCTGGATTTTAATTTTATGGTGTAATCTGAATTAAGAAAGATTTAAAATTTACCAGATGTTCAAAAATATTAGTATATAGTATGGTACCCAGAAGAGAATGGTGTTCCACTCAGTGACACTTCCATATGTTGTGAATTTATGTGTGAGGAATGTCAGTGGACTAATTGGCCCCTCCCTTTGGAGGATGTACTGTCAGCTGTGCTTGTGCCAGAATCTCCAGGTTTATTTGATCTCTGTAGAGTACTTTTTTTTTTTTTTTGAGACGGAGTCTCACTCTGTTGCCCAGGCTGGAGTGCAGTGATGCAATCTCAGCTCACTGCAAGCTCCGCCCTCCAGGTTCACGCCATTCTCCTGCCTCAGCCTTGATCTATGTAGAGTCCTTTTATCAGAGTGCTATAGACATCTTCAACCTCAGTTTACATAGTGTTTTGAAAACTAACTAGGGGAATGAGGAGGTGGTAGTCGGTGAATAATGAAGGAACAAACCAATTCATGTAGCAAAAAAAAAAAAAAAAACCTAACTGGTAGTATGCATTGAAACTTAACACAAAGATTCTTTTTCCTGTTACTGTAGGAGCAAAACATAAACTGACTATACCTATCTTAATCAGTTTCACATACAAGATCCCTGAAAAATAGTGGGTATGGATGGGCACCAGGTGAGCCACCATGAAGTTTCTCTACCACAACCACCACCCCTGCCCCTGGTAAAAAAAGAGGAAGTTAAAAGGCTTTGGTGATTCCTTACTCCAGTCTCAGCAGTGGTGAAAGTTCTCTTTTGAAGGTTGACTTATTTTAAAAAGCTATATAGATGATTGTAGTTGATTTATAGCTCTGAATCCTAGGCTTTAGGCCTTTAACATATACACAGTTTGACCTTTCAGTAGTTGCAGTTTAATAATAGTAAAATTGAAGAGTAGGTGTTTATTCCCGGTTAAAGCCAATACCTACCACAGAATTTTTCTTGGTAAAACTTCATAAATACTGTATATTTCAACCTCTGAGTTTTAAAAATGTCATTTTAAGATTTTGTTCCTAAAAATCAAATAAACAAGGATCAGAAACAGTAAGTTTGGAAGGGTGCTATTAACAGAGATTCAGGGACCAGTTTTACCTTTGTTAAAGTGTTGTTTAAAAATGTGGGAGTGGAAAACCCTGAAAATGCTGCAGCTGAATGATGTGTTTCTGTAGTTTCCACTCTTTAGTCCATACTGAATATTTAGATAAAGAAAGGAAAAGGTGAAGAAAAATAAGAGAGCTTACCTGTTAATATTTCTTTGAGGACAGAAGCTAGTAAACATGACAAGTTTTTCTTGACTGTCTTATCCAATGCTGTTCTTCCCTCTGGCCATCCTAGATTAAGTGTTTGGCCTACAGAAACTGTACTTTCAGGATATGGCACCCAAGGCACCCAGCCCATGTGGGTTTACTAGTGCACGCTTGCTTGTGTGCAGGTTTGGGTGCCTCTTCCCCACACCTTTCACAGACTTCCTTTGGGAATAACTGCCTCATCTTCAGGATAAGTAGCGTTTTCTTCCAATCCTGGACAGTCAGTGAGTCATGAGTGAAATTTAAATGCTGAGAGTTTAGTCTGCTAAATGTTAAATCCTTTTCTGCCAAAGCAATAATGATAACAGAAATAATGATAACAGAAATTCAAAGCAATAATGATAGATTTGAAAGCTTTTAAAAAAGCTATTGTGTAAGTTAACAAATGATTTTTATTTTGTTAGTAAAGGAAAGGTAGGAGAAGCTGATTCATTTGGCTTCCTGTCGTTATTCCTATAGAATACCTCTAACATAATAGATTCTTAAATTAGTCTTTTCACAAAACGTTAATTTTAATGGAATTACTTTGATTCTGATTCATTTTTTTAAGAATAGAATTTTAACTCTCCTTCAGATTTATTGGCTTTTGTGCTTATGCCTACCAGGTAGCATCTTTCATCTTTTATGACTTACTATGATAGCTGAATGATTTTGTCACACTGTTTCTTTTTTGGAGTAGTTATTATTTTGCTGTCTCATTTTAGCAAGACTTATACCTACTTACCTTCACTTTTGAAAACTTTAATTTTTATGTAAATGAATTTAAACTTTTTTTGTGGTGTGTGTTTATTTTCAAGAAGTGTAAACCTGCTGATAGCTTTCTTTAAATTTTTTCTTATTGATTGTGTTGATAGAAACTTTCTAGAGCTCAAGTAAAGCGCATTTTTCTGAGTGTTTAAAAGATAAATTGAGGCCCCCTAATTTCTTTGGAAGAAAAGCTCCATAGCCTGCACAAAGCCTGTAAGTAGTATTAGAAGCTTACATATTCATACACTATAAATAAAAAGGACTTTTGTAAGCCATGTAATGGATTTGCAGTGTTTGCACTTAATAGCACAGATCAGAACTCCTTTGCTCATACAGTTGTCTGAAATGTTCTTCCTTCTTCAGAGATAGACCTGTTTTTTGTTTTTTATTATGAAAGAAAAATAATCCTCATATGTTCTCGGTCTAGTTTCTAAATAGATGGTCAGTAAGCTACTGTGTGGGATTACTTGGGCTCCATAGTTTGCTGTGTAGCACAGATGCCAGACCTAGGACCATTATGTGGGCCTGAGCAAGTAACATCCAGGAGTAAAAATGCTGGGCAGGTAGTTTACTTTTGCTGATTAAGGGTGAGGTCAGAAAAATTATCGTTGAGTTATAGTTTACTTTGGGCTTATGGATTCTTTCTCTAATATAAAATAGCTTCATTTGAGTTCCAGGAAGTAGTGATCGTTTGTAAATACTCTTAGGAGATAAATGAAACCGGGTGTCTTAAGTGTTTAAATAGTGGCTTTAAATCAGGTAGTGTATACTAGTGCACTGTGAATATACTTGCATAAATTATTCAATGAATTTTTGGGTCCATTGAGTGTAGAGTGTTGGTTTCCTAATACTAGAAAAATTATATCTTATTTCCTAAGGATTAAGTTTGGAGATCAGATCCTACCTGACATTTAAAGGAAGTTTTGCTTAAGATTGTTACTCAAAGTCTGTTAGCTCTTCAACTGCTAATCTGGAATTGTAGAAGGGCACTTTTGAAATCTGACTCTGCTTGAGTAAAAAGGTCAGTGTGTTGGGGACTTGGGGTATGGCAGTTTGCCAAAAACTCTTCTTATTCTTGTTATAGCAGGTATAGAGAATATTCAAATTTCTTCTAAGATGTTTGAGAAGAAAGTTTGGTTTGGTAAGTGTTCACAAAGTAGATGAGAATCTTCCACCAAATCTTTTTTCTTATTTGTTTGCATAAACATTATCTTAAAGTGGCATGGTTCATCGAATTTTGAACTTTGATGAGTTTTTCTTTTACTTCTTTGAAAAACTCTGGGTTTTTCTTTTTTTACTTTCTTATTTCAGATCTTAGTTATAATTCCTTTTTTTTTTTTTACAAAGTAGTTCGATTTTTTAAAGTTTAGATATACTTCACAGTGAAGTCTATGTGTGATAGAGATAAGACTAGGTCTAATCTTGGTGTTTGTAACTTCCTCAGGTGAACTGTGACCTTTATAGGCCAAGCGACTGCTGCCTCGGCTTGGTTCTTATTTTGAGGGTTAATGACTTTGGCTGGAAAGTCTTGGCAAGGACTTATTTGGTGGTATTATGGTAGCATTTGCCTGAACATATTCTATAAAGAGAAACAGAATGTAAATTCCAGGATTTAAATGTGTGTTTTTAAAAATAAGGATTTAAAAATTTAGCATCAGTATAATTTGACCCATTAGACCAGATATAATAGCTTTAACAAAGTATGTTGATGTGTTTATGTGTGAAAAATTCACTAACTATAAAAAGACTCTTAAGTTTTCATTAGTTCTGATAACTTCTGTGCCAATGAATGGAATACCACCACTGTTGCATGTGATTGAATGCTTAATTATAGACATATCATTTAGGTACGTAATCTATGGGAGAAGGATTTTCCTTCCTGTCTCACAAGAACCATCATAATATTTCATATAGATTATAAGACAGGTTCTTCTAGAAAGGTTTTAAAATTCCTTTTGCTAATGCAGCCTTACTATAAACTGGGGACTTAATGAAATCTTCAATAGTCATCATATCATGAATCATCCTTTGGATATGAAATTCTAAACCAAACTCTTGTAGAAATTGGCTCTTTTTCACTTTCTTTAAAGGACTTTTTAAGTACAGTATAAGAAATTAGAGATTTTTATTCGGTCTAAATTCTGTCCAGATGACTGAACAGCTAAGACTTTAATTCATATTAAGTCTGTGAAAGAGAGCTCACTCTCTGACGTATTTTAATCTGTATGTTCAGTGAGTGTGGAAAGATGTGTTGCCTTTTTATATGGCCTCATTTGAAGTAGACCGACTTATTCTACAAATTGCCATGAAGAGCAAGTTCTTGATTAGGTAAGAAAATACTCTTTAGTTAAGGACCTGTAAAGTTTGGAAGTTCACAAAACCACCTGCACTTCTGACACTCATTGCAAGTTCATGGTTTCCCAAGGCCACCCTAAAGTTCTATAATTATCTAGAAGGACTTTAAAAGCTCACTGAAAGCTATTATACTCACAGTTATGACTTATGGCAAAAGATACAGATTAAAATAGGCTGAGGAAAGACACGTGGGCAACCCAGAAAGTTTCAAGTGCAAAGCTTCTAGTTGTCTTCTCCCAGTGGAGTCATAGGCAGTGCTGACTTTTCCCAGTAACAGTATGTATCATTATGCATGGAGTATTACCCACCAAGGTAGCTCACCTGAGCCTTGGGTCTAGAGTTTTTATCAGGACTTGGTCATATAGACACCATTGACTGCCTGTGAGGCTGACCTTTAGTCTCCAGCTCCTCCAGAGGTTGAGCTGTTACCTATCACTGCATGGCCCAGACCCCCCCATAAATCACACTGTTAGACTGTCTGGTGTAGATAAAGAACACTCTAATTAGTCAGGAAGTTCTGAGGGCTTAGACATCACCTCCAGGAGCCAAGGGCAAAGGCGTGGCCTCTCTGGGTAAAGTTAATTCTTTACTACACAGAACCAAGCTGTAAGGCATTTTGCCTTATTTTGCTTGAACTTTAAAAATATCCGAATACAGGAGCTGCTGCTACCGTCGCTGCAGCCACGGCAGGCACCGCCACCGCTGCCAGAGGAGTGGGCTTGGGAAAGAAGTGGTCACCTCACTTGGAGCTTTGCTCAGAAGCATCCTCGTCCCCTGCAGCCCTCCCACGGGAACGACTGGATAAAAGTGAGCTGGTACAGAAAGCCAACTCACTGAGCAGGCTGAGCGCTATGATGATATGGCTGTAGTCACGAAGGCAGTCACAGAACGAGGCATGAATACTCCAACGAAGAGAGAAATCTGCTCTCTGTTGCCTACAAGAACATGGTTGGTGCCCGCTGCTTTCCTGGCATGTCTTCTCCAGCATTGAGCAGAAAACAGAGGAATGAGAAACAGCAGCAGATGGGGAGAGAGTAGCATGAGAAGATAGAGGCAGAACTGCAGGACATCTGCAATGACGTTCTGGAGCTGTTGGACAAATATCTTGTTCTCAATTCTATACAACCATTTTCTATTTGAAAATGAAAGGAGATTATTTTAGGTATTTTTCTGAAGTGGCATCTGGAGACAACAAACAAACCACTGTGTGGAATTCCCAGCAGGCTTACCAGGAAGCATTTGAAATTAGTAAGAAAGAAGAAATGCAGCCTACACATCCAGTTTGACTTGGTCTGGCACTTAATTTCTCAGTCTTTTACTATGAGATTCTAAACTCTACTGAAAAGGCCTGCAGCCTGGCAAAAACAGTATTTGATGAAGCAATTACTGAATTGGATACACTGAATGAAGAGTCTTATAAAGACAGCACTCTGATCATGCAATTACTTGGGACAGTGTTACTCTGTGGACATCGGAAAACCAGGAAGATGAAGGAGATGCTGGGGAGGGAGAGAAGTAATGTTTCTTGTGCTTTGTAATCTGTTCAATGTCACTCTGTACCCTCCACGTATATCCCTTGTGTGGTAAAAAATAATTGTATGTTGACTTTGGATTTTTCACAGCCTCAGCCTAGCAAAAATGGTTCATGGGATAAACAGCTGGTGTTTGTATTCTAAAACTCAGATTGGTCACATAAATGCCACGGCATTCTGAAGTTTTGATTTTGATTAACATTGACAGGATTACTGTGTGTTTAATTTTTTTTAATTCAACACTGTGATTATGGGGTTTTGTAATTTAGCAAAACTCTTACTTGTAGAAAAAATAGACCTGAATTATGTGTAACTTTTTGGAAAGTTTAATCTGATACCAGAATCATTGAAATACAATTCCATTGTAAAGTTGTACAGAAGGTTATAGAGATTATATTATGATGCTAGAACCTGGAGTGAGACACACATCATTTGGCATTTGAGTTTAATGGTAATTCATAGTAATGCTGCCTGTTGTTTGGCACTTAAAGACACTTGACCTGTTTGGGCTGTTGCCACTCAAAAGTTCATGACCACAGATGTCCACAGTGTCTTCCTCTGAAGAAACTCGAATCCTGAAATTTAAATTCTTTGTGGCAGATAACTGGCTTATGACACCTTGAAAAGTCCAAGTGCTCATATAACACACCTGACTAAATCCCCTTTTCTACTGCAGTGTGTTCACTTTGTTACCAATTTGCAACTTGTGCTTCAATAATGGAATCTATTTTCATTGTTAACACTGAGCTAAAGAAAAGCCATGTGTTTTATGAATGACCTTATCTGTTTCCTGGATAATACCTTTAAGAATAATCTTCTGAGTCAGGCATGGTGGTGTAGGCATATAGTCCCAACTACTTGGGAGGCCGAGGCAGGAGGATCGCCTGAGCGTAGGAGTTTAAGGCTGCAGTGCCCTGTGGTTGCACCTGTGAAATAACCGCACTCCAGCCTGGACAACGTAGGGAGACCTCATCTCCAAAAAAAAAAAAAAATAGAATGATGTTCTGTAGAGATTGCCTTTCACTTGAGGAGTACTGAATTTCCTGGCTTGGGGCTTTTAAATTTTGAAATCAAAACATTCTTTCCCACCATCCTTTTTTTTTTTTGAGATGGAGTCTTGCTGTGTTGTCAGGCTGGAGTGCAGTGGCATGATCTCGGCTCACTGCAACCTCCGCCTCCCGGGTTCCAGCGATTCTCCTGTCTCAGCCTCCCAAGTAGCTGGGACTACAGGCACGCACCACCACGCCCAGCTAATTTTTGTATTTTTAGTAGAGATGGGTTTTCACCATGTTGATCTCGATCTCTGGACCTCATGATCCACCCGCCTTGGCCTCCCAAAGTGCTGGAATTGCAGGTGTGAGCCACTGCGCCCGGCCCCCCATCATCCTTTTTGACTGTTGACTTTGGTTTTCCCTTCCCTCCTCTCTAAATTTCTGTCCTTCTGCTTCCTTCCTTTTTTTGCTTTTTGAATTCTATCTTTACCTGTCTTTTGTTCACTTTTTAATGCTGTATATGGGCAGGGGTGAGAGACATTAGTGAGCAACTTGGTGAGCAAGCCTGGCTTTAAAGACTTGAGAAGAACTTCTAGCACCAGAGCTCTGTCTTCCTCCAGTTCTCAACACGGTGTTGCTCTTTAGTCATACCAGGATCTGAATCAAAAAAGTATTTTTAAATATCCCTGACTTCTCCCTGTATTGAGGCTGGCCCTGATCATGCTTTTTAGTGCCCCTCACCAGGTCTCCCAAGTGCACTTATCCAGCTCAACTCTCAGATGTGTTTTAACGAGACCCTATATTCAGGGAAGTTGTGTGGACACTGCAGTGGAGAGAATTGATAATAGGCCTATCAGTCTCACAATATCACCCCTCTACCTTTAACATTCCATCTAGCTGTAGAGTCCATCTGTTTGTCCATCTGCTGAAATGAGAAAAGAAAACCTCATGCACTGATTTAAAACAAACCAAAAAAAGAAAAAAAACAAAAATCCCTCCTTTCTAACTGAACAAAAATGTGCAGTTAATAGTTGGCCCTTGAAAATGCAGTAGTGAATGTGGAGCTAAGCCTGTTTGTATATCTGGTAGCTCTTTTCTTGCTTTGTTTTTCCTTAACCAGTATTCTGCCTAATGTTTTCTTCTGTGATGGTTATATTGTCTAGCAAGCACACCTGTGGTTGTGAAAATAGTATAGCAAAAAAGAAAAATCCTGTTACTGATGTACTAGGTTTGTGTATGTCTTTTAAACAGTTCCAGTTTCACCTTACACAGAATAATCAGGAAAAGTGTAAAACTTCAAAAGTGAAATAAAAATTTTATCAGTTAAAAACAAAAAATACCCAAATACAAAAAAAAAAGATCTACCAAAAGCTTCCTGCCTAATACTGTAATTTGAAGATGAGATGGGCAACATGGAGCAATGGAAAAGGAGGATGTATGCTCACTGAAGCATGAGCTGGGCCACCACTCCTGTTACAAACCAGGAATTATAGCAGATTCCTATACTTTGAGGTTTTTTTGTTTCTTTTGTTTTTGTTTTTTGCAATAGCAAATAGGTGGGATGCCAGGCACAGTGGCTCATGCCTGTAATCCCAGCACTCCAGGAGGCTGAGGAAGGAGGATAGCTTGAGCCTGGAATTTGAGACCAGCCTGAGCAACATAGTGAGACTACCTCTCTACTAGAAAAAAAATTTTAATGGTTACAGAAACGATCTAATGTTTTTTCTTCCTTGTGTTAAGGTGTTTTAGTAAAGTTTTCTCAAATTATATTGCATTTTACATTTTTTCTAATCCTTTGAATTTGTTGTGAGAGACCAAAATTATAAATCAGTTTTCCCCTCCCTGCCAAAAATGGAAACCAAAGCAAGTCCAGGAGATTGAATTATGGTAATTATGGTAGTATTCTTTGTTAAAGAATTTGGATGTTCCCTTGGGAACAGAAATTTTTTTTTCTTTTTTTTTTTTATTATACTTTAAGTTTTAGGGTACATGTGCATAACATGCAGGTTAGTTACATATGTATACATGTGCCATGTTGTTGTGCTGCACCTACTAACTCGTCATTTAACATTAGGTATATCTCCTAATGCTATCCCTCCCCCCACCCCACAACAGGTCCCGATGTGTGATGTTCCCCTTCCTGTGTCCATGTGTTCTCATTGTTCAGTTCCCACCTATGAGTGAGAACATGCAGTGTTTGGTTTTTTTGTCCTTGTGATAGTTTGCTGAGAATGATGGTTTCCAGCTTCATCCATGTCCCTACAAAGGACATGAACTCATCATTTTTTATGGCTGCATAGTATTCCATGGTGTATATGTGCCACATTTTCTTAATCCAGTCTATCATTGTTGGACATTTGGGTTGGTTCCAAGTCTTTGCTATTGTGAACAGTGCTGCAATAAACATATGTGTGCATGTGTCTTTATAGCAGCATGATTTATAATCCTTTGGGTATATACCCAGTAATGGGATGGCTGGGTCAAATGGTATTTCTAGTTCTAGATCCCTGAGGAATCGCCACACTGACTTCCACAATGGTTGAACTAGTTTACAGTCCCACCAACAGTGTAAAAGTGTTCCTATTTCTCCACATCCTCTCCAGCACCTGTTGTTTCCTGACTTTTTAATGATCACCATTCTAACTGGTGTGAGATGGTATCTCATTGTGGTTTTGATTTGCATTTCTCTGATGGCCAGTGATGATGAGCATTTTTTCATGTGTCTTTTGGCTGCATAAGAAATTTTTAAAGAATTTAACTGCCGAAGGGGCTTAGCCCTGAATTATGGTGGCTGGTTGGGCAGAATTGTTTGAATGAAGTGAAGCAGTGATAGTGTTGATGATGCAGGATTTTCTTCTCAGTCACTCTGCAAGCCAGGGACCTCTGACGAGCGACACCCTGCCTGGGCCTCCCTCAGCCATGCTACCTGCTGCCAGAGACAGCCCTCCCATTCGGCCCACTTGGGCCGAGTCTGGCTTACCCGCTGGTTCCCGAGTTCTTGTCCTGTGCCCACAAAGAATGGGGATGCACTGACAATCAAGAGTGAGCAAGACAGGGAGTTTTATTGACTGATGAAAGAGCTTTCACTGGAGAGGGGATGCAGGGGTGGTTCCCCTACCCAAAGGTGGGAAAGTCCCCTCTAAGTGGCTGAGTCCTGCGGCTTCTTACAGGCTCAGAATAGGGGAAGGGCAGGCCATAGGTAGTATTGGAAAAGGCAACATTTGATTGGTTAAAAGGCATTATTGAGGAAGAATCAATGGGAAAGGGTGGGCAAACAGGAATAGAAGTTCTCACTCTAGGTCAGGGGTTTCATCCGGGACCAGCAGTCCAATCTTTCAGCCTTCAGGCTGTTTTTGGCTTGAAGGTGGCGTTTCACCGGGGACCCACCCCATCTGCCTCAGCATTTGGCTGCCTCCTGTTGCTGTTAATGAAATCCATAATTTTAAATATTTTACTCTATTAATGACTTTTCAGCACTGTTTCCAACCACATGCCTTCAAAGCAGTAGAGCTTCAGCAGTTCATTTTTCTGATTTTCAGGTAGAGATATTGATGAGTTCTTTCATTTGGTTTAATACCACCATACCATTTATTTTGGAGAGCGCTCATATATTTATAAACAATTTTAATAATTACCTTCTTCTACATTGCAGCAGAAGACAAGAGAAGGGAAGTTTCCAAAAAAGCACATTCTAAGGACTTCTAACCATCTGAGGCCTTTTCTCTAGGACTCCTAGAAGATAACCAATTCTGTTGATTTCAGGAGATCATTCAGCAACAGTTTGCCACCCTTAACATTTAGTATTTAGGCTGCATAATAAGGATTATAGAGACCTTTCCTTCAGAAAATAGGTTATTAAACTAATAAATATAGTGATAACTGTTAAGAGAGAGCAGATTCTAGTTGTTGTGCTGACGTTTTGGGAATTATGGTTAATGGAGGAAAGATCATTGGCAAAGATTAGGTTTCACCATAATTTAATGGTAGAGAGAAGATGGGATCTGATGTTCGAGAGCATTAAACTTTTTTGTTAGTTTAGAATGGCTTAGAGTTTGTTGACAGAGTTTGTTGATGGTTTTGGTAAAAAGCAGGATCATCTAACAGGTAATTAGAAGACCCAGGTAATTCACAAGGCCCTTCAGGAAGTTTGCTTCCCAGCTACTCGGGAGGCTGAGGCAGGAGAATCGCTTGAACTCAGGAGGCAGAGGTTGCAGTGAGCCGAGATCATGCGACTGCACTCCAGCCTGGGTGACAGAGTGAGACTCCATCTCAAAAAAAAAAAAAAAAAAAAAGGCGGCAATTAAGGTTAAATATACTTAACGTCCTCACGTAGTATTTTATAATCAAACATAATTAAAAGTCAAAATGCCATTTACACATTTGCTGATTTGGGACAATAACTGAAGAACACTGATAGTCATAAAGAATACCCAAACTTATATTAGAAAGGGGACCTTTTTGAAGAAAATATCCAGAGGATGTTTATTTGATCTGAAATATGCATGGAAATGATATAATATACTGATTAGGAAGGGACATTTGGAAGAGAATAGTAAAGAATCTGGGAATAAACAGTTTATCAGCTGTTGAATTTTTTGGATGTCATTCTTTTTTGTTCATCTGTTCTGTCCTGTTGGTAAAGGGTGAAGTAGTAAAAGTCTTACAGAGGGAAGCCTTATTAACCTGTACATTCGTTTAGGGAAACTGCCCATTCTCAGTCCTCTCACTGGCCTCTACAGTGGGCACTTGTCTCCTTCAGCTTAGCAGCGAAGCCTGATGTTGGACTTGGCCTGCACCAAATGTTTTTCCTTAGTGGAAATTATTGTGCCATTTGTTGGTTATTTAGGAATAATTGTAATTGGTAGGGACATAGCCTCTGTCTCATTGAGAAAATAACTAATTGTAGCTAATTGTTTGGGCTATGAATAGGGAAACTGGGTTTAACATGGATTAATAGTAATCTCTTGTAGGGCAAGTATTTCTGAATCAACTCAGATTTTTACATTATTTCTCATGAAACTGGTAACATAATTTTTTTCTTTCCTCACATTTTGAAAGTGTCGGTTCATATTGCCCCCTTTTCTGAAGGTTCCTGTGAGACAAATAGAAGGAACTTGGGAAGTAAGCAAGTGTTTTTTGCCTCTGTTTCCTGCAGGTCCCAGTAGGGATGGCACAATCAGCGAGGACACCATCCGAGCCTCTCTCATCTCTGCGGTCAGTGACAAACTGAGATGGCGGATGAAGGAGGAAATGGATCGTGCCCAGGCAGAGCTCAATGCCTTGAAACGAACAGAAGAAGACCTGAAAAAGGGTCACCAGAAACTGGAAGAGATGGTTACCCGTTTAGATCAAGAAGTAGTAAGTGACTCATTAAAGACTTAAAATTTTTGGATTGAATTGTAGCCATGGCAGAGTGTTCTATATGTTCCCTGGATGTTGTGGGCATAGTAGGAGTTCAGAAAATTATAGGCATCTTTAAACATTTGAATGTAATTTTTTATACCTTTGTTTACAGTGGAGCCTATGTTTGGCATTTGGTCTTAGATTGGGAGGGGTATAATATTTAGACCATTTTGTTTGCACCTTGTATTAGTTCGTTTTCACACTGCTGATAAAGACATATCCGAGACTTGAGAGAAAAAGAGGTTTAATTGGACTTACAGTTCCACATGGCTGGGGAGACCTCAGAATCATGGTGGGAGGCAAAAGGCACTCCTTTTTTTTTTTTTTTTTTTTGAGAGTTTCACTCTTGCGCTCAGGCTGGAGTGAAGTGGTGCAATCTTGGCTCACTGCAACCTCCACCCTCCAGGTTCAAGCGATTCTCCTGACTCAGCCTCCTGAGTAGCTGGGATTACAGGTGCCTGCCACCATGCTTGGCTAATTTTTGTATTTTTTAGTAGAGACGGGGTATCACCATGTTGGCCAGGCTCGTCCCGAACTCCTGATCTCAGGTGATCCACCCACCTTGGCCTCCCAAAGTGTTGGGATTACAGGAGTGAGCCACTGTGCCCAGCCAAAAGGCACTTCTTACATGGTGGTGGCAAGAGGAAATGAGGAGGAAGCAAAAGCTGGAACCCCTGATAAACCCATCAGATCTTGTGAGACTTACTATCACGAGAATAGAAAGACCGGCTCCCATGATTCAATTACCACCCCTGCGTGCCATCCCTCCCCACCCCCTGCTACACACACACACACACGCACACAGGTCCCTTTCTGTGAGATACAATTCAAGTTGAGATTTGGGTGGGGACACAGCCAAACCTTATCACACCTTTGCCCTAGGAAATGTTTTAGGCAAAGGATGTTTTAACCCAAAGGAGGACTGTTTGAGTGCTTGATGTTGCCAGTTACTAGGAAATAAGTTTAGAGAGTTCTAAGCCATGATAAAGATCTGCACATCTTAGGAGCAGACTTAAAAGGACAGTACTATTTTATTGTTTCCAAAGGTTGTGTGAGCCATTTTTTAAAAGTATGTTCAGGGAACTTTCTCAATAATCCAGAGATACTTGGTTGGCTAAAGAGCTACATATAAACATAGCATATGCAACCTTCAGCTCTTTAAGCTTTCTCATAACAGACAGCTATGCCTTGGACAGTCCGTGTGTAAGTCAGCCCTATGGCTTTGCTTAATGATGATAAAGTGGAAGCATCAGCATAATTGAAGTGCCAATTTCACGCTCCATTTTCATCCCCATGAGGGAGAATTTATTCCAGTAAATGTGTGTTTTTGATGGAATAGTAAAGAATTCTTAGAAGGTTGAGGGCTTTGTGGAAAGTGATTTGTATGTACCCATTAGCCTTACAAAGTGGTTCTAGATTGTAAAATGAGCCTCGAAGTAGCCAATTTTTAGAATTCAGGAAAGTGACACCAATACAACTCAGAGCCTACAACCAGCACCTGCGTGTGATACTTTGTGATTAGAATGCAGACATTTGGGCCTCTATGCATTGAATCCTCTTCATAGACTGAGGAAAGTTACTCTCCTATGGCAGGTGCCCATTTGTTGGGAAGAAAAACCTCTTATGATTTTCTATGTAAAGGAACCTTCTGCTGGAAAGTATCTTGTCTGATGGCTTAGTTTGCAGTATCATTTGTCGCTGACAGGTGACAAGCTTGTTACTGTCACTGAAAGTGCTGTCACCTCAGGATATCTCCATCATTACTCTATTTCACTCAGCATAGTAGATCACATCTTTTCCTCTACCTTTGACCAGGGTGTTATTTGAAACATTATTCTCATCCATGAGTTGTTTAAACATGGTTGTTAGCCTGTCTTTTCCTGTGAAGTGTTGTAGGTGTCTGACAAGTGGATAATTATGTACAGTTATTAATGCTTGGACTGTTCTGTTTTCAGGCCGAGGTTGATAAAAACATAGAACTTTTGAAAAAGAAGGATGAAGAACTCAGTTCTGCTCTGGAAAAAATGGAAAATCAGTCTGAAAACAATGATATCGATGAAGTTATCATTCCCACAGCTCCCTTATACAAACAGATCCTGAATCTGTATGCAGAAGAAAACGCTATTGAAGACACTATCTTTTACTTGGGAGAAGCCTTGAGAAGGGGCGTGATAGACCTGGATGTCTTCCTGAAGGTATTTCTTCATTTTACGTTCCAAGATTTTTTAACTTGGGTTGTAGAGGCACTGACCTTGCAAACCACAAACCAAGAGAGTTTCTTTGTAGTATGGATTAAGATTCTTTATCTTCCCAAAAAACACTAAATGAGATGTAGGGTTTTGCACCATCTTTTTACCTACAGAGTACTGAGGATTGGTCTGAGCAGGGGAAGAGAAGTGGGCTGGTGGCTGCAGTTCTCTGCCCACAGGCAGCATTAAGATGAGTGTAACTCTTCTGTGCCTGGGTGGATCAGGAGGTACGATCAGATTTCCATTGGTTCTTTGAGGTCATACCACCTAAATTGAGATCACTGATTGTGCCACCTCCATTTTTTATCTGTTAATTTTCTTAGAGTTATATAACTTTAGACCAGTTTTCCCACATCAAAGTATCAGGCTGCCCTTTCAAGCCCTCTTGTATGAAAGTTGTCTCAAGCTTAATGCTGTTGTACAGAGGAAAATCTAGTAAGCGAAGTTTGGCTACTGCTGTCTCTTGGGTCATGGAGAACATGGTTTTAGGGATAATAGCAGCCACCCTTGGGATATCTGATCCAGCTGTAGCTGGAGCCTGGTCAGGTCATGTGCTGATCTTGCCTATCTCCTCTCACTGTGGGGGAATGGCCAAACCATGTGCCTCAGAAGTGGTACAACCACATGAATGGCTGGATATAAACCAGAGACCCAAGAGAGGACTCTTTTTCTGTACAATCTCTTGCTTGAGTGGCATGGCTTAGGAAAAGAAAGTGTAGGTCAAACTCCTGAGCCAGATCCTGCAATGTAATGCTTTCCCTGTTGAGTAAGCCTTTATAATATGCAGCTTAAAAGCCACATATAATGAGGTATTCATTCCAAAGGTTGGCAGGTCATGAGTTAGGGTTCTTAGATCCCATCTAGGTTACAAATTGTCTATTTTATGCCTGGGCCTAAATCAAAGCCATTCTAAACTATTCAAACTTTTCTCCCCTCCCAGCATGTACGTCTTCTGTCCCGTAAACAGTTCCAGCTGAGGGCACTAATGCAAAAAGCAAGAAAGACTGCCGGTCTCAGTGACCTCTACTGACTTCTCTGATACCAGCTGGAGGTTGAGCTCTTCTTAAAGTATTCTTCTCTTCCTTTTATCAGTAGGTGCCCAGAATAAGTTATTGCAGTTTATCATTCAAGTGTAAAATATTTTGAATCAATAATATATTTTCTGTTTTCTTTTGGTAAAGACTGGCTTTTATTAATGCACTTTCTATCCTCTGTAAACTTTTTGTGCTGAATGTTGGGACTGCTAAATAAAATTTGTTGCATAATTTTTCTCTCCTTTATTGGACTTTAGGAAAGATCCATGAAACCTTAGTAAGCCCAACTTCTCATTTAGCAAAAAAGGCATAAAATCCATCTTAAGTTGAAATTTAGTATTATTCTACAGCATATAAAGTGAATTAACATGGGGATATACCAAATAGAAATCTAAATTTTGAAATATTTGAAATTGAAGCATTTGAGTAACTTATCTGTGAAAGGTCCAAGGAGATGCTCTCCTACCAACCCTACTAAATTTGTTTCCTTTCTAGGCCTCACTGAACCATAAGTGTTTTCATCAAAAAGGAGCAGAGTGGCAGGTCCAAACTATATACCTGATAACTTTAGGATTAAAGGGAAAGATAGTGTACCATTGCCTCCCTGCTTTTATTGTCATTTAAAGTTTCGTCTTCATGGTGAGTGATTCTGTAGCCAAGTTTGTGACCACCCAATGAACTATATAGCTGCTGTATGTCCTGCAGAGCTCATCCAGAATAGAATGTTCTTGATCAAAATGAGAGTGCTAGAAAGCTCATGAGGCTACAAGGCTACAAAGAAAAGTATATTCCAATTTGGGATGTTATTAAGATAATTAGGCAGCCCACTCTACTCCCAAGAGAAGAATGACCAATTTAATCTGTTGTCACCAAGCGGTTTACAGCTTAAGGCCTTTTCTGTAAAAATTAAAATGCACTCAAAGAATAAAAAACAGCAAGGTCAAATCAATGTTTTATCTAGTGTTAGGAACATTTAGATTACTCTCTGTGTGTGTGTGTATATATATACACTTTTATTTTTACATTGTAGAGATAGCATGTAAATGAACATAGGTATTAAGCCATAGAGAAGAATTACTATGCACCTGATGAAAAGAATCAGGATTTGTGTAACACAGTAAACACATTCTTGTGGACCAGATGGCAATTACGTATACATACAAGGCAAGTACTGAGAAGTACCAAAAACATCTTTGATGCCGTCACTTTAAAAAAAAAAAAAAAAAAGTGTCATCTATCATCTGGATACTAAATCAAAGCTAAGGCCAGGCACAGTGGCTCACCCCTGTAATCTCAGCACTTTGGGAGTTCAAAACCAGCTTGGATGACATGGCAAAACCCCATCTCTACAAAAAGATACAAAAATTAGGCAGGCATGGAGGCACACGCATGTGGTCCCACCTACTCTGGAGGCTGAAGTGGGAGGCTCACCTGAGCTCGGGAGGTCAAGGTTGCAGTGAGCCATGATTGTGCCACTGCACTCCAGCCTGGGTGACAGAATGAGACCCTCCCAAAAAAGAAAAAAAAAAAAGCTGGAAGGCTATACTAAATAGGTCACTCTTTCCTCTATTTTTCCAACTTTTAGAAATTCAAATTTATTCAAAAGTTTGACATATACAATTCCATAACTACTATTTCATCTTCAATCTACAGAATTAGCTTTAAGCAACTTTAAAGCTTGAGCTCCTTCTGAATTTCCCAAAGTGTTTCTGCACTCTTTTGCAAGCAGGCCTCCTCTTCAAGAGTCAGTTTTACTTTTATGAGGTCTGTGATACCATTCTCTCCCAGGATACATGGGACACTAAGGAATATGTCTTCATTTATTCCATAGAGGCCCTGAAAGTAAAGACTTAAAAATTATTCCTTTTTTAACAAAGTTCTGCAATATGAGAAACAACAGTTGGGAGGTGAATGAATAACAGATTGGTATAGTACGAACTATGGCAGAGTACCAAGGCAGAGAACTTTTTTCTTTTTTTTTTGAGACGGACTCTTGCTCTGTCGTCCAGGCTGGAGTGCAGTGGCACGATCTCGGCTCACTGCAAGCTCCGCCTCCCGGGTTCACGCCATTCTCCCACCTCAGCCTCCCAAGTAGCTGGGACTACAGGCACACACCACCACGCCCGGCCGACAGAAAACAATTTAAAACATGATTAGACATATTTATTGTTCAGTTTCAACCCACCATCTCTCCATATAGGCCCCAGCCTCCTGCCATGTTTGCTGGGGCTCACCCTTCTTTCCTCATCTCCTTACTCCATACCACTTCCTATCAGGAGACCACTTCAAAATTCCTATGACTTTGTTTGCAGTGATCTAGATCTGTCTTGTTGTATAACCTCTCCCATTTAGACTAGCAGAGGGATCTCACCCATGCCCCAACTCCCCTTTCCCCAGGAGACTAACTGCTAATTATTTTGTGTCTAGTGCTGCTTTCTTAGATCTCATCATTGGACATAACTGAAACTGTAAGAGAACAACTCCAAAGGTACCAAGGTCTGCCCATAGTGGTTCCCAATGTTTCTAGATACTGGTAGAATCAGTTCACTTAGTTAAATAATAAAGATGCCAAAACACTTACTTTTATCTAATAAAAAGAAATGTCACACTAGACCAGGACAAAGGTCTACAAAGATAGGCTCTTTCCCCAATCTCCCCACTCTTCAGCAGCAAAGAACAGACTTCAGGAAGAGAGGTGCTTCCCACGAGATCAAACCCAAAACCAGAGTGCCTCAAAAATGTTCTTTACCCCCCTATTTTATGTTGAGTTAATGATTTTTCGAACATGAATGTCCTACCTTACTTAGGGTAGAAACTGGATGCACTCTCCTAAGATTCTTCAAAATACTTTCTGTTAAATCAGCTACAGATAGGCTAATGCCCCAAGAAGTATAACCTTTCATTTTGACCATCTCATAGCCACTGTAGATAGAAGAAACCATAAACATAAGTTAAGATGCACTTGTCATTGAACTTCCACTTTGTAGCAATGTATCTAACAATGCCACAAAACTGCAGTGACTCCATCAACAACTTCTAGAAATTACTTGTAGTATGTATGCATTTTTTCTTTCTTCTTTTTTTTTTTTAAGTCTTGCTCTGTCACCCAGGCTGGAGGGCAGTAGTGTGATCTCGGCTCACTACAACCTCCACCTCCCAGGTTTAAGCAATCTTCCCTCCTCAGCCTCCTGAGTAGCTGGGATTACAAGCATGCGCCACCATGCGTGGCTAATTTTTGTATTTTTAGTAGAGACGGGTTTTCACCACGTTGGCCAGGCTGGTCTCATACTCCTGATCTCAAGTGATCCACCTACCCTGGTCTCCCAAAGTGCTGAGATTAGAGGCATGAGGCATGAGCCACCACGCCCGGCCATATATATGCATTTTTGAGAGAGGGTCTCAGCTGGAGTGCATTGGCATCATCAGAGCTCACCTCGACCTCCTGGGCTCAAGCAAGCCACCATATGCTCAGCTAATTTTTTATTTTTTTTGTAGAGATAGGGTCTCCCTATGTTGCCCAGGCTGGTCTCATACTCCTGGGCTCAAGTGATCCTCCCACACCTCAGCAGAGATGGGGTCTCCCTATGTTGCCCAGGCTGGTGTCATACTCCTGGGCTCAAGTGATCCTACCACCTCAGCTTCCCAAAGTGCTGGGATTATAGGCATGAGCCACCATGCCCTGCCACAGTGGTTAAACATTTGAGTTACAAGTACAGAGATGCAGAAATTAATATGGAATCAATTCCACCACTACAATAAACACTATATAGCAAGTGTTTGAAAAAATACATTGTCAGTCAACAAGTGAGCCCCTACCATGTGCTCAATACTGGGTTAGGCTCAGGAATAAGCAACACAGAATCAGTTCCTGACTGTTGAAGAATTTATAATCTGGTGAATATGATCACACAGAAAAGCAGAAGTGCAAATAAAAATATGGGAAATACAACAACATATATTTAAGGGACTAATCTCAACCTTCTAACAGAGTTCAGGCTCACAACTTCTAAGGTACTGAAAATGTGAAACTAGCATATTACCTGGAAATCACTTTTTTGTGGACATTTTCCCACTGCTCAGGATCTTTATCAGTTCCTATATCTGGGTTCAGATCCTTCAGAGGGACGCCAGCAATGTTCACACCACTCCACACAGGAACTAAGAAAGAGACACCCAAAATCCCACTTCTTACATGGTATTAGCAGGGTTTTGGTTTTTGACCTCAGCAAAACTGTTATAATTGCCCTGAGTGATTTCCAACTAGGAATGTTCCGATATCTGAGCCCCACTCCAGATATTCTAAATCTAGATCTCCACAGATGGGGATCCACAATTCTATTATCTTGGCAAAGATTCTCCAAATAAGAAAATTGCAGTTTTAAACTTTCCACTAGGAAGTTCTAGTTTTTCTCCCTTTAAGTCTTTTTCCATAGCCAAGGTTTACATTAAATAGATTTCAAAGGTTTTTAGCCAGAAGACACTAAGGGGGGACAAAAAGACTGCTATTACCACAGCACTCTTTCTCTTCCTTCTTATATCTTCAGTTATACCCATCCCTTAATCTGAAGACTGCCTACTACATGAAGTACACTGCTGACCTTTCTGAACTAGAGTGTCCCAAATTAAATACAAACTATATCATGTTACTTAGTTCTCTATTTAAGAAAAGCGTTATAATCCTAGCCATCCATATGTAGGATTATAGTATCAATCTCACATTTTTCAAATCTGTATTTTTTGTTGGTTATTTTAAAAATAAGTGTGGTAAAAATTAAACGCTACTAAAAGGGCCTAAAGTGGAATAAAGTCTTTTCTCCCCTCCCAGGAGCTACTTTACATTAAATGTCTGTATGATTGATAGGAAATAGATATTTCAGAGGCTCAATCGTGCCTCAGGCTTACCACTTGAGTCGCCATGCTCTCCAAGGATCAGCCCATGACAGCTTTCAGAGTGGATGCCAAGCCTTTGCCCAATAAAGTAACGAAAACGAGCAGAGTCCAGATTACAACCACTTCCAATAACACGGTTTTTGGGAAATCCACTCAACTTCCAGGCTACATAAGTTAAGATATCCACTAAGAAGAAAAAGTTCATATCAAGAAATGTCCTCATCTACAAGGATATGTTTTTTAGATTTACCTAACTTAAAACTAGTAAATCTGATGTTTTGTGGAGGAGGCAAGAAACATGGTTCTCTATCCAACCCCAGCTATACGCCAACTCTTAAGAATATCTACCAAATAGAAGTAATGAAAAACCTTTTCGTTGATACTTTGCACAGCTTGGTATGCAGAAACACAGAATGTTCACTCCACAGAAAATTCTGAGAAATATGAATAAACAAATACTCTCTTATCAAGTCTTTCAAATAATTTTGCTTAGAGAATAACCCATTTTCAACAAAAAGCATAGTTAAGAGGGGAAGAGAGGGATGAGCGCAGTGGCTCACATCTGTAATCTTTAGTAGAGGTGGGGTTTCACTATGTTGGCCAGGCTGGTCTCAAACTCCTGACCTCAGGTGATTCACCTACCTTGGCCTCCCAAAGTGTTCGGACTACAGGCGTGAGCCACCGTGCCTGGCCTAGTTTATATTCTTTAATGCATTTTTAAAACAAAGATTTTTAAAAAATCAATGACAAGTGTTATTTTAACCATAAAATAGAAGGAAGCAAAGAGCATTGAATAGTAGGAAAAAATTATTTTTTTAATAGAGACAGGGTCTTGCTGTGCTGCCCAGGCTGATCTAACTCCTGGCCTCAAGCAATCCTCCTGCCCCAGCCTCTCAAAGTGCTGGGATTACAGATGAGTGACCATGCCCAGCCTAAAAAATATATTTTTTTAAAACAGCATCAGAGGCCAGGTGCAGTGGCTCACGCCTGTAATCCCATTACTTTGGGAGGCCGAAGCCAGTGGATTACCTGAGGTCAAGAGATTGACACCATCCTGGCCAACATGCTGAAACCCCGTCTCTATTAAAAATAAAAAAATTAGCCAGGCATGGTGGTGCGCGCCTGTAGTCCCAGCTATTTGGGAGACTGAGGCAGGAGAATTGCTTGAACCCGGGAGGTGGAGGTTGCAGTGAGCCGAGATCGTGCCACTGCACTCCAGCCTAGCAACAGCAAGACTCCGTCTCAAAAAAAGAAAAGAAAAGAAACATACGTCATCACCAGGCGTGGTGACTCACGCCTGTAATCCCAGCATTTTGGGAGGCCGAGGCGGGTGGATCACGAGGTCAGGAGTTTAAGACCAGCCTGGTCAACATGGTGAAACCCCATCTCTACTAAAAATAAAAAAATTAGCCAGGCGTGGTGGTGGACACCTGTAATCCCAGCTACTTGGGAGGCTGAGGCAGAAAATTGCTTGAACCCGGGAGGTGAAGGTTGCAGTGAGCCGAGATCACACCATTGCACTCCAGCCTGGGCGACAGAGCAAGACTCCGTCTCAAAAAGAAAAGAAAATGAGAAAGAAAAATACTTTAAGAAGAAGCTTCACCCCAGAAATGCAAAGGTGGTTCAATATCAAAAAATCTGTCAACATATTACATCAGATGAGATTTAAAGAAAAAGATAGATATGATCATTTTAACTGTAGGAAAACTCATTCAGGGATTAAAAAATAAAACTAAATCTAGGAACAGAAGGAAACTGCTTTTTATCTTAAAAAGGTATCTATCAAAATCCAAAGCAAACATACATTATGAAGAAAACTTAGAAGCCTTTTCATTAAAGTCAGAAACAAGACAAGGATACCCACTATCACTGTTTCTGTTTAACATTATACTGGAGAGTCTTCTAGGTTATGCAATAGGACAAGGGAGAAAAAAACTACCAAGAATAAACCAAGGCCAGACACGGTGGCTCACACCTGTAATCCCAATTCTTACAGGGAGGCTGAGGTGGGAGGATCACTTGAGACTTGGAGTTTGAGACCAGCCTGGGCAACATAACAAGACCGCGTCTCTACAAAATGTAAAAAGTAGTCAAGTGTGGTGGCATGCACCTTTAGTCCCAGATACTTGGGAGGCTGAGACAGGATCACTTGAGCCCAGGGGTTCAAGGTTACAATGAGCTATGGTTGTGCCACTGCACTTCAGCATAGGTAACAAAGCAAAAGCCTGTATCTATCTGTCTGTCTGTCTGTCTGTCTGTCTACCTACCTACCTTCATCTATCAATTAGTTTTTATAAACAGACCAAAGTCCTTATTTGGAGATGGTAGAATTATCTAATAGAAAACTGCTAATGCCTACTTGCCTGGGACTTTGAGGAGCTACTATAGGAGCAATTATTTTGTTTACTAAAACTGAATACCTTGCTATCTCTTTGATACATGTTTACAAAGCCTGGGTAAAAATGGTATAAATTACTTTTGAACCACCTCTACATTCTGAGGGTTTCAGCAGGACAATGAAGAGGTGTTCTATGTATAGAATTTGCAATATCAAAAATAAGAAAATACTCGTAAGTGAGGAAATGTGTTGGGTTTTTTTTTTAAGTGTAGTAGGACAATATTTCACAAATCATTCTACAAAGTGATTGTCCTGCTATTTCTGCAGTTTCAAAATAGGTGGTTTTTAGAGCCATTCACATAAATTTCCATTAATGAAGTCAAAATTATTTGGGGAAAAACAGGTAAGGTAAAGAGTTCACTTTCATATTATTTGAATTAAACCTCTTTTATTTTCTTACAGGCTCAGTCTTTAAGTAATAAAGTAGCAGCTTTCAAGTAAATGAAGTGTCTAAAATAAATATTGATTCAACTCTTATTTGAAAAATCTATTTGTTCTTGTTTTAGATGATTAGAATAGTATTTTAGGCATTTGTTGGTACCTTTTCCATTTGGTTGAACTTTTAACTTAGCTTTATGTAATAACTCATACTTTAAAAATAATAAATGCATCAAATTCTATCCTAAACATATGAAGACAATTTAAGATTCAGAATCCTGTAGTGGATCTCTGTGAAGGACATAATTTCTAATTTGTCTTTTTTGTAAATCCATATTTTTTATGGCAGATTTAAGTACTCAAATAGTAGAAATTAGACACTTTAAAAAGATATGAAGATGACATCTTTTGTCCTCTGAAACAGTGTTTTCTAAACAGGTAATATTTCCATTAATGTAAAAGTTAGAGCTTCTGTTCCCTGTTTAATATCCATTGATGGTAAAAAGTGATACTGAAACAGTCTGATCATACCACTATTTTAAATGGTAAGCATTCATTCTAATACCTGAGATGGAGAGAAGTATGGTAGAAATGTCTTTAAGTTTCCTCATACATAAAGCTGTCAAGTGAAGAACCTCGGTTAGTCATCCTGGGCCTTAAGAGGTTCGTCAACTGCCACTGAAACTCAAGGGGATTGGGGGACCTCTGCCAGGCCCTGGGTCTGGAACAGAGAATGTGACCTGTTTTAATTGGTAAACTGAAAACAGAGCAAGTAACTCAGCTGTGTCCCAGGGTACCCAACCGCATTTTCTAGGTAAATGACTATAGATTTGAAGAAAAGGTTAAACTTTTCCTAAATCTTTGATCTTCAATTGTTTAGGTTATCTTCCTGTATTATTTTACATCCCCTCCCTTACCGTACTGCCCTCTAAATTTTCCATTTTCCACTTCCATTTGGTCATTTAGTTCATGTAAATAGTTACTGGAACTTTTTAATTTGTAAAAAAAAAAAAAAAATCCTAAATACTCTTAAATCAACAATTACAAACCTTCATAAGCCATTCTGGGTAGATTTTTGTTCTTTTGGAAAAAATTTTTTTTTTTTTTTTTTTTAATAGAGACAGGGTTTCACCATTTTGCCCAGGCTGGTCTTGAACTCCTGGGCTCAAGCAATCCTCCCGCCTCAGCCTCCCAAAGTTCTGGGATTACAGGTGTGAACCACCACGCCCAGCCTCATTCTGAACAGTTTTGAAATTAATACCTAGTATTTGTCATGTCTTGTGCTCCACATTTCCACAGTAATAAACTAAAATGCTATATTAAAATAATGTCAACAGTGTGTTTTTGTAACTGAAATAAGATCTGTATGCAGGCGTGGCGGTTCACGTCTGTAATCCCAGCACTTCGGGAGGTCAAGGTGGGTAGATCACTTGAGGCCAGGAGTTCAAGACCAGCCTGGGCAACATGGCAAAACTCCAGCTCTACTGAAAATACAAGAATTAACTGGGCATGATGGTGTGCGCCTGCAATCCCAGCTACTTGGGAAGCTGAGGCACGAGAATCACTTGAACCCAGGAGGCGGAGGTTGCAGTGAGCCAAGTTTGCGCCACTGCACTCCAGCCTGAGCAACAGAGCAAAACCCTCTCTCAAAAAAAAAAAAAAAAACTTCTAAAGTTTAGTTTTACAATTCTACCACTACATGGACAAAATTATGCACTTAGGTAAGATAAATTAATATTTAACATAAATAAGAAACCCTTACTAATTGCTTGTTTTAATTTTTAAAATTTCACATTCATATCAGCATAATAAAATATCATATATAAACTAAAAGTCTGAAAATAGACTGCAGTAGGTCAGTTACTGAAAATAAAACACTGTTGAAATGTGGCCAGGCGCTGTGGCTCACGCCTGTAATCCCAGCACTTTGGGAGGCTGAAGTGAGCGGATCTCTTGGGGTTAGGAGTTTGAGACCAGACTGGCCATCATGGTGAAACCCCGTCTCTACTAAAAATACAAAAATTAGCTGGGCGTGGTAGTGCACGCCTGTAATTCCAGCTACTTGGGAGGCTGAGGCAGGAGAATTGCTTGAACCCGGGAGGTGGAGGTGGCAGTGAGCCGAGATCACGCCACTGCACTCCAGCCTGGGCAACAGACCAAGACTCCATCTCAAAAAAAAAAAAAAGTGTGCTAGGTAAATAGGTAAATGTGAGTATTGCTATAAAGTTAGTAATGTTTAAAAAATAGCACCACAATCATCATAACTATTAATACATTTAGTTTTTATCCATGATTTGCCAAAATAAAAATTGGCACATCCTTGAAAGGGAGATTTCTAAAGGAACTTAAGAACTTCTAAAAGTGTCTCTGGTGATTCATTTAAATGATACTTACTTTTCCTGACCTTAAAACTCTGATTTGAACTTGCACTCCATTTTGTAGTGATGCTACCTATACATATTACACATGTGTGAAGCCTTTACTACAGAACCACCAAAACCAGGCCTTGAGGACTGTGGAGACACGGGAGCTGCATCTGAAGGCAGTCCTGCATGGGAATTAGTACCTACGCCTGAGAAACCCCTCTCTACCCAGATTGCTCTCAGAATTGCCTTTTCTTTCACTAAAATTTTAGCTAAATATTATCATTCAGTGCCACGCGGTGGCTCACGCCTATAATCCCAGCACCTTGGGAGGCCAAGGCAGGCAGATCATTTGATGCCAGGAGTTCAAGACCAGCCTAACATGGTAAAACCCCATCTGTACTAAAAATACAAAAATTAGCTGGGCATGGTGGCACATGCCTGTAATCCCAGCTACTTGGGAAGCTGAGGCATGAGAATTGCTTGAACCTGGGAGGCGGAGATTGCAGTGAGCCGATATTGCATCACTGCACTCCAGCCTGGGTGACAGACAGAGACTCTGTCTCAAAAAAATAAATAAAATTATCATTCGGGGGGGAAAAAATCTTTCCTGAGTGGTATCAATTTTTGGTAGCTTAATACTAATTTAAAGTTGTCAGTTTTTGTTTTTGTTTTTGTTTTGTATTAGAGTAATGAAGTTAATTGTTTCTCTTAACTTTTGAAGCACCTGAAATTTTGAAGATGGTTCTTAGTGGACCATTTTAACAGACTCACTAAAATAATGGAGAAGACTTTCTTCACATGGTTCTAATATCAGAATAAGTTTTCTAAATAGATATGGAAGATATATTTGATAGTGTGTACTATAACTGCATACACTGTCAAGCAAATACAGAACTAAGCTGTTAAATCATTTGAGATTGAGATTTTTTTATTTTTCCTTATTTTTACTGCTGTTAATGGCAGACAGCCAGTATATAAAATGTAGAAAGAGTATCCTCTGAATGTGCTTATTAGAAATATTAGTCAATAAATTAAATATTCTTTAATAGACTTCTGCCATAATGCATAGAGAAGCATCTTTTGCTAATGTACACTTCTAAAATCTGTGGTGGGAGTGTGGTGGGCCAGTTAATGTTGCCAAGCAAGTGATGCTTAATTTGTTTTTCCTAATTTGTTATCATATAACCTTAATGACGCGGTACTTTGAGGGTAGAGGCGTTTTAGTGCAAATCAAAGTAGGTTGGGGATTCACTTAACACAAACAGTAAATGTGAACTTACTGTCCCCACAGACTTCAGTGCCCTGAACGGTTAGAGAAATTAATGAAGGAGCTCCACCAGGTGCCTTCACAACTCTGAGTCATATCAGAATCTCTCCACAGCTCTCCTTTCAAAAATGACACCGTGACATTTCAGGATGTGAAAAAACTTACTGGAAAGTGTGTAAGAAAATATAAAATACTATTGTACAATGTGATAATGTATCATCAGCTTGTTATTTTCAGTGTGCTTCCTTGTAGCGCCGGACTACCATTTCTGAATTTTGGATTTGGTATTTTTTTTAAAGAATCAAACTCTTAAAAGAGGAAATGCTTATACCAATAGCCTGTATGAAGCAAAATTTATGTGAAAGCTAAAGATATGCATGCAGTTAAATATATAAATAAATCTCAATGCCATACAAAAAGAACTTTTGATAATCTATGAACTATTTTAAAAAAGAAAAAACAGCCTCAAACTTATGGGATACCGTTAAACACACCAACATATATATGCATGTATGGTAGGACCAGAAGGAAGGGAGAGGAGCAGAAAATTATTCAAAGAAGTAACAGCTGAAACTTCCCAAATAGAAAAACATTATACATCCAAGCCGGGTGCAGTGGCTCATGCCTGTAGTCCCAGCACTTTGGGAGGCTGAGGTGGGCAGATCAGTTCGGGTCAGGAGTTCAAGACCAGCCTGGCCAACATGGAGAAACCCCGTCTCTACTAAAAATACAAAAAGTTAGCCAGGAGTGGTGGTGGGTGCCCATAATCCCAGCTACTCAGGAGGCTGAGGCACAAGAATCACTTGAATCCAGGAGGCGGAGGTTGCAATGAGCCGAGATCATGCCACTGCACTCCAGTCTGGGCCACAGGGCAAGACTCCATCTCAAAAAAAGAAAAAAAAAAAAACCTATACATCCAAGCTGCTCAATGAATGCCAAGTGGTATAAACTGAAAGACATTCACACTTCAACACATCATAGTCAAACTGTTACAAGCCAAAGAGAAAATACTGGAAACAGCAAGAGAAAAACAACTTATTAAATACAAAAGAACCAAAATGAATCAGCAGTAATCCCTATCAAAATCCTTGCTGGTTTTACTTCAGAAATTGACAAGCTGATACATAAATTCATATGGAAATGCTAAAGATCCAGACAAGCAAAATATATATATATATATGTATATATATATACGTATATATATGTATATATATATACGTATATATATGTATATATATACGTATATATATGCATATATATACGTATATATATACGTATATATATACGTATATATATATGTGTGTGTATATATATATGTGTGTGTATATATATATATATATATATATATATATATATATATATGTGTGTATATATATATATTTTTTTTGAGACAGTCTTGCCCTGTTGCCCAGGCTGGAGTGCAGTGGTGCGATCTCAGCTCACTGCAGCCTCTGCCTCCTGGGTTCAAGCGATTCTCTTGCCTCAGCCTCCCAAGTAGCTAGGATTACAGGTGTGCACCACCATGCCCAGCTAATTTTTGTATTTTTAGTAAAGATGGGATTTTGCCATGTTGGCCAGGCTGGTCTTGAACTCCTCACCTCAGGTGATCCACCTGGCTCAGCTCCCAAAGTGCTGGGATTCCAGGTGTGAGCCACCACGCCTGACCCAAAATAATCTTAAAGAATAGTCAGAAGACTTAATACATCCTGATTTCAAAACTTACCACAAAGCTACAGTAATCAACATATTTATAAATACTACTATGGAGTTGAGCTTCATGATATATTAAGTTAAAAATGAAAGAAGATGGAGAAAAACGTATGTAGTAACAAAAAGCTGTAAACCATAAAAAGTGTAAATGGTTACCTATAAAAGGATGGAGGCTATAGGGGAAAGGGCACAGGGACAGAAGCTGGACCACTTTGAATAATTCCTGTTCTCTAGAATTGATGTTGGAGCCATGTGAATATTTTATAAAACTGTGAAACAAAAGTTAAATAGTTCTTCAGCATCGAAATTAAAATGAATAAACTTAATCATGCACTCACTGTTGGTCTGCACAGAGAAAAACTACTCCAAATAATTTTAGAATACAGTAATTTGAATATCCCTAAACTACTAAGCTCCAGACTCATAATCTCTAGCTGTTTGACATTTCCTCTTGAGTATCATTTCAGGTATCTTGATTTTTCCCCTCTATATGTAACATCCCTGCCTCCTTCCCTCACTGACTCCCACCCGATCAGTAAATTTACCAACCCAGTTAAATGGAACTACCATCCCTTCAGTTACTCAAAGGAAAAACTCTCGAAGTTATTTTTTATTCCTCCCTTTCTCTCACTAGACATAATCTATCAGCAGTCCTGCACATTTTATCTCCGAAGTCTATTTTCAGTTTGTCCACCTTGTAAATGCACCAGTGAGGAGTCTAGTACAATTTTGGAGAGTCAGGCAGTAAACTATAGCCCTACTTTCACTTCTCAAACAGTAATTTGGAAAACAAACCTCAGCCTTTAGAATATAAACCTTGAACTCATATGATTAAGCATATTATCTTCCCATACACACTACTTTTTTTTTTTTTTTTTTTTGAGACAGGGTCTCACTGTGACCCAGGCTGGAGTGCAGTGGCGCAATCATGGCTCACTGCAGCCTTGACCTCCCTGGCTGAAGCAATCCTCCCGCCTCAGCCTCCTGAGTAGCTGGGACTACAGGAATGCTCCACCATGCCCTGATAATTTTTGTATTTTTTTGTAGAGATGGAGTTCTGTCATGTTGCCCAGGCCATTCTCAAACTCCTGGATTCAAGCACTTCACCCACCTTGGGCTCCCAAAGTGCTGGGATTACAGGCTTCAGCCACTGCATCTGGCCTCACACTAGTATTTTTTAAAGTCATTATAGTATATACACTGATTACCACTGTGCAAAGTACATATTACACTAACAAAACAGAGATTCTGGAATTATACTGGTGGTTTACGATTTAATATTCATTAAATTCTTTTTCTCCTCAAAGTTACTAAACCCACCCCCAAAAACTCCTTCACTGAACAGTGAAAATAAAGCTGTCCTATGCAGCCATAAAAAACAAAATCATGTCCTTTGCAGCAACATGGATGCAGCTGGAGATCATTATTCCAAGCTAATTAATGCAGGAACAGAAAACCAAATACATGTTCTCACTATAAGTGGGAGCTAAACATGTGGGTGCACATGGACATAAAGATGGGAACAAATGACACTGGAGACTACTAGAGAGGGAGGGAGTGAGAGCAGCAAGGGCTGAAAAACTATTAGGTACTTTGCTCAGTACCTGGGTGGCAGGATCAATCCTACCCCAAACCTCAGCATCACACAGTATACTCATGTAATGAACCTACACAGTGTACCCCCGAATCTAAAAGTTGAAAATTTAAAACAACAAAGCTGACCTGGATTAGTAACAATAAGCAGTTTGCAGTGAGGACTGTACTGGGTAATATTGGGAATCATTAATTTAAAGATGGATACATTTCGCTGGACTAAATCAAGGCGTGTTTCTCCTTTTTTCTGGCGTGCACCTGCTGTGATAATCACTAGATTGGAGTTTGCAGTGACCAGGTAATCTGAGGAAAGATTAGAATAAACAATCGATTATGAAAGAAAACATCTGGCATTTAAGTATACTTCCTGTTCACTTCAATCACCACACTATGTTTACCAAAGAGTGGGTTCCCTTAAATCTTCTAGTATGCCTAGACTACTTTTTAATTTCAGGAAATTAGCACTAAGTTTCCCTTGTACATTTTTTTTAATAATAAAAAAAAAAAAAAAAACGTAAGTCATGTGCAGTGGCTCACCCCTGTAATCCCAGCACTTTGGGAGGTCGAGGTGGGTCCATCAAATGAGGTTAGGAGTTCAGGACCAGACTGGCCAACATGGCAAAACCCCATCTCTACTAAAAATACAAAAATTAGCCAGGCACAGTGGCGGATGCCTGTAGTCCCAGCTACAAGGGAGACTGAGGCAGGAGAATCACTTGAACATGGAGGCAGTGAGCCAAGATCACACCACGACACTCCAACCTGGGTGACAGAGCGAGACTCCGTTTCCAAAAACAAAAACCTCCTAAATTGGGTACAGTAGTGCACTCCTATAGTCCCAGTTACTTGGAGGCTGAGACCAAGAGGATCACACACGAGCCCAGAAGTCCAAGTCCAGCCTGCACCAACATAGCAAGACACTGTCTCAAAAACAAACCAAAACAAAACAAAACAAAAAAAAACAAAAAAAACACCTCACCTCCTAAAATACCTTTTGTATTATTTAGATGAAGAGGTCAAAATATGGATTACTCTGGCAAGAATATTTAGAGATAGATGTGGTGTGAACAGACCTTTGAATAGCAAATTGTTGGTTCATTCGTTTGTTCAAATAATTATCTCCCAGGTGCCAAGTGAATAAAGTACAGTAGTGAAGAGCTTAGGCTTTGGAATCAAACAGAACTGAGTTCAAATCCCTACTCCATCACTTTTTTTTTTTTTTTTGAGACAGAGTTTCACTCTTGTTGCCCAGGCTAGAATGCAATGGCACGATCTTGGCTCACCACAACCTCCACCTCCCAGGTTCAAGCGATTCTCCTGCCTCAGCCTCCTGAGTAGCTGGGGTTACAGGCATGCACCACCACGCCCGGCTAATTTTTATGTTTTTAATAGAGACAGGGTTTCTGTATGTTAGTCAGGCTGGTCTCGAACTCCCAACCTCAGGTGATCCACCTGCCTTGGCCTCCCAAAGTTCTGGGATTACAGGCATGAGCCACCATGCCTGGTCCTATCACTTTTAATTAACCTTAGTTCAGAGGTACATCATCTCTAAAATAGAGTTGTGCTCAGGATTAAATTATATAAAGTGCTTGGGTCAATGTCTCACACACAATAGGCAGTCAGTTCATTGTAGCTGTCATGATAACTGCTGTTACTGCTGCTCACAAGGAACTCAGTCTGGTGCCGTGGGAAACCTTGCAAAGTACAACCCAAGGAATCTGAACACGTTATGAGAGTACAGAGTAGGGAGCAACCAGCCTTATCTATAAAAACTGGGGAGGTCAAAAGAAATAAAGATGATTTTCTTAGATACTTGTTCATGTATATTAGAATATTTATAGTATTTAACTATGACATTAACCTTTGCTGGAGACAATATTTGGCATTTTCATAAAAGGGCTGCCATGTTGAAGATCCATTGTCTCACCCTTCAGTTTGCCTTCATCAACATCCACAAGGACAAGTTCATCACTCAAACCCTGAAAAACATTGTTAGTCCAATGGGTGTGAGTGTATCTCTTGATTAACTGGAGAATGAAAGAAAATTCTTATATTGGTGATCTATGTCTAGCTTGTGAATTATCAAAATCAAAGGAAACATAATAAATGATCTCATCATTTTGTCATGATATAAAAGTCTAAACCAGAAAAAATACAAATTACAAAGAGGAGCATTTCAGCTCATCATGAGGAAAACAAAAACAGAAACTGCTTAGTAAATAGAACAATCTCTGAAAGTAGTGAACACCCCGATTTTCAATTTCAGCTGAGGCTGCACAGTGATAAAGTAGTGCTTCTGCTGAAGGAATTTCTCACCAGACCTTGAGCTTCTTGAGACTAGGAAGTCATTCATCCCCAGCCATCTGGTGCTTACTTATCATCCACCTGGCACAGAGGAGCTCAGTAAAAGTTTTTTGAATAAATGGTATCTTAGTCCATTTTCTGTTCCTTATAACAGAATACATGAAACTGAGTACCTTATAAAGAAAAGGAATTTATTTCTTACAGTTATGGAGGCTGAGAAGTCCAAGGTCAGGGGGCCGCCATATGGTGAGGGCTTTCTTGCTGGAGGAGACTCTGCAGAGTCCCAAGGCAGCACAGGGCATCACATGGCAAGGAGGCTGCGATTGCTAAATTCAGGTCTGTCTTCCTCTTCTTATAAAGCTACCATTCCCACTCCCCTGATAACCCATTCATCCATAGATTAATCCATGGCAGAGCCCTCATGACCCAGTCAACTCTTAAAGGCCCCACCTCTCAATACTGCCACATTGAGGATTAAATTTAAACGAGTTCCAGAGGGGACAAACATTCAAACCACAGCAAATGGATTAAAATATAGGGCTCCTTCCAACTCAAAAATATTTTAGTTCTATAATCAGACAGTTATTACCTACAGAAATCAATTCATACTATAATTTCTATGATGCTACTTTATATGTAAGAAAGGAGAGAAAATATACTTCTATTTGAAAAAAAAAAAACACTAGAAATACAAGAAACTGATTCAAATAATTGCCTAAAGTGGATGCTAAGGAAAGATTGGATGGAAACCAGTATGACTTCTCCATGTATGTTTTTTTGTTTTTGTTTTTGTTTTTTTTTGAGATGGAGTCTCTTGCTCTGTTCCCCAGGCTGGAGTGCAGTGGTGCAATCTCGGCTCACTGCCACCTCCGCTTCCTGGGTTCTAGTGATTCTCCTGCCTCAGCTTCCTGAGTAGCTGGGATTACAGGCATGCACCACCATGCCCAGCTAATTTTTGGGTTTTTTTTGTTTTTTTTTTTGTTTGTTTGTTTGTTTTTTGAGACAGAGTCTTGCTCTGTTGCCCAGGCTGGAGTGCAGTGGCGTGATCTCGGCTCACTGCAAGCTCCGCCTCCCAGGTTCACGCCATTCTCCTGCCTCAGCCTCCCGAGTAGCTGGGACTACAGGCGCCCGCCACCACACCTGGCTAATTTTTTGTATTTTTAGTAGAGACGGGGTTTCACCGTGTTAGCCAGGATGGTCTTGATCTCCTGACCTAGTGATCCGCCCGCCTCTGCCTCCCAAAGTGCTGGGATTACAGGCATGAGACACCGCACCCGGCCAATTTTTTTGTATTTTTAGTAGAGACAGGGTTTCACCATGTTGGCCAGGCTGGTCTCAAACTCCTGACTTCAAGTGATCCACCTGCCCCGGTCTCTCAAAGTGATGGGATTACAGGCACAAGCCTTAATCCGCGCCCGGCCTTGTATGTATCTTTCTGAATTTTACTTTTACTTTTTGTTTCTGAGACAGGGGCTTGCTCTGTCCCCCAGGTAGGAGTACAGTAGCATGATCATGACTCATTGCAGCCTCAACTTTCTCAGGCTCAGATGATCCTCCCACCTCAGCCTTCTGGGTAGCTGGGACAACAGGCGCCTACCACCACATCACAGGAGCCTGCCACCACATCTGGCTAATTTTTGTATTTTTTGTAGACATGGGGTTTCACCATGTTGCCCAGGCTGGTCTCAAAGTCCAGGACTCAAGTGATCCGCCTGCCTCAGCCTACCAAAGTTACAAGCGTGAGCCCATGCCCAGCCTAGTTTTTTTTTTTTTTTCTTTTTTTTGAGACGGAATCTTGCTCGTTGCCCAGGCTGGAGTGCAGTGGCACTATCTCGGCTCACTGCAACCCACACCTTCCCGGGTTCAAGCGATTTTCCTGCCTCAGCCTCCTGAGTAGCTGGGATTACAGGCGCCTGCCACCATGCCCGGCTAATTTTTTGTGTGTTTTTAGTAGAGACGGGGTTTCACCATGTTGGCCAGGCTGGTCTCAAACTCCTAACCTCATGATTTGCCTGCCATGGCCTCCCAAAGTACTGGGATTACAGGCTTGAGCCACCGCACCCAGCCTTACTTTCAAATCTTGTAAATGTATTACCTTTTAACTACATATTCTTTTTATCTTTATTACATAATAAATTTTTCCTTGGAGGAAAAATAACGCCTTTGTGTTAGTGCTTAGAAGTAAATGATCAAGGTGGGACATGGTGGCTCACGCCTATAATCCCAGCACTTTGGGAGGCCAAGGTGGGCGGATCATGAGCTCAGGAGTTCGAGACCAACCTGGCCAATATGGTGAAACCCTGTCTCTACTAAAAATACAAAAATTAGCCGGGCGTGTTGGCATGCACCTGTAGTCCCAGCTACTCGGGAAGCTGAGGCAGATGAATCGCTTGAACCCAGGAGGCAGAGGTTGAAGTGAGCCATGATCGCGCCACTGCACTCCAGCCTGGGCAACAGAGCGAGATTCTGTCTCAAAAAAAAAACAAGTAAATGACCAAGGCCGGGCGCGGTGGCTCACGCATGTAATCCCAGCACTTTGGGAGGCCAAGGCGGGCGGATCACCTGGGGTCAGGAGTTCCAGACCAGCCTGGCCAACATCGTGAAATCCTGTCTCTACTAAAAATACAAAAATTAGCTGGGCATGGGGGCACATGCCTGTAATCCCAGCTACTTGGGAGGCTGAGGCAGGAGAATCACTTGAACCCGGGAGGCGGAGGTTGCTGTGAGCTATCAGATTGACCATTGCACTGCAGCCTGTGCAACAGAGTGAGACTCCCTCTCAGAAAAAAAAGAAAAGGAAAGAAATAACCAAGCATCCATAATTTAAGCACATATCCAATTCACATTGTTAGTGCTTTTTACCTTTTTTCTTTTTTGAGACAGGGTCTCACTTTGTCACCCAAGCTGGAGTACAGTGGCACATTCATGGCTCACTGCAGCATTAATCTCTTGGTCTCAGGCAAGCTTCCTGCCTCAGCCTCCCAAGTAGCTAGTACTACTAGCATGTACCACCGCACCTGGCATTTTTTTTTTTTTTTTTTGAGACGGAGTTTCTGCTCTTGTTGCCCAGGGTGGAGTGCAATGGTGCGATCTTGGCTGACTGCAACCTCTGCCTCCCGGGTTCAAGCGATTCTCCTGCCTTAGCCTCCCAAGTAGCTGGGATTACAGATGCATGCCACCGTGCCCAGCTAGTTTTTTATATTTTTAGTAGAGATGGGGTTTCACCATGTTAGCCAGGCTGGTCTCAAACTCCTGACCTCAGGTGATCCACCCGCCTTGGCCTCCCAAAGTGCTGGGATTACAGGTGTGAGCCACCGTGCCCGGCCACCTAGCCAATTTTTAATTTTTATTCATTTATTTATATTTTAGAGACAGGGTCTTGCTTTGTTGCCTAGGCTGGTCTCAAACTCCTAGGCTCAAGTGATACTACTGCCTTGGTCTCCCAAAGTGCAGGATTACAGGCATGAGCCACTGCCTGGATCCAGCCTGGATCTTTTTACTCTATTCGAATTACTGGAAATTCAAAGCCAAGCGCTTTACATTTTAAACTAGACTGTACAACTGATCAACCTAGAAGTCTAAGCTGCATTACAAGCAGCCAGGTAACTGAGGTCAACATCAACACTGATAAATCATGACAGTATGTAGCCGGGATATGATGTGATGAAAAGTGGCACTTTATTCCTATGTCTTCCTCCCCAAAACCCAAAACCTCGGTCTCACCATCAAAAAAAACCCCACCAAATTCCAAGAGAAAGGTGTTCTACAAAATACTTGACTAGTACTCCTCAGAATGCTCAGTCATCAAAAACAAGAAAAATCTAAAGAAACTGTCATAGCCTAGAGGAGCCCAAGGAGATACAGTGACTAAACGTCATGTGGTATCATCCTGGATGGGATCATGGAACAGAAAAAGGACAGGTAAAAACTAAAGAAATCTGAGTAAAGTGTGGACTTTAGTTAAAGGTGATATGTCAATATCCATTCTTTCATCGTGACAAATGTACCACACTAAGGTATACAATATGTATTAGAGTTCTCTAGAGGGACAGGACTAATAGGATAGATGTCGATATGAAAGGGAGTTTACTAAGGAGTACTGACCCACATGATAACAATGTGAAGTCCCACAACAGGCCATTTGCAAGCCGAGGAGCAAGGAAGCCAGTCCAAGTCCCAAAACCTCAAAAGTAGGGAAGCCAACAGTGCAGCCTTCAGTCTGTAGCCAAAGGCCCGAGAGTCCCTGGCAAACCACTGGTGTAGGTCTCAGAGTTCAAAAGCTGAAGAACTTGGAGTCTGATGTTTGAGGGCAGGAAGCATCCAGCACGAAAGAAAGATGAAGGCTGGAAGACTTAGCCAGTCTAGTCCTTCCACGTTCCTCTGCCTGCTTTTATCCTAGACGTGCTGGCAGCTGATTAGATGGTGCTCACCCAGATTGAGGGTGGGTTTGCCTCTCAGTCCTCGGACTCAAATGTTAATCTCCTTTGGCAACACCCTCACAGACACACCCAGGAACAATACCCTGCATCCTTCAATCCAATCAAGTTGACAATATTAACCACCACACCATACTAAGGTGTAATGTGGGGTATAAACTGTTATCCTTTCAATTTTTCTGTAAATCTAAAACTATTCTAAAAAATAAAGTCTATAAAAATATATCCTAACAATCTCTCTGGACTCCCTTTCCTTATTTATAAAAATGAAAGTAAACAGAATATCCCATCTTTATATTCACAATCCAGTGCATTCCATTTTAATGGGCATCTTTTAGCAATTCTTTCATCCAACTACTAAATATCAATTACAGGAGGCACTCTTCTAGATTCCAGATACAACACTAAAAGAAAAAGTGGATCTCGCATTATACTAATTAAAGTTTATGTATTATGGTAAAACTCAGTAATTTTTAAAGACATTACTGTTTCTCTACAAGGTTCATACCACAAATTCCTGACAATAAATTCCTGAACAATTCATATTGAGAATTCCTTATCAGCAAGGAGTTTTTAGGCTATCACCACCTCCTTGAATGACAGAAGTTGCAGTGTCTAGGGCCAGGACAGGGAAAGATTAAAGTGAGCCTTAACCTGAGGCTTTATAGGGGGATTGTGTACCCTATTTCCTAAGATATACAAATGCCATAGTTAGCAACATACTAGAATTCAAGTTCTAGAAGCAGGAGGTGACTGGGAAGGCTCTGCTTCATACCTTTACAGCAGGGAGCACCACTGAGTTTGAACAATGGGTGCTACAGGTGGCATTTTAAGCCTCCAGAGGTAAGCCACCAGTGGAGCCTACAGATGCTCTTACATGCCCGGTGGGGCCTGTGCCTCCCATCACCAGTTGCAATGGAATGCACTCCTGCCCTTCTGTACTCCTATCCACCACCTCCACCTGAGATCTATCTAGGACCTCCCATCATGGATAGGGCCATGAAACAAGTGCAGCCCCATGGCACTGCCCTATCCTGGGCCCTGGAACCTCCCATCAGAAGCCCCAAAATTCCCTCCACTCCTGCAACCAAAGCCAAGCAGCAGCTGGCAGAGGTAGGAGTTCCAGGGATATGGCTCAGTCCCTCCCTGAATGGCCCTTCAAAGCAGAGGTGATAAATAAATCTTTTATTTCAAGCTTTTCTATATATATTACCTGTATACTTATCTATTCATGCAATTAGAGATAGTCTATTCCTTTTTTCTCCTCTAAAAAGTAGGTCTAATATTTACTTTCCAGGGTTGTAATATTGGATAATGCATACAAACATACTGTTATCATTATTACTGATGTTAAAAAAAATGTGTTGGGCAAAGCAAGGTGGCTCACATCTGTTATCTCAGCACTTTAGGAAGCCGAGACCTCCTGCTTGAGGCCAGGAGTTTGAGAGCAGCCTGGGCAATACGTGGAGGCCCCATCAAACAATCAATGAGTCACAGATGTGTTGGTTTTCACGTGTGTGTATTCTTCATTAGCAGTGAGGACACTGCTGATAAAGGCATTACAATAGGTAGGACAAAATGAATCATGGGGAATTTGTATGGCTGGCAGGAGCAGCAGTTGGCTGTGGCTGCTGTCCTTAGTGCCATAAGGTCACTATGTCATCTAGATATGAAACCCAGAGGCAATCCTTTAAATCCAATGACTCATGCCAGGATTAAAGGTTATATAAAAGATGGCTAAAACATTTTACAGATATTTCATTAATAAAAGTATAGCTCAGAGTGTCTTATGATTTATTAAAACTTTATGGTAATAAAGTTCATATCAGGGTAATATTCTTAGAAAGGGGTCAGAATCTTTTTTTGGCCTCTGTCTATAGCCATAAAACTTTATCAGCTGTATCAATACTAAGAACAGCTAAACACTAAAACTAACCTAACATGAATAAGGAACGAAGGGAAATAAAGATATACAGACTAGGAAATGGGAGAGAGATATTTAAATGAAAAAAGATTATTGTATTTGGTACTCGTAGGCTGCCTACCATCACTGACACGCTTGTATACTCTTTTCTGCCACCTATTTCTCTCCAGTTTGTTTTGTGAGCTGAGTTTCCAAATCAAGCAAAGGGGTACCTCATATTGTCATTACGTGAAAGTGAAATGTCAACATACTTTCACAGAGATGCTTCTAACCCACATGATATCATCATACAATTTTTAAAAAGGAGCGCCCTCTGGGTGAACAACTAAAAAAAGGGCACCTTTTCCTCTGATGCCCCTCACACTGGCTCCCCACTCACCACCTTGAACTGGACACAACCTCCACAACCATACGCTGTGGCCTCGCCTCCAACTGAGGTGAACCCTGTGGTGCAGAGCACACAACTTACTTTTAATAAGATGCTGATAGCACAAGCCACACCAACCGATCCAGTTCCTACAATGGAGATCTTATTGTGATGAATGGCCTCCTCTTCCGCGAAATTCTTAATAAGTTCACTCTTGATAGTTGCCATCTTGGAAACCTAACAGTGAAGACAAATTGCACAGCCATTTCCAAGACCTGGAATTGGAAATGGCTTGGAATTCCAAGACCTGCGGTGAGAGCGCGTATAGAGAACTCCTGGGCCCGTGTGGAAGGAGGTGCTGCAGACACACAAAAGACCGACAAATCTGACCAGCAAAGAAGCTGGGTAGGTTCTGGCCAGGCAGCTCAGCATCCATGAAGCGGACCAGGGGAAGGAGAAGGAAGCGTGAGTACAGTTAAGAGGAATTAAGAGAGAGAGAGAGGAAAGGAACAGGGGTTGCTCCACCAAACATGAAACTACAGCTGGGACGGCACTCCGTCCCGCAGCTGACCCCCTTTTCTCTCCCCTTTACCCTGCTGTTCCCCCAACCTCCAGTTCTCAGCTCCAGGACTGCGCCCGGGGTCCGCAGGTCCAGGTGAGAGGTACTTCTGGCCACACTCACAGGGGTGAAGGGCCACCCGCGCCCGAGCAGGTCACATGCCGCCTGGCGGAGACACAGAACCATCCTTGGGCAAAAACAATTCGCTCCCGCGGCGCCCGCTCTCTGGCTGCTCCCCAGGACTCTTGCAGCCCAGCTCATGGCCACTCACTCAAGAGGTGAAGAAAGAGAATGGAGGAAAATGGCGTTAAAGCTCATCGAGGCACGAAGGAGATGAACCGCCGACTAACAGACGCCGGGTCGCCCCCTTACTGCAGCTGCGCGGACCGCACCCAGCTCGTGCAGGCATCGCAGGTGTGATGCTTGGCAGGTGTGATGCTTGGCAGGTGTGATGCTTGGCAGGTGTGATGCTTGGCAGGTGTGAGGCCGGAAGCGGGCTGCGAAGCACCGCGCCTGCGCCTCTGCCTGCCCGCCCCGCCCCCGCGTGCGGGTGGGCGGGCTGCGGTGTAGGTGGTTGGCCGGCTGCAGAAGGCGCACGAGGTGCTGCAGGCACAACGCAGTGCAGGGCCTCTGCTGTTGGGCGGAGTTGTTTGCCTAGAACCCATCCACCAGAGAGCCCAAGTAATTTTATTTCTAACCAAACCTTGTCTGGATGTATCTGAAAAGGACTGTTTGACTCTCACGTGAAAATTTTCCCCCAGCCCTGTAGGAGAAAGGGACCTCAAGATTAACTTTTACCACCTCAAATGTGAGCTAAAGTAGAAAAAGTAAAATTTTAAAACTCTGGGCCGAGCGTGGTGGCTCACGCCTGTAATCCCAGCACTCTGGAAGGCCAAGGCGGGCGGATCACCTGAGGTCAGGGGTTCGAAATCAGCCTGGCCAACATCGTGAAACCACGTTTCTACTAAAAATACAAAAATTAGCTGGACGTGGTGGTGCACCCCTGTAATCCCAGCTACCTGGGAGGCTGAAGCACAAGAATTGTTTGTGAACCTGGGAGGCGGAGGTTGCAGTAAGCCGAAATTGTGCCACTGCACTCCAGCCTGGGTGACGGAGTGAGACCCTGTCTCAAAACAACAACAAAACTCTGTATGCAAAAGGAATTTGGAAATAAGATATGAAACCTGAAGAATTTGATGAATGCAGTGCCAATTGATAACCATTTTTACAAGATGAAGGGAAAGCTCAATTCATTATTAAGTGGTTAAATGTAGAATCCACACTTTGGGAGGCCGAGGCGGGTGGATTAGCTGAGGTCAGGAGTTCGAGACCAGCCTGGCCAACATGGCGAAACCCCGTCTCTACTAAAAATACAAAAATTAGCCGGGTGTGGTGGCACGCACCTGTAATCCCAGCTACTCAGGAGGCTGGGGCAGGAGAATCGTTTGAACCCGGGAGGCGGAGGTTTTGGTGAGCCGAGATCATGCCACTGCCCTCCAGCCTGGGTGACAGAGTGAGACTCCGTCTCAAAAATAAAAAACAAAAATGTAGAATTGAAAATCAGTCTGGAATAAACCAAGGTTTCTACTTCTCCCACCACATTTTACCTAATTGTTTTCTCATTTGTGAATCATAATACGTAATTTTGATGGTTAATACTGAGTGTCAACTTGATTGGATTGAAGGATGCAAAGTGTTGAACCTGGGTGTGTCTGTGAGGGTGTTGCCACAGGAAATTAACATTTGAGTCAGTAGGCTAGAAGACGCAAACCCACCCTCTATCCGGGTGAGCACCATCTAGTCAGCTGCCAGCACGTCTAGGATAAAAGCAGGCAGAGGAACGTGGAGGGACTAGACTGGCTAAGTCTTCCAGCCTTCATCTTTCTCCTGTGCTGGATGCTTCCTGCCCTCAAACATTGGACTCCTAGTTCTTCAGCTTTGGAACTCCGACTGACTTTCTTGCTTCTCAGCTTGCAGACGGCCTATTGTTGTGGGACCTCACCTTGTGATTGTGTGAGTCAATACTCCTCAATAAACTCCCCTTTATATATATAGCTATCCTATTCGTTCTGTCCCTCTAGAGAACCCTAATACAGTAATACATATTGACAAATTTTTATAAAATGTAGAGCAGTGTTTCTCAATCTTTTTTCATTATCACTCCCTCAAGAGTCTTTGTAGATATGTTCCCCCTAATTGTTTTGCACCCCCATCATGAAATTAAATATTAAGGAGTTGGCCGGGCGCGGTGGCTCACGGCTGTAACCCTAGCACTTTGGGAGGCCGAGGCGGGCGGATTGCCTGATCTTAGGAGTTCGAGACCAGCCTGGGCAAAACGGTGAAAGCCCGTCTCTACTAATATAAAAGAAATTAGCCAGGCGTCAGCTACTCGGGAGGCTGAGGCAGGAGAATGGCGCGAACCGGGGAGGCGGAGCTTGCAGTGAGCCGAGATCGTGCCACTGCACTCCAGCCTGGGCCACAGAGCGAGACTCCGTCTCAAAAAAAAAAAAAAAAAAAGGAAAGGAATTAGCCGGGCGTGGTAGCAGGCACCTGTAGTCCCAGCTACTCAGGAGGCTGAGGCAGGAGAATTGCTTGAACCTGGGAGGTGGAGGTTGCAGTGAGTGGAGCTTGCGCCACCGCACTGCAGCCTGGGTGACAGAGCAAGACTCCATCTCTTAAAAAAAAAAAAAAAAAAAAAAAACCTATATATATATATATATATATATATATATATATATATATATACACACACATACACATATACATATACGTTTATTTGTCAGGCAAGGTTGAGCTCTGGAGAGCCAAACTCTTGTAATATCTAAGTTTTTTTTTACCTTTTCCTCCCTCCCCCATACCCAGAACCAATTTTCAGCCACTTGGGGACATGTAGAGCAGTTTTACTTACTAGAATGTTCCCTGTAGAAACTGTATCAATTTTTCAGCCTTTTAATCTCTGCAAGAATTTCCTAAAATGAAGTTTTGATGTACAAACGAGCTTTTAAAAAAGCCAAAACCCACAGAAGACTCCCCTTGCCCTCATCCTAACTCAACTGATAATAATTGTATATATTCAAGGGAAGATGCTGAAGAAAAAGGGGAAATAATAAAATAATGGGACACTAATCATGATCAGGAGTAGATGACCAGAATGAAAGCTATCAAGAGAGCAAGAATAACAGACTCAGAGGGTAAGCCATGACTCTCTGACCAAATGAGTCAGCCTTCACTAGTCATGCGAGTCCTCAGGGGCTGCATATCTACCTTCTGATCTTTCCCATTGGTCCAGTTCTAGTCTTAATTTGTAAATTGACCAGGAGTGGTGGCTCATGCCTATAATCCCAGCACTTTGGGGGGCCGAGGCAGGAGGACTGCTTGAGCCCAGGAGTTGAGGACCAGCCTGGGCAACATGGTGAAACCCTGTCTCCAAAAAATACGAAAATCTGCAGGGCGTGGTGGCATGTGCCTGTAGTCTCAGCTACTCAGGAGGCTGAGGTGGGAGGATCTGATGAGCCCTGGAGTTCGAGGCTGCAGCGAGCCACAATTACCCGCTGCACTCCAGCTCCAGCCTGGGTGACAGAACAAGACCTTGTCTAAAAAAAGAAAAAAAATTGTAAATTACCTTGATACTGATTTCTTAGTTTTTGTTTTATTGTATAGTTCCTATAGCTGCCTTAAATTTCTTGTGGAATCAAGGAAATACTTCATATGTATCTATATACTATATAAATCAGTAGAAGCATTTTCACCTTTAGACACCAACAGGGAGCTATTAATGACTATTATCAAACATTAGTCAATAATCAGCCGGGCGCAGTTGCTCACACCTGTAATCCCAGTACTTTAGGAGGCTGAGGTGGGCAGCTCACTTGAGGTCAGGAGTTCAAGACCAGCCTGGCCAACATGGTGAAACCCTGTCTCTACTAAAAATAAAAAAATTAGCCAGGCGTGGTGGTGGGTGCCTGTAATCCCAGCTACTTGGGAGGCTGAGGCAGAAGAATCACTTGAACCCAGGAGGTGGAGGTTGTAGTGAGCACAGATCGTGTCACTGCACTCTAGCCTAGGTGACAGAGTGAGACTCCATCTCAAAAAGGAAAAAAAAATTAGTCAAAAATCAATTCGTTGAGGTACCCTAAATACTCACTGTGGATACTTGAGGGCAGAGATAATGTCATACTGATTTCATAACTATACCATAGCAAGCATAGTAATAGTCTGCTGCACAAATAACTGAGGATGGCATAAGCTCCCCAGGTGATATTTCAATTGAGACACCAAATCAACTATTTGAGTTTATATGACTAGTATAATACTTGCAGAGTTGAATACAATCTTATTTAGATTTTTTACATCGTAAAGTTACATCTGTATCTTCTTCTTGTTTCTGCTTTTCTTCTGTGTTCTTCTTCTTCTTTTGAGTCTGAGTCTTCCTCTGTGGCCCAGGCTGGAGTGCAGTGACACAATCATAGCCTTGAACTCCTGGGCTCAAGTTATCTACTGGTCTCAGTCTCCCAAGTAGCTGGACTACAGATGCAGGCCACCACATCTAATTTCTTTATTTTTGTAGAGATGGGGTGTTGCTATGTTGCCAAGGCTGGTCTCAAACTCCTGGACTCATGTGATCCTCTTGCCTCACCCTCCCAAAGCACTGGGATTACAGCCATGAGCCACAGCACTCAGCTTTTTATTTCTTTTTGATATATATGGTCTTAAAAATAAGCATTTATAATGATTTTTTTTGAGACAGAGCCTCACTCTTTCACCCAGGCTGCAGTGCCCGGCCACATTTATAATGATTATACATAAACATATGACGCTAATGTAATGAAGTGAATATGCTGGTACTCTAACGGATGAAAGTACAAGATAAAATTGTAATACTAGAAAAAGGGCTTGGTTTGTGAAAAGAATCAAAGCTCTGTATTATAGTGATTATACATATTCTACTACATCTGAAGGCACTCTAACATATGTGACATACCTCAGAAGTATAACTTACACCTGTACAGATTGGGTATCATTAGAATAGAGCTATAAATGATTCTTAAAGAGGAAAATCTCTTTACCATTTGCTCGTTCTAATCTTGAGAGACTAGAGTTATGTCACAGGTCTCCAATTTGTTTTTATTTTTTAAAGATCAAATGAAAATACTTTCAAAATTTAAAATACACAGCCTGCTATCTTCTGTTCTCCAAACAGTGGAACATTAGAAGGCTTTAATTTAAAATATTAGATCCTTTTGAATATTCCAAAGTGTTTCTGCACTCTTCTTGAAAAGGGCCTCCTCCTCAGAATTCAAGTTAATTTTCACAACATCTGAGACACCATTCCGCCCCAAGACACAAGGGATACTGAGAAAGAGTTCTTCTTTTATTCCATATAATCCCTGAAAGGCAAGATAAGATATTGTTCAAATAACCTGATATGGAAAAGCAGCTATGCAAAAGGGCATCAAAATGAGAGTATACAGGAGAGACTAAAGCATTCAACAAGAATCGCTCAGAGGGTGGCAGAGTGATGGTCAGCAAAAGCAAGAGCATCCTTATGTCCTATAACCATGTGGAACTTACATTCAGTGACATGAAGAAGATGCCAGAGGCCTTTAGAAGGACCCAGAAACATACAATTTACCTTATCCCTTACCAGGTCATCTTTTGGTCCACGGGAAAGGATGCCATGCGGTCTTTCATGATGCCATTTTATCAAAAGGAGTACTATGAGAATCAAGTAACTTGTGTGTAGTCCAAACTACATCGAGGCAACAGTGAAGCAGGAGGTGACTGGGAAGGCTCTGCTTCATACCTTTACAGCAGGGAGCATCATTGAGTTTGGACAATGGGTGCTACGGGTGGCATTTTAAGCCTCCAGAGGTAAACCCCCAGTGGAGCCTATAGATGCTCTTACATGCCCGGTGGGGCCTGTGCCTCTCATCACCAGCTGCAATGGAATGCACTCCTGCCCTTCTGTACTCCTATCCACTACCTCCGCCTGAGTTCTATCTGGGACCTCCCATCATGGATAGGGCCATGAAACAGGTGCAGCCCCATGGCACTGCCCTATCCTGGGCCCCTGGAACCTCCCATCAGAAGCCCCAAAATTCCCTCCATTCCTGCAGCCAAGGCCGAGAAGCAGCTGCCAGAGCCTATTACAACCTGGGCAACTCACATAACATCTACATGCATAGGTACCAGCCTCCACCACCTCCATACTATCCTCCCTGGTCTTGGAAGATAGGAAAACTCAATATACCCCCAAAAAATTAAAATTTAAAAAATGTTAAAAGACACCCAGTTAAAAAAAAAAAAAGACACCCAGTAGATCCCTCACACTTCCCTGCCTCCTACCACTCATCACTCTTTACCCCTCTCTTTGGGGCTGAGTCTGGGGTTGTGGGAGAAGGGAGGGCATTGTTCTTCTCCAGGACTGATTATAAACAGTTACCAGGAATGGCGTTGAAGGAAGAGGGGAGGCTCCTTGACTCTGGAGCAGTGCCTCACAGCTTTCCATGCTGCAGAGCCCATGGGCACTATTCAGCCATTCTTCCCTCTCACCATCTCTGGGGCTCTACTCAGGAGCACAAGGTGTGCCCCTTGTTCCTGTTTTGCTCTAGTAACTTCTCCCCACAGAGGGATTCTCTGGTTACCTCCTCTACCATAGTCCAGCTCCCTCATTTTGGTAGCCACTTTACACTCACCCTCATAAGCACCATCAGATCAGCCAAGTGTCATCCCTGAGGGTGCCCCGCCAAGAACTACTTACATTCCTTCCACTTTGGCATCTGCCTAGCTATGGAAAGCCACTGTCTTTTCAGACTGTCAACCCACATTCTATTCAGCCAGGCTCCAGCCACAGTCATACTGAAATTCGCAATTCACTTCCCTATCCTCTTTTTTTTTTTTTTTTTTTTTTTTTTTTTTTTTAGGAGACAGTGTCTCGCTGTGTCACCCAGGCTGGAGTGCAGTGGTGCAGTCATAGCTCAATGTTGCCTGGACCTCCTGGGCTTAAGCAATCCTCCCACTGCAGCCTCCCAAGTAGCACACACCACCATGCCTGGCTATTTTTCTTTTCATTTTTTATAGAGATGGAGTCTTGTTATGTTGCCCAGGTTGGTCTCCAACTCCCTCTCTGATCCTTGATCATTCTGTTGCCACCTCTGTGACATTTGAAGCTTTAACATGAGCTTCCATGGGTGTAATCAGAGGCAAGGCCTCTGATGGTGGCAGGGGAAGAAGTCCCTCTGCTTCCCTACTGGTTATTTCCAGAATTTGTTTCCCTTTACCTCCTGTCATCTCTCTTCTCTCTAGAAGAGGCACCTCAGACTGGAATTCGAGAATTCATGTCCACCCATCATGCCATCTGAGGACTGCTGGGTGGGCTGGGAACAAGGGCTCCTGCCTGAATCCTGGGACCAAGCCTGGCCCTGTGTGCTAACTGTGACCTGCCACTAGCCTCCTCAGCCTACCCTCTTCCCTTTAAGCTTTATGCCTGGTTAGTGATAATTTCCCCTGGATATATTAGAATTTGTTCTCATTTGCTCTTGGACCAGCTGTGAAATACAGAGATTGTTTAAAGAGAATTCCCTATTTGACACACAAAAAAAAAATCCAATTAATACATTAATGTGAAATAAACTCTGCACACCTTGATTTGGTGAAAATGTGAAGTAGTAAAAGTGAAGTAAGTGGGAAAGAAAGAAAAAATAAGAATATACAAATGACTCTGCTTGTAACGTCAAATGTTTAAATGTTCCCTATAAAATATAACTCAGCAGGGCGCGGTGGCTCACGCCTGTAATCCCAGCACTTTGGGAAGCCGAGGTGGTTGGATCGCTTCAGGTCACGAGTTCAAGACCAGCCTGGCAGCAGCACAAAACCCCTTCTCTACTAAAAATACAAAAAATAGCCAGGCGTGGTGGCACGTGCCTGTAATCCCAGCTACTTAGGAGGCTGAGGCACAAGAATCGCTTGAACCCAGGAGGCAGAGGTTGCAGTGAGCTGAGATTGCGCCACTGCACTCCAGCCTGGGCAACAGAGTAAGACTTCATCCCTCCCCAAAACATTAAAATTAAATTAAAATATAATGTCCATTGACTTGTTCGGTAAAGGCTATTAAATTCCCATATTACTCAGTTTCTTCACTGATTACTCATTTGACACTTCCCTGACTCTTTCTCCAGAGTCCTAGAGAGGCAGTTGCTTATTCTCCCATAGGTTCTGCAGCCTCAGAAAAGAAGGGGTGTGTGGTATCCATTGTGTACTCTTTATTGCCTCTTCCAAATCTTTTTTTTTTTTTTTTTTTTTGAGACAGAGTCTCATTCTGTTGCCCAGGCTGGAGTGCAGTGACACAATCTTGGCTCACTGCAGCTTGTACCTCCTGGGTTCAAGCAATTCTCTTGTCTCAGCTGCCCAAGTAGCTAGGACTACAGGCGTGCACCACCATACTCAGCTAATTTTTGTATTTTTAGTAGAGGCAGGGTTTCACCATGTTGACCAGCTGGTCTCAAACTCCTGACGTCAAGTGATCCACCGGCCTCAGCCTCCCAAAGTACTGGGATTACAGGCGTGAGCCACTGCACCTGCCCCGTTCTTCCAAATCATTAATCCCCTGGTCTTATAAAAACAAAACATATTCTCCCTATTTTTTGAAGATCATCTAATTCAGCTCTTCTTCCCTTTGTAAGGACTAACCTCCTAGTTATTCAATCTCATTCACAGACTGACACATGGCTCACAGTCTTCCCTGTCTATCTCAATTTCTGCCATTATCCTTGTTAACTTCAATATACATATGAATAATCCAACCAAAATTCCCTTTCTTTCCACTCTCTAGACTTTTTTCACTTATGAAACCTTCTGCTCCCACTCCCGTTATCCTACTCCTTTCACTATCTCCTTTCACTAAAAATAGAGAAATCGACAGGCCGTGGTGGCTCACGCCTGTAATCCCAGCAATTTGGGAGGCTGAGGCAGGCAGATTACGAGGTCAGGAGATCAAGACCATCCTGGTTAACACAGTGAAACCCTGTCTCTACTAAAAATACAAAAAAAATTAGCCGGGTGTGGTGGTGGGTGCCTATAGTCCCAGCTACTTGGGAGGCTGAGGCAGGAGAATAGTGTGAACCTGGGAGGTGGAGCTTGCAGTGAGCCAAGATCGCATGACTGCACTCCAGCCTGGGTGACAGAGTGAGACTCCGTCTCAAAAAAAAAAAAAAAAATAGAGAAGTCATCAGATGCTTCCAATGTCAAATATACAAATCTACATGCATCAGTACACATTCTCTTTTTGTTAACTCCTGCCCCTCCTCCTTTTAGGGGTAATGCCTACAACTATGCTCTGGACTGCATCCCCCTCTGCTTACCACTTCTGTCTTCATCCTCTCCCTTGGTACTTGATCTTTACTATAAGCATCTTATCTGTGTAACAAACAAACAAACAAACTTCTTGCCCTGATTTTCCTTACCTTCACAACCAAATTCCTAAAAATAGCTATTACACTTGTCTTAATTTCCTCAGTCTACGCAAGTGGTTCTCAGCCAGAGGTATTATAGGATCTAAGCCTGCAGCTACTGTGACCCATCTTTGTTGCCCCATGGAAAAAGTCTGCATGAGTTGGAAGCCAATAGAGGAAAAAGATGAGCCAAGAGAATGGAGAGAAAAGACAGCTCTCATAATATTGTCTGAGTACCAGAATCAGGCCTCCTTGGCATTTCAGTTACATAAGCCAATAAATTTTCTTTTTGCATAAGCTAGTTTGAGTTGGCTTCACACTGTTTATATGCCAGGGCTCAAAACTGTGTCCAAAACTGTAAATGTGATCTTCAAACCTGGTTCTCTTTCAGGATTCCCTTCCTTAGGTCAAGGTATCTGTATTTTTTTGACCTGACCTGAGGTCAAGGTCTTTGTATTTTTTATTCACTATTATATCCTCAACATCTTGTACACTGCCTGGCATATAGTAGTGACCCAATAAATATTAAAGGAAAGAATGATAAATGAAGATTTAATTTAAGCCTACCTTAACCATGGTGGAAACTGGGTGCACTCTCCTAAGATTTTTCAAAATGGATCCTACCAAATCCATCACAGACAGTCCAATAGCCCAAGAGGTATACCCCTTCAGCTTGATAATTTCATAGGCACTACAGTTGTAGAAAGTAAGAAAATCAAATTCATAATAAGTCAACCCAGAGAAAACATAATATTCTTCAAGCATCCATTTTAAAGTTATCTACATGTCAATGCAATTGTATTAGAATTTTCCCATAGATTTCTTACAGAATTTATAAACAGGCAACAAAACTTTCTATACTGGTCTAATAAAACTTCACTACATACTTTATTACTTTTTTATTGATTATTATTATTATTTTTTGAGACAGGGTCTTGCTTCCTTGCCCAGGCCGGAGGGCAGTTGTGTGTGATCATGGCTCACTGCAACCTCCACCTCCTGGGCTTATGCGATCCTCCCTCCTCAGCTTCCCAAGTAGCTACTTGACAGTACAGGCATGAGCCACCATGCCTGGCTAATTTTTGTGTTCTTTGTAGATACAGGGTTTCGCCATGTTGCCCAGGCTGGTTTCAAACTTCTGAGCTCAAGCGATCTGCTCGCCTCAGTTTCCTGGAGTGCTGGTATTATAGGTGTGAGCCACCGTGCCCAGCCTACTTTTTTTAAGTAAAAATTAATTTACCCTTTTTTTAAATCATAAAGGCAGAATACTAGGACAAATGTGCCACTCAAGATGAAACTAGCTTTTAATATTTTTTGTATTGTTGCTTAAATATGCAACATAGAAACTAATCACCTTGAAAGTTACCATATAAATCTCTTGGACCATTTAAAATTGTTACTAGTGGCCAGGGGCAATGGCTCACATCTGTAATCCCAGAACTTTGGGAGGCCGAGGTGGGTGGATCACGAGGTCAGAAGTTCGAGACCAGCCTGGCCAACACTGGCCAACACAGCGAAACCCCATCTCTACTAAAAATACAAAACTTAGCCAGGTGTGGTGGTATATGCCTGTAGTCCCAGCTACTGGAGAGGCTGAGGTAGGAGAATCACTTGAACCTGGTGGGCAGAGGTTGCAGTGAGCCTAGACTATACCATTGCACTCCAGCCTGGGTGACAGAGTGAGACTCCGTCTCAAAAAAAAAAAAAATTGTTACTAGCTTGCCAATGTAAATTTATACAGTTGTAAGCTGTGTGTATATATCTTTCCTAAGAATATATCACTAAATCAATAATAAATGAATATGGAAAATATTCATGATACATTTTCAAAGGAAAATAGCACAATACTAAACATTATGCATTTTCTTATCTCTGGCTTGTAAAAAATATAAATTTTTATACAAACTTTAGAGCTGCATCAACCTACCAAGTTATTAATAGTGATTATTTTTACAAGACAGGCTTACAGGTGAGTCTTCTTTATGCCTGTCTGAATTTCCTTATTTCCTACAATTAATATTTATTATATATTTGCATTGCTACAAATAGTGGTCTCAGGTTTGGATTGACAGTCAACTTCACTGGACAAAGAGGGTTTAATTTAGCACTAAGTTTATTTAACTTTTAGAAAGGATACAGGACAAGAAGCAAAGACTGTCCAGCATATATCATTCATATCAGGAGGTCTTACAACTACCCCGTTTTAAAGCCCCAAGAATGCACATAACACACTTGGTTGCCAAGATAAGGCATATATATATATATATATATATATATATATATATATATATATATACCACCTGAACACAGCAGGTTGGGCCTGGACTGTTCCTACAGTAGTGTCCTATGATTTGACTATCAGTCCAAAATCAGGGCCACTATCAGAGGCCATGCAATACTTTTGATGACAAAAGTACTTTTAGACCCTCAATTCTGTACGGCCAAGACTCCGGGGGTAAGTAAAAGGAAAGGGAAAGAGGGTCTGCCTGGCACTTGATTGACAGCATACTGTCTATGAGTTGAAGAAAAGAAAGCTCTACAGTAGATTACTGGGGACAAATCTCACCAGTTGAATCTGGATGACAGATTTATCCTCTCAGGTATTAATAAAATAGATTGAGAAACAGAAGAAAGTTGAGAATAGCTAAAAACATAATCCTTTAGTTGTTATTAACCATCCTGATGAAAATAAAATTGCTGGTGTAAAAGAAAGGGTAAAGGGAGCAAATAGAAGAAATAGTTTCAAGGATGGTACTTTAAGACAAAAACTGATACACATTGTAAACCAAATGCCCTCTTGGGAACAAGTAAGGACATCCTATTAAATCATGATGTCATTCCTCTGCAATTGGTGGTTAGACAACAGCAAATCAGAAGCTGTTGTGTAAAAAGAGCTGAGTAGTTTTTAGATAAATATTAGCAGCACCCTGAGGATTATTTATAATTATAGATCCTCTGCTAAATGATCAAGAGGCAAATAATTTAATTTTAGATACTGCAGAGTTGAGAGGACCAATAGTGATAAGTACTGATCTGAAACACATTGGAATATTTGGTATTCAAATCACACAGGACTTCAATGGGAAATGTGATCTTAATCCTTGTTCCCTTAAAGCAAGTGTCTCAAATTAAAAAGGAACTGCCCGAGTACAGTGGCTCACACCTGTAATCCCAACACTTTGGGAGGCCAAGGTGGGCAGATTGCTTTAGCTCAGGAGTTTGAGACCAGCCTGGGCAACATGGTGAAACCCCATCACTACCAAAAATACAAAAAGTGGCCAGGCATGGTGGCATGCACCTGTATTCCTAGCTACTCAGGAGGCTGAGGTGTGAGGATGGCTTGAGCCTGGGAGTCAGAGGTTGCAGTAAGCCAAGATCATGCCACTACACTCCAGCCTGGATGACAGAGCCAGACTGTGTCTCAAAAAAAAAAAAAAAAAGAAAGAAAGAAAAGAAAGAACTACCATTCTCTGTGGTACAATTATTAGTGACTGGGTAGATAAAGACCAACACTGTGACAGCCCTATGGGAGGTAGATGGGCTGCTCCATAACACTTGGAAACCGCTATCGGTTAAAACAAGTTCCTTAGTGGGTGGGGGGTATGGATGTGCCTCCAGACCAGTTAGATCCCTGCATTTATTGGAGACTGGTCTCCTGGCCCCTATAGCTGAAAATATATGGGCATAAGGGACAGTTTTGTTGAGAAGGACAGGAAAAGATACTGTAATATTAATACATATTGTGTTTTCTAGGGATTAATTTAACCTCTCATTCAAAGCTTTTTGGTGAAACAAAGCATTTGTAGGTTCCCTTAAGAGAATTTAAGAAAATAAAACATACCAATAATGATTTTCAAAGTAAAAGATATTTTGGTAAATTGACCTAAAACTTTCAATTGATGTGATACTTATGGAAATAGTTTGGCCAAAAAAAGAAATACATTTGCTTTAGAAATATAAAAACTGCGTGGTGGCTTCAGGAGGCTGAGGCGGGCAGATCACCTGAGGTCAGGAGTTGGAGACCAGTTTGACCAACATGGTGAAACCCCATCTGTACTAAAAATATAAAAACTAGCCAGGTGTGGTGGTACACTCCTGTAGTCCCAGCTACTCAAGAGGCCGAGGCATGAGAATCGCTTGAACCCAGGAGGCGGAGGTTGCAGTGAGCCAAAATTGCCCCACTGCACTCCAGCCTGGGCAACAGAGCAAGACTCTGTCTCAAAAAAAAAAAAAAAAAAAAGAGAGAGAGAAAGAGATAAAACATGTGATTGAATGCGTGTATCAATACCTTTAATAAGACGCAAGTGATAGTAAATGATAGAGGGGGGAAAAAAACAGTCTAGTTGGTTAAGAATTACCAAAACATTGTGAAGGATTCTGTTTACCTACTGTGTCTTATAGAGTCTAGTGGTTGTAGATGTACTAACTTGTCTTTTCTATTTATAAAATATTGAAGAAATGTTTGTCAAATGAACTCTGAAGAATATATGATACAAAGATAATAATCTGAGGTCATGGAAAGGTACCAAGGGTAAAGGGTTAACAGTGGATTTGAGCCCTTTCGAAAAAGCCAGAAGTAACTGGGAAGATAACCTTGAGTTTGAGTTCAGGCAACATAGTTTTCTAGATATAAAAATTAGTTAAGATAAATGTGGACTATTAACTATCATAGAACTAGGTTATCAGCACTGGATTTTATGAAACCATTGATTTGTGCATTGTATCAGGACTAGCAGTACTGGGATCAAGTATGCAGACCCTGAGGGCTATGTGACAGGAAGTGCATTAAGAACTGTTGAGAATTTCCCACTTTTGCAGTTAAAAAAAAACAAAAAACAAAACTGTTGAGAACTAAAGGCAGCCGCTTTCCTGTGCTGGGGAAGTCTGCCCCCATGTCAGCTTCCTTCTGTGTAACTGAGTGTGCCCCAAGCAGTGATAGGGCCTAGAAGCTACACCTAAGCATTGCAATACTGTTGTTTTGTTTTGTTTTGTTTTTAGACGGAGTCTCCCTCTGTCGCCCATGCTGGAGTGCAGTGGCGTAACCTCAACTCACAGCAACCTCCACCTCCTGGGTTCAAGTGATGCCTCAGCCTCCCAAATAGCTGGGATTACAGGCGCCCGCCACCAAGCCCAGCTAATTTTTGTATTTTTAGTAGAGACAGGGTTTCACCATGTTGGGCCAGGCTGGTCTTGAACTCCTGACCTTAAGAAGTGATCTAACCGCCTCAGCCTCCCAAAGTGCTGGGATTACAGGCATGAGCCACCACGCCCAGCCGCATTGAAATATCTTCTAAAGGGCCGGGTGTGGTGGCTCATGCCTGTAATCCCAGCACTTTGGGAGGCCAAGGTGGGCAGATCATGAGGTCAAGAGATTAAGACTCCTGGCCAACATGGTGAAACCCCGTTTCTACTAAAAATACAAAAATTAGCTGAGCATGGTGGCGCGTGCTTGTAGTCCCAGCTACTCAGGAGGCTGAGGCAGGAGAATTGCTTGAACCCGGGAGGCGGAGTGCAGAGACCACACCACTGCACTCCAGCCTGGCGACAAAGCAAGACCCCATCTCAAATAAAAAAAAAAGAAAAGAAATACCTTCTAAAGAAGATACTGATATGCTATACTGTGTTTTCTTCCTGGTATCCTTTCACCATGCTAGATAAACTTAATGCTAGGTGAAAACCTATTATGTCCTGTGAGTCGGACAGTCTGAATTTCAGACAACAATTCGTGGCTATATACTTTTAATATTGTTGTTGTTGTTTTTTGTTTTTTTTTTAAGAGATGAGGTCTCACTCTGTTGCCCAGGTTGGAATGCAGTGGACTATCGTTGTTCATTGCAATCTTGCATTCCTGGGCTCAAGTAATCCTCCCATCTCAATCTCCCAGGTAGCTAAGACTACAGGTATGCAACACTACAACTAGTTAATTTTTTAATTTATTTTATTTTATTTATTTATTTTTTTAGAGACAGGATTTTTCTCTGCTGTCCAGGCTAGTGTGCAGTGGTGTGATCATACCTCTGCGAGTTTGAGTTGAGCCTAAAACGCCTGGGCTCAAGTGATCTTCCTGCCTCAACCACCCCAGTAGCTGGGACTACAGACATACCACCATGCCTGGCTAATTTTTTAAAATTTTTTGTGGAGACATGATCTCACTCTGTTGCCCCAGCTGATCTGAAACTCCTGGCCTCAAACAATCCTCCTACCTCAGCCTCCCAAAGGGTTGGGATTACAGATGTGAGCCACTGCACCCAGCCTTAACTGCTTTTTTAACTACGGTAAAATTTATCATCTTAACAATTACAGTTCAGTGGCATTAAGTGCATTAACACTGCTGTGCAGTCATTACTACTATCCTCTCTCAAATGTTTTCATCTTCCCAAACTGTAGCTCTGTACTCATACACATTGCCATGTTACTTTTTATAACCAAAAATAAAATAATATAAACTTTTAAAACTAAAAGGCATTTAAGAGAATAAAAACTCACCCATGATCACTTGTTATATTATGACTTTTTAGTCTCTGCCCTAATTCTTACACATTTTTGTTTTATTATTTTATTTTATTTATTTATTTGTTTGTTTTCTTTGAAACAGAGTCTTGCTCTGTTGCCAGGCTGGAGTGCACTGGTGTGATCTTGGCTCACTGCAACCTCCGCCTCCCAGGTTCAGGCGATTCTCCTGCCGCAGCCTCCTGAGTAGCTGGGATTACAGGGGCACACCACCACACCCGGCTAATTTTTTTTTTTTTTTTTTTTGTATTTTAGTAGAGACGGAGTTTCACCATATTGGCCAGGATGGTCTTGATCTCCTGACCTCATGATCAGCCCACCTAGGCCTTCCAAAATGCTGGGATTACAGGCATAAGCCACTGCGCCCAGCCTATTATTTTATTTATTTATCTTTTTTCTGAGACAGAGTCTTGCTCTGTTGCCCAGGCTGGATTGCACTGGCACAATATTGGCTCACTGCAACCTCTGCCTCCTAGGTTCAAGCAATTCTTGTGCCTCAGCCTCCCAAGTAGCTGGGATTACAGGCACGCACAACCACAGCTGGCTAATTTTTGTTTTTTTTTTTTTTTTTTTTTTTTTAGTAGAGACGGTTTTCACCATGTTGGCCAGGCTGGTCTCGAACTCCTGACCTCAGGTGATCTGCCCACCTTGGCCTCCCAAAGTATTGGGATTATAGGCGTGAGCCACCATGCCTGGCCTCTTACACATTTTTGTAGGGTTGTTTTAAGTATACATACAGTAGACTTGTGGTTTTTGTTAAGTTCAATATTCCAAGCTGTGAATATCCAAAAGTGATTTTTAAGTTCTTTTTTTTTTTTTTTTTTTTTGAGATGGAGTTTCACTCTTGTTGCCCAGGCTGGAGTGCAATGGCGCTGTCTTGGCTCACTGCAACCTCTGCCTCCTGGGTTCCAGTGATTCTCCTGCCTCAGCCTCCCAAGTACCTGGGATTACAGGCGCCCATCACCACACCGAGCTAATTTTTGTATTTTTAGAAGAGATGGGGTTTTACCATGTTGTTCAGGCTGGTCTCGAACTGCTGACCTCAGGTGATCCACCCGCCTTGGCCTCCCAAAGCGCTGGAATTACAGGCGTGAGCCACCCCGCCCAGCCAATTTTTAAGTTCTATAACTTCTACTAATATGTAACTTGACTCTTGACTAAACCATGAAGAATAATCCTGTGTGCTGTTAAGGCTAATATATATGGAGTCAGATGCTTCATTTATAAGAAAACCATATTGATTTCTGATCATCTGCATTAGCTTAATGTTTCATCTACTCAAATGATGAACATTTAATAAGTTCTTGGCATGGTTCTAGCATTTTACATGTAGTATTAACTTATTTACTCTCCATAAGGCTATTATGTAAAGTAGGTTCTATAATTATCCCCATTTCGAAGATAAGTAAACAACTTCTGATATTTTAAGTAATTTCCCAATATCATATCACTAATAAATGATGAAGCAGGTTTCAAACCTGGACAACCTGGGTCCAAAGTCCATGCTCATAATCACTATGCTTTTATTACTCTCAAATATATGAGTTGTGAAATAATAAGTACTTTTTCTTTTTGAAAAATGCCCCCAAAAAGAAAGCTATGTATAAGTCTGAATTTAGTGGTTTTCAGGAGCCTAGAGTTATTTATCTCACAAAAAGCAAGGATCAACTACTTGATTTTTGTCCGTGATATTTATTCTTAAGACTGACTATTAAGGCATTAAGAAACTGAATAGGTACTATTACCTTTGAATAACTTGTTTATGGATATTTTTCCAGTGTTCCTTATCTGAATCCGTTCCTAATTTAGGGTCCAGAGTCTTCAGAGCAACACCAGCAACATTCACCCCACTCCATAAGGGCACTAAAAAATACAGATCTCAAAATAAACTCTTCTTCCCAATATGGCATCAGGAGTTTGAGTTCAGTGTTGTTTTTTTAAGTTAAGTTGCCACCTGATATGGTTCAGATGTTTGTCTCCTCCAAATCTCATGTTGAAATGTAACCGCTAGTGTTGGGGGTGGGAAGTGTCTGATCATGGGTGCAGATCCCTCATGAATAGCTTAGCATCATCTCCTGTTGAAGAGTGAGTCTTCACTCTAAGTTCATGTGAGATCTGGTTGTTTAAAAGTATATGGCACCTCCTCTCTCTCGTTTCTGCCCTCACTATGTGACACATCTACTCCTCCTTTGCCTTCTGCCATGATTGCAAGCTTCCTGAGGTCCTCATCAAGAGCATATCTTGGAGCCATGCCTGTACAACCTGCAGAAGCACAAGCTAAATTAAACCCCTTTTCTTTATAAATTACTCAGCCTCAGGTATTTCTTTTGTTTTTTTTTTCTTTTTCACTCAGGCTGTAGCATAGTGGCTTGATCTCAGCTCACTGCAACCTCCACCTCCCAAGTTCAAGGGATTCTTCTGTTTCAGCCTCCCGAGCAGCTGGGATTACAGGTGTGTGCCACCACACCCAGCTTTTTTTTGTATTTTTAGTAGAGATGGGGTTTCGCTATGTTGGCCAGGCTGGTCTTAAACTCCTGGCCTCAAGTGATCCACACGCGTTGGCCTCCAAAAGTGCTGGGATTACAGGCATGAGCCACTACTCCTGGCCAGGTATTTCTTTTTCTTTTTTTTTTTTTTTTGAGAGGGAGTCTTGCTCTGTCGCCCAGGCTAGAGTGCAGTGGCGCGATCTCGGCTCACTGCAAGCTCCACCTCCCGGGTTCACGCCATTCTCCCGCCTCAGCCTCCCGAGTCACTGGGACTACAGGTGCCCACCACCACGCCTGGCTAATTTTTTGTATTTTTAGTAGAGACGGGTTTTCACTGTGTTAGCCAGGATGGTCTCAATCTCCTGACCTCGTGATCCGTCCACCTCAGCCTCCCAAAGTGCTGGGATTATAGGCGTGAGCCACCGTGCCCGGCCCTGGCCAGGTATTTCTTTACAGCAACACAAAAATGGCCTAAAACACCACCTTACACCATACATAAAAATAGGTTTCAAATGTATAAAAGAGGGAAATGTAAGAAATAAAATTATAAGGTTGTTAGAAAATATGTAGTAGAATTTATTTATAATTGTGTGGTATAGGAGGCATTTTTAAGCAACATACATATTTTTAAGCAATATGCAAAATGCAGTATAAACAAAGAAAAAGACTGATAAGAAAGATAAAATATAAGCAATGAGAGGGAAAAGAATGTCAAATTAATACCATACTTCTCAATAGTAAACAAGAGCCAAGGAGGAATAACTGTCAATCTAGAATCTCACATCCAATTAACCTGTCATTCCAGAATAAGATGAGACTAAAACAGTCATATAAACAACACCAACAGGATAGAGTTCAGGAAGAAATAAATTGAATCCAGGGGAAGAAATTAGATGGAGAAAATAAAGATAAGCAACACAACTGGCCAACCTGTAAATAAATCTGAACAAGTATTAACTATTCAAATAATAATAATTATAACTAGTTTGGGGGATATAAGAACAGTATGGATACAGAAAAGGAATTAATAATTACATGTATGACAGAAAGAGGATGGTGTCAACATCAAAAAAAGGGGATGATCAAACTAAAAGCATTCTAAGATCTTTGTATTATCCCGGCCGGGTGCAGTGGCTCATGCCTATAATCCCAGCACTTTGGAAGGCTGTGGCGGGTGGATCACCTGACGTCAAGAGTTCGAGACCAGCCTGACCAACATGGAGAAACCCTGTCTCTACTAAAAATACAAAATTAGTCGGGTGTGGTGGTGCATGCCCGTAATCCCAGCTACTCAGGAGGCTGAGGCAGGAGAATCGCTTGAACCCAGGAGGCGGAGGTTGCGGTGAGCCGAGATCACACCATTGCACTCCAGCCTGGGCAACAAGAGCGAAACTCTGTCTCAAAAAAAAAAAAAAAAAAAAAACTTTGTATTATCCCAAAGGAGAGTAAATAAATTTATCATCTGAGGTCAAGTATGAATGTTAAAAATTTATAGATAACCATTTATAAGGTAAGTGTATAATTCAAAGTATTAGAGGAAATTAAAGAAAGTAGATCCAATGGAAAACAGAAAAAGAGGAAGGAAACCGAAAAATCATGCTAAATAGAATACTAAACATGTTCAAATTAATACTAATCAGAATATACTGTTTTCTAAAAATAAAGTTATAGAATATTAAATGTGAGAAATTAAAATATACCAGAGAAAATTAGTTTTAATGAACTTCAGGAAAAATAACACAAGCCAACAGGGTCAAAGTAAGGCTCTGGCTGAAGAAATATTTGTCCAAATCAAATAAAGTATTTGTTATATTATGGCTCTTGGATTATAAAGAAAAGGGCACTCTAAATATTTTGAATAAATAAATGAATGTTTGAACAAATGGTCTTTATTCTCAATTGGTTTATTGCCATTATGGAAAGAAGATTTACATACATGACACAATTAAAGAACACTGTAAAAAGTATAAAGTTCTAACCATGTAGCAGAGACTAAATGTTTAAATTCAGTAAAGAGAGAGGTTGGTGTGGCCTCAATAGTTAAAATCACATATTATTTCATTTATATGAAAAATCTGGAATAAATAAATCTACAGAGTGAGAAAGTAGATTAGTGGTTGCCTGGGGCTAGGGTAGGGGAAAAAGATGCGGATTTCATTTTGGGCTGATGAAAAGATTCTGTATTTAGATTGTGGTGATGTTAGTACAACCCTGTGAATATACCAGAAACTCATGAATTCTGTAATTTGCTGGTTGAATTTTATGGTACATGAATTGTATTAGTCCATTCTCACATTGCTATAAAGAAATACCTGAGACTGGGCAACTTACAAAGAAAAGAGGTTCAACTGGCTCACAATTCTGCAAGCTGTACAGGAAGCACAATGCTGGCATCTGCTTGGCTTCCTGAGAGGCCTCAGGAAACTTTCAATCATAGAAGAAGGCTAAGGGGAAGCAGGAGAGTCTTATATGGCTACAGCGGGGGTCGGGGAGGGGGGTGCCACACACTTTTAAACAACCAGATCTCACAAGAACTCACTATTGTGAAAACAGTACTAAGGCAGATGGTGTTAAACCATGACAACCTGCCTCCATGATCCAACCACCTCCCACCAGGCCCCAGCTCCCACACTGGGGATTACAATTCAACATGAGATTTGGGCAGGGACACAGATCCAAACCATATCATGAATTATGTCTTAATAAAGCTGTTTTAAAAAATCACAATAAATAAAAAAGTATTACAGATAAGAGAAACACTCATATTGACTATTAAAACAGCTATATGCTTTGTGGACTATTTTATGAAAGATAGCTAAATCAATGATGCAAAAGATTGAAACTAAAGGAATAGTAAAAGTTACACCAGGGAAATACCAAAAAAATTAAACTTATACAACTATATTAATATCAGGGAAAAAACTTTAAAGGAAATAAGCACTAGTAGAGATAAGAAGGGTAGTCACGTAATAATAATAGATTTATACTTACCACTAGAATCACCATGTTCTCCAATAATCCAACCATGGCAGCTTGTGGGGTGGACACCCAACTTTTCTCCAATTAGGTAACGGAAACGGGCAGAGTCTAGATTACAACCACTTCCAATTACACGAGTTACAGGTAAGCCACTTATCTTCCAGACTATATATGTCAAAATATCCACTAAGAAGAAAAATTTTGTGTTAGAAAAAGATTCATCATAACTTAAAAAAATTTTTTTTTTCCTGAATACATAGATGAATTGTTTTAGAGTCAAATACAGATTTATTACAAAGTGAAGCAAATCACTGGCTGGGTGCGGTGGCTCACGCCTGTTATCCCCTGGCACTTTGGGAGGCTTAGGTAGGTGGATCACTTGAGGCCAGGACTTTGAAACCAGCCTGGCCAATATGGTGAAACTGTCTCTACCAACAAATACAAAAATTAGCCAGATGTGGTGGCACACACCTGCATTCCCAGCTACTTGGGAGGCTAAGAAGGAATCAGAAAACCAACTTTGGTAATATAACAAAAGAAGGCTCGTCAACACCCCCCAAAAATCACATAAGTTCACCAGCAATTGATCCAAACCAAGAAGAAATCCCTGGTTTACCTGAAAAAGAATTCAGGAGGTTAGCTATTAAGCTAATCAGGGAGGGACCAGAGAAAGGCGAAGCCCAATGCAAGGAAATAAAAAAAAAAAAATGATACAAGAAGTGAAGGGAGAAATATTCACATAAATAAATAGCTTAAAGAAAAAACAATAAAAAATTCAGGAAATTTTGGACACACTTTTAGATATGTGAAATGCTCTGGAAAGTCTCAGCAATAGAACTGAACAAGTAGAAGAAAGAAATTCAGAGCTCGAGGACAAGGTCTTCAAATTAACCCAATCCAACAAAGACAAAGAAAAAGAATAAGAAGATATGAACAAAGCCTCCAGGATGTCTGGGATTACAATAAACAACCAAACCTAAGAATAATCGGTGTTCCTGAGGAAGAAGACAATTCTAAAAGCTTAGAAAACATATTTGGTATTTGGGGAGATAATCAAGGAAAAATTCCCCGGCCTTGCTAGAGACCTAGACATGCAAATACAAGAAGCACAAAGGACACCTGGGAAATTCATCGCAAAAAGACCTTTGCCTAGCACACTGTCATCAGGTTACCCAAAGTTAAGACAAAGGAAAGAATCTTAAGAGCTGTGAGACAGAAGCACCAGGTAACCTATAAAGAAAAACCTATCAAATTAATAGCAGATTTCTCAGCAGAAACCCTACAACCTAGAAAGGATTGTGGCCCTATCTTCAGCCTCCTCAAACAAAACAATTATCAGCCAAGAATGTTGTATCCAGTGAAACTAAGAATCATATATGAAGGAAAGATACAGTCATTTTCAGACAAACAAATGCTGAGAGAATTTGCCATTACCAAGCCACCACTATAAGAACTGCTAAATGGAGCTCTAAATCTTGAAACAAATCCTGGAGACACATCAAAACAGAACCTCTTTTTTTTTTTTTTATTTCCTTTTTTTGAGATGGAGTCTTGCTCTGTTGCCCAGGCTGGAGTGCAGTGGCATGATCTCAGCTCACTGCAACCTCTGCCTCCCAGGTTCAAGCAATTCTCATGCCTCAGCCTACCGAGTAGCTGGGACTACAGGTGCCCACGACCATGCCCAGCTAATTTTTGTGTTTTTAGTAGAGACAGGGTTTCACTATGTTGGGCAGGCTGGTCTTGAACTCCTGACCTCAGGTGATCCGCCCACCTTGGCCTCCCAAAATGCTGGGATTACAGGTGTGAGCCACTGTGCCTGGCCCAGAACTTCCTTAAAGCATAAATCACACAGGACCTATAAAACTAAAACACAAGTTAAAAAGCAAAAACAAACATACAAACAAAAACCCAAAGTACACAGGCAACAAAAAGCATGATGAATACAACAGTACCTTGCATTTCAATACTAACACTGAATGTAAATGGCCTAAATGCTCCACTTAAAAGATAAAGAACTGCAGAATGGATAAGAACTAATCAACCAACTATCTGCTGTCTTCAGTAGACTCACCTAACATACAAGGACTCACATAAAGGGGTGGAAAAAGGCATTTCATGCAAATGGACACCAAAAGCGAGCTGGGGTAGATACTCTCATATCAGACGAAACAAACTTTAAAGCAACAGCAGTTAAAAGAGACAAAGAGGGACATTATATAATGGTAAAAGGCCTTGTCCAACAGGAAAATATCACAGTCCTAAACATATATGCACCTAACAATGGAGCTCCCAAATTTATAAAACATTTACTAATAAACCTAAGAAATAAGACAGACAGCAACACAATAATAGTGGGGACTTCAATACTCCGCTGACAGCAATAGACAGGTCATCAAGACAGAAAGTCAACAAAGAAACAGTGAATTTAAACTATACCTTGGAACAAATGGATTTAACAGATATATACACAACATTTCATCTAACAACCACAGAATACACATCCTATTCAACAGCACATGGAACTTTCTCCAAGACAGACCATATGATAGGCCATAAAATGAGCCTCAATAAATTTAAGAAAATTGAAATTATATCAAGCACTCTCAGACCACAGTGGAATAAAACTGGACATCAACTCCAAAAGGAACCTTCAAAACCATGCAAATACATGGAAATTAAATAACCTGCTCCTGAATGAGCATTGAGTCAAAAATGAAATCAAGATAGAAATTAAAAATTCTTCTAATCGAATGACAGTAATGACACAACCTATCAAAACCGCTGGGATACAGCTAAGGTGATGCCAAGAGGAAAGTTCATAGCCCTAAATGCCTACATCAAAAAGTCTGAAAGACCACAAAAGACAATCTAAGGTCACACCTCAAGGAACTAGAGAAACAAGAACAAACCAAACCCAAACCCAGCAGAAGAAAGGAAATAACTAAGATCAGAGCAGAACTAAATGAAATTGAAACAAAAAAATACAAAAGATAAATGAAACAAAAAGCTGGTTCTTTGAAAAGCTAAATAAAATTGATAGACTATTAGCAAGATTAACCAAGAAAAGAAGAGAGCAGGCCGGGTGCAGTGGCTCACACCTGTAATCCCAGAACTTTGGGAGGCGAGGCAGGTGGATCACCTGAGGTCAGGAGTTTGAGACCAGCCTGGCCAACATGGTGTAACCTCGTCTTTACTAAAAATACAAATACAAAAATTAGCCAGGCGTGGTGGTGTGCACCTGCAGTCCCAGCAACATGGGAGGCTGAACAGGAGAATCGCTTGAACCTGCGACAAGGAGATTGTGGTGAGCCAAGGTCATGCCACTGCACTCCAGCCTGGGACAGAGCAAGACTCCATCTCAAAAACAAAAAAACAAAACAAAACAAAACAAAAACACACACAATGATATTGGATTGGCTAAAATGTATTTTATTTTATTTATTTATTTTTATTTTTATTTTTTGAGACAGAGTTTCACTCTTGTTGCCCAGGCTGGAATGCAATGGTGCGATCTCAACTCACCACAACCTCCACTTCCCAGGTTCAAGTGATTCTCCTGCCTCAGCCTCTTGAGTAGCTGGGATTACAGGCATGTACCACCACACACCCGGCTAATTTTGTATTTTTAGTAGAGATGGGGTTTCACTACGTTGGCCAGGCTAGTCTTGAACTCCTGACCTCAGGTGATCCACCTGCCTTAGGCTCCCAAAGTGTTGCGGGGATTACAGGTGTGAGCCACCACGCCTGGCCTGGATTAGCTAAAATTTAAAACTGTTTTTTTTTTGTTTGCTTTGGTTTTTTTTTTTGAGACAAGGTTTCACTCTGCCACTCAGGCTGGAGTGCAGTGGCACAACCACAGCTCACTGCAGCCCAGATCTCCCAGGCTTATGCAATCTTCATACCCAGCTTTTTTACTTTATTTTATGTACAGACAAGGTCTCCCTATGTTGCCCACACTGGTCTCAAACTCCTAGGCTCAAGCGATCCTTCTGCCTCAGCCTCCCAAAGTGCTAGGATTACAGGCATGAGCCACAATGCCCAACCTGTTTGGTAATTTCTGATAGAGTTAAACATATACCTACCATATAACCCACGTATGTTACTCCCAGGTATTTATCCAAGAGAAATAAAGACATATGACCACACAAATACTTACATACAAATTATGATGTTAGTTTCACTCATAATAGCCCAAAACTGGAAATAACCTCAATATGTTTCAACAGATGAATAAACAAAATAGCATTTTAAATGTATAAACAATGGCTGGGTGCAGTGGCTCACATCTGTAATCCCAGCACTTTAGGAGGCCAAGGCGAGTAGACTGCCTGAGCTTAGGAGTTCCGGACCAGACTGGACAAAATAGTGAAACCCCACTTCTACCAAAAATATGAAAATTAGCTGGGTGTGGTGGGACATGCCTGTGGTCCCAGCTACTGGGGAGCCTGAGGTGGGAGGATCAATTGAGCCTGAGGTGGGAGGATCAATGTGAGGCAAAGGTTACAGTGAGTCAAGATTACGCCCTGCACTCCAACCTCGAGTGAGACAGAGGTTGAATGACACCCCATCTCAGAGTGAGACCCCATATCAAACACACAAACAAAAAAATGTATAAACAAAAGAATACTTTGGCACTAAAAAAGGAACAATATGATACACTCACTAATATGGATGAATCCCAAAATAATTATGCTGGGTGAAAGAAGTCAGGCAGAAAAAATTACATTCAGCATGATTTCATTCATATAAAATTCCAGAAAATGGGGCCAGGGGTGGAATGAGAGATGAACTGCAAGGAGGCACAAGAAAACTTTCAGAGGTAGCTGAAATGTTTTGTATCTTGATCATGGCGGTAGTTTCATGAGTGATTACATTTATCAAAACTCATCGCGTTATATACTTTAAACGAGTGCAATTTATTGTATATAAATGTTAACTCAATGAAGTTGATTCTTTTAAAGGAATGGTATGGAAAGATCATCCTTATGCAATAGAATGGAAGAGAGAAGACTCACCTGGATTTGAAACAACAAGAATTTTACAATCAGGACTATAATGGACTATGGCAGGAATGATTGATTTCATTATAGCCACATTACGTTGGACCAGGGCAAGGCGAGTTTCTCCCTCCTGCTGCCTTGCACCTGCTGTGACAATAACTATTCTGGAGTTTGCAGATACACTGTAATCTAAAAAGGAAACAAAATACTATATTTGGATCAACATTACCATAACCACTGTGCCTTAACTCCTTAAAACTCTATTGTATGTTCTTAGTATTATATTAAAGTATCCATGTACCTTTATGTCTGGCATTTTGGAGATGAACGGACTTTTCTAACCTTTATAATCTGAAGGAAGCCTTGTCACTATGACTTGCCAAATTTCACATAGCTACCTCAAAAATTTTTATAACAATAGAAACTAACATCCCCTTTTGCCCAAATTCCCCTGTGTTATGAAGGCCCAAGGCAATGAAAGTCAGCTCTCTGCCTTCTTAGAAACACCAAAATGAGGCCAGGCGCAGTGGCTCACGCCTGTAATCCCAGAACTTTGGGAGGCCAAGGCAGGCGGATCACGAGGTCAAGAGATCAAGACCATCTTGGCCAACATGGTAAAATCCTGTCTCTACTAAAAATACAAAAATTAGCTGGGAGTGGCAGCACATGCCTGTAGTCCCAGCTACTTGGGAGGCTGAGGCAGGAGAATCGCTTGAACCTGGGAGGCGGAGGTTGAAGTGAGCAAAGATCGCGCCACTGCACTCCAGCCTGGCAAGACTCTGTCTCAAAAAAAAAAAAAAAAAAAAAAAGACCAAAATGAATAGACTTAGAACTCTGAGAATTTATGTGTCTGTTTCAGGAGTCTAAGAGTGAGAATGTATTTACTTCTAATATTGTAAGGGACTGGGTTTGAAATCACAAACAAGTTCTTGACCCACCCAAGAAAATAAACTACGTACTAAATGACCAGTTGTTTCACCTGTTGAATACAATGTCACTACTATGAAGCACTTACTAACTCATACTGGTCTTCTTTTTTTTTTTTTTTTCTGAGATAGTGTCTCACTCTGTTGCCCAGGCTGGAGTATGGTGGTGCCATCTCAGCTCACTGCAACGTCTGCCACTCAGGTTCAAGAGATTCTCCCACATCAGCCTCCTGAGTAGCTGGGACTACAGGCATGCACCATCACACACAGCTAAATTTTTATTTTTTGGTAGAGACGGGGTTTCACCATGTTGGCCAGGCTGGTTTTGAACTCCTGACCTCAACTGATCCACCTACCTTGGCCTCCTAAAGTGTTGGGATTACAGGCGTGAGCTACCACATGTGGCTTCATACTGGACTTTTTTAAAAAGCACTATATAGCTGAAGATTATCTACCATGTGGATGTAAAAAATTAGTTAAAATATCCTCTATATCTATCTCATCTCGACTTTTCATGTTCTTTTAGAAAATGAAATCTAATAGCTGGGCGTGGTGGCTCACACCTGTAATTCTAACACTTTGGAAGCTGAGGCTGGCGGATCACTTGAGGTCAGGAGTTCAAGACCAGCCTGACCAACATGTCTCTACTAAAAATACAAAAATTAGCCAGCCATGGTGGCGTGCATCTTAATCCCAGCTACTCAGGAGGCTGAGGCAGGAGAATGGCTTGAACCCAGGAGGCGGAGGTTGCAGTGAGCCCAGATCATGCCACTGCACTCCAGCCTGTGTGACAGAGTGAGACTCTGTCTCAAAAAAAAAAAAAAAAAAAAAAAGAGAGAGAAAGAAAGAAAAGAAAATGAAATCTACCTAATTTTTAAAATATCACATCTTCATTTATGGTGATTCTTGTATCTTTCTAATCCAAAAGAGAAGATAACTTATGAAATATGAACACTGTTGTTTTTCCTGCCCCAATAAAGATTTTAACTAGAAAGGCAAACTTAGGAATTAGATGACATTTCTGGCCAGGCACAGTGGCTCACACCTGTAATCCCAGCACTTTAGGAGGTAGAGATGGGTGGAACACTTGAGGTCAGGAGTTCAAGACCAGCCTAGCCAACATGGTGAAACCCCATCTCTACTAAAAATACAAAAATTAGCTGGGCATGATGGCACGTGCTGTAATCCCAGTTACTCAGGAGGGTAAAGCAGGAAAATCACTTGAACCTAGGAGGTGGAGGTTGCAGTGAGCCGAGACTGTGCCACTGCATTCCGGCCTGAGTGACAGAGCGAGACTCCATCTCAAAAAAAAAAAAAAAAAATCTGGCTCCAAATCATCTTTACTAGCTTTATGTCTTATTTTTATGTCAGATTTTCCAGGTGCCCTGATCCTGTTAATGCCATCATTTCCTTACCTGTTATTTATTTTTCTTTGTAAATATAACCACAAAGAGACCATAAACTACAGTGGTCTGGAGCAAAAGCTCTGAGGTCTAACTGCCAGTATTCCCAACTTTGCCACTTACTAGCTGTGTAACCATGGACAATTACTTTGCCTACCCCTCTAACTCTCACTTCCTCATCTACAAGATCAAGCTAATAGCGTTTTTTTGTTGTTATTTTGTTTTTGTTTGTTTGTTTTTTTGAGGCACAATCTTGCTCTGTCGCCCAAGCTGGAGTGCAGTGGTGCAATCTCAGCTCACTGCAACCTCCGCCTCCCAGGTTCAAGCAATACCTCGCCTCAGCCTCCCAAGTAGCTGGGATTACAGGAGCCCACCACCATGCCCGGCTAATTTTTGTATTTTTAGTAGAGACGGGGTTTCACCATCTTGACCAGGCTGGTCTTGTACTCCTGACCTCATGATCTACCCGCCTCAGCCTCCCACAGTGCTGGGATTATAGGCATCAGCTACCACGCCCAGCCGCTAATAGCCTTTTAAAAAATATGGTTCTTAAGAAGATAACTCAGTGAGTTAATATACATTAAGTACTCAACAGGGTGTATTAAATGTTCAATAAATGTTAGCAATTAACATTATTATTATATTAGTCAAGTACTTCTTCGAATACCAATTCCTCTGCTAGATATCCCCAAGTATTTATCATATCATTCATAAATGATATGTGGTTGTATTTTGAAAGAAAAATAAACAACAGGTAAGGAAATGATGGCATTAACAGGATCAGGGCACCTGGAAAATCTGACATAAAAATAAGACATAAAGCCATCATATCATTCATTATTTATCATATCATTCATAAATACCACTTTCTTCACAGAATTTTTTTATAGCACTTACTGCCTATAATTATGAAAAAGTCCTTATAAGAGCATATGTTATCTTCTCATGGTTATGTCTTATTTAAACCCCTAACTTAATCATAAGCACCATAATATTAATAATAGGTTCTGATTTCACTGATTTCACATTACTCCCTTCTTTCCACAAATATCTTTTTTTTTTTTTTTTTTGAGACGGAGTCTTGCTCTGTTGCCCAGGCTGGAGTGGAGTGGCGTGATCTTGGCTCACTGCAACCTATGCCTCCCTGGTTCAAGTGATTCTCCTGCTTCAGCCTCCCAAGTATCTGGGATTACAGGGACCCGCCACCATGCCCAGCTAATTTTTGTATCTTTAGTAGAAACGGGCTTTTGCCATGTTGGCCAGGTTGGTCTTGAACTCCTGACCTCAGGTGATCCACCTGCCTCGGGCTCCCAAAGTGCTGGGATTACAGGCGTGAGCCACCACACCTGGTCCATAAATATCTTAGCAGCCTCTATGTTCCATGCACCTGGACTCACTGTACATATGAGATAATTTAAAATATCTGTGGAGCTGGGCATAGTAGTCCCAGCTACTTAGGAAGCTGAATCAAGAGGGTCACTTGAACCCAGGAGTTAGAGGCTGCAGTGCACTGTGATTGTGCCCATGAACAGCCATCTCTAAACTAAAAAGTAAAAAAAAAAAAAAATTGTGGCTAATCAACGATGTTCCATCATTGCTCTTCCCCATTAGACCTCACAATATGTATTTTCTTTTTTCTTTTTTCTTTTTTTTTCTGAGACAGAGTCTCGCTCTGTTGCCCAGGCTGGAGTGCAGTGGCGCGATCTCGGCTCACTGCAAGCTCCGCCTCCTGGGTTCATGCCATTCTCCTGCCTCAGCCCTCCTGAGTAGCTGGGACTACAGGCGCCTGCCAACACGCCTGGCTAATTTTTTTTTATTTTTAGTAGAGAAGGGGTTTCACCGCGTTAGCCAGGATGGTCTTGATCTCCTGACCTTGTGATCCACCCACCTCAGCCTCCCAAAGTACTGGGATTACAGGCGTGAGCCACCACGCCTGGCACAAAATGTATTTTTAAAATGTTCTATTGTGAAATATTTCATATACAATAACATATAAGAAATATACACTCAATTTATAAAACATTAAACAACTCTGTTAAAACCACACAAAAGGCCAAGCACAGTGGCTCACACCTGTAATCCCAGCTACTGGGGAGGCTGAGGCACGACAATCACTTGAACCTGGGAGGCAGAGATTGCAGTGAGCTGAGATCGTGCCACTGCACTCCAGCCTGGGTTAACAGGGCAAGACCTAGTCTCTAAAATATAATAATTTTTTAATGAAAAAAATTAAAAATATTAACTCTGCCAAAACTGCACAATAAACATCTAGTTCACATTTGTCCTCTGGAGGCTGAGGTGGGAGGACTGCTTGAACCCAGGAATTCAAGAGTTTGAGGTTGTGGTGAGCTATGATCACACCCCTGAACTCTAGCCTGGGCAACAAAGCAAGACCCTTTTTCAAAACAAAAAAAAAAATCCCCAAATTTATAGAACATTGTCAACACCTTGGAAGCCCCTGCATGCCTCTAACAGATTATGTCTATCAACCACTCTTGTGGCTGGCAAAAAATCACATTACTTTTAAAAAAGCTTTACTACCTATGCATGTTTAAATTACATATTAATTGTTTTTTTATTTGTTTTGTTTTGTTTTGAGATGGCTCTATCACCCAGGCTGGAGTACAGTGGCACGATCTCAGCTGACTGCAACTTCCGCCTCCCAGGTTCAAGCGATTCTCCTGCCTCAGCCTCCCGAGTAGCTGGAATTACAGGCACGTGCCACCACACCCAGCTAATTTTTGTATTTTTAGTAGAGACAGGGTTTCGCCATGGTGGCCAGGCTGGTCTGGAACTCCTGACCTCAAGTGATCCGCCCACCTCGGCCTCCCAAAGTGCTAGGATTACAGGCGTCAGCCACCATGCCCAGCATTACATAGTACATTTTATCTGTTTTTGAATCATAAGGCATGTATTCCCTTAACTAAATATTATGTATCTGATATTTATCCATGTTAATGTGTGTTCCTGTAGTTTCTTCATTTTCACTGCTGTGCAATATTACACTGCATAATTTTACAATTTAGTACTGGGATTCATTGACTTGTTTACAGTTTGGGGCTACTACAATACGTTCTTGTACATGTATCCTAGTGCGCATGTGCAAAAGTTTTCTTGGGACTATATTTAGAAGTGTAATTTCCAGGTTGTGGGATATGTTCATGTTCAACTTCACCAGGTAATGACAAACTCGTGGGGTTTTTTTGTTTTTTTTTGAGACAGAGTTTCATTCCATGGCCCAGGCTGGAGTGCAGTGGCGCGATCTAGGCTCACTGCAACCTCCACCTCCTGGGTTCAAGCGATTCCCCTGCCTCAGACTCCTGAGTAGCTGGGATTACAGGCGCGCACCACCATGCCCGGCTAATTTTTGTATTTTTAGTAGAGACAGGGTTTCACCATGTTGGTCAGGCTGGTCTCAAACTCCTGACCTCGTGATCCGCCCACCTCAGCCTCCCAAAGTGCTGGATTACAGGCGTGAGCCACCGCACCCGGCCAAACTTGTTTTTTTAACTGGTTTTACTACACTCCTATATGCTGTGTGTGAGAGCACTTATTGTTCCACATCCTCACAAACACTTACTATCACACTTCTACCAATCTAGTGGGTGTGTAATGGTATATTGATATGGTTTTTATTTTCCTGTGCTTGGTTATTGAGTTTTCTCCCCCTATTTATAAGCCACTTGAGTGTCTTCTTTTGTAAATTATTGAAGGCTTTTCTCATTTTTCTATTGAGCTGTGCATTTTTTTTAGGTATTATATTAATACAAGTATTTTTATTCTGAACACTATTCCTTTGTTAGATGTTAACACTGCAAATATCTTCTCTCAGTTTATGGCTTGTCTCTTTGCTCTTTTATATTATATTTTTGTGAACACTCTTAACTTTGTATTCTTTATTGATTATGCTTTTTGTGTCTTTGTGTTTAAATCAGTCCCTACCTTCAGGTCATAAGGATATTCTACGTTATCTTCTAAAGGAAATTTTGAAGTTTTGCTTTTCACATTTTAGTCTTCAACCAACCTGGCTTTGATTTTTGTGTGTGGTATCAGGTAGGGTGTGTGTGTGGTATCAATTTATTTTTTCCATAATGATAACTACTGCCATAAGAACAATTCTAAAGGTCCATAAATTTCCTATTTATCTAGAAAATCATCAGTGTTATATAACAATCTTTTATATTGTCTCCTAATTAAGTCTCTGCACATAATTAGTGCTTTATAATAAGTCTTGAATTAGCTTGGAATGTCCAATAATAACAAAACCTGCGGGGTTTTGACTAGGATTGCATATAATCAATATGGGAAGAATGGATAGCTTACAATATTGAGACTTCTATGAACAAGGAATATCACTTCATTTATTTATTTTACTCTTGAGTAGCTGGGACTACAGGTGTGTGCCATCACGCCTGGCTAATTTTTTGTATTTTTAGCAGAGACAGGGTTTCACCATGTTGGCCAGGCTGGTCTCGAACTCCTGACCTCAAGGGATCCACTTGACTCGGCCTCGCAAAGTGCTGGGATTACAGGCATGAGCTACTGCGCCCAGCCTCCCCTCATTTATTTAGATAATATATTCTTTGAGTTTTTTGTTGTTTTCTTTTTTTTGGTTTTGGTTTTTTTGAGACATGTCACCCAGGCTGGAGTGCAATGGCGCAACCTCAGCTCACTGTGACTTCTACCTCCCAGGCTCAAGCCATCCTTCCACCTCAGCCTCTTGAGTAGCTGGGACTCAGGCACCCATCAACACGCCCAGCTAATTTTTGTATTTTTGGTAAAGACATGGTTTCACCGTGTTTCCCAGGCTGGTCTTAAACTCCTCCACTCAAGCGATACTCCCGCCTCGGCTTCCCAAAGTGCTAGGATTACAGGCACCACACCCAGCCTGACATTTAACATCTTCTAATGAGGTGGTATGTTTTCTGCACAAAAGCTCTTATGCCAGGTATTTCCTATTTTTATGATATTGTAAATAATAGCTTTAGATTTCTTTTGCCTGGTTTTGGCATGCAGAAATACAATGGATTTTTTTTTTTTTTTGAGATGGAGTCTTGCTCTGTTGCCCAGGCTGGAGTGCACTGCCACAATCTCGGCTCACTGCAACTTCCACCTCCGGGTTCAAGTGATTCTCCTACCTCAGCGTACCAAGTAGCTGGATTACAGGTGTGCACCATTACGCCTGGCTAATTTTTGTATTTTTAGTAGAGACAGGGGTCTCACCATGTTGCCCAGGCTGATCTCAAACTCCTGGCCTTAAGTGATCCACCACCTCAGCCTCCCAGAGTGCTGGGATTACAGGCATGGGCCATCGTGCCCGGCCTTGATTTCTGATTACTAACTTTGTCTGTCATCCTTGCTAAACTTTTAGTTTTATATGCTGTCCTATTCTTATATTTCTATCTTCTTTTTAATTCATTAGGTATGTTTATCTAATATTACTTCTTTCTCTTTACTAATTTTTTTGTTTTTTTGTATCAGTCTTGCTCCATCGCTTAGGCTGGAGTATAGTGGCAGTGATCTTGGCTCACTGCAACCTCCACCTGCCGGGTTGAAGTGATTCTCCTGCCTCAGCCTCCTGAGTAGCTGGGACTACAGGTGTGCACCACCACATGCAGCTAATTTTTGTAGTTTTAGTAGAGACAGGGTTTCACCATGTTGGCCAGGCTAGTCTTGAACTCCTGACCTCAAATGATTCGCCCGCGTTGGCCTCCCAAAGTGCTGAGACTACAGGCATGAGCCACCATGCCCAGACACCTTTAAGAATTTAAAGGTTTCTGTTCTTTTGTTAGCTGTCACAGAAGTTAGATCATGTCATCTGTAATCCCAGCTGAGTGAGGCAGGAGGATCATTTGGGCCCAGGAGTTTGAGACCAGCCTGGGCAACATAGCGAGATCCCATCTCTGTGTTTTTTGTTTGTTTTGAGATGGAGTTTTGCTCTTGTCACCCAGGCTGGAGTGTAATGGCATGATCTCTGCTCACTGCCACCTCCGTCTCCCAGGTTAAAGCGATTCTCCTGCCTCAGGTTCCTGAGTAGCTGGGATTATAGGCATGCATCAGCACGCCCAACTAATTTTTGTATTTTTAGTAGAGATGGGGTTTCACCAGGTTGGCCACGCTGGTCTCAAACTCCTGACCTCAAGTGATCTGCCTGTCTAGCCTCCCAAAGTTCTAGGATTACTGGCGTGAGCCACCACATCCGACCTACACCTCACCTCTTTAAAAATTATTTAAAAATTTGAGGCCAGCCATGGTGGCTCACTCCTGTAATCCCAGCACTTTGGGAAGCCGAAGCGGGCAGACCACCTGAGGTCAGGAGTTAGAGACCAGCCTGGCCAACATGGTGAAACCCCATGTCTTCTAAAAATACAAAAAATTAGCCAGGCTCAGTGGTGTGTGCCTGTAATTTCAGCTACTCGAGAGGCTGAGGCAGGAGAATCACTTGAACCTGGGAGGTGGAGGGTGCAGAGAGCTGAGATCACACCACTGCACCCAGCCTGGGTGACAGTGTGAGACTTTGTCTCAAAATAAAAATAAAATATAAAAATTTGAAAAAGAAAAAGAAATTACAACGTGCATTTTTAACTTATCAAAGTTCAAAGTTAATCACCACACTTCCTGCTTCCCTAATGACACAGGAAACTTAGAACACTACTTCATTCATCACTATCACCCCTCGCCCGTATATTTATATGCTATATTCAAAAATTTTTTAATCCCCCAAGACTACAGTTTTATACAATTGATATTTATTTAGATTTGCCTTCATATTTACCATTTTCTCTGTCCTTCATTTTTTGTCTTGCATCACAGATCTTGTATGTGAGATCACTTTTCTTTTGCCTGATATATATACTTTTGTGTTTCCTTTAGGGAGGGCCTGACAGTAATTGTCTCAGTCTGTTTCTGAAAACACCTTCATTCACTCTCCTTTTTTTTTTTTTTTTTTTTTTTTAAGAGACAAGATTTCACTATGCTGCCCAGGCTGGTCTCAAAGTGATCCTTCTGCCTCAGCCTGCTACCAGGCCCAGCTTTGTCCTTGTTCTTGAAAGATGTTTTTGCTGGGTAGATTCCAGATTGACACTTACTCCTCCCTCAGCACATTAAAAATATTCCATTGTCTTCTGGTTTCACTGCTGCTATTGTCACCCTCTCCCTTTTCTGTAGGTAATTTATGTTCTCTCTGACAATTTTTAAGAACTTCTTTTTGCCTTTAGTGTTCTCTAATTTCACAAGAATATGTCCAGGTAGGGATATTATATTTATTCTTCTTGAGATTATTTGGCTTCTTAAATCTGTGGGTTGATATTTTTCAGTGGTCTTCAAAAATGCTGAATCATAATCTCTTCAAATGTGATTATTCTATCCTCCATGACTCTTAACCTGTTATATTTTCTACTTCTTGTCTTCTGGGTAATTGCCTTAGATTTGCCACTTCTCTCTTCAAATGTGTCTAATCTATCATTGTATCCATAGAGGTTGTTGTTGTTGTTGTTGTTGTTCTAAGACGGAGTCTCACTTTGTCGCCCAGGCTGGAGTGTGGAGTGGTGCCATCTCAGTTCACTGCAACCTCTGCCTCCTGGTTCAAGTGATTCTCTTGCCTCAGCCTCCTGAGTAGCTGAGACTACAGGCATGCACCACCACACCCAGCTAATTTTTGTATTTTTAGTAGAGACAGGTTTTCACCATGTTGGCCAAGCTGATCTCCAACTCCTGACCTCAACCAATCCACCTGCCTCACCTTCCCAAAGTGCTGGGATTATAGGACTGAGCCACTATGCCTGGCTCCATTGAGTTTTTCACATTTATAAGTTATATTTTGTTCCTTTTTTAATGTTTTTATAGCCTCCTGTCTCATGCTGATATTTTCAAGTCTGTTCTTTATTTTTTATGTAGAATAATCATATTAATTTTATAATTTGTGTTTGATAATTTTTAAATCTATAGTGGCATGTTTCTGTTATGCTGGTTCTTGCTCATGCCTTTTCTTGCAGATTTAATTATTTCTATTGTGAGATGTTCATTTTCTCTGGAAGTTTATTTGTGGAAGTTCTTTGAGGCCTGAAATAAAGTGAGTTTCCTCTAGCTACCATCTGATTGCTTAAGGTTTTCTGGAATTCAAATAAGAGCCAGCTTGTGGTTCCAAATCCTTAGCAGGTATATTCCCCCACTAAAGTGTCTAAGACATTCAATTTTACTTGTAGTCCCCAAAGGCAGGGAGAGAATAATTATTTGTAGATCATCATTACATTAACGGTATAGTTCTGGCAATGGTAAACTACTGTTGGCAGACAAGCGATATCTGGTCTACCACCTGTGTTTGGTAAATAGAGTCTCACTGGAGCCACACCCACTTGCTTATGTATTATTGTCTGTGGCTTCCTTTTGCACTGTAAGAGCAGAGTTGAGTAGGTATAATAGGAACTACATAGCTGGAAAAGCCTAAAATATCTACTATCTGAGTCTTCCCAGAAAAAGTTTAGTAACCCCTGGCTTAGTCCACTAGGGCACCAGGTTTGTGGGGTGATCTCCCCAAATCCCCAAGCTCTGTCTCTGGTCTCCTAAATTTTATGAGTCAGTGAAAACCAAAATTGATGTCCACCATGTTTGGCAAATGCTATCAGGGTAAAAAGAGCAATCAGAGCTGCAGTGCTCTGCTTAACTCTCTGGTTTTCTCACTTCATTCAGTACCTGTTGTGAAAATGCCTTACTTTTTTGTTAAGAACATATTCTTTCTCAAGGATTGATTTTTTTATTTCATATTTTATGCAGGAGTTTTCTCATTTACAGCAAAAGATTAATCCAGGTATTTATCCTGCCATATTATTAGAAATTGAAAGTTGAATATGTTTTCAAGTATTTTAAAATATGGCCAGGTGCGGTGGCTCACACCTATAATCCCAGCACTTTGGGAGGCCGAGGCAGGTGGATCGCTTGAGGTCAGGCATTCGAGACCAGCCTGGCCAACATGGTGAAACCCCGTCTCTACTAAAAATACAATTAGCTGGGCATGGTGGTATGCACCTGTAATCCCAGCTGCTTGGGAGGCTGAGGCAGGAGAATCTCTTGAACCTGGGAGGTGGAGGTTGCAGTGAGCAGAGATCACACCACTGCACTCCAGCCTGGGTGACAGAGCAAGACTCCATCTCAAAAAATAAAATAAAATAAAATAGTAATACTCTTTTAATTTGACTCCATTTAACCAATCCACCAAATTAACTGATACAAAACATACTGATACCCCAGACATACTAAACACTCTCAACTAGTAAACTACTATCTAGTATGTCTATGTACTTCTGCTCATTAGTTGCTACATATCAAGAATTAGTCATATTTGTACCCAAATATAATTATGTATTTATTATTATATATATAATTAAAGATAATATAAGTCACTAAATACCAGTGTGAAAGAAATGTTTGGTAAAGGTAAACACCACATTCAACATTGAGATTTAGGGACAGGAAGATATGAATATACAGAATGTATCAACTGACTTGGTAATGTTTTATTTCTTTTGCTGAGTGGTAGATGCACTGATGTTTGTTATATTATTATATATATTTTAGCAATAGGATCTTCCTTTGTGCCCAGGCTGGAGTGCAGTGATACAATCATAGCTCACTGCAACCTTGAACTCAAGCAATCCTCCTGCATCAGCCTCGCAAAGCTAGGGCTACAGGCACAATGGAGACAGGGTCTCACTATGTTGCCTCTGGCTGATTTCAAACTCCTGGCCTCATGCGACCCTCCTACATCAGCCTCCCAATGTTACATTATTGTTAATCTCTTTTTCTCTATCAAGTATTCCATAATTAATATTAAAAATAATTGTTTCTATGAAAAGTAAGTTAATCCCTGGGAAGACATTAAAAGCAAATTGTTTAAAAATTGTCCTTCTAGGTTTGAGAAAGGGATAAAAATGGGTTGGGCGTGGTGGCTCACACCTGCAACTGCTTGAGCCTAGGAGTTTGAGACCAGCCTGAGCAACAGAGTGACACCGCATCTCTACAAATAATAATTTCTTAAAAATTAGCTGGGTGTGGTGCTGTGCACCTATAGTCCCAGCTACACAGAAGGGTGAGGTGGGAGGATCACCTGAGCCTGGGAATTCGAGGCTGCAGTGAACCATGATTATGCCACTGCACTCCAGCCTGGTGAAACTGTCTCCAAAAATAAAATAAATAAAGTCATAAAATTTAGTAAGGTTTTATAACCAGACTGCTTCATGAACACTTTTAAATTTCTTGTAGTACTTTAAAGCAATCTAAATGATCATTATTGATGTGCTTTCAGAAAGACACCACCTGTTGTTCCAGGTACTTGCCAGGCTGAGGCAGGAGGACCCCTTCAGCCCAGGAGTTCAAGACTGTAGTGTGCTAAGACCATGCCTATAAATTGCCACTCCAGGCCGGGTGCGGTGGCTCACGCCTGTAATCCCAGCACTTTGGGAGGCCAAGGCAGGCGGGTCACCTGAGGTCAGGAGTTCAAGACCAGCCTGGCTAACGTGGTGAAACCCTGTGTCTGCTAAAAACACAAAAATTAGCCAGGCATGGTGGCACACACCTATAGTCCCAGCTACTTGGGAGGCTGAGGCAGGAGAATCGTTTGAACCTCGGAGGTGGAGGTTGTGGTGAGCTGAGATTGTACCACCACACTCCAGCCTGGGCAACAGATCAAGACTCTGTCTCAAAAATAAATAAGTAAATAAATAGCCACTCCAATCTGGGCAACATGGAGAGGAGAGGAAAGGAAAGGATGGAGGGCTGGGGAGGGTAGGGGAGGTGAGTAGAGGGGAGAGGATCAGAGGGGGAAAGGGGAAGAGGAGGAAAGGAGGAATGAAATGAACGGAGAAGGGAAAGGGGGAAGGAAGGGGAAAGGGAAAAGGAAGGGAAGGGGAAGATGGAAGGGAAGGGGGAAGGGATGGGAAGGCACTGCAAAACTCTAATCAGCTGAGCCGTACTCAAAGGCCTTGCCCTACAACCAGAAAATCAGCAAATGAACTTTTATCTACATGTGTATGTTTTAGGTCGATATAAAATGTTTATCATGGCTCTTTCTAAGAAGCATGTTTAAATTAGGTAACTGCCTTCAATCTCAATCATGTTAGATAAGAGGGCTTCTAGTAGAAAGTATATCTGTTGAATCACATTACCAAACAGTGCACCATATACTTTAGTGTATGATAAAATAATTATGTTTCCTAATTATCTGAGGCTTCTTAGTTGGTCAACAGATGATGCTAACACCAATGAGGCCAAGTTCTAAATTTCTTATGTTCTATGGCCTCATGCTATGCCTTGAAACCTGGTTCACTATAAACATAGAAAGAAAACTAAAGAATATGGATAAATGTATTAATAATATTACAGAAACTCTTCAAGATTGTATATTCTTGGGAAAATATATAAGACAAAATGACAAGCTTAAAAGCATTTATACATCAGTTATGTAAAGAAAACAAAAGCTTAGAAAACCTACATAAAGTCATTAATAGAAGAGATTCAATTTTTCTTTATACTTTCTGTTTTCCAAATATGCTCCAATTATATCGAAGTGTTCTTTTTAAAAAAATTAACTTTTTAAATTATATGGCCCGGCTGGGCACCGCAGCTCACACCTGTAATTCCAGCACTTTGGAAGGCCGAGGCAAGTGGATCACCTGAAGTCAGGAGTTCGAGACCAGCCTGGCCAACATATAGTGAAACCCCATCTCTACTAAAAATACAAAAATCAGCGGGGTGTGGTAGCGCATGCCTGTAATCCCAGCTATTCAGGAGACTGAGGCAAGAAAATTGCTTGAACCCAGGTGGCGGAGGTTGCAGTGAGCTGAGATTGTGCCACTGCACTCCAGCCTGGGCAACAGAGCGAGACTCCATCTCAAAATAAATAAATAAATAAAAATAAACTATATGGCCCAATCACCTGAGGTCAGGAGTTCGAGACCAGCCTGGCCAACATGGCAAAACTACGTCTCTATTAAAAATACAAAAATTAGCCAGGCGTGGTGGCGCATGCCTGTAATCCCAGCTACACAGGAGACCGAGGCAGGAGAATCACTTGAAGCTGGGAGGTGGAGGTTGCAGTGAGCCAAGATCGCGCCACTGCACTCTAATCTGGGTGACAGAGTGAGACTCTCTCAAAAAACAAAAAAAATTGATCAACTAAATTAAATTATATGGCCCAATGGCATGGTGCTATTTTTAATTTTATATTTATTGACATCTGTTTGGTAAAATTTATTACTTTTTTAAAAAGCTTTGAAAATAACTTTATAAAACTAAAATTAACCTTTTCCAGAAGTAATCTTTGAAGTACTAAAGAAAAGACTGCCATGCTGAAGATCCATCATTTCTCCCTTCAGTTTGTCCAATGCAACATCAACAAGGGCAAGTTCATCAGCCAAATCCTAAAATATACAAAAGTTCTGAATAAAATGTTCCTACTTAAGTTTTAGGAGAATAAGAAGAATTTTCATGTGGCTACTTGATAATTAAAGGAATCTCATATTTTAATAGGGAAAAATGATATAAAAATAGTTTTTCAATGAGCCTGGGTGACCGAAAGTCAAGGTAAGTAAATATTAAGATGTAGCAAAAATTGTTTGACTTCATATAATTGTTAGAACTTTTTAGAGCTGGGTGTTTTTTGTTTTTGTTTTTTTTTGCCATTCAGATAACAGTTTGAAACCAAGGAAAATAAAATGATTTCAAAGGCTTTTATTATATTTAGCCTTTATTTTTGTGTTTTTTGTTTTGTTTTGTTTGAGATGAAGTCTCACTCTGTCGCCCAGGCTGGAGTGCAGTGGCACAATCTCGGGCACTGCAACCTCCGTCTCCCAGGTTCAAGCAATTTTCGTGCTTCAGCCTCCCGAGTAGCTGGGATTACAGGCGCCCGCCACCATGTCCGGCTAATTTTTGTATTTTTAGTACAGACGGGGTTTCACCATATTGGTCAGGCTGGTCTCAAACTCCTAACCTCAAGTGATCTACCCACCTCAGCCTCGCAAAGTCCTGGGATTACAGGCCTGAGCCACTGCGCCCGGCCAGGATTTTATTATATTTAACCTTAACCCTAATTTCTGAGTTGGCTAAAGCTGCTTTTAGTATGCGTCGTTATGGCCCAAACAGGAAGGTAACCACCTCTGATGAACACTTATTGTTTTCATCTGTCTAGTGTCCCTTTTTCTGGTAATAGAATTTCTCTTTTCCATGGGAACCCATTCCATATGTTTCAGTGCAGTACAATTAACATTGGTTTTCCAAGCTTAGGGTAGATGGGCATAAAACCAGACCTAGCCAATTGTTCCATCCTTTCCTTCTGGTCACAGAAATCAGTTCATAAGTGGACATATGGCCCAGGTATAAGAAACAAGCATGTCTATGAAGTTTGAAAATGGAAGACGGAAGATTACATCTCACTTTTCTTTGGAATCATAAGCTCTAAGAATAACATGCAAATCTAAGAACATTAGTAAGGACTGTAGAGTTGGAGAAAAAACAAGAATCTAAGAACAAACTGTACAGCCATCTTTACCACCACATAGAAAGGCTCTACGAATTAAGCCAACAGAGAAAATCTAAACCAAGATATACAAAGACTATGTCTTGATATGTGTGAACTTCAGAATCCGGTAGTACCTGAAGCAGTTTTGCCCTATTTCCAGTTACATGAACAATATTTCGTCTTTTTCTGCTTACCCTAATTTAAACTGGGTTTTTGTCACATGTGACAGAGTACGGAACTATATACAAGGAGTGTATTCATTCAGATTTCAATAGCCAGATTCCAAAAGCGAACAGTAAGGGAAAGAAGTAAAAGTCCCTACTTAAGGCCAGGCGTGGTGGCTCATGCCTGTAATCCCAGCACTTTGGGAGGCTGAGGCAGGCGGATCACGAGGTCAAGAAATCAAGGCCATCCTGGCCAACATGATGAAACCCCGTCTCTACTAAAAATATAAAAATTAGCTGGGCGTGGTGGCACATGCCTGTAGTCCCAGCTACTCAGGAGGCTGAGGCAGGAGAACTGCTTGAACCCGGGAGGCAAAGGTTGCCGGGAGCCGAGATCCTGCCGCTGCACTCCAGCCTGGCAACAGAGCGAGACTCCGTCTCAAAAAAAAAAAAAAAAAAAAAAGAGAGAACAATAAACACTGGGGACTCCAAAAGCAGAGAGGGAGGAGGGCACAAGGGTTAAAAACAATACCTATTGGCAGCCAGGTGTGGTGGCTCATGCCTGTAATCCCAGTACTCTGGGAGGCCGAGGCAGGCGGATCACTTGAGGTCAGGAGTTCGAAACCAGCCTGGCCAACATGGAGAAACCCCATCTCTACTAAAAATATAAAAAATTAGCCAGGCCTGGTGGTGCATGCCTGTGGCCCCAGTTATTCAAGAGGCTGAGGCAGGAGAATCGCTTGATCCCGGGAGGTGGAGGTTGCAGTGGGCCAAGATCGCGCCACTGCACTCCAACCTGGGTAACAGACAAATCCTGTCTCAAAAAAAGAAAAAGAAAAGGAAAGTCAGAAAAAAAAAGAAAGGAAAAGAAAGAAGAAGTTTAAAAAAAAAGGAAAAGAAAGAGAGAAAGAAAAAGGAAGGAAGGAAGGAAGGAAGGGAGGGAGGGAGGGAGGGAGGAAAGGTCAAAGGATACATAATTGCTTTCAAGGGATTAACCTTGCAACCCTGAATACATCGACATATACAACACTCTGAAGTGCTCACTTGATTTTCAGCCACAGGATGGGCTTCTCACTCACCTTCAGTAAGATACTAATAGCACAAGCCATGCCTACGGCACCAGTTCCAACAATAGTAATTTTACACTGGGAGTTTTCATCATCCTCAATTAGCTTCTCAATTAGCTGCTCCTTGACAGTTGACATTTGGAGAACCTGATAGGGATAATGCAATTTCATTGGATTAACCACACTGAACATCTAAGAAACTACCTCTTCAGTTTGCAGAATGTTGGAGCCGGGGATGGGGGGAAGCCAAAGAAAGAATTTCCTGGTCAAAGGATGCGGGGAGGGTAAAGCAAGGCCCAGTCTACCAGGCAATGGGAGGGCTGGGGCACCAGCGGGCTTTTGGATTTCTCCCTGCCCCCAGCCACCACTTTCACCCCAGCACCACACGCTCACAAATGCTTTGCTTGGCGCAATCAGTACAGATGACCCACAGGGACAAAGCACCACCTTTGAAGGAAGGCACAGAAGTGACACCAGAAAAATACACCAACGACAGTTGAGGCGCTAAGCCCGTCGACGGTTGCCCTCCGTGCGACTCGAGACACGCACGTTCCCCCGCTCGGCTCTTATGCGTCAGCACGCAAGCTCCGCCCCCCGCCGGCCCAGGCGCGGGCATGGGGCGTCTTTTCTGCCCTGGAGCGCAGTGTGGGTGGCGGCGGTCCAGATCACCGAAATGCTGATGGGAAGAATTCTAGACTGGCCCAAAGAGTGTGCAAGACGGGGATATCCATGCATTGTTTGCAGGATTTTAAAAAATTATTAACTTCTGTAACTTCAGGACTGAGTGCTGAAATAAAGTTAGAATTTCTCTTGAGAGAACAGAGGGTGGTAATGAAACGCAAAGACGCGAAGGATGCTTTCAATTTACAGCAAGAAATTGTTAATATTTATAACTCATGGCCGGACGCGGTGGCTCACACCTGTAATCCCAGCACTTTGGGAGTCCGAGGCAGGTGGATCACCTGAGGTCAGGAGTTTGAGAACAGCCTGGCCAACATGGCGAAACCCCGTCTCTACTAAAAATATAAAATTAGTCGGGCATGGTGGTGCATGCCTGTAGTCCCAGCTACTTGGGAGGCTGAGGCAGGAGAATCGCTTGAACCCAGGAGGCGGAGGTTGCAGTGAGCCAAGATCGCGCCACTGCACTCCAGACTGGGCAACAAGAGAGAAACTCCATCTCAAAAAAAATTTACATATATATTTTTTTTTTTGTGAGAGAGATATATATCTCACAGAAGGGGACACAACCTACTCCATCTTTTGTAGAGTATTTGCATTTGAACCTTTTTCAAAATCCAAAATATAATTTATTTTTCTTATAATAGCCTGTAGTGTTGTTATTGTTGTTGTTTTTGAGACAGAGTCTCACTCTGTCGCCCAGGCTGGAGTGCAGTGGCACAATCTCAGTTCACTGCAACCTCCGCCGCCTGGGTTCAAGCAATTCTCCTGCCTCAGCCTCCCAAGTAACTGGGACTACAGGCGTGCGCCACCACGCCCGGCTAATTTTTGTATTTTTAGTAGAGATGGGGTTTCACCATGTTGGTCAGAATGGTCTCCAACTCCTGACCTAGTGATCCGCCCTCCCAAAGTGTTGGGATTACAGGCGTGAGCCACCGTGCTGAGCCACCGTGCCCAGCCGCCGGGCAAATTTTTTTGTATTTTTTTGTATTTCACCTTGCTGGCCAGGCTGGTCTCGAACTCTTGACCTCAAGTGATCCACCCACCTCGGCCTCCCAAAGTGCTGGGATTACAGGCGTGAACCACCGCACCCAGTCAGTATTTGTTTTCAATATGGTTCAGATTATGCAATAACCCTGCTTTAAACTCTTCCGTGGCTTTCCATTACAGGTAGAGTAACCCACTTTTACCACAACCTAGATCTTCAAGATTTGGCCTCCTACCCCCACTTCCCATATCATCTCAGGACACTCAATACACTTCCTTCCAACTAGGCTTTGGACAGCTTTTTTGGATCAGGACTTTTTGCTGTTCTTTAAACCAAGAAAGCTCTTTCCCCAGCCCTTCTCAAGGTTAATTCCTCATTTTCAGCTTTGCACATACATACTCTGGCTTTCCTTGACAAATGTCAACTACCATCATTTCCTGTATATCTCTCTCTTATGGCACTTTTCTCAACCAGCAACTAGCCTGAAGCTAGAGGCCTCCTATAGCAGACAGGAGCAGCAACCACTTGGTCCTATACCTCCACAGCAACCTCATTTATCCCCGGGCTGAGAGGGAGATTGCTGGCCTGGATGGACTGGAAATTTAAGCTCTACACCTGCCTCAGGCCCCTGGCGGCCAAGGAAGGTATCAGCTTGGTAGTGGCCAAACTGATGCTAGATGACTAGAACTGGCTCTTCATCCATGCCTGCCCAAATACTCCAAACTTACTTAACATTTTGCTTACTTGATTGCAGTAACTTTAGAACCAAAATTTGTCTTTATTTATTCTTGTACATTGCAACATTTACCAAAGCATAGTAGGTACTCACTAAAGAATTTTTGGGCCAGACATGGTGGCTCACTCCTGCAATCCCAGCACTTTGGGAGGCCGAGGCTTCAGCCCAGGAGTTCAAGACCAGTCTGGCAACATAGGGAGACCCCCATCTCTACCCCCAAAAATAAAAACAAAATAAAATAAAATAATTTTTTTTGAGACAGAGTCTCGCAGTCTCGCCCAGGCTGTAGTACAGTGGTCCGATCTCGGCTCACTGCAAGCTCCGCCTCCCGGGTTCACGCCATTCTCCTGCCTCAGCCTCCCGAGTAGCTGGGACTACAGGCGCCCGCCACCATGCCCAGCTAATTTTTTGTATTTTTAGTAGAGATGGAGTTTCACTATGTTAGCCAGGATGTTTTCAATCTCCTGACCTTGTGATCCACCCGCCTCAGCCTCCCAAAGTGCTGGGATTACAGGCGTGAGCCACCGCACCTGGCCAAAATAAAAAAAAAATTTAAAGAATTTTTAAAGAACATGGCTTTGAAGTACTGAGTTTTATTTTGGCAACATGGGCTTTAGTGGGGGAAAAAAAGGAAGTAGAACCATGTTCTGAGCATCACATTTGCTTCTACACTAACTGGCAACTTCTGTGAGATGGGGATAAGGCCTGCTTAATTTAGTTCCCAAGGTTACTATGGAAAAAAAAAATCAAGTTTCTTTGCAGAGTTGGCCTATTCCTTGCCTGGGGCAGGAAGGTACAAACTGAACCTGGAACATTTATTTTGCCCATAAGTAAGGAAACTTTACAAGATTGCATTTGAAAATTCATGAAAGATTAATAGAATCAGTCTATTTCACTTAAATATTATTTTTCAGTCATGTTGGTATTGACTAATTTATTGTATCAAATAATATAAAATTAATGTAAATTTAAAAATTTTAAAGACTGAAGGTGACTCAAAGTTTACAAAAGGCTACAGGATTAAGTACAGGCCTCTTTTTGTGCTAATTAAAATATTCTTTTTTTTTTTTTTGAAACAGGGTCTCACTCTGTCACCCAGGCTGGAGTACAGTGGTGGGATCTTGGCTCACTGCAACCTTTATCTCCCGGGTTCAAGGGATCCTCCCACCTGAGCCTCCTGTGCAGCTAGGACTACAGGCACCTGCCACCACGCCTAGCTAATTTCTTTTTTGTAGAGACAGGCTTTTGCCATGTTGCCCAGACTGGTCTGGAACTCCTGGGCTCAAGCAATCTACCCACCTTGGCCTCCTAAAGTGCTGGGAATTTGAAGCCACTGCACCCAGCCTATATTCTAAGATTAGATACTGGTGATGGTTGCCAACTATGTGAATACACTAAAAATCCACAGAACGATACGCTTTATAGCTGTGTCCAACCCTTTGAATGTGAGGACTCTTTAGGTGGCAGCAGGTATCCAGATCATGAACTTTTTTGTAGCTCATCAGCTATCATTAGTGTTAATTTCTTTAATTTTTATTGAGACAGTCTCGCTGTGTTGCCCAGGCTCGAGTGCAGTGGTGCCATCTTGGCTCACTTCAATCTCTGCCTCCCCGGTTCAAGCGATCCTCTCACCTCAGCCTCTTGTGCCTCAGCTTCCCAAGTAGCTGGGATTACAAGCATAGGCCACCATACCTGGCAAATCTTTCGATTTTTAGTACAGATGGGGTTTCACCATGTTGGCCATGCTAGTCTTGAACTCCTGATCCACCCGCCTCAGCCTCCCCAAGTGCTGGGATTATAGGTGTCAGCCACCACAGCTGGCACATGTTAGTGTATTTAATGTGTGGCCCAAGACAATTCTTCTTCCAATGTGGCTCAGGGAAAGCAAAAGATTGGACAACCAGGCTTTAAGATAATTCCTTCCCTTAACTAGCTCTCAGGAAAGAATCTTTGGAAAAAGATCCTGGAGTTGGGAATGACAATAATGTTGTTCAGTTAACCTTTACAAGTATGGTTTTCAGGCCTGGATAAGGGTCACAGTTGTATTTTCAGAAAAATGTGCAGAAAACTTGAGTAGACATCCACCAAGGTTACTTGTTTTTTTTGGTTTTGTTTTGTTTTTTTAACAGATGGGGTTTTGTTGTGTTGGCCAGGCTGGTCCCCAATTCCTGGCCTCCAGTGATCAGCCCACCTGGGCTTCCCAAAGTGCTGGGATTATAGGCATGAGCCACTGCACCCTGCCTTAAGATTGTTTTTAATTGTTACCAGCTTCCAGAGGACAAGATCTCAAAAATCTGTGTTCCCTATAGTGACACACTATCATTGCCTATATTCAGTTGGCAAATAAATTTTACATTTACATATAGAATGTTACTTTCCAATTATGATTAGCATTATTATCAAATATATAATACTTTGGGACTTACAATGGAAGTGGTACCAATACAACTCAGTTGACTATTACATCCTCTGCTATTAGTCAATAATATCCCTGTTAGAAAAAATCGTTGCAGGGTTGCCCAAGAATAGCCTAATATTTCCAAATTAATATAATAACTAGCAGCTTTATGACTTTATATCTTAATATAATGAATTAACCAAAGTAGTCACTGTTCAAGGTTTATTGGGGGTTTTAGTTGGTATAACACTTGGATAGTTGGTTGCATTGTTTGTATGTAGATCTTTTTACATTATATGGTAATGTACACTACTGATATAGTTCACAAAATAAGATCCTTTGGAAGAATTATGCACAAGACATGATATTGGATTTATACACTGGATCCCAGGATGTGACTCACTGGGAAAAAATGTTGGACTAGGCATGTTCAGTGAAGGAGCCAGGAAGTTATATAACACACGGTAAACATCCACCTGGCTCAAGGGGCAAATGCAGTACGTACAGCATTGGCAGTGGTGCGTCAGAGGTGGCAGAACTATTTCACACTAACCAGTTGAAGACTACACAAGATTAATACCATCCAGCATCAGGATATAGCTGTGGATTTTACAAACCATTCTTATTTCTAACTTCAGGAGTTGATGTTTTTCCCAGTCCATCTTAAAATATTACTGCTTTAATCACAGATCAGATAAAAAGGACAACATGCACAACCTCCACCTAGAATCCTGTTGTAGCCTAGACAGTGAAATGATATGACATCAGAAGACTTTAAAATTGCAGCTCCTTTTGGATCCCCCAAAGTGTATCTGCACTCTTCTTCAAACGGGCCTCTTCCTCAGAAGTCAGAGTCACCTTCACAAGGTCTGAGATTCCATTCTGTCCCAAAATGCAAGGAACACTAAGGAAGACATCATCCTTTATTCCGTAAAGACCCTGAAGATGAAATGAAAAAAAAAAAATCTCACATTTTGTCTATGCATTCCCAGGTTTCCCAAGACTTACAGTCTCTATAATTATAAAGCTTTTTTTTTTTAATTTTTTTTTGAGGCAGAGTCTCGCTCTGTCGCCCAGGCTGGAGTGCAGTGGCACGATCTCAGCTCACCGCAACCTCCACCTCCAGGGTTCAAGTAATTCTCCTGCTTCAGCCTTCTGGGACTACAGGCGTGCGCCACCACACTTGGCTAATTTTTGTATGTTTAGTACAGATGGGGTTTCACCATGTTGGCCAGGTTGGTCTCAAATTCTTGACCTCAGGTGATCCACCTCTTGGCCTCCCAAAGTGCTGGGGTTACAAGCATGAGCCACAGAGCCCAGCCGCTTTTTTTTTTCTTTTGAGATGGAGTTTCACTCTTGTTGCCCAGGCTGGAGTGCAATGGTGCGATCTCAGCTCACTGCAACCTCCACCTCCTGGGTTCAAGTGATTCTTCTGCCTCAGTCTCCCAAGTAGCTGGGATTACAGGCGCCTGCCACCACACCTGGCTAATTCTGTATTTTTAGTAGAGACAGGGTTTCACCATGTTGGTCAGGCTGGTCTTGAACTACTGACCTCAGGTGATCCACCCCTTGGCCTCCCAAAGTGCTGGGATTACAGGCATCAGCTGCCCGCACATGGCCTTTTTTTTTTTTTTTTTTTTTAACAGAGGCAAGATCTCACTATACTGCCTAGGGTGGTCTCAAACACCTGGGCTCAAGCAATTCTCCTGCCCTTGGCCTTCCAAAGTGCTGGCATTACAGCTGTCAGTCACTGTGTGTGGCCTAATTATGAAGATTTTAAAATACAACTTGAGGCCAGGTGCGGTGGCTCACACCTGCAATCCCAGCATTCGGGGAGGCCGAGGCGGGTGGATCACAAGGTCAGGAGTTCGAGACCAGCCTAGCCAATATGGTGAAACTCCATCTCTACTAAAAATACAAAAAGTAGCCGGGCGTGGTGGCACGCACCTGTAGTCCCAGCTACTTAGGAGGCTGAGGCAGAAGAATCGCTTAAACCTGGGAGGCAGAGGTTGCGGTGAGCCGAGATCGGCCACTGCACTGCAGCCTGGGTGACAGAGGGAGACTGTCTCAAAAAAATAAAAAACTTTGATAAGTAGAAATTCCTTTCCAGGTGTTCAGTTATGATTTAATTAATAGTATAAAAGAAAGTCATTAAAAATAGTAACATAATGCTAACTTGAATATAATTTCTATTTTCCCCAATGGAGAAATAGTTTATTTCTTTTATAGTCTTCCACCTACCTCAGCATAATTGAACAAGACTTTTTTGTAGTCAAATTATCAAGTATCTATGTGTTGAACAGGCCTAATGGACATTAATCCTAAAGCTCAACCATTTCTTTCAAAAAAGGTAAGCTGTGGGTACATTAATTTATTTCACTTAAGTCAGTAATGGAAGACTTGTATTAATCTTTCTCAGAAGAATCTTTTTTAAAAAGCCAGCAAAAAGCATTCAAATGCAGCGTATCACTACATAGACCTACCTTAATCATGGTGGAAACTGGGTGCACCCGCCTAAGATTCTTCATTATACTCTCTGCCAAATCTGCTACAGAGAGTCCAATAGCCCAGGATGTGTAGCCTTTGAGTTTGATCACCTCATAAGCACTGTATGATAGGAAACCATAGGTAAAGGCAGAAAAAGCAGGGTGGGAGAAAGAAAGAAAAACAAAGTTTTCATTAATACACATTTTACAGTAAATAATGCCACAATGTTGCATTATACCAAGAATAACCCTTGCACACATGTATGCTAGGATATTATGTACAGGGATATTCATTAACAGTACTGTTAGTAACAGCAAAAACATGACAATCTTTCCAATGTCCTCCAACAGAAGAATGGATAAATCATGGTATACTGATACAATGGAATATTACACAGCTATCAAAAAATAAACTATAGCTACTTGTAAAAAAAATTGGATAATTCTTAAAAATATAATATTGAATTTTAAAAAGAAATCCAAGATAACATAGCATCCTTAACTCAGGATTATCTCAAGTGGGAGCGTGAGGGGGACAGAGGGATAGCTGGGGGAAAGAGCACAGAATCCACTTATTTCCAAACACCAGCAGAATACTAAATTCTGATTCAACAATGTTATTTGACAGATATTGTGTTTCTTTCTTGAGCTGGGTGGTGGGTTCACAGGTTTTATTTAATTAAACAAATACAAACAAGAGGGCCTTGCTTGACCAATCACAAGAATATGTTATGAACTAAAGATTATGATTCTTTTTTTTTTGAGACGGAGTCTCGCTCTGTCGCCCAGGCTGGAGTGCAGTGGCGCGATCTCGGCTCACTGCAAGCTCCAACTACCGGGTTCATGCCATTCTCCTGCCTCAGCCTCCCGAGTAGCTGGGACTACAGGCGCCTGCCACCACGCCCGGCTAATTTTTTGTATTTTTAGTAGAGACGGGGTTTCACCGTGTTAGCCAGGATGGTCTCCATCTCCTGACCTCGTGATCTGCCTGCCTCGGCCTCCCAAAGTGCTGGGATTACAGGCATGAGCCACCATGCCCGGCTATGATTCATTTTTTAATTCTATAGACCTGAGGTCCACACAGGACCACAAAGGTAAATAATGCCACCAAGTTGAAAGCTTCCCTATTTCAATAATTTTTTTTTTCCTTTGAGACAGGCTCTTACTCTGTCACCCAGGCTAGCAGGCTCTGGAGTGCAGTGGCAGGATCTCGCTTCACTGCAGCCTTGACCTCCCAGGCTCATGCGATCCTCCTGCCTCAGCCTCTCAAGTAGCTAGGACCACAGGTGCTCACCACCATGCCTGGCTAATTTGTGTATTTATTGTAGAGACAGGGTTTTGCCCTGTTGCCCAGGCTGGCCTTGAACTCCTGAGCTCAAGTGATCCTAGGGCCTGGGCCTTGCAAGGTGAGGCACATTCTTTTTTTTTTGGCTAACATGGTGAAACCCCATCTCTACTAAAAATACAAAAAATTAGCCGGGCGTCATGGCATATGCCTGTAGTCCCAGGTACCCAGGAGGCTGAGGCAGGAGAATCGCCTGAACCCGGGAGGCAGAGGTTGCAGTGAGCCAAGATTGCGCCACTGCACTGCAGCCTGTGCGAAAGGGCAAGATTCTGTCTCAAACAAAACAAAACAAAAAAACCACACAAGTTTTCTAACAAAAAGTTCTCAAATGCAAATACTATTACAATTTTAACCTTTTAAATAAAAATAGTAAATGTTAATATTCTGTGTTGCCAAATTGAAAGATTTATTACCTCTCAACCACCTGCTTGTGAACCTCTTTCCACTGTTCCTTATCTTTATCAGTCCCTAAATCTGGGTGCAGAGTCTTCAGAGAGACACCAGCAACATTCATTCCACTCCATACAGGCACTAAAAGAAATAGTACAGACTACATTTATTTTCATGTACCAACAGATTAGTAATTGTGATTCATTTTCCTAATTCTCTTATCTTCGGAGGAAGAATACTCAATTTTGGTAGATGGTCAAGACTACTAATGTAGTCATTACTCACTTTTAGATTAGATTTTCATTTACTTACATTATGTAAAACTAAGAATTTTAACTGTATTCTAACCTGTTTCTCTAGCCAATTGAAATGTTTAACCCATGTATATTTGAAATATAAAGATAGTATGAGAACATAAGGGGGGTTTTCTTAGCATACAGAACCTAATCATAACATTTTTCAACTGTGATAATATAACTTTTGTGCATTTGGATTTGCTCATCTTTTCAGGGCCAGGCAGTACAAGTCAGGTATAAACAGCTGTGATATTAAATGACTGAAGACATCCTAAGAACTACAGTCTTAAGATATCCATGGTAAGAAGAGAAATTTCATTTCCCGTCCCCCTCGCCATAAAATGCCATATAAAATGGCAACAATCTTAACAATTCTTAACATATAATTATACAAAATGCTAGATTTCGGGAAACCATTCCATCCTACTGAATGGATATTTGATTAGGCTCTAATTGAATAATATAATGCCCATCGACTTTTTATATAATCTTTTCAAAAACAAAAAGAAAATAACTTATGCTTACCACTGGAATCTCCATGTTCCCCAAGGACCCACCCATGACAGCTTAATGGGTGAACTCCCAGCCTTTCCCCCATTAGGTAACGGAATCGGGCTGAATCCAGATTGCAACCGCTTCCAATAACACGGTTTTTGGGAAAACCACTTATCTTCCAAGCCACGTAGGTCAAGATATCCACTATGAAAAAGGAGAAAATAAAAATCACCCATTATCCTCTCCCTACACACAAAAAAGATATACCTACTATGAAGAAAACACTTAACCAGATACTAGGTGATCATTAGATAATAATAGGCTACTCCAGATATATGGCTTTTCAGGATCTTGATATTGATCATGGCTAACCAATAATTTTGTTAATATTTTTAAGCCTCTACACTATGTATATCAAGTCCATTAATTATTCAAAAAGTAGTTTTGGCTGGGCATGACAACTCACACCTGTTATCCCAACACTTTGGGAGGCTGAGGTGGGAGGACTGCCTGAGGCCAGCAGTTCAAGACCAGCCTGGGCAACATAGCAAAACCCCATCTCTACAAAAAAACTTTTAACAAACTAGCCAGGCATATTGGTGCACGCCTGTAGTCCTAGCTACTTAAGAGGCTGAGGAAGAAGGATCACCTGAGCCTAGTAGGTCAAAGCTGCCATGATCATCCCATTGCCCTCCAGCTTGGGCGACAGAGTGAGACATGCTCTCAAAAAAAAAGTATAGTAACAGTTTTATGAAAATAAACTGTTTATCAACTAAGAGACAATTATGGGCCCGGGCACGGTGGCTCACGCCTGTAATCCTAATACTTTGGGAGGCTGAGGCAGATGGATCACCTGAGCTCAGGAATTTGAGACCAGCCTGGGCAACATGGTGAAACCCCTTTCTACTAAAACTTCAAAAATTAGCCGAGCATGGTGGCACGTGCCTGTAATCCCAGCTCTTGGGAGGCTGAGGCAGGAGAATTGCTTGAACCCAGGAGGCAGAGGTTGCAGTGAGCCAAGATCGAACCACTGCACTCCAGCCTGAGCTACAAAGTGAGACTGTCTCAAAAAAAAAAAAAAAAAAAAAGAGAATAACAATTATTCACAAACTTATCCCTTATCCAAGATCTTGGGCAGGTAATTTTAAGCTCCAACTACATTTAAAGGCATTGTATTCCCTTTAATGTTTTAAAATTATTAAAAAACAAAAAACACACACACACAAATCTCCTTAGAAGGGAAATGAAACATGAAAAATAAATGAATCACCAGGCACGGTGGCTCACGCCTGTAATCCCAGCACTTTGGGAGGCCAAGGCGGGCAGATCACGAGGTCAGGAGATCGAGACCATCCTGGCTAACCTGATGAAACCCCGTCTCTACTAAAAATACAAAAAATTAGCCAGGCGTCGTGGTGGGCACCTGTAGTCCCAGCTACTCGGGAGGCTGAGGCAGGAGAATGGCATGAACCCGGGAGGCGGAGCTTGCAGTGAGCCAAGATCAAGCCACTGTACTCCAGCCAGGGTGACAGAGCAAGACTCCGTCTCAAAAAAAAAAAAAAAAAAAAAAGAAAAATAAATGAATCAATAAATATGCGTGGCTGGGCACGGTGGCTCACGCCTGTAATCCTAGCACTTTGGGAGGCAGATGGACTGCTTGAGGCCAGGAGTTCAAAACCAGCCTGGCCAACATGGTGAAACCCTGTCTCTACTAAAAATATAAAAAATTAGCCATGTGTGGTGGCAGGCGCTTATAATCCCAGCTACTTGAGAGGCTGAGGCAAAAGAATCGCTTGAACCCATGAGGCAGAGGTTGCAGTGAGCCCAGATTGCGCCACTGCACTCCAACCTGGGCGACAAGAGCAAAACTCCGCCTCAAAATATATATATATATTTTAAAATAATATTCGAAAATATTTTTAAAAATGTATTTTTTAAAATATTTCAAAATATTTAAAATATATATAATATATATATCATATACTATCAGTTTTACTATAGCTTGTCAATTTTTATGCAGTCAAAAGCCTCACCTGGATTTGAAACAATAAGCAACTTGCAGTTCGGGCTGTATTTTACAACATTAGGAATGATGAATTTAAAGATGTTCACGTTACGCTGGACCAAATTAAGACGGCTTTCTCCCTCTTGCTGACGTGCCCCAGCCGTGATAATGACCAGCTTGGAGTTTGCAGTTACATTATAGTCTAGAGAAAAGGGGAATAATGACCAGATTAAGGCCTTTAGAATAAATTTTACCTAGGCAGCAAAAATTTGTTCCATAAATGCTCCACAAACCTTTCTTGTTCTTAGAGTTTTATCATTATGGCTTCTTAAATGGAGGAAGAGCATGTCAACATCTTCCTTGTAGTTTTAGTCAAGTTGTAACTTTATGTAACTACAATTAGGGAGAGCTGGAGGAAATCAAGTTTATTATTTGATTCTCCTATTAATTTCTTACATATCCTCAAATTTTTGATCCCCAAGCTCAACGTTCACACTCTTCCATACTCCTGTTTCTACTTAACTGGTGTCCTATCAGCCCAGGAACAGGCAATTTCGTGTGTGTGTGTGTGTGTGTGTGTGTGTGTGTGTGTGTGTGTGTGTGTGTGTGGTGGTGGTGGTAGGGGGACTTGTTTTTAAGCAGAGACAGCTTTACACTTAACAAACATATTTTGCTTCTAGATACCCTATGGCACAAGAGAGTTAAACCAGTGATGAAGGGAGTTGCCCATCAGCAAGGTGGCCAGTGATTTTCAGGTATCAAAATAGACACTATTTGGGCTCACATTCAGGTTTCTTGGCTGGTGCTGTTAAGTGTGAAAGGGTCAAGCCAAGAGTATTAGCTGAACAGGCTCATTTATTTACCCTATTCTCAACTTCGTGTGTGAAAGGATGTGGGGGCAAGTAAGTAACACAATGTGGTTAAATACAGACCTAAGGTTTAAGCTTTACTCATTACATTCTAATTCAGATGGTTTGCATAGCATGGACAAATTGGATTTCTATTTTAAACCATTTGCCAGAAATTGAAACTTTGATATTCACAGGCACCTAAGTGAAATTGTTCCCAGGCTCTTGCACCCGGCATTTAAAACAAAATCTTTAAAGAGCTAGGATTTCAAGCCTGATAAAACATTTAAGTCTAAAGCCGGGCACAGTGGTTCACACCTGCAATCCCAGTACTTCGGAAGGCTAAGGAGGGAGGATCACTTGAGCCCAGTGGTTCAAGACAGGCCTGGGCAACACAGTGGGTCCCCATCTCTACAAAAAGTAAAAAAATTAGCCGGGCATGGTAGCATACCCTATAGTCCCAGTTTCTTTGTGAGGGGGAGGGGGTAATGAAGTGGAAGGAGGATTGCTTGAGCCCAGGGTTCGAGGCTGTGGTGAGCCATAATTGTGCAACTGCACTCTACCCTAAGCAACAAATGGAGACCATCTGGAAAAAGAATTTAAGTCAAGCATGGATTATAATATAAACTTGTTGAAATCAACCTTTGCCAGAGACAATCTTTGGTGTTCTAAGGAAAAGGCTGCCATGTTGGAGATCCATCATCTCTCCCTTCAATTTGTCTTCGATGACATCAACAAGAGCAAGTTCATCTGCCAAGTCCTAAAAGACATCAAATCTTTAGTTAAATGGAAAATTGCCACTTCTAGATTTTTAGAAGAGCATGAAAAATTTCTATATTTCTGGCATAGGAGAGTTCTGTTACTTTATTAGTACAGTATCGAGATATTCAAAGTAGAGGGCACCCCATTTCAAAAGCTGACTTACAGATTACACCCTACATAGATAGCACTGACCCTCTCTCCAGCCCTGTCTCCCCACTGAAGCGAGCTCTATAGGAGTTCCACCACTGCAGATGTGGAAGCAGAACACTGGACTGGCAGTTGCTAGAATAACTTCCAATTATATAAAACTGCTCTGTCTACTCTCTCAAATTCCATCCTACACACCAATTTTAGGTTGTTATTCATTTAACTAGGTGATATTGACCAGCATCAAGACTTGAAATTAGTAAGAAATGTTCTGGCCGGGCATAGTGACTCACATCTGTAATCCCAACACTTTGGGAGGCCGAGGCGGGCACATCACTTGAGGTCAGGAGTTCAAGACAGCCTGGCCAGGCCAGGCACGGTGGCTCACGCTTGTAATCCCAGCACTTTGGGAGGCCAAGGTAGGCGGATCACGAGGTCAGGAGATCGAGACCATCCTGGCTAACATGGTGAAACCCCGTCTCTACTAAAAAATACAAACATTTAGCCAGGCGTGGTGGTGGGTGCCTGTAGTCCCAGCTACTTGGGAGGCTGAGACAGGAGAATGGTATGAACCCGGGAGGCAGAGCTAGCAGTGAGCGGAGTTCACGCCACTGCACTCTAGCCTGGGCGACACGGCGAGACTCCTTCTCAGAAAAAAAAAAAAAAAAAAAAAAAAAAGACCAGCCTGGCCAATATGGTGAAGGCCTGTCTCTACTAAAAATACAAAAATCAGCCAGGCGTGGCGGTGGGTGCCTGTAGTCCCAGCTACTCGGGAGGCTGAGGCAGGAGAATCACTTGAACCCAGGAGGTCAAGTGAGCCAAGATCGTGCCACTGCACTCCAGCCAGGGCAACAAAGCGAGATTCCGTCTCAAAAAAAAAAAACTTAAAAAGTTAAAAAGTCTGATTTCCGCCCATCTTTCAGAGATGGAATCTGAACTATTCCCTGGTTGATTCCATATATGAACCAATACTAACAGTTATGGATAAATAGGTTTGTGCAGTGTATAATACTGGCAAAAAATATCCTTATAGTTGCAACTCAAAGTTCATAGGTCCATTTCAGGCCAGGAGCACCAATAACAGCTTTAATACAACTGGATGTGGTCTATCGTTACCAAAAGTTATTCAAGCTGCAGATCTATCCCTAAATCATCCACAATATAATGAGTGTCAGTTACTCTTCTTACCCACACCTGAGCCAGAGGCCATCACAGAGAAAAAACATAGGCGGTTTGTAGGTGTGGGGAAAACAGCATCAATTTCTCATCTAGTGGGTAAGGAATAAAAGTTGGTGTATTATGTGGCCTTTCCTAAGAACATATGTAGAGTCACCTGTGTTGTTACGAGGCCTTTTCATAGCTCATTTCTGTCTTTAGTCCCTTCTCACTTGAATCCATTTCTATTTAGAACCCAGAATTCATCATTTTACTTTTATTAGACACTCCACATCTTAACTTCAGATTTTTTTTTTTGAGATGGAGTCTCACTGTCGCCCAGGCTGGAGTGGAGTGGTGCTATCTCGGGTCACTGCCACCTCCACCTCCTGGGTTCAAGCAATTCTCCTGCCTCAGCCTCCCAAGTAGCTGGGACTATAGGCGTATGCCACCACGCCCGGCTAATTTTTTGTATTTCTAGTAAAGATGGGGTTTCATCGTGTTAGCCAGGATGGTCTCCATCTCCTGACCTCGTGATCCACCCACCTCAGCCTCCTAAAGTGCTGGCATTACAAGCATGAGCCACTGTGCCCCGCCTCAGACATTTTAATGTTGTAAGCTGCCTCAATTTCTTTTAAATATAAATCAGCTTTCAATAGTGTAATAAGGAGTGCTTTACTCACAATTTCTTTTTTCTAATTAAATTTTAGCTCCATAATTGATAACAAAATTGCTATCCAAGGCACAGGGGCAATGAGATTTGAGTGGGAGAACTTATGATTTCCCATATAATTTTACCAATAAATGACAATTTTTGAATTGTCATTTTCAATTCAAAAATCACTTTAAAAGAATTTTGGCTCATTTAAAATCATGGACCCTTCCTTTTCATTGGTAGTCAATCCATGCATGTTAATACAGAATAATGAATTTTAGGAACTGGGTCTCCAGCCTGACAACCTTTGATTCTTTTTAATTTCAGATACACTTTTGGTGTATTATCATATTTCAAAAGTTTGTTTCACAGAAAGTTATCCGAATGAGTGCATAAATCTAAATACTGTTACATGAAATGTAATAATACAGTTCTAGGGGTAGGAGTGGGGGTAGAGGATGGGGTCAAGGTATGGGCTTCCAGTGTGGTAGACTCTCACTTACCTTCATTAAGATACTGATGGCACAGGCCATGCCAACAGCACCAACCCCAACAACTGTAATCTTATTCTGGGGGGTCTGTTCTTCCTTTAGAAGATTATAAATCAGCTGATCCTTTAGAGTTGCCATATTGGACTTGGAACCAAAAGGAATCTATAGGAGGAAAAACATTTAGTGTCACTACAGCTTCTTTAATGTTTATTAACCAAGAGATTTTTTTAAGCTATTTTACTTCCTTTGGGGGTATTTGCCACTATAAATCACTAGAGATGACTAAAAAGGGAGGGGAAAAAACCTAATGGTTGCCAAAAGAGAGTTGAAAGGCCTAATGACAGGGTCTGTGAAGAGTGAAGGCCCATACCTTAGCGTGGAAAAGGAATATCGACGTTTGGGTGTAAGTATAGCCTCCTGAGGGTTCACCCATCGCGGTTTATTAACCCCAAGTGGGGCTGGCCTTTCCTCAGACAAGATCACTCTGAGCTACTCCGGCTCCTACAGCAAGGACACAGCCAGGCTTCTCAAGTAAACACCAGAGATACGTGCAGAAAAGCCATTAACTGCCACAAAGCTCAAGCCCAAGGCACAGGAGCCTGCGGTGATCCGCGCGCATGCGCGCTTTGTGGCTCTCCTTCCCGCTCGGAAAGGTGGGCGGAAATCAGACTAATTGCTGGGTCCTCCGAACGCCCGGCTTTTACGCCCCGCCCAAGTCCGGAAGATGGGCGGGCCCAGGAACTTGTGCGCGTGCGCATGCGCATTACAGCGCGCAGGGCGAAGCCGATTAGTCTAGCGGCCTCCGGCCGTTGGGAAGCGGGCATCGGGCCAGAAGGCAGAAGGCTGAGAAGCCCCGCCCGTAAGCAGAGGCAATCTGGAGCTATGCAGCTCAGTGGGTGAGAGGGAGGGAGCTGGGATTCAGACTTCAGACCTAATGAATGCCCCGAAGCAGACGCCAGCAACGTGAAGCCTAGCTGGCAGCCTCCCAGGTCTGGCGCGCAGCCAGCGCCAGACTTTAAATCGCAATACTAGAAACCAGGGCCTGTTAACCAACCGGGAGGGAGGCGCACGGTGTGGCTTCGGCCGTGATCCTTGTTGCAAAGGCCTGTCAGGCCCAGTATGAAGAAATAGTTTCAGTACAGGGAGTGTAGAAATAGCTGCAGAAGGCCTGAGGCCTGCAGCCCTAGAGTTAATAGCTACTTGGTGGAACCCTCGAATTCTTTCCACCTTGTTAATCCAACCCTGCACTGCATTCGCTGGAGGAAATATCACAGGCTGCATCCCCAAAGTATCACGTCTAGTTTTGACACCACTCCAAAGGGCAAAAATCCGAGAGGACCTCTAGGCAGGCAGTCAGCCCAGAGTCACCAAGCTGGAGCCGGGTCTCTCCTTACAAATCACTGCTATTTCTAGACAGCCTTGTAAGGTTTCTAGCCTGGCAGGGGGAAGGGAGTTCCTGCGGACACCTGCTAGCTTCACTGAACGGCCCCGGGATCCAATGCTACCTTTAATGTAGGGGCGGAGGTGGGAGGGCATGGGATGAGGGAAGGGTGCGTCTAGAGGCGAGAGACATGCAAAAACGAGTTCTACACCTCACCTCTGCCTCCTACTCACTGGGAACTTAGAGATCCCTGACTGTCTCCTAGCTTTCGGTCTCCCTATTTGTTAAAAGGAGGAGTTGGTACCGGCGGATCCTACTCAACTGACCGTCTGAGGTGCGGAAGGGCTGGGATGCTGCCTGCTTCATCTTTGCATGCGCCGTGCCTAGCGCAGCCCGAGATACACCAGTAGCTTCTTAATAAATGCGCAAAGGGCTCCCTATAATCTGCAGGCAGCAGCTGCCCTCACGGAGCCCACCTCTCGAGCGTCCCAAGAGAAAAATGCAAGCCGCGTGGTACTCAGCCGCTTTCCGTCTTTCAAGAACCCGCCCCGGACAAGCTGAGGCTTTTTTGGCTCTATGGGCTCCGAGAACTGGACCTCGAGTTTTGCACCGCCCGCCGATTTCGAGCCCAGAGGTATCCCCCACCCTTAAGGCCTATCATATCCTTGTTCCGCATCCACCCGGGCTTTCGACCCCTGCTTGGGTGCGGCCACCTCCTCGGTTCCCCAGCGTGGCCAGAAGCCATGGTTCCCGCTTAGAGCAAAAGCAGAGCGCGGCGAGCTCCGAACACATGCGTTGTGTGGGCCGCCGCCCAGACGTCTCTGGGCTGTGCTTCTGGAAAGCGGCTCCTACACCTCCCGGGAGCAGGAATCCCTTCGCGAGCAGCGGAGGCCAGCAGAACCAGAGGCAGTTGGCTCTACCCGCCCATCCCTCTGGCGCCGTGCGCGCAGGGCCCTACCGTACCGGGAATGCACGTCGGGCGGTCGTCGGGGGCGCGTGGCAATGAGATCCGGAATCGGCGGCAGCGGCTGCAGCACTCTGAGCTGGGCGCGGGAGGGGCCTTAAGTGGAACAGCTATGCTGACGTCAGCGGGGGGGGCCGGCGGACGTGCGGGAACCCACGTGTGAGTCGGGCTGGGGGTGGATGCCGAGCCAGGCGGGGCACTGGAGAGGCCCGGGTGGCGCGCGCAGCCAGACAACCGACCGGCAGACTGCTCCACGTGCGCTGGGAGTCTAAGTAAGGTGCTGCCCTCCAACCACAGAAGCCGGGGTCGGAGCCATGAGCCTGAGTCAGGACGACCTTCAGTTTCCTCATCCATGAAACCTGGGGAGGTTACTCTCAGGAAGGCTTGGATCTGTTTCTTCTTCATCCCTGTTTCTCAGTGTCCAGAACAGCTTCTGGCACGTAATAGGCACTCCACAAATATTTGTTGAACGAAAGGAAGAAAATGCCTAGCAGTCAGTCAGTCTGTTCTTACCTAAGTCGAGTGACCTCCAAAACTCGACGCTGCTTTTCCCTCTGCTGCTAAGCCTACCAGCTCCCACTCACAGTGAAGCCTTGGCCTCTCAGGCCTTGCAGGGTGACTCAGTTCAAATGTACATTTTATTCTGCACTTTCTACTGCCCACCCCACTGGCATCTCATCTCGAGTCTCAACCATACCCAAGAACTGTCAGTGGCTTGTTTTTTTGGTTTTGGTTTTTTGTTTGTTTATTTGTTTTTTGGTATTTTTCGAGACAGGGTCTCACTCTGTCACCCAGGCTGGAGGGCAGTGGCGTGATCATGGCTTCCTGCAGCCTCGACCTTCTGGCTCAAGCGATCCTCCCACCTCGGCTCCCCGAAGTGACTGGGACTACAAGCGCGCCCACTTGCCCTGCGATTTTTTTTTTAATTATTAATTTTTTTTTTTTTGAAACGGAGTCGCTCTGTCGCCCAGGCTGGAGTGCAGTGGGCTGATCTCGGCTCACTGCAACCTCCGCCTCCCGGGTTCAAGCGAATCTCCTGCCTCAGCCTCCTGAGAAGATGGGATTACAGCCAGGCGCCACCACGCCCGGCTAATTTTTGTAATTTTTAGTAGAGACGGGGTTTCACCATGTTGGTCAGGCTGATCTCAAACTCCTGGCCTCAAGTGATCTGGCCGCCTCGGCCTCACAAAGAGCTGGGATTACAGGCGTGAGCCACCGTGCCCAGCTCAATTTTTTGTTTTCTTATCATACTTACCTCTGGGCCTGTATTCTTGCTGATTCCATTGCCTAGCCCGCCCTCCTCCATCTCTTCTTTAATTTGTACCAATACTTCCCCACTGTGGGGTATATTATGAAATATATTTGGTAAGCCCTTGAGTATGCCAAAATTTCCTGAATTTTCTGATAGGAATGTCTTTTGTTATTTATAAAGAGCCTTTTTCCCTGACTTAATGTTAATGAATGAGGAGTCTTAGATAGCCTCAGGAAGGAGCCAGTCATGGGAAAGACCAAATGATTAGGGAATTAGAGGGCTGGAACTTTCAGCCCAAAGGGGTGGATGGCTTTACTTACTCCCTGAACCTACAGCAGCAGCCCAGTGCAGCTTTGAGATAGATCCATAACTGAGTTTCTTGGTTTTGACGGAAAACTCTAACCTCAGCTCCAAAATAGCACAAGGGGCCAGGTGCAGTGACTCATGCCTGTAATCCCAGCACCAATGTGGTTGAGGTGGGAGGACTGCTTGAGGCCAGGAGTTCGAGACTAGCCTGGGCAGCATAGTGAGACCCTGTCTCAAAAAAAAAAAAAAAATAGCAGGGCATGCTTGCATGTTCTAACAGTTTTCCCATCACTCTAGATTCTAAGATCACTCTAGGTTCTGAAATGGGGCTCTCACCTCAAACACACAGCTGGAAAGTTTAGGGGTGGGCCACTGATTCTTCAGAGTACCTCAGGGCAGGGCAGATTGCCACAGTGTTTTCCGGTTTCTCAGTCTTTGCAACAGTGTTCTCAGTCAGGGCTGGGCCCCTGCCTGCCTACCAAATGTGACCACTGCTGCTGGGAAGAGGTGTGCAGAAGGCAGAGAGCTGAAGTTGGCTGGGGAGACGAAGAATTTTCACCTGAAAGGCTTGGGTTGGGGCACTCTGAGATGACCTGTGAAGATAAACTAGGTAGAGTCTTCATTCCCCTAATTTATGATACCTAGCAACAGCTTGCTCCAAGCACAGCTTCAGGCTTCTTAGGCAGAACAACAGCCAGTATTTGACTCCACAAATATGAATAAAACAAATACCATTTACTGAGCACCTGCTATGGTGCTGGCAGCCAGCTAGGTAATCCCCATACTCATCCTTTGGAGTAGGCATAATTATCCCCATTTTTCAGATATGGAAACCAAGGCTCAGAAAGGTAAGTGACTTTGCTAAGGTAGTGCAGCTAGTAAGTGATTTTGGCTGAGACTTTAACCCAGTGCTGACTAACCCCAAAGCCTATGATTTTCTCTCTATTATAGGATGTTGTCCCACATCACTCCATACAAAGGGCAAGAAATTATCTAGGGGGCCCAAACCAGTCCCAGGCTCAGAAGAGGCTGTGGGTGCCAATGGGTGTATCTGCTGAGACCTTGGTATTCTGCCCTTAGACTGGGACTTAGACCCTTGGCTCTCCTGATTCTCAGGCCTTTGGGCTCGAACTGGAATTTATACCACCAGCTTTCCTGAGTCTCCAGCTTGCAGATGGCAAGATCATGGGACTTCTCTGCCTGCATAAACACATAAGTAAATTCCTCCTCATAAATCTCTTTATATATATTCTTCCATTGGTTCTGTTTCTCTGGAGAACCCTGACTAATATAGAACCCTGACTAATACAATCCAAACAGTAGAACTTCTGTACTAAAGCCAGAGAAGAATGTGGAACCCTTGGAACAGGTCAGAAAACACTTTCAGGGGACAGAACAGAATTCTTAATCTGACCAAGTGTTCTTTGGATGTGGCCTCTTCAAAAGGGAAAACCCCTAGCACAGTCACTATGGAAAACAGTATGGAGACCCCTCAAAAAACTAAAACTGCAACTTCCATATGATCCAGCAATCTGAGTATATATCCAAAAGAAACGAAATCAGTATATCAAACAGATATCTGCACTCCCATGACTATTGCAGCACTATTCACAATAGCTGAAGTATGGATGAACTCAATCTAAGTGTCATCAATGGATGGATGATAAAGAAAATGTGTTGGCCAGGTGCAGTGGCTCATGCCTCTAATCCCAGCACTTTGGGAGGCCGAGGTGGGCGGATTACCTGAGGTCAGGAGTTCAAGACCGGCCTGACCAACATGATGAAACCCCATCTCTACTAAATAAAAAAATTAGCCGGGCGTGGTGGTACATGCCTGTAATCCCCAGCTACTTGGGAGGCTGAAGCAGGAGAATTGCTTGAACCCAGGAAGCAGAGGGGCTGGACATGGTGGCTCATGCCTGTAATCCCAGCACTTTGGAAGGCTGAGGCAGGCAGATTGAGCCCAGGAGTTCAAGACCAGCCTGGGCAACATGGTGAACCCCCATATCTACAAAAAATACAAAAAAAAAAATTAGCTGAGGATGGTGGTAAATGCCTGTAGTCCCATCTACCCAGGAGGTTGAGGTGGGAGGATCACCTGACCCAGGGAGGTCCAGGCTGCAGTGAACTGTGATGTCACCACTGCAATCCAGAGCAAGACCCTGTCTCAAAAAAAAAAATTTAAAAAAAGAAGAAAAAAATGTGCTGTATATACCCAGTGAAATACTATTCAGCTATTTCAGAATGAAATCCTGTCATTTGCAGCAACATGGATGGAACTGGAGGTCATTATGTTAAGTGAAATAAACTGGCACAGAAAGGCAAACATCGCATGTTCTCACTCATGTGGGAACTAAAAAATTTGGTCTTATGGAGGTAGTGAATAGAATGGTGGTTACCACAAGTTGGGGAGGATAGTGGGGATGAAGGATGAAGAGGGATTGGTTAATGGGTGCAAAAATACAGTTAGATAGGGCGAGTATAGTTAATAACTTATTGTATATTTCAAAATAGCTAGAAGATTCAGAATGTGCCCAACACAAAGAAATCACAAATATTTGAGGTGATGGATATACCAGTTCCCCAGATTTGATCATTATACATTTTATGCTTGTATCAAAATGTCACATGTACCTCATGCATATGTACAACTATTATGTATCAGTAAAATTTTTTTAAAGGGAAAATCCCATAAAGAGGTGGTTTAACCAAGGGACAAGCTGGCCTCAGAGAATAGATGCTGCTTAGCACCCACTGTAAGATTTTCCTAAAATGGCCCTGGCTGCAGGATGCTGTCCATCCAAAACATAGTGCTGAGTCATTCCTTCATCTTGTATTTATTATACGCCTCCTTAAGAGCATTCGGTGGCCCCTCATTGCCTCAAGAATAAAGTCCAAACACTTTGGAAAGACACAGCCAAACCCCTGTGATCCAGCGCCCACATCCCCTCTCTGGTTTTATCTATTTTCCTTCATGCTTCCTATGTACCAGTCCCAGGGCTACGCACCACATTCTCCAAATGTGCCATGTACTCTCTCACCTCAAGCCTTCCACCTAGGGAGTTCCTTCACTCTGAGTGCCCTCTCCTTTGCCATCATCCCTACCCACCTGAGCCCCACATAACCAGCACTCAATATATTCCTTTTTTTTGAGACAGGGTCTCCCTCTGTGACCCAGTGCAATCTCAGCTCACTGTATGCAACCTCCACATCCCAGGCTCAGGTGATCCTCCCACCTCAGCCTCCTGAGTAGCTGTAACTATAAGTGTGCACCACAATGCCCGGCTAATTTTTATATTTTTAGTAGAGACGGGGTTTCTCCATGTTGTCCAGCCTCGTCTTGAACTCCTGGGCCCAAGCCATCTGCCTACCTCAGCCTCCCAAATAAATTAATTCATATTTGTATATGTCTCTGTCACTGAACTGTAAGCTCCTAGTGCAAATAAACTTTTTTTCCACTGGGAAACTTTCTTTCCACTAGGAAAAAATGTTTTCCTAGCACAGGGCAAGAAGTTTTCCTAGCACCGGGCACAGTGGCTCATCCTTCTAATACCAGCACTTTGGGAGGCTGAGGCAGGAGGATCGCTTTAGCCCAGGAGTTTGAGAGCAGCCTAGGCAAAATAACAAGACCTCATCTCTACGAGAAAAAAAAAATTAGCTGGGCATGGTGGCGTGTGCCTGTAGTCCCAGCTACTCGGGAGACTAGGGTGGCAGAATTGCTTGAGTCCAGAAGGTTGAGGCTGCAGTGAGCTATGATCGCTCCACTGCACTCCTGCCTGGGAGACAGAGTGAAACCCTGTCTCAAAAACAAACAACAACAACAACAAAAAGGCTGGGCACGGTGGCTCACCCCTGTAATCCCAACACTTTGGGAGGCCGAGGCTGGCGGATCACGAGGTCAGGAGTTCGAGACAAACTGGACAACATGGTGAAACCTTGTCTCTACTAAAAACACAAAAATTTGCCGGGTGCGGTGGCAGGCACCTGTAATCCCAGCTACTCGGGAGGCCGAGGCAGGAGAATTGCTTGAACTCAGGAGGCGGAAGTTGCAGTGAGCCAATATTGCGCTACTGCACTCCAGCCTGGGTGACAGAGCAAGACTCCATCTCAGAAAACAAACAAAAAAACCCCACAAGTTTCTCATTTATCTCCATAACCCAACACATACATTTATTTGTTTAACAAATATATTTTGAATTAAATGCCTGCTATGTAAAGGGACTGTGCTAGGTATTGGGGATACAAAAATGAATACAACAAACTTATAAGCCTTCGAAGACTTTCGTATTTAGTGGAGGAAACTGACAGCCTCGCCCTTAATAGTCAGAATGCATAAGAGAATGTAACTACTGCAAAAGAGGTAGAGAAAAGTGCTCTGCCATTCAGAGGAGAGAGGGCATTTGGGTAAGGATACCAAAAAAGGCTTCCTGGAAGAGGTAGCATCTGAGCTGCAGCTAGAAGAGGATTTTAATTGGTAAAGATCAGGGGCTGAGAAAGCAGAGAACAAAGCATGAATAAAATGCACAGGGGCAGGAAAATACATGGTGAGTCTGGTTAATCTTTAGCCTTAAATGCCAGGCTAAGAAATTTGGGGGAGACAGGGTATGCTGGCTGACATTTGTTTTTTTTTGTTTTTTTTGTTTTTTGAGACAGAGTCTCACTCTGTCGCCCAGGCTGGAGTGCAGTGGCGCAATCTCGGCTCACTGCAAGCTCCGCCTCCGGGGTTCACGCCATTCTCCTGTCTCAGCCTCCCGAGTAGGTGGGACTACAGGCGCCTGCCACCGCGCCCGGCTAATTTTTTGTATTTTTAGTAGAGACGGGGTTTCACCGTGTTAGCCAGGATGGTCTCGATCTCCTGACCTTATGATCCGCCCCCCTCGGCCTCCCAGAGTGCTGGGATTACAGGCGTGAGCCACCGCGCCCGGCCAACACTTGTTTTTTTGTTCTTGTTTGTTTGGTTGGTTGGTTGATTGTTTTTGAGATGGAGTCTCGCTCTGTTGCCAGGCCAGAGTGCAGAGGCGCGATCTCCGCTCACTGCAAGCTCCGCCTTCCGGGTTCAAGCTATTCTCCTGCCTCAGACTCCCGAGTAGCTGGGACTACAGGCGCGCACCATTACACACAGCTAATTTTTTCGTATTTTTAGTAGAGACGAGGTTTCACCATGTTGGCCAGGATGGTCTCGATCTTCTGACCTCGTGATCCACCCAGATCTGTCTCCCAAAATGCTGGGATTACAGGCGTGAGCCACTGTGCCCAGCCCGTGGCCGACACTTGTAATCCTAGGACTTTGGGAGCCTGAAGCAGGAGGATTGCTTGAGCCCAGGAGATTGAGGCTGCAGTAAGTCATGCTTACACCACTGAACTCCAGCCTGGGCAACAGAGTAAGGAAAGGAAGGCACCAGGATTTTTTTTAGTAATACACAACATACAGATCTACAACATGTACAGACCATATACAGCTCCAACCACATGTGTTCAGAACATACACTTCTCATACAACCCTAGACAGCCCCACAGTCCCTTCAAACCCTCACTGACAGCCTGACTCTTTTTTTTACCTTTTCTGTGGTTGCAAAACTGATGGCTTTCCTGAGTTGCAGGGCCCAAGATGCAGACAACCTCATCAGTCTCTGTTCCTGAGATACCAGGGCCTACTATGTACGTACCAAAGTAGAGGCTCCTCTCTTTGGCATGAGAGCAGGCACCTGCTCCTGAGAAACTCCTTCATGTCCCTCTCCTCATCCCAAGCCCCATCTGTCTCTCAGATGACAGGAATGGATGCCAGAAGACTCCACCCTGACTGTTCAGGTTCTCCTGGGTGACAACCCCTGGTCCCCTAATGCCTGTCTCCTCCTCCTCACCCGCTCCTCCTCCAGGCAAGGCTCATCCTCAGGCACAAGATGCTGCCTGCATTTCCTCTTTTGGCTTGGACCATCATTCCCTCCAGAATTCATTCCTCACACTGTTCCCTAATAAAATCCATCTCAAAAACTCTAGATTCCTTCCCAGCCACTTCCTAACCCAGGAAATAAGTAGCAGCTGTGTCCTTTCTCTCCCTCTTTCCCTGGCTGGGATTTGGGCCTCAAGCTTCCCATCCCACTGAGAAGTTCCAGAGCAAAGACTGTCACCAGAATTTAAGTGACTTCCAAACCCAGGGCCCCCAAAATCAGTGCTGCAGAGGGAGTCCCAAGGCCCCTTCAAGCCAGACAGTCACCAGTGGCACCCACAAGCAGAAACTGTCTGTTGTCTAATCACAGCAGGGGAGGACCATGAAAAGTTGTGATAGCCTTTCCCTCTGACACCTTGGGTGGCAAGGACAGTGATGGGCATGGCGGGACAGAGACGACGGGGCAGCTGATGGATAGGGGACACTGGCCTGGGGGTCAGGAAACATGTATTCTTACCCCAGCTATGTCATGGACACCTGGGTAACATTGTGGCAGTTGCATTCCCTCTGTAGCCTCAGCACCCTTGACTGCAAACATAAAAGGATCTCTCTTGGCCGGGTGCGGTGGCTCATGCCTGTAATCCCAGCACTTTGGGAGGCCGAGGCAGGTGGATCGCTTGAGGTCAGGAGTTCAAGACCAGCCTGGCCAACATGGCGGAATGTCATCTCTACTAAAAATACAAAAATTAGCCGGGCTCTATAGTGGGCTCTTGTGATGCTAGCTACTCAGGAGGCTGAGGTACGAGCATCGAACCCAGGAGGCGGAGGTTGCAGTGAGCCCAGACAGCGCCACTGCACTCCAGCCTGAGCGACAGAGCGAGACTCCATCTCAAAAAGAAAAAAAAGGGCCTCTTTCTTCCAGCTGTAATGTCCAAGGAGGCTCTGCGGTAGTGAGTCCAGCTTCCACACAACACACCTTCATTTTTACAATGCTCAGGACTCAGAGGCAAAGCGCTCCCCATTTTGGGAAGTGATCAGGACTGCTCCTGAGATAAGGGAGAAATGCCTATGGCGACAGGAAACCTATGCCTGCCATCCTCTTGTCCCCCATATTAGTTCCAAAACAGGATCCCAAATGCCCAGTACACTGGTGGGTGTTTGTTAAATTTGTTAACAAAAACTATCTTGGCCAGGCGCGGTGGCTCACGCCTATAATCCCAGCACTTTGGGAGGCCGAGGCCGGGGGATCACGAGGTCAGGAGATTGAGACTATCCTGGCTAACAGGGTGAAACCCCGTCTCTACTAAAAATAATAATAATTTAAAAAATTAGCCGGGCGTGGTGGCGGGCGCCTGTAATCCCAGCTACTCGGAAGGCTGAGGCAGGAGAATGGCGTGAACCTGAGAAGAGGAGCTTGCAGTGAGCCGAGATCGTGCCACTGCACTCCAGCCTGGGCGACAGAGCAAGACTCTGTCTCAAAAAAAAAAAAAACTATCTTGGGCCTGGCGCAATGGCTCACGCCTATAATTCCAGCACTTTGGGAGGCCGAGGCGGGTGGATCACTTGAGGTCAGGCATTCAAGACCAGCCTGGCCAACATGGAGAAACCCTGTTTCTACTAAAATACAAAAATTAGGTGGGTGTGGTGGTGGGCTCCTGTAATCCCAGCTATTCAGGAGGCTGAGGCAGGAGAATCGCTTGAACCTGGGAGGCAGAGGTTGCAGTGAGCCGAGATCATGCCACTGTACTACACCCTGGGCAAGACAGAGCGAGACTCCTTCCCAATAAAAAACAAACAAACAAACAAACAAACAAAACAAAACAAAACAAAAAAACTTGGCGGGGCGTGGTGGCTCATGCATGTAATCCAGCACTTTGGGAAGCTGAGGCAGGTGGATCATGAGGTCAGGCATTCAAGACCAGCCTGGCCAACATGGCGAAGCTTCGACTCTACTAAAAAATACAAAAATTAGCCAGGCGTGGTGGCGGGTGCCTGTAGTCCCAGCTACTCGGGAGGCTGAGACAGGAGAATTGCTTGAACCTGGGAGGCAGAGGTTGCAGTGAGCAAAGATCGTGCCACTGCACTACAGCCTGGGTGACAGAGCAAGACTCTGTCTCAAAAAAAAAAAAAAATATATATATATATATATATATATCTCTTGTCCCAACACAGTGGCTTATGCCTGTAATTCCAACACTTTAGCAGGCCTAGATGGGAGGATTATTTGAAACCAGGAGTTCAAGACCAGCCTGGGCAACACAGTAAGACCTTGTCCCTACAAAAAATTTTAAAAATTAGGTTCTGCTGGACAAGGGGGCTCTCTGCCCTGTTCTTTGAGCCTGCTCAGAGGACACTGCCCTGAAAAGGCAGCCCTACTCATTTCTGTAGGGTGCTAGAAGGGAAGCCTGAGATTCTCTTATGAGGAGTCAAAGAAAACTCCTCAGATGCTCAGGAGGGAGCTCAGGCTGTGGGGGGCCGGTGCCGATGTGGAGAAGGCTTCTTCTGTGGCCAGATAAAGGACATCAGGTCCTTCCCTTGCGTGTAGCTGTGGTGGCTTTCACAAGCATTCTCTCAGGGTGTTTTCACCCTGACCAGAAGAGGAAAGCAGGAGCTTTAATATTTAACTGGTGATATTGCCAAAACACAAAACATTGAATTGCTCCAGGCCACACAGCGGGAAAGTGGCCAAGTGGATTTCAAACTCACCACTCTGTACCTCTGACTTCCTGTCTCACAGTCTGGGAGGATAGTAAGCAAGTACTTAGCCCTTTGCTTCCTGGATTTCAAAGGGCAAAAGTAATAAATACTCCCTAGCTCCCTCCCCTGCCCAAGGCTACAGGAAGGTCCAGACAGCTCCTCTGGCTCACAGGGCTACTTCAGGGCTTTATCTAATTAGCCTCCCTCTCCCTGGTGCTGCATTAGCCTTGCATGGCCCTTGGGTGTACAAGGCCGAGCTCTGCCTTTTGTACAAACACACTTGCAGCGTCAGGCTCTCTCAAAGGACAGTTTCACTGAGCTCATACTCCAGTTTTAGCCACAGAAGGGATGAAAGCCTCAGAGAAATCCTCATAGCCTTGGTCTTCCTTTACCCACTGAATCAGAGGGAGATCACCAGCCCCTGACACCTGCCCCTGCCTCACTTATGCTGCAGGGCCTCTCAGTAACCCTGCCTAGCCCACAGGGCAGACATTAGTCACACAGTGGAGACTTCGTGCTCAGAGAAGAGACGGGAAGTTTTCTTGGTCCGCCCTAGTGTTTCAGTGGTGGTGACTCAGGGCCTAGAACTTCCCAAGCACCCTAGAGGTTTCTTCTCTGCACCATGTACCATGACCTTCACAACATGCCTGGCACTGTGGGTGTGGTTCTCCCTCTAGTCTCTGACTCCTGGGTTTTTTCCACTGTACCAGAGCTTCTTCCAACAGCCCTTGCTTGGAGTTGACAGCTCTGTAGCTTGGCCTCACTCTGCAGGAGGCCACACCCCAGCTTTTAAAGCTACAGCGTCGGCTGAAGGCTACCTCAGTGGAGAGCTCCCAGCCTCAGCTTCCTCTCCAGTTGTCTTTTGGCTGCAAACTCATGATGTCACAGACAACCCCGACCCGACCCCCACCACAAGCTGGTTTTCAAGCACCCAAATTCCTCCCCTTTCCTCAGGAAGGCTGCCTGTCAACCACAGATGGGTATAGGCTGTGCCAGCATCTCCATGGTAACCATGGGCCGCAGCTTCCTGCCTTGATCCAGAGCTTGCACCCGTGGCAGGGCTCCCTTGCAAGGAGGGCTGGCTGTCACAGTAGGCCCATTACACATCTCACTATCATCCTCGCATGGGGACAGCTTAGGGAGGCAGCACAGCTCAGGAGTTCTTTGAGGAAGGTCTGAAAGGGGGCAGACTGGGAAGGCTCTCCCTTCTTTGTGGAATCGATTCTTCACGGTAGGCTGTGGGGTTCCAGTGTTAACACTTTTTCAGGGCATGGGTGAAAGTTGAAAATGTGAGTTTGTGAGTTGGCTTTAGACTTTGCTCTCTTGGGGGGTACAGGAGAGAGACTGCAATTGATTAGGCAATAATTCCAGTTCCTTGCCACCCCTAACTCCATAAAATGTCCCCTGGGGCAGTTGAGGAGCTCTCAACTAGGGGGGCTGTTTATCCATGTGGAATCAAAGACTCCAGAGTGAGACGGGGGCCAGCGAGGGCCAACAAGAGGAGAGCCAACCTGAAATGCACCCTTTTGAGGACTGAGGAGGTATCTTCTGAGAGATTCTGTTTCCAGGAGAAAAGCAAACCAGAATACAAACTGCAGCTGCTGCTGTTCCTCCTGCTTCTCATCTCCGTCCTCTAAGCACATCTCCTCTGCTTCCAACCGCAGTACTAGGAGGCAGGGCATGGGAGTGAGCCTGAAACTCATTGTAGCAGACCAAAGCTCACAGCCTTCCCTGACCCCTGCGTATTTGTTTTTTTGTTTTTTTTTTTCTGAGATGGAGTCTCACTCTGTTGCCCAGGCTGGAGTGCAGTGGTGTGATCTCGGCTCACTGCAACTTCTGCCTCCTGGGTTCAAGCAATCCTCCCACCTCAGCCTCCAGAGTAGCTGGGACTACAGGCGCATGCCACCATGCCCTGCTAATTTTTTTTTTTTTTTTGAGACGGATTCTCGCTCTGTCGCCCAGGCTGGAGTGCAGTGGTGCGATCTCGGCTCACTGCAAGCTCCGCCTCCCAGGTTCACACCATTCTCCTGCCTCAGCCTCCCGAGTAGCTGGAACTACAGGCGCCCACCACCAAGCCCAGCTAATTGTTTTGTATTTTTATTAGAGACGGGGTTTCACTGTGTTAGCCAGGATGGTCTCAATCTCCTGACCTCGTGATCCCCCCTGCCTCGGCTTCCCAAAGTGCTGGGATTACAGGCGTGAGCCACGGCGCCCAGCCAACACACCCTGCTAATTTTTGTATGTTTTTGTAGAGACGGGGTTTCACCATGTTGGCCAGGCTGCTCTCAAACGCCTGAGCTCAAGTGATCCGCCCTCCTTGGCCTCCCAAAGTGCTGGGATTACAGGCGTGAGCCACCGCGCCCAGCCTTGCATAATCGTTCTTTTCATGTTCAACTTCTTTTCCAAATCTCCTTGGAGGGCAGTTAGGTGTTTGCACTTCTGTGATATATAATCAAGAATACCAGTGGGCGCGGTGGCTCACACCTGTAATCCCAGCACTTTGGGAGGCTAAGGTGGGTGGATCACCTGAGGTCAGGAGTTCGAGACCAGCCTGACCAACATGGAGAAACCCTGTCTCTACTAAAAATACGAGATCAGCTGGTCATGGTGGTGCATGCCTGTAATCCCAGCTACTCGGGAGGCCAAAGCAGGAGAATAGCTTGAACCCGGGAGGCGGAGGTTGCAGTGAGCCGAGATCACACCATTGCACTCCAGCCTGGGCAACAAGAGCAAAACTCTGTCTCAAAAAAAAAAAAAAAAAAAAAAAAAGAATCATGTTAGCTGGGCACAGTGGCTCATGCCTGTAATCCCAGCACTTTGGGAGGCCAAGGCGGGCAGATCACTTGAGGCCAGGAGTTCGAGACCAGCCTGGCCAACATGGTGAAACCTTGTCTCTACTAAAAATACAAACATTAGCCAGGCATGGTGGCGGGCACCTGTAATCTCAGCTACTTGGGAGGCTGAGGCAGGGGAATTGCTTGAACCTGGGGGAGATGAAGGTTGCAGTGAGCCGAGATTGCGCTACTGCACTCCAGACTGGGCAACAGAGTCCCTGTCTCAAAAAAAAGAATACCATGTTGGGGAAGACTGTATAGAATGACAGCAGGGAGAAGAATTTGGGTCCTTAGGCTGTTAATCTAATAAAGAGAGAGAGAGAACACCTCAAAGGAATTTGGGGGGCACTGAGGGTGGGAGAGTTGAAGAGATGCCTTAACTTCTGTGGACTGTGATCAGAGTGAACTGTAGAGGAATGAGGCCTCTAGCTATTCTCATTTAGTGCTGTTGTAGACATCATTGGAATCTCCACTATCACTTGGCCAAATGTGAAGCTAAGGATTTGAGCTATTTTGGAATTACTTTTCTTTTTCTTCCTTTTTTTTTTTTTTTTTTTCCTGAGATAGGGTCTTGCTCTGTTACCCAGGCTGGAATATAGTAGCATGATCATAGCTCACTGCAGCCCTGAACTCCTGGGCTCAAGCAATACGCCATGCTCAGCCTTCTGAGTAGCTGGGACTTCAGGCGTGTGCTACCACGCCTGGCTAATTTTTAAATTTTTATGTAAAAATGAGGTCTTGCTATGTTGCCCAGTATGGTCTTGAACTCCTGGGCTCAAGTGATCCTCTTGCCTTGGCTTCCCAAAGCATTGGGATTATAGGCATGAGCCAGTAAGCCTGGCCTGAAATTACTTTGGATTGCTGACAGGTGCTTCTTAGACAGTGCTGGGAGACAAAACCTCATGGTTCCAGACTTTGTGAGAATTGCAATAATAATTACTCCTATATTTAATTAGTTAATTAATTTATTTATTAGGTCGAGTCTCACTCTGTTGCCCAGGCTGGAGTGCAGTGGCATGATCTCAGCGTGCTGCAACCTCTGCCTCCTGGGTTCAAGCAATTTTTATCCCTCAGCCTCCCGAGTAGTATGGACTACAGGTGTGCACCACTACGCCTGGCTAATTTTTGTATTTTTAGTAGAGGCAGGGTTTCATCATGTTGGCCAGGCTGGTCTCAAACTCCTGACATCAGGTGATTTGCCTGCCTTGGCCTCCCAAAGTGCTGGGATTACAGGCGTGAACCACCGAGGCTGGCCATTATTTATTTATTTTTATGAGACAGAGTCTTGCTCTGTCGCTCAGGCTGGAGTTCAGTGGTGTGATCTTGACTCACTGCAACCTCTGCCTCCTGGGTTCAAGCGATTCTCCTGCTTCGGCCTCCTGAGTAGCTGGGATTACAGTTGCATGCCACCATGCCCAGCTAATTTTTTATTTTTAGTAGAGATGGGGTTTCACCATGTTGGCCAAGGCTGGTCTTGAACTCCTGACCTCAAGTGATCCACCCACTTCGGCCTCCCAGAGTGCTGGTATTATAGGTGTGAGCCACCGCGTCCAGCCTTAATATGTACTAAATCCTACAAATTCATTATCTAATTTAATCCTCACAATTACACATTTTAACAGAAACAGAAACTGAGTCTTAGGGAGGTAAAGTAACATGCCTAAAGTCACTTGGGCATATGTGCTGGAGCCAGGCCTCAAAGAAAATGAAATCCAGAGGCTGGGTGTGCCGGCTCACGCCAAAGTATATCCCAAAGTATATCCCAGCACTTTGGGAGACCGAGGCGGTGGATCATATGAGGTAGGGAGTTCAAGACCAGCCTGGCCCACATGGTGAAACCACGTCTCTACTAAAAATACAAAAATTAGCCGGGCGTGATGGCATGTGCCTGTAATCCCAGCTACTCAGGAGGCTGAGGCAGGAGAATTGCTTGAACCTGGGAGGCAGAGGTTGCAGTGAGCTGAGATCGTGCCACTGCACTCCAGTCTGGGCCACAGAGCGAGACTCCGTCTCAAAAAAAAAGAAAATGAAATCCAAGTAGCAGCTTGAGATCCAGGTAGCAGCTTAGCAGCTGGGTAGGCTCCCTGCATGGAGACCAGGAACTGCCATTACCTCTAAGAGCAGAGAAAACAGGGTGTTCCTCTCAGTAAGCTCCCAAGAAAATTGCCAGGCCATGCTGAAGAGGGTTCTTACTGATCTGATGAAGCAGAAAATCAAAGAGATTTACATGAGGCGTTGTGGCTCGGAGGCTGCTCCCTCACAAATCTGAGCACCAGGAATGTGCTGGAGCCCAGGTGACCATCTGTAGCAGCTCCTGCCAGCCTGTTTCTGTGCTGCTTTGTTAAGTCCCAGAGGCAGGGGATGGGGAAACACAGAGAGAGTGACTCTCTCTGAGGAAGCCCTATTTTTCTTTTCTTTTCTTTTTTCTTTTTTTTTTTTTGAGACAAAGTCTCACTCTTGTCCGCCAGGCTGGAGTGCAATGGCACGATCTTGGCTCACTGCAACCTCCACCTCCAAGGTTCAAGTGATTCTCCTGCCTCCGCCTCCTGAGTAGCTGGGATTACAGGCACCTGCCACTATGCCCAGCTAATTTTTGTATTTTTAGTAGAGACGGGGTTTCACCATGTTGGCCAGGCTGGTCTCAAACTCCTGACCTCAGGTGATCTACCCACCTCGGCCTCCCGAAGTGCTGGGATTACAGGCGTGAGCCACTGTGCCTGGCCTAGGAAGCCCTATTTTTCTATCTTTCTGCGCAGGCCTTTCAGAAAATTGACATCTCCCTCCTACTTGCACCACTTGGAGAGAAGCTCTTCACCTCTCCTAGGGACATGGAGGTGCAGAAAGCAGGGCCTCCAGCTGCTCTGCATTGTCCTCCAGCAAGAAGGTCCCAGACAGTAATCATTGTGCAGTGGGAACCTCAGGTTTGGGAGCCACACAGACCTGGGTTCAAATCCTGACTCTGTTCCTACTGCCTGAATGCTTCTGGACAAGTCACTTAACCTTTTGAAGCCTTAAGTGTCTGTGACATAAAAAAAAATGATAGCCCCCATGTGAAAGGTTTAATGCAAACAAAAGTACTTGGCACAGGGTGATTGCCCAATAAACCATATTCCTATTGCAGGAAAATGACTTGGGAAGAGGCGAGTTTGTGGTTCCTGTTCTGACAGTTTGTTTCATCTATTTTGGACTGTAATTTTTTTTTTTTTTTTTGAGACAGAGTCTCGCTCTCTCCCCCAGGGTGGAGTGCAGTGGCGTGGCATGATTTCAGCTCACTGCAACTTTCATCTTTTGGGTTCAAGCAATTCTCCTGCCTCAGCCTCGTGAGTAGCTGGGACTACAGGCGCCTGCCACCACAATCGGCCAATTTTTTGTATTTTTTTTAGTAGAGATGGGGTTTCACTGTGTTGGCCAGGCTGATCTCAAACTCCTGACCTCGTGATCTGCCCACCTCGACCTCCTAAAGTGCTGGGATTACAGGCGTGAGCCACCGCACCTGGGTTTTTTTTTTTTTGGAGATGGGGATCTTGCTGTGTTGCCCAGGCTGGACCACAGTGACTGACTATTCACAGGTGCGATCATAATGCACTATAGCTGTGAACTCCTGCCTCAGCCTCCCAGGTAGCTGGCACTACAAGTGTGTGCCACTGTGTCTGGCTAATGCCAGTTATGTTTAAAAACACATATACATTAAAATATATAAGTTTTACAATTAAAAAAAGTTAATTCATCTGAAATTTACTCTCTCAACCTCCTGGAGGTGTGCTAACCACACTTTAGAAAACAATGGGTTAGGCTGGGCGCAGTGACTCATGTCTGTAATTCCAGCACTTTGGGAGGCCGAGGCAGGAAAAATGTTTGAGCCCAGGAGTTCGAGACAAGCCTGGGCAACATGGTGAGACCCCATCTCCACAGAAATTAAAAAATTACCAGCCGGGAGTGGTGGCTCACGCCTGTAATCCCAGCATTTTGGGAGGCCGAGGCGGGTGGATCACGAGGTCAGGAGATAGAGGCCATCCTGGCTAACACGGTGAAACCCCGTCTCTACTAAAAAAATACAAAAAATTTGCCGGGCGTGGTGGTGGGTGCCTGTAGTCCCAGCTACTCAGGAGGCTGAGGCAGGAGAATGGCGTGAACCCGGGAGGCGGAGCTTGCAGTGAGCCGAGATTGTGCCGCTGCACTCCAGCCTGGGTGACAGAGCGAGACTCCGTCTCAAAAAAAAAAAAAAAAAAATTACCAGCCTGGCCAACATAGTGAAATCTCATCTCTAGTAAAAATACAAAATATTAGCCAGGCATGGTGGCAGGCGCCTGTAATCCCAGCTACTCGGGAGGCTGAGGCAGGAGAATTGCTTGAACCTGGGAGGCGGAGGTTGCAGTGAGCTGAAATCGTGCCATTGCACTCCAGCCAGAGCGACAGTGCAAGTCTCAAAAAAAAAAAAAAAAAACAACAAAACTAGCTGGGCATGGTGTCATGTGCCTGTGGTCTCAGTTACTTGGGAGACTGAGGCAAGGAGGATCACCTGATCTCCAGTCAGCCAGGTTTGCCCCACTGCACTCCAGCCTGGGCGACAGAGTAAAACCCTATCTCAAAAAAAAAATTTTTTTTAAAAAGAAAAAACACTGGGCTAATGAAGAACTTGGTAGTGGAATGACAGTGACATGCTCACGCGGAAACTTTGGCTTGGTATATCACAAGGCACTGTGACTAGCTAATAAGAGGATGGAGAACATCAGTTTACAGCAACCATCTTATGGGGCTTTCAGTCATGAAATGGTGAGCATGCGCCTAAACACAAAAATAAAACATTACCAAAACTCAATGCTAGTGGACCTCTGGTTAAACATGATGAATTGACCTGATACATTTATCTTAACTCCTTCCTCAAGCCCCACTAAAGTGATAGGAAAATAACACACAAAAATGAAGGGACTGGAAGATGAGAAGTCTGCCAGCAATGCTTTGGAAAGTAGAAATCAGTGGAGACTGAGACCATAGTGAAATTCAAGTGCCCACACAGGGAGGGAGTGAAGAGATGGAAGCTGATTTGCTCTGAAGAGCACTGTTCAGTCTCAGGAATTGGAGGTACCAGGTACCATGGAAGGGAAGGGTAAAGTGTGGGGCTGTAACAGGGGCTATAAGGAAATGCTAGGCTCTCAGACTTCTATTCCCACCCTGAAACAAAATGGCTACCTCCTGCCTCCACCTTAAGTGAGAACAGGTTTATTTTCTGAGGAAATGCAATCAGGGCCCAAGCACAATGGTGAGAGCGCTGGGGCATAGGAGATTGTCTGTATACAGAGAGCTCCCTTCCCCAGGTGATTCCCAGAAGGGTGGCATCCAGGCTTACATTCCCGAAACCTGGAGGTCCCTTCTTTGGAGAGACTGAACAGCCTCAGAGAAAAGTCCCATAAATACTATTTTTTTTTTTTTTTTTTTAGAGACAAGGTATCATTCTGTCATCCAGGCTGGAATGCAGAGGTGTGATCACCACCCACTGTAGCTTCAACCTTCCTGGGGTACATGTGATCCTCTCAAACTGCTGGGGATTACAAGCATGAGCCACCATGCCCAGCCCAGCTGAGGGTTTTATAGTTGACTCTGCCTGGTTGTAATTCTGAACATCTTTTTGCCTTGCAGGTCTACATTTCTCTTTGCCATACTGCTCTGGGCTCTGGGGGTTGACCTGAATGGACCACACAGCCATGGTGTCTCCTGTCCTCCACCTTCACTGGTGAAGACTGGGAGTGAGGAAGAAGAGTGAGATTGCACCCTCTCTGCAGGACCATGGGCAGACCCTGCCCCTTACCTCTTCTCAGGGGTCTCTCTTCTCTCCTGTTAACTTCTTCCCATTCCCTCATCAGGCCTTTGCTTGGTTTCTGGACATGCCGCCCACACCTTTGTAAATTGTCCCTTTAATCTCTTCAAATAACCCAGTTTAAGGGTGCCATTTGTATCCTGCCAGGATCCTGTCTCAACCACTAAACAATATTCACATAATCAAAATGTAAACACTATTAATTATCGAAAAACTGTGAAATAACTATATCAGGAGCCTGGAGTCGAGGGGAAAGGAGTAATGGTATTATAAGAACACTAAATCTTCAACTACCATAATAGAAAGTCAGTAGAAAATAACAAAATTAATAAGAATGGTATACTGTCAGCTAAAAGAGTGGAAAGTAATTGATTCAGTGAAGAGAGAATAAAGGGTAGGGGGCAGTGAGTGGGATAGTGGACGTGGTATTTTGAAATGTGCCTTCTAGTGCTTTTCACTTTTTAAATTATGAGCACATAAAATGTTGCTAAAAAAAACAAAATTAATTTTTGAAAAGTCTAAAGCCAAGAGAAAAAAACACAGTAATGGCCCTTTGAATTCTTTTGAGGGCCTAGTGCATAATGGATGCTTAGCGGTACCAACAGCAGAATTCAAGCCTCCCTAGTGACTTCAGATCCAGTAATCCATCTCCTTCACTGCACTTTTGGAGAATAAAGCAGTCTCAGCCTCAGAGCCATCTGTGCTTGTCAGTGTGAGGCCTGATAGAAATAAAATAGCTCTCCTGCTCCCAATTATTTATATCAGGTAGAAGAAAAATTTCCAGCCTGCAAGATCAGGTTAGGGAGAGAGTGAGGAGGTTAGCGAGAGAGTGAGGAGGGTAGGGAGAGAGAGGTCAGTAGATGCACAGAATTTGCATTCAAGAGCTGAATTTGAATCTTAGCTCTCCAATCCCGAGTTGGATGCAGGGGCTTTTCATCTCTCCAAGCCTGTTTATTCTTAAGTAAGCTTCACGAGGGCATTTTGCCCATCATCTAGGACAGTGATTTGTTTATTTGTCACCCAGGCTGGAGTGCAGTGGTGCGATCACAGCTCACTGCAACCTCCGCCTCCTGGATTCAAGCTATTCTCGTGCCTCAGCCTCCCGAGTAGCTGGGATTACATGTGTGCACCACCACGCCCAGCTTATTTTTGTATTTTTAGTAGAGACAGGGTTTTGCCATGTTGGCCAGGCTGGTCTCAAACTCCTGACCTCAAGTGATCCACCTGCCTTGGCCTCCCAAAGTGCTGGAATTACAGGCATGAGCCACTGTGCCTGGCCAGGACAATGCTTTTTAATAACCAGAGGCTTTCTATTTTTACTTTTGACACAGGGTCTCTGTTGTCCACCTTACAGTGCATGATCATGGCTCACTGCAGCCTCAACTTCCCGGGTCAAGTGATCCTACCACCTCAGCCTCTGGAGAAGCTGGGACTACAGGCATGTGCCACCACACCTGGCTAATTTTTATTTTTTGTAGAGACAGGGGTCTCCCCATATTGCCCAGGTTGGTCTCGAACTCCTGGTTTCAAGTGATCCGTATGCCTTGGCCTCCCAAAGAGCTGGGATTACAGGCATAAAGCCACCACACCTGACCAATAAATTGAGACTTTTATTTATTTATTTATTTGTTTATTTATTTTTGAGATGGAGTCTCACTCTGTTGCCCAGGCTGGACTGCAGTGGTGTGATCTCGGTTCACTGCAATGTCTGCCTCCTGGGTTCAAGCAATTCTCCTGCGTCAGCCTCCTGAGTAGCTAGGATTACAGGCATGAGCCATCATGCCCAGCTAATTTTTGTATTTTTAGTAGAGATGGGGTTTCACCATGTTGGCCAGGCTGGTCCTGAACTCCTGACCTCAGGTGATCCGCCTGCCTTGGCCTCCCAAAGTGCTGATTACAGGTGTGAGCCATTGTACCCAGTCAATTTGAGACTTTATAAGTAGAAGGCTGTATACTGATGCACAGTAGCTTAATAATTATTGAATGAATCTTGAGGATGAAATAAGAATGGTCATATAGCATGGCAAATATTTGGCAAACAGATCTAATAGATAGTAGATAGTAGTAAACTAACTAATAAGAGTTTCTTTCCCTTGATCTCTACCTCAGCTTTTTACCAATGTTGTTATATGGCAGCCTAAGTCAATAAGCTTTTTTTTTCCCCTCGCTCTGTCACCCAGGCTGGAGTGCAGTGGCGCAATCTCGGCTCACTGCAAGCTCCACCTCCTGGGTTCACGCCATTCTCCTGCCTCAGCCTCCCGAGTAGCTGGGACTACAGGCGCCCGCCACCATGCCCTGCTAATTTTTTTTTTTAGTAGAGACGGGGTTTCACTGTGTAAGCCAGGATGGTCTCGGTCTCCTGACCTCGTGATCCGCCAGCCTCAGCCTCCCAAAGTGCTGGGATTACAGGCGTGAGCCACTGCGCCTGGCCCTAAGTCAATAAGCTTTGAACTGAAGCCTGGTAATGGTAAGTAATAATAATAGAGTCATGAGCCTCATAATGTTTTGGTCAACAATGGACTGCATATACAAGGGTGGTCCTGTAAGGTTATAATACTGTACCATACTTTTACTGTATCTTTCCTATGTTTAGATACACAAATACTCTTGTGTTACTATTTCTTCACACTATTCTGTATAGTAACATGCTGTACAGGTTTATAGCTTCAAATCAATAGGCTGTACCACATAGCCTCTATGTTTTGTAGGCTATACCATCCAGGAGGTATAGCCTACAACATGTTGGGAGGCCGAGGCGGGAGGAATAAGTATAAGTACAGTCTGTGATGTTCATACAGTAATGAACTCATCTAACGATCCATTTATCAGAACATATCCTCATTGTTAAGTGATATATGACTGTAATAGTAATAAATGATAGAAAGAACATTTATTCTCAGAAAAAAAAAGAAAGAACATTTATTGAACGGTCATTTTGAGCCAGGCACTATTCTATATTAGCTCATTTAACCTTCACGGTAAATCTGTAAGTACTACTATTATGCTCATGTTACAAATTAAGAAACTAAAGTCGGGTCGGGGGGTGGTGGTGGCGGGGGGAAAGAAAGAGACAGAGAAAGAAAGAGGGTGCAGTGGCTCCTGCCTGTAATCCCAGCACTTTGAGAGGCCGAGGCACGCAGATTGCTTGAGCCCAGGAGTCCAAGACTAGTCTGGGCAACATGGCAAGAACTTGTCTCTACAAAAAATACAAAAATTAGCCAGGCATGGTGGCATGTGCCTGTAGTCCTAGCTACTCCAGAGGCTGAGGTGGGAGGATTGCTTGAGTCCGGGAGGTGGAGGCTGCAGTGCTGTGATTGTGCCACTGCACTCCAACCTGGGCCACAGAGTGAGACCTAGTCTCTTAAAAAAAAAAAAAAAAAAAAAAAAGAAGAAAGAAAGAGAAAGAAAAACTGAAGCATGGAGAGATAAGTAATCACACAGCTAGCCAGCTAGTAAATGACAGGGCTGGAATTTGAACCCAGGCAGCTTACCTTACATCTTGAGTGCTTCATCATATAAGTTAGACTTCTCTTAATTTATTCATCTGACAAAGAAAATGGATCGCTGTTGTATTTTTTAAGGAAATTCCTTCTTATCTAAGTTATAATTGTGATATGTAACTGTTACAATGCCAAACCACCATATTTAGGACATGCTAACTGAAACCTGTTAGTGACTTTGTTTTGAAGATAAACCCTTCGCACCTATTGAATCAAGTTTTAAGGTTGCTCTCCTGCTAACTCAGCATACTCTAAATGGCTTTTTCTTTTAACTCAAGTTTGATCCCAACTTCTATTTAAAGAAAAAATTTTAAGCCGGGTGCAGTGGCTTGTACCTGTAATCCCAGCACTTTGAGAGGCTGAGGAGGGAGGACTGCTTGAGCCCAGGAGTTCAAGGTCAGCCTGGTCAACATAGTGAGACCCCATCTCTATGAAAAAAATTCAAAAAATTAACCAGTCATGGTGGTGCGAGCTTGTAGTCCTAGCTACTTGAGAGGCTGAGCTGGGAGGATCACTTGAGCCCAGGAGTTGGAGGCTGCAGTGAGCTATGATCATGTGGCTGCACTACAGCCTGGGTGACAGTCTGAGACCCTGTCTCAAAAAGAAAAAAAAAAAGAGCTCAAAATTTGGAGAATGCAGGTCACCACAAAAAAGTGTCTACTAATCAATCTAGTAAAGATGATCTAAGAAAATCAAATACGTACAGGTTTTGTGGGGAAAATGAAGGCACAGAAGAAAGCACTTTTACTTTTCTTTGAGGGAATTTTCCTCCATTTAGGTTTCTAAGGTTAAACAATAAAAACAAGAAGGTGCTGCAGTCTTTCACTGCGTGACTCAGGGGAAGCCTTATCAACATTCATTACAGCAAACACTTGCATAGCACTTGTGGTGTGCTGGACTCTGCTCTAAGTGGCTTATAGACATCTCAGCTATCCTCACAACAACCTATCAGTTAAATGCTACTACTAGACCTATTTTGTAGATGGAGAAATGAAGACACAGATTAAGCAAATGGTTTACAGCTAGTGTTTTAGACAGGTGAGATTTGAACCCAAACAGCCTAGTACCAAAGTATAGCATCCAACAGACACATGCTATACTATGTGTCCACTGCTGCAGGGATGTGGATAAATCCTGTGAAGGGGCTGTCAGAACACTTGACTTACTCTCCATTCCTTATTCTGTAGGTCTAAATGTTCAAGGGCAGTAAGGATATGGTTGATATATGTGAAGTCTTGAAGATGTGTATTCAGCACAGGTATATAACCTGTTCTCAAGAATAACCAGGTGGCCGGGCATGATGGCTCATGCCTGTAATCCCAGCACTTTGGGAGGCTGAAGCAGGCGGATCAGAAGGAGGTCAGAAGTTCAAGACCAGCCTGGCCAACATGGCAAAACCCCGTCTCCACTAAAAATACAAAAATTAGCCGGGCATGGTGGCGGGTGCCTGTAATCCCAGCTACTTGGGAGGCTGAAGCACGAGAATCACTTGAACCCAGGAAGCAGAGGTTGCAGTGAGCCGAGATGGTGCCACTGCATTCCATCCTGGGTGACAGAGCAAGACTCCACCTCAAAAAAAAAAAAAAAGACAAAAGAAAAAGGAAAAGAATAACCATGTGTCAGAAACAGATACAAATGGGTAGGACCAAAATTTACAAGAATTTGGCAGAAATAGGATCACTAATGGATTCTTCTCTAAGGATATGAGCCCCTTTGTTAAGGATTATCTTTTTATTCATTTATTTAGAGACGGGGTCTTGCTCTGTTGCCCAGGCTGGAGTGCAGTGCCGTGAACACAGCTCATTGCGGCCTGAACCCCCCAGGCTCAAGCTATCTTCCCATCTCAATCTCCTGTCTCCTGAGTGGCTGGGACCACAGGCACATGCCACCATGCCAGGCTAATTTTTTTTTTTTTTTTTTTTTTTTTTGTATAAAGGGGGTTTCACCATGTTGCCCAGCCTGGTTTTGAACTCCTGGGCTCAAGGGATCCATCCACCTTGGCCTCCCAAAGTGCTGGGATCACAGGTGTGAGCCACCATGCCCGGTCATTTTCTAACTTTTAAAAATTAAAAAAAAAAAAATTAAGAGGCAGGGTCTAGCTGTCATCCAGGCTGGAGTGCAGTGGCATGATCATAGCTCACTGCAACCTCAAACTCCTGGGCCCAAGTGATTCTCCTGCCTACCTCCTGACTACAGGTGCATTCCACCATGCCTAACTAAAAGGATTATCTTAAAGGGCATGTTCAGGTGCACAGGTATCTCTTTGTTAGAAAAATCTCAGGTTGCAGGTTAGAAAAGAATTTAAGGGCATAGACAAATGTCCAGAAGAAGATGCACTGACCATCACCTCAGGAAAGACTTGGAAGTAAGGGTACAGAGACACTTTCTATTTTATATACTTCAGCACTATTCAAAACTCAGGGAAAAAAAAACCCCACGAATTATGTTTTCACTATATGTATTGCACACACACACATATATATAGCATGCACACACACACACACACACATATGTAACTCCACCCAGGATGGAAAGAAAGTCAGTAGTGGCCACGAGATGACAAGATTTCCAGTCTCTTCTGTGACTTTAATATACACCCAAACAAGGAGATGGACTACTAACTCAGGCTGGTCACTCCTGAACCAGGTTCCAGGCAATACTCCAGTTCTGGACATTTTAATAGCTGAAAATAACTAAGACTCCCCTGGCCTCAAGAACTGGGAGAACAGCTGAGTCTTGAGGGAGCTAAATTGGGAAAGGGCAGAGGTAATCCTAAGGAATCCCATGCAAGTCTTGACACTGGAGACAGCAAACCTAAGTTTGAAACACACAGCTTTCCATTCCAGACACTGTCAGCTCTAGAAAGATGGTATATGCAACAGGAAATCACTTTCTGGATTAAACTCTTCAGACTCGATGAGTGGGGTTACCTTTCTAGTTACAGATGTTAAAACATTCTTTTGTTTTCCATCCTGAAGTGGATTTTACAAGGTACCTCACCCACTTTGTAGTATGTCTAAAGCAGACTAACACTACTGACTTTTTTTTTGAGATGGAGTTTCGCTCTTGTTGCCCAGGCTGGAGCAGAGTGGCTTGATCTCGGCTCGACACAGCCTCCACTTCCCAGGTTCAAGCGATTCTCCTGCCTCAGCCTCTTGAGTAGTTGGGATTACAGGTGCCTGCCACCACGCCTGACTAATTTTTTGTATTTTTAGTAGAGATGGGGTTTCGCCATGTTGGGTAGGCTGGTCTCGAATTCCTGACCTCAGGTGATCCACCCGCCTCGGCCTCCCAAAGTGCTGGGATTACAGGTGTGAGCCACTGCGCTAGGCCACTACTGACTTTCTTTCCAGAAAAGACTCATTCTCCTAAGGCAGGACATGCTGTTGTTACATTATTACATTTTATAGCCCTCAGGGCCTACTAGGCAGACTAATCCCATGATGCGATTTGCCACAAGTAAAGCACAGAATAGAGTCAGGCAGGAATGACAAAGGAGTCAAAGGAAAAACTAGGCAATGGAAGCCTGGGCTGCGGAATAACAACTTGCAACTTCACAGACATCTCATCCCTTCTCCAGACTAGAGAAGCCTTAGGGTAAATCCTAGCTCTGACACTTACTAGCTGTGTGAATTTGGGTAAATTACTTAACCTCTAAACCATTTCTAATCTGTACAAAATCTTGTAGTATCTACTTGCTTCTTCAGTTGTGGGAAGGGAGATACAGCAGAAAAAGTGTTTGGCACAATGCTGGTTTACAGCAGCCCTCAACCATCAGTGGTGCTATTATTTTCCGCAAGAAGGTGAAGGGCCATAAAAGGCCTATACAGCTGCTGAAGTTCATTGCTAAAGGTATCCAAGGCTCAAATATTTCAAGTGCAAGCTAGACATGAAATTCACAGCTATCTCTGTGAATCACCCTTGATTCCTTCACTCCCTGTGAGTTAGTCACATACACTGTAGAAATGCTGTTACTCAGGCCCTTCCTATTTACCAGGACTTCATTTTAATGTAGACGCTTTCCTGTGTGGTTTGTTCAGAAAGTCTTCTAAATCTGTCCTAATTGCCAAGTTATTTAACCCCTGCCTAACCCCCCACCACCAGAAAACCCCCCCATAAAAGCAACTTGCTTAAAACTTTCTCTCAAGTCTCCCATGCCTAGTAGGTAAGGTCTGAGTATTTTACTTTAGCATACAAGGCCATTCACAACCTGAATTAACATGGTTTTCTGAGCCTTACTTGTCACTTCCAACTCTCCAATCTAACACATCTTTCCTGTTCTTCTAACATATTTCAGTCTTTCAAACCTTCTCATCATCATGCTCTTCCCTCAGTCTAGAAGAGATGACTTTCTTCTCTACCTCACAAAATCCTACTCAACCTTCAAGACTTAGCTAAAACGCTCTTTTAAATGAAGTCTTTCCTTCAGGCTTTATATATATATATATATATATATATATATATTTTTTTTTTTTTTTTTTTTTTTTTTGAGACAGGGCTTTGTCTTACTGTCCAGGCTGTAGTGCAGTGGTGTGATCATAGCTCATTGCAGCCTCAATCTCCTGGGCTCATGCAATCCTCCCGCCTCGGCCTCCAGAGCAGCTGGAACTACAAGCACATACCACCACGCCCAGCTAACTTTTTTTACTTTTAGTAGAGATGAGGTTTTGCTATGTTGCCCAGGCTGGTCTTGAATTCCTGAGCTCAAGTGATCCTCTTGCCTTGGCCTCCCAAAGTGCTGGATTACAGGTATGACTCACCATGCCCAGCTTACAACTTAATTTTCAACACAGCACTCAACAGAACATTCTATTTCTTATGTCTGCCTTGCCCAATAGCCACTTTTTTTTATTTCAATCATTTTTCTATTTGCCCCACTGTAGCAGTAACACATTTGAAAGTACTTTGTGAAAGTGTAAATTTTAAGGGATTATACCAGTACATATACTGATCTGAAAGAGAAATGGGAAGACTGAAGGCAGAAAATGATGTGGCTTCTTTCCCTTTACCAGTTCAAGGTCTTCATAAATTTTTCTTTTTTTTTCTGTAAAAAAAGAGATGGAGTCTCACTATGTTGCTCAGTCTGGACTTTTGAACTTCTGGGCTCAAGTGATCCTCCTACCTCAGCCTCCCAAGTAGCTGGAACTACAGGCATGTGCTACCATGCCTGGCTTAGATTCTGACCTTAGCAGTCATTATATGAAGGATAACCAGTTTGTAACATGGCCTAAAATAAAATGAACAGTTCTCAGGCAGCCCACCCAAGGAAATTCACACATAATGAGAAACCAGAGATGTGTTAGAGTTAAAAGGGTAAGTATAAAAAGTTTTACTTTTTTTGTGTAATTTTTAATACAAGACATCTAAAGTCTTAAACATTAAGTTGATCCCATCAGGAACAAAATATGGCACGAAGTTCAGAAACAAGAACATCTTTTTTTTTTTTTTTTGCACTTAGGCTTTTCAGTCACTATGCAATGATTATCGATTCGCCAAGGACAGTAACAGTCAAATACTAGAGAAAAGGAGATAGGAGAAACATCTTTTATTTCTTCTAAAGAGGTGAAAATAAGATTTTTTTAATATTTCTCACTCATAAGATTTTTAAACTCTTAAAAATGCAATATCTTCTTTTCAAAGCACATGCCATCTTAAAAAAATCTTAGCAATGTACATTTGCACTCAAAGAAAAACATGCAGCGCCATTGTCTTCTGACAAAATTCTGCATTAAAAAACCCTATGCGACTTTCTGCAAATATATTCCCTCTTTATTATTCAGGGACTCCAAACCACAAACATTCAGTGCAATATTTATCGTTTCTTATTTCCGTAGGAAACACAGAACCAATGATGTCTTCTGACAACTGTTTCCTGATGGTTGAGCAACAGTCTCCCTTTGCTTTATTTTAAAGTACTTTTTTTAACTTGCTGATGTAAGGTATAATTGGAATTCATTAAAACTTGAGGATCCAATGGAGGGTGAAGAATGAAGGATGGAGGAGGAATACTTAAGGTCTACCCTGTGCCATAAACTTAGGAAAAAAATGTACACAGAAAAAAACGACAACCAAAAAACCTCAGATTTTATCAATGCACCCTTTAAAAAGTGTTTTTTTAATTTCTGAAAGCAGCTTAATGTGAATCAAAAGCAGTTCCTGAGCAACTGCAGTAAACAGTCTTTTAAAATATATATGTACATACACATGTACATATATGTGTGTGTGTGTATATATATATATTTGCAACTTAGCTCATTTGGTTCTGTCTTAATTTACCTCCCCAGCATTTAGTCCCTTCTTTCCTTTCAGTCTCCAATGTGCAAGTACAATAGCATCAGCTCTGGGAGTTGGCGTGGAGCAGATGTTTCTTATCACTCCTGTGAGGTCATCTGCTTGTCTGTCAGGCCAGGTTTCCAGAGTTGCTGCAGGTCATAGTTCTCTCAATCTCACAAAACCTGTAAGCATCATGGCCACCTCACGTTTTCTTCATCAGACGCCGTGACTGCCATGTGTGGAGCTTGTTGTAGGCTGTCTGGAGCATCTCTTCTATGTGACTTACCAACTGAAAAACACAGCAAGACACTTAACAACTGGGCAAAAGCAGGGGAAGTTAATCCTTCCAACCCAAATCTGGCACACACTTCAGAGTGTAGTTTCGGAGCTCCTCTGTATTTCCCCAGTCAATGAGGTAATGTGCAAGCCCTCTGAGAAGGTGCTGTCAGACACATTTTGTGTGGAAAGGAAAGACAGAAAGTAGGGGGCAGTGAAAAGGCTGCGGTTGTAATGGCTGTCCTGTCATTAACCAATAATAGGACAATATGAAAGTCACAATTGTGCTCCAGGCCTCAATTCCTTCTGTCAAACGAGGGGTCTGAACTATATCTGTGATTTTCTAGATTTGAATACTGGTCAGCCAACTAAGGCCAGGATGGTAGTATAAACTTTATTTTATTTTATTTTATTTTTTGAGACAGAGTCTTGCTCTGTCACCCAGGCTGGAGTGCTATGGTGTGATTTTGGCTCACTGCAGCCTCCACCTCACAGGTCCAAGCAGTTCTCATGTCTCAGACTCCCGAGTAGCTAGGATTACAACCATGAGCCACCACACCTGGCTAATTTTTGTATTTTTAGTAGAGATGGGATTTCACCATGTTGGCCAGGCTGGTCTTGAACTCCTGGCCTCAAGTGATTCACCCACCTCAGCCTCCCAAAGTGCTGGGATTACAGGCCTGAGCCACCATGCCCGGCCAGGTTTTTTTTTTTTTTCTTTTTTAAATAGTGGAGATGGACTCTTGCTATGCTGCCCAGGCTGGTCTCGAACTCCTGGGCTCAAGCAATCTTCCTGCCTCAGCCTCTCAAAGTGCTGGGATTACAGGCGTGAGCTGCTGTGCCCAGCCCCGTATATACATCTTGGCAGAACACTGGAAAAATGCCTTATTCTCCTGAAGATTCTGATTCAACAGGCCTGGGATGAGACCCAAGAATCTTTGATTTTCAAAAGCTCCTGCAGTTAATTCTGCATAATTTTGTGAAACAGTTTGCTATTTTTAGGGTTTTTCCAACTCCAGCATTTCAGGAGTTCAATACAACTCAGCAGATTACAGAAAACCTAAATGGTTTCAATGCTTCACACAATGTGCTATGTCATGTCTTGGGTCAGGACTATAGATCTTTGAGTAGATTAAGAATTTTGCCCTCATCATGGACATAGCTAGAAGTCAACAGGATCATATGGAATCTTTTTTATTTTTTTGAGACATGGTCTCACTACGTTGCCCAGGCTGGAGTGCAGTGGCTATTCACAGGTGCAATTTTAGTTTACTATAGTCTCAAACTCCTGATTTCAAGTGATCCTCCTGCCTCAGTCTCTTGAGTAGCTGGGACTACATGTGCATACCACCGCATCTGGCTTATACTGACTTTTGAGGTAGAAGTCTCTGGAATATGTTTCCTTGGAGGTGGACAGTGTTTATGTGTTTAGAAGTAAAGTTTTGCCAAGTCTGGGAGGATGGAGATGGAGATCAGGAAGTCCTAAATTCCTTTGGCATGTCAATGTTTAGGTCTGAGGGGTACAGAGTTAAAAAAATTACCCTTACTGCCATACCTGTTTATCATTATGGGGGATAGTAATATTTAGCTCTGTCTGGAAACTATAAAAATTACTTATTCTGTTTGATGGGCAGCAGTATCTATATTATCAATTGGAAGACATGAACACCATATCCTTCTGCAAGGCTATGCATGGCCTCAGCATCCTTTTCTTTTTTTTTTGAGATGGAGTTTCACTCTTGTTGCCTAGGCTAGATGCAATGGCACGATCTCAGCTCACTGCAATCTCCGCCTCCCAGGTTCAAGCAATTCTCCTGTCTCAACTTCCCGAGTAGCTGGGATTAGGGGCACTTGCCACAACGCCCGGCTAATTTTTTGTATTTTTAGTAGAGATGGGGTTTCACTGTGTTGGCCAGGCTGGTCTCGAACTCTTGACCTCAGGTGATCCACCCGCCTCAGCCTCCCAAAGTACTGGGATTACAGGTGTAAGCCACCGCGCCTGGCCCTCAGCATCCTTTCCAACACAGCACTCCAAGCAGTTATAATCAATTGAGAAGGCACATGACCTGAAACCTATCTGCCATCCTTGCCCTGCTGTGAGAAGACACTCCAAGCTTCTATCTGATTATAAGTAATGCTGTTTTGTATTTTAAGAAAACCCACTTAGAATATTTAGGAAATAAATATGAAAAATCTTGCTGATGATTTTTCAGCTTTCAATTGTAAAACTCCCCTTTTATTTATCCTACTTATTGAATACTGAATCTTAAATTTGTAACTAGAGTCATGTGCCACATAATGTGCATATATGATGGCGGTCCCATCAGATTATAATAGAGCTGAGAAATTCCCATCATCTAGTGATGTCGTAACATCATACAGCAGCACATTATTCACTCGTTTGTAGGGATGCTGGTGTAAACGAACCTATTAAGTAGCCAGCTGTATAAAAGTATAGCATGTACAATTATGTATAGGACCTAATACTTGATAATGATAATGAATATGTTACTGGTTTATCTATTTACTGTATTTTAAAATCATTATTTACGGTGTACTCCTACTTATATATATAAAAAAGTTAACTGTAAAATAGCCGTACGCAGGTCCTTCAGGAGGTATTCCAGAAGAAGGTATTGTTTCACAGGAGATGACAGCTCCATGTGCATTACTGCCCCTGAAGACTTTTCAGTGGGACAAGATGTGGAGGTGGAAGACAGTGATAGTGATGATCCTGACTCTGTGTAGGCCTAGGCTAATGTGTGTTTGTGTCTTAGTTTTTAACAAAAGTTTAAAAAGAAAAAAAAAATTAAAAATAGAAAAAAGGCACCAGGCGTGGTGGCTCACGCCTGTAATCCCAGCACTTTGTGAGGCCGAGGTGGGTGGATCACGAGGTCAGGAGTTCGAGACCAACCTGGCCGACACAGTGAAACCCGGTCTCTACTAAAAATACAAAAATTAGCTGGGCGTGGTGGTGGGTGCCTGTAATCCCAGCTACTCGGGAGGCTGAGGCGGGAGAATCGCTTGAACCCAGGAGGCAGAGGTTGCAATGAGCTGTGATCATGCCATTGCACTCCAGCCTGGGCGACAGAACTAGACTCCATCTCAAAAAAAAAAAAAAAAAAAAGAAAAAGAAAAAATATATATATCTATACGGAGAGAGGGAGAGAGAGAGAGAAAGAGAGAGAGAAAGGCTTATAGAATAAGAATACAAAGAAAATACTTTTGTACAGCTATACAATGGGTGTTTTAGGTTAAGTGTTATTCCAAAGAATGAAAAACTTTAAAAATATTTAAAAGTTTATAAGGTAAAAATGTTATAGTAAGCTAAGGCTAATTTATTATTGAAGAAAAAAAGCTATATTGTAAATTTAATGTAGTCTAAGTGTACAGTGTTAGTAAACTCTGCAGTAGTGTACAGTAATGTCCTAGGCCTTCACATTCACTCACTGAGTCACCCAGAGCAACTTCTAGTCCTGCAGTCCTGCAGGCTCTATTTATGGTAAATGCCCTTTACAGGTGGACCACTTTTTATCTTTTATACTGAATTTTTACTGCAACTTTTCTATGTTTAGATACACACATACCATTGTGTTAAAACTGTTTACAGTATTTAGTACAGTACTATGCTGTACAGGTTTGTAGCCTAGGAGCAACAGGCTACACCATATAGCCTAGAAGTATAGTAGGCTATATAGCTAGGTTTTAAGTACACTCTGTGAGGTTCATACAACAAAACTGTCTGTCAATGAATTGTTTAGAACACATCCCTGTGGTTAAGCAACACGTGACTGTACTATTCTTTCCAAGGTACCTCTGGGAGGGCTTGTATAACTGCACATACAAATGATCTGATGTGGTTGCTCTAACCTTGTTTTAAATACAATGCTAAAAATGCTGGGCATAAAGTGACACTTCTCAATACCTCATCCACTGACTTTCCCCACTGTAAACAATCAGGGAAGCTGATGCCAAATAGAACCCAGGAACAGTTTTGCTTACTATGAGTAGTGGCAATTCTATCTTTCCTTACGCTGCTAGGTTTGTGCTTGCTACTCAGTTTTTCCAAATTAATAAATTAGTAATATGTATTTTTCAGAACATACACATAGATTGTAAAACTTTTTGAGACAGAGTCTCACTGTGTCACCCAGGCTGGAGTGCGGTGGCATGACCTCGGCTCACCGCAACCCCTGTCTCCCAGGTTCAAGCAATTCTCCTGTCTCAGCCTCCCGAGTAGCTGGGACTACAGGCATGCGCCACCATGCCAGGCTAATTTTTGTATTTTTAGTAGAGACAGGGTTTCGCCATGTTGGCCAGAACTGGTCTCGGAACTCCTGACCTCAAGTGATCAGCCTGCCTTGGCCTCTCAATGTGCTGGGATTACAGGCATGAGCCACCGCACCCGGCCAGATTGTAAAACTTTTCTAAGGGAAAGCATGGAGATGGTTATCACAAATGCTTTGGTTAGTCATGACCTCTGGAGGGGAAGAGAGAGTGGTATGCAACTGGACAGGGGCACTCAGGGAATATCTATGGGTTATGGCAACATTCTACTAATTTTCCTGATTGGTGAGTAAACAGACAGTTATTTTATTATTTAAAAAATATGTATGTATTTTATATACTTCTGAATGCATGACACATTTCAATATTAAAAAACAGTACTTTGAGCAACAGAAAATAAAGTATTGGCCGGGTGCAGTGGCTCATGCCTGTAATCCTAGCACTTTGGGAGGCCAAGGTGGGCTGATTACCTGAGGTCGAGTTTGAGACCAGCCTGGCCAACATGGTGAAACCCCGTCTCTACTAAAATACAAAAATTAGCTGGGCGTGGCAGCATGCGCTTGTAATCTCAGCTACTCAGAAGGCTGAGGCAGGAGAATCGCTTGAACCCAGGAGGTAGAGGTTGCAGTGAGCTGAGATGGAGCCACTGTACTCCAGCCTGGGCGACAGAGTGAGACTCCGTTTCAAAAAAAAAAAAAAAAGAAAATTAAGTATCTACTCATTTACATGAAAGCAAAATCAATTTCATCATTTTACTACAAAGAGAAAGAAGATCAGGCAAAAATCAGATTGCTGCCTTACATTTGTGCTTAAATACTGTCTCCGAATCTTTTCTTGGAATGGACAGAGCTTCGTAACTTGGAATCGTTCCAAATTACTTTTCATTTTCACTACCTAAAAAAGATGAGAAACAATAAATTACAGAGAAATCTCAAGCTGTAGAGACCAACAGAAAAACAATCTTCTACATATGAAAGTTACTTTTCTTGTAGAATTTTTTTAAATGTAAAAATAAAATAAAAATATACCAATTATATCACATTGTTAACCCTTCAATGTGAATATCTTTCAGTCATAAATACTCATTTGGCCAGACGTGGTGGCTCACGCCTGTAATCCCAGCACTTTGGGAGGCCGAGGTGGGCGGAACACAAGGACAAGAGATTGAGACCATCCTGGCTAACATGGTGAAACCCCGTCTCCGCTAAAAATACAAAAATTAGCTGGGCGTGGTGGCACACGCCTGTAGTCCCAGCTACTCAGGAGGCTGAGGCAGGAAAATTGGTTGAACCCAGGAGGTGGAGGCTGCAGTGAACTGAGATCACACCACTGCACTCCAGCCTGCCGACAGAGTGAGACTCCATCTCAAAAAACAAAAACAACAAAAAATCCCAACTCATTTAAATAGTCACTCATTCATTTATTCATTCATTTAGAGACAGGGTCTCATTCTGTCACCCAGGCTGGAGTGCAGTGGCAACATCATGGCTCACTGCAGCTTTGACCTCTCTAGGCTCAGGTGATCACCTGAGCTACTTTTCATAATTTTTGTAGAGACGGAGTTCTGCCATGTTGCCCAAGTTGGTCTCAAACTCCTGAGCTCAAGCGATCTGCCTGCCTTGGCCTCCCAAAGTGCCCGGTTTAGTGGCTCATGCCTGTAGTCCCAGCTACTAGAGAGGCTGAGGTGGGAGAATCACCTCAGCCCAGAAGGTAGCGGCTGCAGTGAGCAGAGATCACTCCACTGCACTCCAGCCTGGGTGACAGCGTGAGACCCTGACTCAATAAATAAAATAAAATAAAATAATTATTGTCTTTCAACGTATGAATATACCAAATGCTTCTCTAACCAACCCCCTTCTGGTAGATATTTAGGCCATTTCCTCTATCTTAGAGAGTGGTAGACCATCTCTAGCTAAGTATTTGCATTCCTAATTATTTCCTAAATTTCTAAATGTTGAATTTCATTTGAAGTTTCATTTGAATGCTGAAGTAAAAGCATCTAAAAAAACACTAGCAGTGGAAGAAAGGACTCTTGGCTACTTGGTCAACATTGATCATTTTAAGATTTTTGTTCTTCTGCAAATTAGTAGGTGAAAAAAATATTCTTTTAAAAAATTTATTTATGTATTTTTTGGAGACAGAGTCTTGCTATGTTGTCCAGGCTGGTCTCCAACTCCTGGGCTCAAACAATTCTCCCGCCTCAGCCCCGCCAAAGTGTTGGGATTACAGGTGTGAGCCACCGTGCTTGGCCAAAATGTTCTTTTACTGTAGCTGTAATTTATCTGCATACTGGTAAGTGTGAGCATTTCCCCTTAATCTTCCTAGGCCACTCCATTCTTTAGTGAGTTGCTTGTAAAGTGTTTGCCTATTGTGCTTAATGAGGTCTTTATCTTTTACTTAATCATAGTTTATGAAAGCAATTTATAGTATTACTATTAATGTTACATTTTTCATTTGTCAACTGTCCTTTAATTGGTTAAAGCGGTTTTAGTGTTAAAAAGCTAGTGCTATATTTGTTGTCAGTTCTTATTTTGGATTTTGTTATCCCTGAAAAACGTATCAAATATAAATAACTTTATTGATGTAATTTGTTTTGGGTCTCTATTCACAGTGGCTTGGAGGTAGATACAAGTTTTAAGTTGTATGATTATTAGTTATGGAACTCGTCTGGATCTCAGTTTCCAAATCTATAAAATGGGTACCAATAGCTACTCCATAAAGATGCTGTGAGGTTTACATGAAACGATGTATGCAAAAGAGTTATCCCAGTGTCTGTCACATGGTAAGACTCAATAAAACTTTCCAATTTCAAAACTTCTTGTAAGTCACTACCACAATTATCTGGCTGTCTTCAGAACTGGTTCTAACCTTTTCTTCTAGGAATGGCGTATTAACAGGAAAGCAGGACCAGAAATGTCGTAGAAGTTCTCCAACAGCTACATATAAGTGTTTCAATTCAGATTGAATATCATTTGGCACCATCTCTGCAAAAGAAGAACAAGGCCCATAGGTTAAGAGCTATTTTAACATATACAGTCTCGAAAAAAATGACCACTCAGAGAATAAATTTGAATGTGTACTCTTTGTCAATGCCAAACCAGGATGTGCTATTTTCAGATAAGTTAGTAATTTTGTGGCTGAGAGATCATAAAATTTAAAAGCTCTTGGGATTTCAAAGAAACTTTCAGGTTTCCCCTTTATTCTAAGAGGTAGGGGAGAAGAAAGGAGCTTTTACTATGATATTAGAGAAACTAGCAATGTACCACTATTTGTAATAGTAAGACGGTTCTGAAACCTAAGATCTTGTCTAGATGTGTTTCAGAATCTGAATGTATAAAAACAAATCTACAAAATAGAAATCCCAGGATTATTCCAAGGAAAAACCAATAAAAGTTCAGCACTCCTCCCAGCTTGCTTTTTAAAGCTGATTTAGGCAGAAAGTAGTAGAAGATGGCCCGGCACATACGGTTTATGGCTTGCTGTGTTCCTCCCTGCATAAGTGCCCCTCCAGGTGACAGTGCTGTGATGGTACTACTGGCAGCACTACTTGAGAGAACCTGAAAAAAATGAAGATGCATTAAAACTGGTTTTCCTCCCTTTTTTTTTTTTGCCACCTCTCTTTCTTAACATTTTAGTTTTAGAGCAGACAATGAAGTGCTTTTCCTTTTGTTTAAATACTACATCATTTACAGTGGTCAAAGTGAACTATTTTCCTTGAGGGCAGAAACACAATCCGTGTAGAAAGAAGATACCTACAAATCTCCCAGGCATGCCAGGCAAGTCCACAGGGACCTCAAAACTCCCAAGGTTTTGCCTAGTTAAAGCCCTTTCTTAAGTACCAATTCAATTTAATATGAGAACTCTTACCACTGAAGGTAAAATTGAGTTTAAGGAAAGAAAACAGGTAAAACAACATGTTAACCTGTATCCTTTGTTTCTGTTAAATTTATTTTTCTAAGAAACAAAATCTTGTTATGTTGCCCAGGCTGAACTTGAACTCCTGGGCTCAAGCAATCCTCCTCCCTCAGCCTCCTGAGTAGCTGGGACAGACTACAGGTGTGTACTCCGCACCTGGCTTTGCTAACATATACCCTTGATAACAGAGTGGGGGAAAAAAAAATAAAGAGCAGAAATTTATTAACTGTCATTTAATTTTCAAGGAAGTGAATAAATATAGCCAAAAGGGGGAAAAATATACTCCCCACTGTATCAACATCAACATTTAGGAAAAAATTGACCTATCTATTCGATGAGTGCCTATCAAGTGCCAGGTACTGTAGGGAGGCACTGCTATAGGGAGGAACAAATAATTTGTGAAACAGCAAGTGCAGGGTTAGCATCTCTAAGATTTTCCAATGAAGTTTTTATGAGTAGAAATCCATCCATGTATAGATTGGATGAAAACATTTTTTCAACTTAGTGTAAAAGTACAGTATGGGACAACCATGAGTGAAGGGGACATTGGAGCTCACTTTATTCCTATTTTCCTTTTGTCAGATACCAGCCTGGGCAATATGGTGAAACCCTGTCTCTACAAAAAATACAAAAAAATTAGTTGGGCATGGTGGTGCATGCCTGTAGTCCTAGCTACTTGGGAGGCTGAGATGAGAAGATCATTTGAGCCTGGGGAAGTTGAGGCTGCAGTGAGCTGAGATGGTGTCACTGCACTCCAGCCTGGGCAACAAAGCAAGACCCTGACTGCAAAAAAAAAAAAAAAAAAACAAAGATTGACTACAGTGTAAAAAAATTACATGGGGAGAGCTGGGCATGGTGGCTTACAATTATAATCCTAGTGACTCAGGAGGCTGAGGTGGGAGCATCGCCTGAGCCCAGGAGTTCAAGGTTGCAGTAAGCTATGATAGTGCTACTGCACTCCAGTCTGGGTGACAGAAACCTCACCTCTAAATCAAACAAACACCACCACCCCCAAGACAAAAGTTATGTGGGTCTACTCGGGCCCAAGGGCCAGATACTGGACAACTATAGTCTACATTGAAAGAATTGGTCAAATAATCCCAGGTTGGTTATGTGTGCATTTATGTACACATATGTATTTTCTAGCTTTCTGCTGAAGGGACAATGACACCCCAATGTATACCTAGTGCCCAGATTTTTTTTTTTTTTTTTTTTTGAGACAGAGTCTCACTCTATTGCCCAGGCTGGAGTGCAGTGGTGCGATCTCGGCTCACTGCAACCTCCGCCTCCCAGGCTCAAGCAATTCTTCTGCCTCAGCCTCCCGAGTAGCTGAGACTACAGGTACGCACCACCATACCCAGTTAATTTTTGTATTTTTGGTAGAGACGGGGTTTTGCCATGTTGGCCAGGGTGGTCTAGAGCTCTCAAGTGATCTGCGTGCCTCGGCCTCCCAAAGTGCTGGGACTATAGGTGTGAGTCACTGTGCCCGGTCCCAGATCTTGGTTCCTACCTTGATCCACTCAGTGCTAAAAAGAAAATTCCACGCCTGGGACAGGGCAGATGTAAGATAAGCCTGGAACATCTATCTTACTATACCATTCAGTAAGGAGGGGCTAAGAATGACGGGGATATTGTCAGAAAGACACAGGAGAGCCTGTGTGAAGTGGGTAGGAAGGGTTTGACTGTAAAGGGGCATGGGTAGACTTTCTGGGGTGACAGAACCGGTTTTTTAAAATCTTGATTTTGTTGGTGGCTACACAACAGCATGTGTTTATCAAAACTTGTAGAATAGCAGACTTAAAAAGATAAATTTCATTTTGGGAGGCTGAGGCAGGTGGATCGCTTGAGCTCAGGAGTTCGAGACCAGCCTGGGCAACGTGGTGAAACCCTGTCTACACACAAAAATATAAAAATTAGCCAGGGATGGTGACACATGCCTGGAGTCCCAGCTACTTAGTTACTTGGAGGGCTGAGGTGAGAGGATTGCTTGAACCTGGGAAGTCAAGGCTGCAGTGAGCCGAGATTGTGCCACTACACTCCAGCCTGGGGGACAAAGTGAGACCCTGTCTCGAAATAAATAAATAAATAAGTAAATTTATTTATTTATTTTACTGTATGTTAAGTTGTACCTTGGTTAATAAAAAGAAAAAAGGCTGGGCGTGGTGGCTCACGCCTGTAATCCCAGCACTTTGGGAGGCTGAGGCGGGTGGATCACGAGGTCAGGAGATCGAGACCATCCTGGCTAACACGGTGAAACCCCGTTGCTACTAAAAATACAAAAAAATTAGCCAGGCGTGGTGGCGGGCGCCTATAGTCCCAGCTACTCCAGAGGCTGAGGCAGGAGAATGGCGTGAACCTGGGAGGCGGAGCTTGCAGTGAGTGGGGATCATGCCACTGCACTCCAGCCTGGGCAACAGAGCAAGACTCCGTCTCACAAAATAAAAATAAAAAAAAAATAAAGAAAAATTAAAAAAATTTTAAAAAAAAGGAAAAAGAAAAAAACGGCCTGTAATCTCAGCACTTTGGGAGGCCGAGGCGAGTGGATTGCTTGAGCTCAGGAGTTAAAGACCAGCCTGGGCAACATGGCAAAACCCTGTCTCTACCAAAAATACAAAAACTTTGCCAGGCATGGTGGTGAGTGCCTGTGGTTTCAGCTACTTGGGGGGCTGAGGTGGGAGGATCGCTTGAGCCAGGGAGGTGGAGGTTGCAGTGGGCCGAGATCATGCCACTGCACTTCAGCCTGGGTGACAGAGTGAGACCCCATCTCAAAAACAAAAACAAAAACAAAAAGAAACAAAGAAAAAAAGATAGCAACAGTGTTTAACTCATAAATGAATCCATGCTGATATAAATAACAAACAGAGGAGAAGGGAATGCTCTTCCTTTCATGTCAGCTGATATACATAGAAGGGCTGATGGAATTAGAAAATCATCATTTAACAACTGCTCTTCCAGGCAAGAATCATCAGTGATTCTAAAAAAACTACCAGATGTAAGTTTGTTGTGTGGTGACACATGCCTATAATCCCAGCTACTCAGAAGGCTGAGGCAGGAGGATTGCTTGAGTCTAGGAGTCTGAGGTTGAACGGAGCTATGACTGTGCCACTGCACTACAGCCTGGGCATCAGAGCAAGACCCTGTCTCTAAAGATAATAATATTAAAAAATAAAAATAAAAAATTTGGTGACAAATGGGGTATTTATATAGTCTCAAAGTACAGCTCCACAAGATATGTATTAATTACAAAGGGAAAAATAGTTAACTTTTTGGTGGAGAAACCAGGCAAATACTACCTTTAACCAAGTGAAAAAATTTAATATCACAAGCTAGGATATATACAAATCATTTGCCTCCTGATATGACACACTGAGTAGGATACAACATTACTTCTGTGGAGTTTCTGGCAAAAATGCCTAATGTGAATCTAGTCATGAGGAAACATTAGGTAAATTTAAGGTCATTCTACAAAAAATTGCCCAGTACTCTTTCAATGTCAAAGTTATGAAAAGACAAAGATTGACAAATCATTCCATTTTAAAGGAGACTAAAAACACATGAGAAATAAATACAACTCATAAACCCAGCTTGTCTGCTGGACCAAGAAAAGCTTTCTTTTGCTATGTAGAACATTAGTGGTATAACTGGTGAAAATGTAGTAAGATATATAGACTAGATAACACATCATCAATGTTAACTTACTAATTCTATAATTGTACTGTTATTTAAGAGAATGTCTTAGTTTTTTGAAAATATACATCGAAATATTTAGGGGTAAAGGGAAATTATGCCTGTAACCTTCTCTCAAAATGGGTTGGAAAACATATTTTTCTGTCACTTTCTGTAAAATCTGAGATTTCAAAATAAAAAGTAAAAAAGTAAGTCTTGATGTGTGATAAATAACGTAATATAGGTATACACTCAGTGCCTCAGTGCTCATAAAAACGGAGAAAAGGAAAAAACAAATTCTTCTTTGCACTAGTTAAGGATTACTTTCCAGAGGCAATGAAACTGGAGCTGAGTCTTGAGTAATTATTAGTTCCTTGGGGGAGAAACAGGGCTAAGGGAATTCTAAAGAGAAAGAGCATAAGCCGAAGCACAGGAAGCATGAAGGAGATAATGTGATCAAAAGATTCTGGACAGCTTAGTGTGTTAGGCTGGAACCCTTGGCCATGTGTGGAAGGGAGTAGCGGAGACTATCGCTGAAGATGAGACTCGAGTAGTGGGCTGGGGCCAGACTATAAAGAGTTTTGCAGGCCAGACAAAGGCACTCAGACTACTGCAGTGAAGGGAGGCAGTGAAGGTTTTCAAGCCGCAGTGATAAAATACATGTTTTTATTTTTAAATATTTAAATATTTATCTATCTATTTGAGATGGAGCTTCGCTCTTGTCGCCCAGGCTGGAGTGCAATGGCGCGGTGTCAGCTCACTGTAACCTCTGCCTTCCAGGTTCAAGTGATTCTCCTGCCTCAGCGTCTTGAGTAGCTGGGATTACAGGTGTGTGCCACCACGCCCAGTTAATTTTTAAATTTTTAGTACAGACGGGTTTCACCATGTTGGTCAGGCTGGTCTCGAACTTCTGACCTCACGTGATCCACCCACCTCGGCCTCCCAAAGTATTGGGATTACAGGCGTGAGCCACTGTGCCCGGCCAAAATAAGTGATTTTAGAAAGACAACTTGCAGTAGCATTATGGAAAATCAATCAGGTTTGCCTAAATAAGGGTGATAGAATCAAGAAGTATTATTGAAGGCAGAACTGACAAATTGCTGATCAACTGAAGTACGAAGAGAAACAAAGAACAATGATGAGCTGTTTTACATATTTTAAGCCTGAGTCATGCAGAATATTCAGAGAATAATGTCCAGACAGAATTTGGAAACCTGGGAGATTTTCCCAATAAAAGTATATGGAAGTAAAAATCACAAAATTCATCAACTTATTTTTTTTCATTATCATCTTATCTTCAGATGCCTCTTGAATATGCCAAACACCTTTTCTTGCTACCTCTTGATTTTTTCAATTTATTTAGCAGAACTATGTCTTTAAGCCCAATTAAAATATTAGTTGTATGGTTCAATCTGCTTGTGCTCATAAACTGAGGAAGGAACTATGGGAATTCTGGCCTTCAAACAGTAGAAGTCACCTACCTGAGTTAACTTGGGTGTATAAGCTTCCATTTCTTGTCTAATACTTTGAAAAGAATTAATAATGTCCTGACTTGTTGCATACTGTAGTGACTGGATTGGAGTTGGACCATGATAATACCTGCAGGTTAGCACAGAAGAAATTACTAATCACACACAGTAAAGATGCTCAACATTTGTCTTTGCAACATTTTAGCAGTCAGTACTAAGTTCCCCTCAAGGCAAGAAACGATAAGTAAAGAGATTTCAATAAAATAATTTAATTCCCATAAGGGCAATAAGAAAGCAACAGCAGAAAGATCCACATTTATTGTCATGGGTTTGATCATTTTTGCTTCCTGAGAAGCCTAAATTTTAAACAGAAAAGGATATTGTACTTTGATGGTGACGAACTGATTAAAACATGAGTGCTATACTTGTAGGATATATTTTGGACTGAATTGTTACATAGCTATTCTGCTTAATATTGACCAAACTTACCTATCTGACTTCTTGAGGTTTAGTGCAATCGTTTTTACAGAATTATTTTTCCCCAAGTCTTCATATTCAATGGACTCTTGTAATTTCGCCTATAATTATTAACACAGTACTTTTTATTTTGTCACAACTTTCTCTTACACAATAAACATGACTGAAAAAACAAAACTGTACAGAGGGTAAAAAATGAAGTCTTCCCACCATGAGCTTCTCTTCCTAGAGATGACTGTCCTACAAATGGCTGAACCAATTTTCTCAACAACTACTTAAGAATACTAGTTTTCTTACACTCTGACCACATGAAGTATTATTGAACTTTTTACTTTTGCCAATCTGGTAGGTGAAAGTTTACATTTTATTATTTTTTCCCCAAATGAATGATCTGTTATGCTCTCCACTATTTTTATATTGGGTACTTTTTAAAAAATAAGACTTTTAAATATTAAGGAAACAGTCTTTTACATGTTGTAAATACTTTATCTTCCAGTTTGGTGTTTTTTTGTTTTGTTTTGTTTTAATTATAAAAAAATCCTCTCCTCGGCAGGTGCCTGTAATCCCAGCTACTTGGGAGGCTGAGGCAGGAGAATCGCTTGAACCCGGGAGGCAGAGGTTGCAGTGAGCTGAGATCACGCCACTGCGTTCCAGCCTGGGCGACAAGTGAGACTTCATCAAAAAAAAAAAAAAAAATTCCGCCTCTTTGCCCGCTTTTTGCTTATACATCTGTGGCTTAAAAAATTTTTTTTTTCTAGGCGCATATCACCACCTCCCCAGCCAAACTCAGTCTCCTAAATTGCGGAGATTACAGACACATGCTACCATGCTCAGCTTCCGGCTTAATTTTTGCTTAATCTTAGATCCACTCAGAATTTATTTTGGATTAGGAGTAAAATAGGGAATCTAAGTTTCTTTTAACAAAATTATCAATCAGTGCTTCTAACACCATTTGTAAAATAATTTACCTTTTCCCACTGATTTTTAAAATGTCATGTGTATCATACATATGCTTAATTCCTCCACGTATTTGGGTTTACTTCTGGACTCTTTTAGTAATTTTATTCATTAATTTTATTAATCTGTTACCCCCTGTGCTATTAACAACCTGCTTAAATTTTTACAGCCTTGTAATAATACAAACATATTACTTATGAAAGATACATGATCTATGTAAACATTTGTGCAAATCAGCCTTGAAATATTTCATCCTCTACAAAGCTATGAAATTCATCTGGTCAACTCTTATTGACTACCAAGACTAGAATCAGAACATTCAGGTTATTAACTATACCTCAAAAAACGTCAATCTGAAAACTTAACGTTTTAAATTGCTCCAGCTTTAAGATTCTAAATAGTCCCTTTATGGTACAGGAACAAATCTGACCTCACATGAAGTCACAAATCTGACCTCAATCTGAAAACTTAACGTTTTAAATTGCTCCAGCTTTAAGATTCTAAATAGTCCCTTTATGGTACAGGAACAAATCTGACCTCAGAGAAACACATCCTTACCTAGACTCAGCCTGACTTTTTTTTTTTTAACTACTTTCTCAACTCTATACCTTTCAGCCAACTTCAAGGATTACTGATGTCTTCATGATTTTTGACATATGTCAAGCTTATCTCTACCCCTGCTGTTGCCTTACCTATGACATGTCCCTACCCAAGCTCCCATAACAATCCAAATCCTAAACTTATGCCAAGGCCTTGTTAGGTCACCTGACTTTCACACTTAAATGAAAGCTCCATCAAGGTAGGGACTCTGTCTGCTATTAATTCTGAATCTCTCATTCTACAAGTGAGAGAATCTATAAATTGTAACCCTTTATAGAATAAACAGCAGTCAACCACTGACTTGGAAGAATAGTTAGAGCCAGCATTTACCACTGAATACTGATAGCCCCTGACTTACAATGGTTTGACTTGGAATTTTTCAACTTTATGATGGTGTCAAAGTGATTCACATTCAGTAGAGAAACCATATTTTGAGTACCCATACATTGTTTTTCACTTTCAGTATTCAATGAGTTACATGAGATATTCAACATTTTATTAGAAAATACACTTTATAGTAGGTAATGCTGCCCAACTACAGGCTAATCTAAGTGTTCGGAACACATTTAAAGTAGGATAGGCTAAACTATGGTGTTCCATACATTAGGTGTATTCAATGCATTTTTGATTTACAGTATTTGCAACTTATGAGTTTATTGGGATGTAGCCCCATTTAAGTCGAGAAGCATCTGTATTGTAAAAATTCACACAAGTAAATAAATTTCTTTTTTATTTTTTCTTTGAGATGGAGTCTTGCTCTGTCATCCAGGCTGGAGTGCAGCGACGCGATCCCAGCTCACTGCGAACTCCGCCTGCCAGGTTCAAGTGATTTTGCTGCCTCAGCCTCCCAGGTAGCTGGAATTACAGGCGCACGTCACCATGCCTGGCTAATTTCTGTATTTTTAATAGAGACAGGGTTTCACCATGCTGGCCAGGCTGATCTAGAAATTCTGACCTCAAGTGATCCACCCACCTTGGACTCCCAAAGTGCTGGGACTACAGGTGTGAGCCACGGCTCCTGGCCAAGAAATTTCTGATAACTTGTTCACCACCAAGAATCAAGGGTACTCAGCCCAACAGTATACAAAGAAAGTATCACTTAATAGATTTCTTCTCTAACTTCTCTATAACTTATTATTAGCTTTGCTTTAGTTCAAAAAAGAAATACCTCACTGGCTTTATTAATTTTATAGGTAATACATGCCTGTAAAAACATTAAGTTACTGAAATAGGCTGGCACAGTGGCTCATGCCTGTAACCCCAGCACTTTGGGAGGCTGAGATGGGCGGATCACATGAGGCCAGGAGTTCAACACCAGCCTGGCCAATATGGCAAAACTCCGTCTCTACTAAAAATACAAAAATTAGCTAGGTATGGTGGTGCACGCCTGTAATCCCAGCTACTCCGGAGGCTGAGGCAGAAGAATTGCTTGAATCCAGGAGGCAGACGTTGCAGTGAGCCGAGATTGCAGTGAGCTGAGATTGCACCACTGCACTCCAGCCTGGGTGACAGAGCAAGACTCTGTCTCAAAAAAACAAACAATAACAACAACAAAAACATTAAATTACTGAAATAAATGAAAGAAATTAAGACTTACCCATACTCTCTTTATTGAAAGATAACCGTTTAGCATATTCATTTGAAGGCCCTTTTAAAGCTCACAAACTATTTTTTTTGTGTGTAAAACTGTACTGTACAATCTGTTCAGTGAACTCTTTGATGCAATATTATCATTAATGCTTTCAAAATAATGAACAGTTGCATCAATCTCTATTGTATTAATGCAACACAGATAACAGAATCCTTGCTACTGTCTTTATTATGATACTGTAATGAATATTTCTATCTAAATCTTAGTATACATCTTTCTTAAGAAATAAATGTCCACAAGTAGAACTAAGGGTGTAAAGCTTTAAACATTTAATACACATTGCCTGACTGCTCTCTAAGAAAGCTTTATCATAATTAGGAAGGGAGGTACAAAATAGCGTGGCAAAGTTGCAGGAGAAGAATAAATACACAAGCAGCTAATTCTGTCCATCCTTCTCCACACCCTCAAATGATTTCTTCAATATTTAATGAGAAGACACTTTCAGCTCTGAAATGCTAGGTTTAACATGAGGGCCAATTCACTTTCTTTGAAAAATCATATACATGAAACTTCGGTTTTTCTGTCATATTGCCTCTGTTGAATGAAGATTTTATTCCCAGAGAACAAAATCACATATAAGAACAATCTGTATGTATGTGTACATGTGAGGAAAACAAACAAACAAACAAACAAAAAACAATAAAAATGGCTAACAGGCTAGAGTCAATGGAAAGTTGGCTGGCAAGCCAAAGCTGGGGAAATACTCTTTGTAATGCTATACACTTTAAGCCAAATGCTTAACATCTTAGTTAGAAGAACTGAGTCACAGGAAATAAGCGTATACAGTACTTGCAGTCACATAAAGTATTTGGAGAAACTTGAGCCCCAAATGGTTCATATTTTTTTGCCCATACCCTTTTGACTGCTGGCTGAAAGCAGTCTGCATCTCCGGAATTTCCATCCATGTTGCTGGGCTCACTAGTTTGTTCATTTTGTGCTTCTCTTAAAATAAAGGGGAAAAAAAAGTTAACGTTAAAAACCACAAGCAAAACAACACCACAACTCCATCTGGATATCCTGAAAAGCCCAGTTACTGCACCTCTGCATTTATACTTAACTGTTTTCTGAGTCCAGCTGCCAGGACCATGGCACTGTGATGGTTAAATCTCTTGATGATGGCAGCATTACTATTCTCTTTTATGGATTTAGAATTGGAAGCAGATGGCACAGAGGAAATGCCATAGCCCTGTGAGAAATAATAGATTAAAAATTTTTTAAAAAGGTTCTGCTTTTCTTATTATAAGACACGCTTAGCTGAAAAAATTTGCTGGATGATGGGACTTTTATTACTTCTCACGAACATTAAATATTTATGAACAAACATTTAAAAACAAGTGACATTATGCACATAAAAGATTAACAAATAGCACTAACTCGTTTTAGCATTACAAAATACATCTTAAACTGAATTTCTCTCTGTTTTTGAGATGGAGTCCCGCTCTGTTGCTCAGGCTGGAGTGCAACCTTCGCCTCCTGCATTCAAGTGATTCTCTTGCCTCAGCCTCCTGAGAAGCTGGGATTACAGGCGCCTGCCACCACGCCCGGCTAATATTTTGTATTTTTAGTAGAGATGGGGTTTCACCATGCTGGTCAGACTGGTCTTGAACTCCTGACCTCAAGTGATCCGCCCACCTTGGCCTCCCAAAGTGCTGGGATTACAGGTGTGAGCCACCGTGCGTGGTCTGCATTTCTCTTTTAAAGAACAATTTGGATCTAGTTATCAAAACGTTAAATAAAAGCAATAGAGTCAGGATACCTGTAATCCCAGCACTCTGGGAGGCCAAGGTGGGCGAGTCACCTGAGGTCAGGAGTTCAAAACTAGCCCGGCCAACATGGTGAAACCTCATCTCTATCAAAAATACAAAAATTAGCCAGGTATGGTGGCACACACCTGTAATCCCAGCTGTTGGGGAGGCTGAGTGAGGCAGGAGAATCACTTGAACCCAGGAGGCAGAGGTGGCAGTGAGCTGAGATTGCACCACTGCACTCCAGCCTGGGTGACAGAGTGAGACTGTCTCAAAAAAAAAAAAAAAAAAAAAAGTAAATAAAAAGAATAGAATATAGTGAGAAAAACACTGACTATGGATTCAGAAAGATAAAGAGTCAAATTCTTTTTCTAACGTTAATCTAGGCAAGATAAACTTTTCCAAGCTCTATAAAGTAGGATAAAAGAGAATAAAATGAGATTATATTTTAAAACATGTATTGAGTGCACGCTACTTGCTAGACCATGTAGATACAAAATTGATTAAGACCCCATGCCATAGGAGCTTAAATACTAGTTAGTGGGAAGCTGGGCTGGAGAGAATTACTAATCAATCCTACTGGAGAAGAGGGTTCGAAAAAGGTTCACAGAGAACCATAAGATAAACTGGTGCTTGCCAAGTAGATCGGAGACAATAACATTTCAGGGAGAGGAAACTGCTTAAACAAAGGCAAAGAGGCACTGTGGTCCTGATTATTTGGGAGGTTGAGGCAGAAGAACTGTTGAGCCGAAGAGTTCAAGTCCAGCCTGGCAACACAGTGAGACCTTGTCTCTATTTAAAAATAAAACAAAACACAAGCAAAGCAGCAATGTAGTACATATTGTGTCATGAGACTGTATATGGTTCAATACACTAATAACGGTGGTCCAGGAATTGGTGAGGCTAAAAAGGTGAAAGAAAGATCATGAGACTCATATGGGCCAGGCGTGGTGGCTTACGCCTGTAATCCCAACACTTTGGGAGGCTGAGGCGGGTGGATCATGAGGTCAGGAGATCGAGGCCATCCTGGCTAACACGGTGAAATCCTTTCCGTACTAAAAATACAAAAAATTAGCCGGGCGAGGTGGCGGACGCCTGTAGTCCCAGCTACTCAGGAGGCTGAGGCAGGAGAATGGCATGAACCCCAGGGGGCAGAGCCTGCAGTGAGCCGAGATGGTGCTACTGCACTCTAGCCTGGGTGACAGCAAGACTCCGTCTCAAAAAAAAAAAAACTCATATGTGCTGGGTGTGGTGGCTCACGCCTGTAATCCCACCACTTTGGGAGGCTGAGGTGGGTGGGTCACCTGAGGTTGGGAATTCAAGACCAGTCTGGTCGTGGTGAAACCCTGTACTAAAAATACAAAAATTAGCTGGGCGTGGTGTGTGCCTATGATCCCACCTACTCAGGAAGCTGAGGGAGGAGAAGTGCTTGAACTCGGGAGGCAGAGATTGCAGTGAGCTGAGATCACGCCACTGAACTCCAGCCTGGGCAAAAGGGCACGACTCCATCTCAAAAAAAAAAAAAAAAAGATCCATATGCTGTTCATCAATGTATCAAATAATTACTAAGTGATTATTACTACATGACATGCGCTAGGAACAGGCCAATAAACAGAACAAAGTCAGCTTCATGAAGATTACACTCTGAGAGGAGTGTGAATGCAATTATCAAGTAAAACAAGGTAAACACAATATTTTTTGAAAGTGGAAAATGTCATTGAATAAAACAGAGGGTAACATGATGAAGTGACTGAATTTGTGGGTGGTTAGAGAAAGCCTCTCTGAAGCACGCAACTTTTTAATTTTTAATTTTTAAATTTATATTTTTATTTTTTTTTGAGACAGGTTCTCGCTCTGTTGCCCAGGCTGGAGTGCAGTGGTGCAATCGCAGTTCACTGCAGCCTTGACCTCCTGGGCTCAAGTGATCCTCCTACCTTAGCCTCCCGAGTAGCTGGGACTGCAAGTGTATACCACTATGCCCAGCTAATTTTTAAATTAAAAAAAAAAAAAGTTTAGAGATGTGGTCTCACAATGGACTCAAACGATCCTCCCACCTCAGCCTCCCAAAGTGCTAGGATTAAAGGCATGAGCCACCCCACCTGGCGAGAAATGACATTAGAACAGGTATCTAAAGATAGGCAGAAGCTGGTTAGGGAACAAGCAGGTAGAAGATCAGTTAAGTGCATAGGCCCTGAGGTAGAAAAAGCGTGGCATGGAAGTGAATGGTCATTATGTCTAAAGCATGAATGAGTAGAAGTGGCCCCAACTGAGAAGTATGCAGGAGCCAAATCTAGCAGTCTTGTAGGAGTTTTGATTTTATTCTAAGCTCAATGAGAAGATAATGAAGAGATTCACATAGGGGATTATTAGGATCTGATTTATATTATAATCCTTTTTTTTTTTTTTTTTTTTGAGACAGTCTCACTCTGTCACTCAGGCAGGAGTGCAGTGGTGCAATCTTAGCTCACTGCAGCCTCTGCCTCCCCGGTTCCAGCGACTCTCCTGCCTCAGCCTCCTGGGTAGCTGGAATTACAGGCATGTGCCGCCAGGCCCGGCTAATTTTTGTATTTTTAGTGGAGATGGGGTTTCACCATGTTGGCCAGGCTGGTCTCAAACTCCTGACCTCAGGTGATCCACCCACCTTGGCGTCCCAAAGTGCTCGATCACAGGCACGAGCCACCACGCCCGGCCTATATTATAATTATTACTGCTAGGGGAGAATAAACTATAAAAGACAAGATAGCAAAAATAAAGGTTAGAAGGCTAAGGCAAGCAAACAGGCCAAAGATGATGATACCGTAAACATGAAAGGGTGTAAGCGTTTGTGTAGATCCCACAGATGAGAGGTGTATTGTACGAGGCTTGTTGATACACTGAATGCTGGACATAACAGGAGGAAAACATGGCTGGCTGCAATGGTTCACGCCTGTAATCTCAGCACTTTAGGAGGCCGAGGTGGAAAAATAGCTTGAGCCCAGGAGTTCAGACCAGCCTGGGAAATATAGGGAGACCCTGTCTCTACAAAAAATAAAATTAGCCAGGTGTGGTAGCCTGTGCTACAGTCCCAGCTACTCAGGAGCCTAAGGCAGATTGCTTGAGCCCAAGAGGTCAAGATTGCAGTGAGCCATGATTGTGCCACTGCACTCCAGCCTGGGCAACAGAGTGAGCCCGTCATAAAAAAGAAGAGGAAGAATCAAGGAGACTCGCCGACTCCCAGGTTTTTGGCTTGAGCAAATTGTAATGCTTTTTACTAAGAGAGGGAATACCCATGGAGATACGTTTATGAGGATGGGAATCAAAGATTCCATTTTACATGTGAAGTTGAGATGTCTTTGAAATACCTGAGAGGAGATGTCAAGTAGGCAGCTAGAGCTCTGCAGTCAAAGACAGACTATGGTTATTCAGGATTCATCATTATGTAACAAGAATGTTTTTATTTTTATTTTTACTCCCTCCCCTGTTCCCCATATCTAGTAAAGCAATGGAATAGAGAGAATGCATTCAGGAGGCCATAGATCATAGCCTGTGATAGTTACTATAACCAGAAGATTGAGAAGGAAAGAAGGAACACCAAATGAAAAATGGCATCAACCAATATTTGTAGTAAAAAGATTGGTTATATAAATGTTGATATACCCATACCAATGGAATACTATGCAGGCATCTAAAAATACAGATAACAACAATAATGCCTATTACCTACTACTTATTACGCACTAGGCTCTTTTAACTCATAGAAATCCTATAAGGCAAGTACTATTAGCCTCACTAAGGAAAACAAAAACAAAAACAAAAAAACTGGGCTTGGGCCGGGCACAGTGGCTCACATCTGTAATCCCTGCACTTTGGGAGGCCGAGGTGGGTGGACCACCTGAGGTCAGGAGTTCAAGATCAGCCCGGCCAACATGATGAAACCCCGCCTGTACTAAAAATACAAAAATTAGCCTGGCGTGGTGGCATGTGCCTGTGATCTCAGCTACTCGGGAGCCTGAGGCAGGAGAATCGCTTGAACCCAGGAGGTAGAGGTTGCAGTGAGCCGAGCTCAGGCCACTGTACTCCAGCCTGGGCAACAGAGTGAGATCCCATCTCAAAAAACAGAACAAAACAAAACAAAACAAAAACCAAACAGGGCCTAGAAATGTTAGAAGATATCAGAATCTAAGTCAGCTAGTTTGGTTTTAAAGTCTATGTTTTAAACTATGGGATGGTTTATACAGCTATTGATACTAAACAGAAGATAAAGTTACAAATGTACATGTACAATATGCCATCATGTTTATTTTAAAGAAAAAAAAAGCACTAAAAAAGTCTTCCTTTCATACTAAGTTGTAAGTCTAAGCGCCACTAAGCTTTATTTTCTCAGGATAATTAAAGAGGGCCATGTTTGTATAGATTCTTCTTCACTTCTGAAAGGGTGATGTCCTGAAAAACTCACTGTATGATCAAAGTATAAATTGAAAATACACTGGCTGGGCGTGGTGGCTCATGACTGTAATCCCAGCACTTTGGGAGGCCAAGGTGGGCAGATCACCTGAGGTAAGGAGTTTGAGACCAGCCTGGCCAACGTGGCAAAACCCTGTCTCTACTAAAAATACAAAAATTAACTGGGTGTGGTGGCACGTGCCTGTAATTCCAGCTACTTGGGAGGCTGAGGCAGGAGAATGGCTTTAACTTGGGAGGCAGAGGTTGCAGTGAGCCAAGATTGCGCCACTGCACTCCAGCCTGGGCAACAGAGTGAAACTCTTTCTCAAAAAAAAAAAAAAAAAAAAAAAAAAAGAGACAGAAAAAGAAGAAAAATAAGAGCAAGAAAATGAAAACTCAGAGTAAAGGGAATAACTGAGGAAGACAAGTTCTGGCCTAGAAGACAGAGGCAGTGATAAAATTATCCTTGATCACAACAGGAACCATCTCTTTCTCTGCAAGTAGATAAATCTGTAGGTCTGGGGTCATGATGCTGAGGTAGGTAGGTCATACATGATGGCCTACTTGCTGAAACATTGGGGTTGGCATGGTATAAGGGTCATGAGAGTGCTTAAGGTTTGGCAGATAGTAAGCAATCAACAAATGTTTGTTATCTTCCTTATTTATTAATTTATCCATATTTCTTTAGATTAAATGTTAGCTAGAGCATAAAGCTGAACTCATCACATTAAGCCTTTATTATTACTAGAGAACTGCGGATGAGGGAGCTAGAAATTTATTTTTAAAAGGTTTTAGCAACTCACACAGGAATTTCATTTCTTCTAGGCAATTTTAATGGCAAACAACGCTATTTCAAAGCACTTCCGATAAATCACTTCAAGTAACAGTATTTTGCTTATTTGACATTCTCACAAGTGGAATAGGTCTACTACGCTTAAGACAATGTTGAAGACTAGGAAAAGACTCTTTTCTCTCAAAACTTCTTTTATTGCTTCTTACCTCATCTAATGGTTTATCTTCCAAAGCTGTTAAATCTAGTAGTGGGTTTTTCACTCCTAATGAAACCATTGTTTTTAGGCCTAGAAAATCAACAAAATAAAAAGTTCAGCATGTCTTATCTGTCTCAGAAATTAACACTTATAATGTCTAGAGGGTGGCAAGTTAAATACCAGTGTCTATCAGAGATAAACAGTTACCTTTTTCATCTATTTTGGCACATTCTGCAAAGAGATCCTTTGACCCTGTATTCAGCCGATCCCTGTGAAAATAATGGGACTGGAAAAAACGTGTCCAGAATTCCTTCTCTGTCATGTTGTGGGGAACATTTTCTGCATATTTCATTTTTACTGTGGAAAAAAACCCACAAATATTATATACTGAATTTCCATTTTTAAAACCTCTCAAATTAGGTAACTGAAATACAAATAGCAAAATCTAGACCATAAAGCTCTCAACTCTACATACTATAAGTTATAATCTAATTATAAATATGAAGGGTAACTTGAGAGATTAGGTGAGGTATGACCTCTATAAATCTTACAAATTACAAACAAAACCTTATTTGCACCAAAAGAATAAGGTTTTGAAGTTTTAGTAGAAATACCAAGAATCTCAGGAGTCAGAGCTGAGTCTGCTTGTTTGCTCATTTATATATGTGCACTCTCAATCCAAGGCACTGTGTTAGCTTGTGGGGTAATAATGATCTCAATATCCACTGGACTGTCAGCTCAGCACTCCAGCGGCTTACACACTAGCAAGCATAGAGTTCAACAGCATTGTTTGCTGAGCTCTGAGTTTAAAATTCCAGGTCTGCCACTTTCTATCTGTGTGACCCTGAGCAAATTACTTAATCTTTCTGCACCCTGGTTTCCTCATCTGTAAAATGAGGGTCATAACAGTACCTCTACTTCATAGGTTTACGTGATGATTAAATCAGTTACTATAGAAAAAGAACTTAGAAAAGCGTCTGGCACATAATAAACACTACACAATTATGTTACCATCAGAAAGATACAAAAGAGCCAGATGCTGTGGCTCAAGCCTGTAATCTCAGCACTTTGGGAGGCTGAGGCGGGCAGATCACTTGAGGTCAGGAATTCAAGACCAGCCTGGCCAACAGGGTGAAACCCCATCTCTACAAAAAATACAAAAAGTAGCTTGGCGTGGTGGCACGTGCCTGTAGTCCCAGCTACTTGGGAGGCGGAGGCAGTAGAATCACTTGAGCCTGGGAGGCGGAGGTTGCAGTGAGCCAAGATCGCGCCACTGCACTCCAGCCTGGTTGACAGAGCAAGACTCTGTCTCAATTAAAAAAAAAAAAAGAGATAGGGTCTTGTTTTGTTGCCCAGGCTAGTCTTGAACCCCTTGCTTCAAGGGATCCTCTTGCCTCAGCCTCCTGAAGTGTTGGGATTACAGGCGTGAGCCACTGGGACTGGCCAGGATTTCATAGAGGTGGCAAGGAGGTGATGCTTGAGCTGAGTCCTGAGAGAGAGATTCCTAAGGGACTAAAGGGGTAAGAGTGGGGAAGAGGGAAGCGAGAACAGAATACAGCTTAAGAGAGTACTGCTTAGTCAGAAGAATGACTGACACACTGGCTCTCATCCTTGTCTACACATAATAAATCACTGAGGCTGGGGTCAAGGAATCTATACTTTTAGGATGGCATCTGCACGGGAAGTAATTTGTGGGTTAGGAAGGTCACTCTGGATGCAGAATGAAGAATGATCTGAGTTAGTAGTACAGACAGACTCGAATGGCAGTCATATTAGTGAACTGATGACAACACATTATTTACTGAGCCCCTAGTATCTACCATATGTCAGGCACTGGGTAAAAAGTACTTTACATAATTTATTGCACTTGATCAGGAATCTGAAGCTTTTTGTTTTTCACTGATATACTATAGAATATATCCATATATTTTAACCATCTGAAAGAACTGATTCTTCTTACCTGCTGGATAGGTCCTAAATATGGACTCAATGATATCAGAAGTTAAATTATATCTTAGACCGTTACAGCCATCAGTTTGGGGCCGGACATCAGCCTAAAACAAAGCCCATACACACATACACGTTAGAGCATCAGGGAAAGATGGCTCAGGTCCCAGTGGACACTGGACAAAGGTGGAAAAAAAAATTTCTGAACTAACTGCATAGACAGAGAAAGTCCCTCACCTTCACTTTTTGCACAGAGGCAGGACTCAAAAAAGCCTGACTGGTTTCTCACGGTCTTAAGTGACCTATAAAATCTGCTCCTTTGGAAGTCTAATATGGTCAAATAGGCATGTTTAAGTATGAAGGCAGAGAGGCAGTGGAGCTTTAAGATAAAACTTGTATAGTCATAAAAATCACTACAAACCTTGGTTAGTAAATAATTAAATTAACATTAACTGACTGACTTCTTTGGGAAAGGCCTTATTAATTCACTTCACTAATAAACATCCAAAAAAGATACCAAACATACAAATAGTATTCAAAATTTTGTTGAATGTGTTAATACTATTCTGGTTCCACTAGAATACCAACTGACTGAATTCCATTCCATAATTCCACAGATAAGGTATTCCCAATTGTTCTAATATAGTTTACAAATCTTACATTTTCTATAATATGGTCATGATACATTTAACCTTGTATTGTAAGTAAAATATGGCAAAGGTTTAAAAAGGCAGCAGAAAGCCCTACATTTGAAAATATTTGAAAAAGTAAGTATTAGTCCAAACTCTGAAAGAGTCATTTTCAAATTCCATTTGACTACCAGCATGCTAGGGTCAAGTCCAAAGGCCAAGAAAACATAACTGGTAAAAAGAAATATAAATTTAAAAAAAATTATATGTATTTTAAAAACATTTTGGAAGAGGGCTGAGTGTGATAGCTCATACTTGTAATCCCAGAGCTTTGGGAGGCTAAGATGGGAGGAACTCTTGAGGCCAGGGATTTGAGACCAGCCTGGGAAATACAAAAAGAGCTGCCCCCCGCCCTATAAAAATAAGAAAATTTAGCCAGGCAAGGTGGTGCACACCTCTAGTCCCAGCTACTTGAGAGGCTGAAGCAGGAGGATCGCTTAAGCCCAGGAGTTTGAGGCTGCAGGGAGCTATCACTGTGCCACTGCACTCCAGTCTGGGTGACAGAGTGAGACCCTGTCTTTTAAAAACAAACAAACAAACAAACATAATAATAATAGTTCAATAATAGTGAAGAATACCATGGATACTCAATTTTCCATTACTTTCCTTTAAGGAAATGCTAAGTTTTACAAAAGGAATAATGGTCTTAAGACACATATTGGGGTTTGAATTTTTATTTTCTTCAGAAATCTAGAAGGCTCACATACCAGAAATGCAGCAGAAATGCCAACATCCTGCTTATGATTGGATGTGGAAGAACTATCTGTTGCATTCACATTTAAACGATTGGCCCAGAATTCCTCAGCACTGATCACTTGACTCACAACAAGGTCTTTATAAAGCTGAAACAAAACAGGATCTTCTTGCAGCATTCTGTAAAGCAGAATATACTGAATATAACTGAACTTCTAGAATAAAACACCATGTAGGTACATTTTAAAAAGATTTTGGCAACACAAAACATTGAAACACACAACTTTTATTTTGTGATGTTTGAGCAGCAGAGGTCCTTCAGTTCACTTTTCAGTAATTAAGAGCAAAATACCCCACATTTTTGGAGGAACAAATGAAGTGGTGATAAATGGAGGTAGGTGTAAAGGAAAGATTAAACCCTTTGAGGACATGGGTTTGATCTTATTCATCTCCGTATCCCAGTGATTCAAAGATCACCATGTCTGCAGTGTACTGTCTGTTGGTATCTGAAAATGCTCAAGTCCGTTAGATAAAATGGTGTATTTACATACAACCTATACATATCCTCCCATATACTTAAATCTTATATTATAAATCTTATAATAATAACTATTTGTAATATCAAATACAAGGTAAATAGTTATATTTTTATTTGTATTATGTTTAATTATCGTACTGTTATTTTTTTCCCAAGTACTTCTGATCCAAAGTTGGTTGAATCTGTGGATGTAGAACTCCTGGATATGGAAGGCTGAATGTATTCTCTTTCATATACAGAAGTAAATGGGCAGAAAAGGAGGTATGCTTGAAATTTTCCAGCAATGAAGTTTTTTTTTTCTTTTTTGAGATGGAGTCTCGCTCTGTCACCCAGGCTAGAGTGCACTGGCATGATCTCAGCTCACTGCAGCCTTTGCCTCCCAGATTCATGCGATTTTCCTGACTCAGCCTCCCAAGTTGCTGGATTACAGGTATGCGCCACTACACCCAGCTAATTTTTGTATACATAGATATGTATTTTTTTTAGTAGACGTGGAGTTTCACCATGTTGGCTGGGTTGGTCTTGAACTTCTGACTTCAAGTGATCCACCCACCTCAGCCTCGAAAAGTGCTGAGACTACAGGCATGAGCCATTATGCCCCGCCTTCAGCAATGGATTTTTCATGGCGCTAAGCATGCACAGATATAAGCACTGCTGGCCTGAAAGATATTGGTGATGGAATAATTCATAAGGAAATTGTGGCCAGGTGTGGCGGTTCACACCTGTTATCCCAGCACTTTGGAAGGCCCAGGCAGGCAGATCACTTGAGGTCAGGAGTTTGAGACCAGCCTGGCCAACGTGGTGAAACCCTGTATTAAAAATAGAAAAATTGGCCAAGTGTGGTGGCGTGTGCCTGTGATACCAGATACTTGGGAGGCTGAGGCAGGAGAACTGCTTGAACCCAGGAGGTGGAGGTTGCAGTGAGCTGAGATCACGCCACTGCACTCCAGCCTGGGCAACAGAGCAAGATTCTGTCTCAAAAAAAAAAAAAAATTCTCATTATTTTACATACTGTCTCACTTTTTCAGTGTGAATTATTTTAGGTTTCTTGTTCATAAGCATACTTCCAATGGCTTAGCATCTTCTCTGTGACAGAGAACTGGGAAAAGAAATTAAGGAACTTCAGCACCTTCCAATCCCGGTTCTGCTCCTAAGCAGATGTTAAGCATGATGCAGTTAATTCAGCTTCTGGGTTTGCACATTCTCGTTTCCCAAAGTCAAACAAGCAGTAAGATTTTAAAGCTGAAAACTAAACACCAAGGTAAAGACACTAGAGCCCATATTTTCCTACATTACAGTATCATAGCAAAAGTGAGGATAGGTGGCCGGGCGTGGTGGCTCATACCTGTAATCCCAGCACTTTGGGAGGCTGAGGTGGGTGGATCACTGGCGGTCAGGAAGTTCGAGACCAGCCTGACCAACATGGTGAAACCCTGTCTCTATTAAAATTACAAAAATTAGCCGGGCATGGTGGCACATGCCTGTAGTCCCAGCTACTCGGGAGGCTGAGACAGGAGAATTGCTTGAACCTGGGAGGTGGAGGTTGCAGCGAGCCAAGATTGTGCCACTGCACTCCAGCCTAGGCGACAGAGCGAAACTCCGTCTCAAAAAAATCCAAAAACAAACAAACAAAAAACCACCACCACCAAAACAAACAAACAAACAAAACAAAAACAAAAACGACAACAACAAAAAACCAAAACCAAAACCGAAAAAACGTGGGGATAGCTAACAAGCTATTAGCATACTAGGAGACTATAGAGAACCCAGTATCTCTTTCAAAAGGCTATTCTTTTCCTCCCACCTGTTCTTCTCTTCCAGTTCTTTATTTGCTTTCCTCTTGAATTTGGGCAGCAGCTGCTGAAGAAGGTCTTTTACTGCATCTCGCTCTTTCACTGCTGTGCTTTCATTGGAAAAATGGAAGTTAGTTGTGTCCCCTGCATGTAGGACCAGCTGAAGCTGAATTTTAGCTTTTCCTTCTGGACTAATTTTCTGGCCTAAAAAGAAGCATGAGGGCAGTTAGATGATGACACTCACACTGTGGGAATAACCATACAGTAAGTTACTTCTCCCAAGATGATTCAGGATTCCTTTGGGCTTTAACTGCCCTATTCCAATACTGATGCTTTTGTAGAATGCACTCTTCTTAAATGATCCCATACAACCAGAGCATGCTCATCAAACTCACTAACACTCTGCTTCCTTCTTTGGTACTCTTGTCATGCAGCACTTCTCACCCACTGCTACTACCTCCAGATATTAATGGGCTTTTGTTACCATTCAACTAGGGCAGGGCAGACCTCTTTAAAGCTTCCTGAATGTATTTTAAACAAACTGCCCCAAATCAACATTATCATTAATAAAAAATGACCTATCATGATCCAAAAGACTGCAAAATGCGGCCCATGGCATTTCTTTTTGCAAGGGAAATATGTAATTTTATATTCGAGAAATCTGGTGTCACCACTTTAATAAAGTTATCAAACTTAGCCTCATTAAAAGTGAGACAACCTGACACTATATGCTTTCTGAGGTGATGGAACAGGAAGTGAATGTCACTATGTATGTTATTACTCTTGCACAAAATGTTTAAGCTGAATATATTCAAGCCTTTAGATCTGACTTTTAGCTTATAAAAAATACAGGTATACAGGAATAAATTAAAACCTTGAGGAGACAATCAGAAATATTCAGAATGTTTGATATTTGACAAGGCTATACCCTGAAAGGGACTAAAGAAATGACAACTACAGGAACCTAGATTGGATACCGTTTTTTTTAAAATAAAAAAATAAAAAAATAAACCAAAAACCACAACTATAAACATTACTGAGACAACCAATGGAAATGTAACAATGGCTATTTTTTATTAAAATGTTTTCAGTGTGATAATGGTATTACAAGCAATAAAAGTGCACACACAAATAATAAAGCAAATATGGCAAAATAATAACTAATATCTAGGTGGGGCATATTACGTAGGTTTTCACTGTATCATTCTTTAAAATTTTCTGTAACTTTGTCAGCTATGATAAGAACTAAATCAATTTCAATTGCTTCTTTCAGATGTGGGCATTCCTTCAAATATTCAACTTGAAACTGTTCTGGTGCAAATCTAGTTTTGGGTATGCACTGCTTTCACCAATAACTGAGAAGAATTGTAGAGAAATTGGAGATGGGCATACTGTTTATTGTACACTGTGGTTATCACAATGTGCGTGTGTATTACACAAAGCTATGGGGCTAGCTTCCCATTTGAGAGAGACGCTAATACTGCTAATTTATAAGTCTATTGTTACAGAAATGTTAGTAGCTAAGGCTATTAGCTAGTAACAGAAATTTGTAGGGCATTCTCTCAGAAATATATGTCTTTTTTTGAGAAGGAGTCTCGCACCCAGACTGGAGTGCAGTGGCGCGATCTTGGCTCACTGCAAGCTCCGCCTCTTGAGTTCACGCCATTCTCCTGCCTCAGGCTCCCGAGGAGCTGGGACTACAGGCGCCCGCCACCATGCCCAGAGAATTTTTTTGTATGTTTAGTAGAGATGGGGTTTCATTGTGTTAGCCAGGATGGTCTCGATCTCCTGACCTTGTGATCCGCCCACCTCGGCCTCCCAAAGTGCTGGGATTACAGGCGTGAGCCACCGCGCCCGGCCCTTAATTTTTGTATTTTTAGTAGAAATGGGGTTCCACCATGTTGAGCAGGCTGGTCTCAAACTTCTGATCTCAGGTGATCCACTCGCCTTGGCCTCTCAAACTTCTGGGATTACAGGTGTGAGCCATTGCACCTAGCCCATGCCTGAAATTTATAAAAAGAGATTCCACCACCTACATTCACTATAAGGTTGAGTCTTCTCAACAGAAGATGGCCACATAAGCAAAGATCAGACAACTTGCCTAACTGGTACAATTTTAGTGAAGGAAAATCTGGCATCATCTATCAGCATTTTAAATGCATAAACCTGGCCAAGCATGGTGGTGCATGCCTATAACATAATCCCAGAACTTTGAGAGGATGAGGCAGGAGTGTTGCTTGAGGCCAGGAGTTTGAGACCGGCCTGGGCAACACAGCAAGACTCTGTCCCTACCAACAATAACACAAAAAAACACATCAACTATTAAACAGGAAATTCTTTGCAGAAATGTATCCTACACATACAACCTTGAAATGATATTAGTGCAAACACTGCAATAAAAAAATTCTGGAAACTTCCTAAGTGTCCAACCACAGAGGGCTGGTTAAATACATGATTGTATATTCATTTAGTGGAGTATTATGCAACTCTTAAAGTGTGTGGAGATCTATATGTCAGGTAGATTTACATATTATATGTAAACCTGTACCTGTTCTGTTATTAAGTGAAAAGGTCAGGTTATAAAACAGTATATATTCAGTGACCCCATTTTGTAATTATTTCTACATAGTTGATTTTTTGATATAAAATAAAGATTTATATAATCTCTTTACAAAATTACTAGCAACTATGACATACAAATACATCAGAACTTAGTATAGCTGACTTACATTTAATATCTGCATACATATGGCTGATTGTAAATCTATCTTTGCCTTCAGGTGCCCAAGCAATTCTTTCTGCCATGAGGTACAGAGCTCCATCCTGCTTCTTTTGACGCACTTTCTTTACAATCAGCAAAACTTCTTCAGATGAGGTTGCCATGGTGGCTAGAAGGTGCTAAGAGAGAAAAAAAAGATGAAGAAAAAAACTATTCCACACATCAATTAGGGTTGAATTTGTTGACTTCTAGAGTCCCTTTCAAATATAAAATCTAAACTGTAGGAAATTAACGGGGAAGAAGAAAGTCTCTTTTCTCATTCAAAGTTGAAGATAAAGTTGCACGGCATCATTCCTCTACAATTAAATTTCATTTTGCTCATACCACAGGTGTAAATTTATACAATACTTATATGCTAATGAGTATTATTAATTTATTTTCCTCAGTTATATTCTTATACACACACAATTTGAAAATGTGTAGTCTTTCATATAGTCTATATTTACAATTGTAAAACTGTAGAATTACAGTCATATTTATTATTTAGTTCAAATTTGTTTCAATTGAAACTAAAGTCTGCAAGATATGTGGGGACTTCCCAGAACCACTCCCAGAGCTGAAACCACACCAAAGTTTCCTGATTTCTGGTCTGTTTCTTCTGTATAAATAAAACTGAGAGAACTAAATATTTAACACTTCACATGCTAATTTCTTATCTTTTAACATTCAAATGTCTTCAACTGCTCTCCACGTCTTGGCCATGATTCATTGGTATAATGCCTAACTAGTTACCTAAGAAAGAGTCTGGTCCCTCCACCTCCATCCCCTGCCTCTGAGAATCTTAAATGCCCAACCCAAATCCTCCAGGCTTGAGTGTGGCTGTCTGGACTCAGTGAGAAAAACTGCTGACTGATGGTGCTGTCTGCCATGGGCCAGGATGGGGAAAGTTGTGGCACCAATGCCACATATATGCCATTTCTGGTGAAGTTATGACTTTAGTTTTCATCCCCAGAGGAATGGCCAAAATATAATTTAACAATTACGTTTGCCCTGGGCAAATAAGTGAAGCTTTACCGCAACATTTTTCTGAGGGTTAAAACTAATGAAAACAGGCCAAGTGATGTGGCTTACACCTGTAACCCCCCGCAATTTGGGAGGCCAAGGCAGGAGGTATCACTTGAGCCCAAGAGTTTGAGATCAGCCTTGTCAACAAAGTGAGACCCCGTCTGTACAAAAAATAGGTCTAATTACTTTGGGAGGCCAAAGGGGGAGAATTGCTTGAGCCCAGGAGTTTGAGGCGGCAGTGAGCTATAATCACCACACCGTACTCCAACCTGGGTGACTGAGTGAGACCTGTGTCTCTAAACAAATAAAATGGGAACAATGAAATACTGGATCTGCCATTAGTTCTCCAAAATAATTGAGAACTTCTATTTGAACATAATGGGAAAATAAGTATTAGGAAGGGGAGTACGGCAGGGATTAAAAACAATAGAAATCAGAAATTCTTGTAATAAAGTTACAAAAAAAAAACCCCCAAAAAACTACTTAAACCATCACCTCTTTTTTTTTGAGACGGAGTTTCACTTTTGTTGCCCAGGCTGGAATGCAATGGTGTGATCTCAGCTCACCACAACCTTCGCCTCCTGGGTTCAAGTGATTCTCCTGCCTCAGCCTCCCGAGCAGCTGGGATTACAGGCATGTGCCACCACGCCTGGCTATTTTTGTATTTTTGGTAGAGACGGGGTTTCTCCATGTTGGTCAGGCTGGTCTCGAACTCTTGACCTCAGGTGATCCACCCGCCTTGGCCTCCCAAAGTGCTGGGATTACAGGTGTGAGCCACTGCGCCCAGCAAACCAACACCTCTTAAGATTAATAAATATGGCTGGGCACGGTGGCTCCTGTCTATAATCCCAGCACTTTGGGAGGCTGTGGCAGGTGGATCACTTGAGCTCAGGAGCTCGAGACCAGTCTGGGCAACATGGTGAAACCCATTCCCACAAAAAATACAAAAATTAGCCGGGCAAAAGGATGTGCTCCTGCAGTCCCAGCTACTTGGAATGCTGAAGCGGGAGAATCAGGAGAATCGCTTGAGCCCAGGAGGCAGAGGCTGCAGTGAGGTGAGATCGCAACATTGTACTCCAGCCTGGGGATGAAAGTGAAACCCTGCCTCAAAACAAAACAAAACAAACCACTGGATTAAAACAATTATTACTTCTTATTCGCTCAAACAATGAGTTAGAAATAAAAAATACAGGGAAAAAAGTGAAACCTTACTTTCTCTGAAGTTGATTATCTCAAGTATGAGTAGTCAGATACCCCTTTTATAGGTCTTTACAGGCTATTCTATCCCGAGAACAGAAAGGAAATAGGTCAATGTGAATACATTTATCCAACAAATCTGTACTGAGCCAAGGAGCCTGGGGACTATCCAAAGATGAACGTCTGTTGATTTCTGCTTTCAAAGATCTTCCAGGGCAGTGAGCAAGTGTGTATATGTGTGCTATTTGTTAGTGTATACTAATTAGAATGTGTGTAGACTCCTAATTAGGGAAAAGGAGTCAGGCTGGTGGGAGCAGGGGAAAGCAAAAAGAAAAAGCAGATAAGCTACAAGTCAGCCTTTCTTCATGGTCCAGGACACATAGCCCTCCCGTGCAAATAATTCACAATCTTCCTGTGCCCCACTTATCACCAGAACCTCAGCGGATAGAAAAATGCAAGTTAGCTCACTGCAGCCTTGGTGTTAGCAGTACTTCATGTAGCCCTCTTCAACAAAAGTACAATCCTATAAAATCCCCTGGAAGCTTTTGTCTCCTTGCAGTCAGCTCTCCGCTTGCTAATCTGCACGTTGCTTTCTTGCAACATATTTTCCTACTTTCTCTAACAAATCTGCCTTTCTTTACCTACAACTGTCTTGGTGAATTCTTTTTATTACTGGTGCCACCAGCTTCAGACAGTTGCTACCCACGACATGAAGTCCCAAAAGGGACACAAAAATGTTCCAAGTTAGGACTCAAGAGGCAGTTTCTTCACTCAGAAAGCCATGAGAAATGTTTGCCACAGAATTTTTAAAAAGCCATTTTAAAAAACTAAGATATAATTAACAAACCAACAAATACATAGGTCTTAGGCATTCTGTTCGATGCGTTTTGACTATAGTACACACCCATTTACAGTTACCCAAAATGAGAGACAGAACATTTCAGTCACCCTTGAACATTCCCTCATGTTTCCTTCAGGTCAATCTCTTTTCCCCAACCTCTAGCAACTACTCTGATTTCTATCACCACAGATTAGTTTTTATCTGTTCTAGGATTTCATATGAAAGGAATCATACAGTATGTACTCCTTTTGTCTCTAGTTTTTTGCTTAACATGTTTTTTGAAATCCACCATATTGTTGTATATGTATCAGTTCATTCTGTTTAATACATAGTTTGGTTATAAATTGGGTCTTGAAGAGACGACTTCTACAGAGAAAGTAAAGGGAAACAGGTGTCAGAGGCAAAGGAAATAGTTTGGGGCAGTGGACTGAAACTCTCTAGGAATGAGTAATCTGCTTAGGATATAGCATAAGGTTCATGAGATCAGTAGGATATGAGGTTGGATGGTTAAGATGGAGGCATATAGTGGAGAAGGCCACCCCATGTGGCAAACAACAGAAAACTTCTGAAGACTTTTGAATAGGGGAGTGATTTGTATTTTAGAAATTAATCTGTGAGCAGCAGGAGAGACTGGAGAGGAAGGGACAAGGAGGACCACTGAAGCAGCAGAATGAACAGACATTGTTAAAGTGCTGAAGGAAGCGTCATGGTTGCTTGCCCATACCCCATTTCTGAGCCTTACTGACATGAGCACAGTGGTACCATTTTCAGAAATTAATGAGAAGGAAGAGCAGATTTGAAAGTGAAGATAAGGAATTCAGTTCCGGACATGATGAATGTGAGGTACTGCTGAGTCATGCAGGTGGAGATAGTCTGCATTATGTAGGCATTTGCAAACGCTGGAATAAAGCCCGATTAGATGACTGCTTTTAATTAAAAAGGGATTTAAAAAATTCCATGTCACAACCCTAACATCAATTTTCCTCATTTTTAATTGTGCTTACCTTATCTGTACCCACCTTACAAATGTAATCATAAAATACATTCAAGTCCATTATTTTGTGATTTTTACTCACCACTGAGAATTTGTTTTCTTACAATCCCATTTTGATATCCATATATCAAATATGATAAAGGATCACAATTCTTAATAAACGATACCACCTTTTAACTGACTTATTTGATGTCTTAAGACTTTGAGAGTTTTCCCTTCTTGAAGTTTAAAAAACTGTTTTAAGACTATTTAATGACATGAAAAGATACACAGAAAAAAAAGGCATGTAGTTTGATTCCATATTCTTTTTTTTTTTTTGAGATGGAGTCTCACTGTCACCCAGGCAGGAGTGCGGTGGCGCGATCTCGGCTCACTGCAACCTCCGCCTCCCGGGTTCAAGCGATTCTCCTGCCTCAGCCTCCAGAGTAGCCGGGACTACAGGCATGTGCCACCATGCCTGGCTAATTTTTTGTATTTTTAGTAGAGATGGAGTTTCGCCGTGTTAGCCAGGCTGGTCTTGAACTCCTGGACGCAAGTGATCCGCCCGCCTCAGCCTCCCAAAGTGCTGGGATTACAGGTGTGAGCCACCATGCCTGGCATGATTCCATAAAATTTTTTTTTTTTTTTTTGAGATGGAGTCTTGCTCTGTCACCCAGGCTGGAGTGCAGTGGCGTGATCTTGGCTCACTGCAACCTCCTCCTCCCAGTTCCAGGAAACTCTCCCTGCCTCAGCCCCCCAAGTAGCTGGGATTACAGGTTCCTGCCACCACGCCCGGCTAATTTTTGTATTTTTTAGTAGAGACGGGGTTTCGCCATGTTGGCCAAGCTGGTCTTGTACTCCTGACCTCAGGTGATCCACCTGCCTCGGCCTCCCAAAGTGCTGGGATTACAGGCGTTAGCCACAGTGCCTGGCCCCATATTCTTTTTTTTTTTTTTTTTTGAGATGGAGTCTCCCTCTGTCACCCAGGCTGGAGTGCAGTGGCCCGATCTTGGCTTACTGCAACCTCCGCCTCCCCAGTTCAAGTGATTCTCCTGCCTCAGCCTCCTCAGTAACTAGGGGTTAGAGGCACATGCCACCATGGCTGGCTAATTTTTGTATGTTTAGTAGAGATGGGGTTTCACCATGTTATCAGGCTGCTCTCGAACTGACCTAGTGATCCCCCGCCTCAGTCTCCCAAAGTGCTGCGATTACAGGCGTGAGCCACTACACCCGGCCTGCCCCATATTCTTAAATTTAAAAAAATCTAAAATTTAGGCTGGGCAGGGTGGCTCACGTCTATAATCTCATCACTTTAGGAAGCCGAGGCGGACAGACTGCCTGAGACCAGGAGTTTGCGACCAGCCCGTGCAACATAGCAAAACCCTGTCCCTACAAAAACTATAAAAATTAGCTGGGCCTGGTGGTACACATCTGTAGTCCCAGCAAGTCGGGAGGCTGAAATGAGAGGATTACCTGAGTCCAGGGAGATGGAGCCGTGATGATACCACTGCACTCCAGTCTGGGTGACAGAGTATTCTCCATCATCTAGAATTTGCTGAATGCTTAATAATGTGTCAGGTTCTGCACTAAGTTTCTTATAGGCATTATCTCAGTCCCCAGTTAATAATCCCATGAGGTAGGTTCTATTATTAGTTACATTTTGTAGATAAGGAAACTGGGTCTGAGAAATCAAGAGGCTTTCTTAAACCATCAGGGAAGTAGCAGAACTGGGTTTGAATCTGGGTCAGTCTGTCTTTGAAATTTCACTATGTTACTCTGAAAATATATGCGAATGAAGGGATAGATACCAAATTTAATAATGATTATCTATGGGTGATAAAAATACAGATGATTTAAATGTTCTCTTTTCTGATCTATAATAATTATGTATTTTATACTAGAGCAGTTATTAAAAAAAAAAGTCTTCCCAAGAGTTTCTTCTCTATCAAACCAAATGTTTATAAAGGTAACCCAGGAAAGTGTTAGGGGTGCTAGTGTGAGAATTTGAAAACAGTGTTTTCTATTTTCAATAGTTTATTTTAACATTCATTTTCTAGTATTCTTTACAATAAACATATAACTATGCAATTCTTCTGCCAGAACCTCCCAAGTAGCTGGGATTATAGGCATCTGCCACCACGCCCAGCTAATTTTTCTATTTTTTTTTTAGTAGAGATGAGGTTTTGAGGCAGGTGGATCACTTGAGGTTGGGAGTTAGAGAACATATTTTAAAAAGCCCACTCTGTAGAATATGAAACTGGACTGCAAACCATACAAATTAGGAAACATATGTTTTAAGAAAAATGAATTAAAATCTAAGAAAGATGAGGGGAGGATCTGACGGGGAAGTTGGCAAATAATTTTAAGTATGTTGATACTTCATTATCCTACTTAAGTAGGATAATTTTAAGTATGTCAGCAGTTGGAAGAAAAGCAGTGAGCAAGGACAGCTGATAGAGCAAGTCTCCAATTAACTGGACTTACAGGCACAAATAAAGTGTTAGTATTGGAAAATAATACAAAGACCTTTATGAGTTGAGAAGGTAAAAAAATGCATGAAGACAGAAACTGCAAAGTGGAGAATACATCATGAGACAGAACTGACTACAGCAACTGGGAAAAACATAACCTTTTTTTTTTTGAGAAGGAGTCTTGTTCTGTCACCCAGGCTGGAGTGCAGTGGCCTCATTTCGGCTTACTGCAACCTCCACCTCCCGGATTCAAGCGATTCCCTTGCCTCAGCCTCCCAAATAGGTGGGATTACAGGCACGCACCACCACACCTCGCTAATTTTTCTACATTTGGTAGAGATGGGGTTTCGCCATGTTGGCCAGGCTGGTCTCAAACTCCTGACCTCGGGTGATCTGCCTGCCTCAGCCTCCCAAAGTGCTGGGATTACAGGCGTGAGCCACCACGCCCAGCCATAACCTCTTATATATAACATATAAAACCATTTATATCAAAATTCATTTATGGGGAAATTTAAAAAATAAATCTGAGATAAATTACCGAACATTGGGCACAAATGGTCAATTGTCTCACAGCTAATTTGCCTGGTAAATTTTCCTGGTCATCTGTAGCACCTCTTAATTGTTCAAGGACCAATTTCAGGAGGTTTAACAGAATCACTGTAGCTATCTTACAATGCCTTCTGTGATTTCCAGGTTTTTCTTGAGTGTATTCCTTGAGTGGCAAACACTTCTTCCCAGGAGAACTCTATAAGAGCCATAGAAATTTATGAAAGTTATTGGTGTAGGCTACATTTAAACAGATCAGGTCAATGAAGATCTCGCTTTACTAAAAGACTATTTACTTATGAAATGGTCTAAGACTTCCTTAAATAGCAAGATCTATATTAAAGGCATTAATTTATTTGCAGTTAAAAATGTATTTGTCCGAATCTAAATTCATATACCTTGCTCTGAGCCTTTGTACATTCTCTTCCTTTCCCATCAACTGGCTAACTTTCACTCATTTTTTTTTTCAGTCTATGTTAAGCTTCAAAGTTACCAGCTAAAGTCTCCTATTATTTTCTTCATGGCACTTACAACAACATAATTTTTAATGTGATTCTTTTAATGTACACGTCTCCTGACAGATTGCAAGCTTCATAAGGGAGGGCAGAGGCCATATATGTCGGGTTCTCTGTAATATAGCACCCAGTAATATAGTGTTTGGCCTATAAGAAGAGTCCAAGAAGTATCAATGACATCATTTAAGATCTTGCTGTTAAAAGAATACAATCTCTTGCTAAGACATAATAAGGAATCTTTGCATATACATCTTTGCCTAAACTCCGGGAACCACTATAGTTTTCAATTCACAGATCAATGTACCATTTCTCATACAGATTCTAATAACTGGATCTTGCTCTTAAAAGGCAACAGTGATAAGGAAGAATATGAACTGGTTGAATACAAATCTTTACATTACTGCACCTCTGCATTTCCATTACCTACATCCCCTTTTCCAATGTGCAAGAGATAAATGGAGGAGAGGAGATAGGGAGCAACAAGTGAAAGAGAAATCTTCTGAAAGAAGGATTACTAGAGAGCACTGTTATATCTGCCAGCATACAAAAATGGAGATTTGGAATGCTGCTTGCCATCAAGCAATCCAAAAGTGTTTGAACAATTCAGCATTAAAGGGAATAACTTTATAAGTATGTAAAGAGTGACCAAAATGTACTGTTTTAAGGATAATTTCACAGACAAGGAAGATATTAAGGAGAATAACTGATGTGGCAATTTTAGGACTGAGCACTTGTACATTTTACAGCAGTGCAGGGAAGAGGCAGGAGGAAAATGCGACAGAGATGCATGACAGAAGAAAATATGCTCATATCCATTAATAAATACTGCATGCTGACAAGAGTATATTACCAAAATTGAGAGAAGAGTAATCAGTTGGTAATCAAAGTGGTGAAAAGAGGAACTACTAGGTCAATGGCTGATACTGCCACACTGAAGGCAGGAAAGAGAAAGGAAGGGCACAAAGACATCTCTATCAGCAGTATGCATAAGGCAGAGATAAATGGTGGCCAAAATGCTAGGAAAGCTCAAGGTATGCCAGACAACATTCTGATGGTAGGGAATAAAATAGCACAGAGAAGCAGGTTATCAGAGGGCAGGACACATGGTACCAGCAGGGAGAAGTTACAAGCCTTGAGGGCAGTACACACAGGAAGCATTCACAACCCAGGACTGGTGCTGGTCGCTGGCTTCACTACTTTTAACTGATTCTTCTCCCACACTGCACCAAGTTTCCTAGTATTTTTCAAAAGCCCTCTCTGAATTTGCTTTGATTTTTTTTCACATTTGTACTGCAATGTGTATTTTATATCACCTAAGAGAGACTCAAACTTACCAATCTGTTGCACTGCTACAAGTCGGCTGAATGGCCTGGTCAACATGGTGAAACCCCGTCTCTACCAAAAATACAAAAATTAGCCAGGCATGGTGGCGTGCGCCTGTGATCCCAGCCGCTGGGGAGGCTGAGGCAGGAGAAGCCCTTGAACCCGGTAGATGGAGGTTGCAGTGAGCAGAGATCGCGCCATTGCACTCCAGCCTGGGCAACAAGAGCAAAACTCCGTCTCAAAAAAAAAAAAAAATGTCGGCTGAGTGAGGATAGCAGACCATCTCTTTTTTCTCCTTTCTGAATGAGGGACTTAAGCCTGCTAACAGGTACAAAGTTCTCTCCAGAGTTTAGTCCTTCTCTAAGTCCAAGGCCTGCTACTAGAGGTTACCTTCCCTGCGGTTGTGACCTCTCCATCTCAACTGCTCTGGTTTTGTCTTTTAAAAAATCTTAAGGTTGGCAACTTTGGCTTAATTACCTAAGTCCAGTTCAGTGGTTTTCAAACTGTGTTCCAAGGAGTGGCCTCTAGGATAGAAGTTAAGTGGGGTGGTGGGGCCTGGCCCTTTTAAATTTAGTTCCACCAGAGCATGCTGCTTTATATATTGGGTTCCAGATAAAAATTCATGGGGAGAAATTGTTCCACTCCTTTAAAATGTTTGAAAATCACAAGTCTGGATATTGGTTTGTATGGAGTCAATACTCACTGCAAAGCACATTTCATTCAAACCACTCAGTTTTTTTTTTGTTTTTGTTTTTAAGACTGGGTCTTCAAATGGACAAAGGGTGTATTTTTCATATCTTCTTTCCCCATCCCCATTTTACTGATGCTAAAATTGGAGTTTAGGAGTCATTTGGGGCCAGGCACTGTAGCATAATTCTGGCGCTTTGGGAGGTCTAGGCAGGAGAATCGCTTGAGCCCAGGAATTCGAGGTTACAGTGAGCTATTATCACGCCACTGCATTCCAGCCAGGACGACAGAACAAGACTCTGTCTCTTAAAAAAAAATAAGAAAAGTCACCTCCTTATTTAATTTGGCCTTTGAGAACACTGGGGGATTTACAAAATAATTACATATATCCAGGTACTCATGGTCTATTTTTCATCATTACACGACAATCAAATGACCAAAACTAGGAGTGTGTGGACTGGCACGTGTTAAGGTTTTTAAGAGAGGTAAGATTGACAGGTGGAAGCAAAAGGTGTGCAGACAACAAGGTGACAGCTTTTCTCTTACAGAATCCCAGACTCAACAGCACATTTCCTGACGGGAAGGGCTTCTCTGTCTGGGAGAGGCCTCCACTTCATTCTCATAAGCCAAATCTGATCCTGGCTTTGGGTAAACCTGCTCTCAATTTAAGAGCAGGTTTCCTTTAGACAAGTAGATTAGGGGTCGCCTCTTCCTCGCCTCGGGATAAGGGCAAACAAGACGCCAGGCTTGGGCGTTGGGAGGACGGCGACAGCGACGCTGGGAACAGGGGTAGAATCCACGCCGTCCAGCGGCCCCCAGGCCTGTCAGCTCCTCACCCGCCCACCCACCCGCCCGCCTGCATTCTTCGGTCTAAACTTACCAGGTGGAAGCTACAACTCTAGACAGGAAGTAACTAACTGGGTTGGATCCGGTCGAGTTCCGCTGCGCTTCTTAGAGCCGCTGCTGGGAAGAGGCCGAAACCCAGTGGCCGCAGCAGTAGCCACCGCCTCTGTTACTAGGGGGTCTCGCCTCCATCGCTGGCTGCGAGGAGTCTGAGGGCACGTGACCGGAAGTAGCAAGGCGGGCCCTGGGCACGTGACTCAAGAGCGCGGCCGCCATGACACCTTCCGCTAGTTCCCTCCCTCCCCCACGGGTTCCCGCCTGTTTCGTTTCCTCTCTCCGGTCTCGAGCGGCGAAGGGTCCTGGGATCCTGGCTGGCCCAACCATTTGGCCTAGAGCTCCTCCGGTTCCAGTCGGCGCCGTGTCTCCAGCCCGCAACGGCCCTGCGGTCGCAGGCCGTAGAGAGCGTAATCGCGACCGCGGCCTGAGGGGGAGGGACCACGCGGAAGGAGGGGCGTGACTCGTCACGTGATGAGGAAGTGCCGTTAGTAGCGTTGTTTCCAGTCTGCGGCTCTCCTGGATGACGTCAGCAAGGAAGGGGAGGAACGCGAGGGGAGACTGAAGTTCACGTTCCGCTCTTAGTGCGCGGTGAGTTCCCCGGCGCTAAGCCGGGAGACAAGATCCGATCTACTGAGAGCTGCGAGGTACTGCCCTGGATGTGGTGGAGCTGGGCTGGGACCTCCGGGCTGCTGGTCTGTGAGCCTGGCTTTGAAAATTGGTTACTGGGTCTCCTCTCAAGAAATCTCAAGATATTAAAGTTACTGCTGTTAAAAAGGTAGTAGTTCCACTAGGCAAGGAGCTTTTTGTGGGTAGGGATTGTGTTTTGTTCATCCCTGTGTCTCTAGCGGTGTGTTCAGGTCCTGGAACATAGTAGGCACTCAGAATGTTGAATGAATGAATGTATAAATGAGTCAGTCGCCATTTGTCTGAGGCAGAGAGTTGTTTTCTGATCATTTCTTCTTGGATAGAAAGATCCCATTGTGAAAATGAGGCAGTCTGCAACTTCCCCTTCTCATTTCTTCAATTTTTGCTATCTTTCTTACTTCTTTCTCCTCTTCCTCCACGCACCTACTGGGGCAAAAGAGAAACATGTTTGCATTTGATGTGTGAGCAACAAACACTGAACTATTTTACGATAATGGAAAGATGAGATTTGGATTCAGGAGACGCGTATTCTAATCTCAGCTCTACCATTTATGAACTCTGTGATCCTTGGGCAAGCCAGTCTCCCAAAAGTTGTTTCATTTACTTTGGTTAAGCATTTGTCGCCAACTTCTATGTTCTTAGTTTTTGGTAGAGTGCCTTCACAGAAGTAACATTTAAACTCAGCTTTGCAGAAAGGTAGGGTTTTGGTAAATGGGGGAAGATTCCATAAACATCATATATTAAACCATGGAGGCACAGCAAGTTTATGGAATGAAAAAGAAAAAAAGAGTCGAGTCCAATGTAGTTGGAGAATAGAGAGGTTAAGATGGGAAATAAGGCTGGAAAAAGAAGCAGGGAGGAGATAACAGATTTTCAAGAAATAGAGCTGTTGAAGGCTTGTACAATATTATGTATATATTTTTTAAATTTTATTGTGGAAAATTTCAAACGCAGACAAAAGTAGGATAATAAATTGAACCCTCATGTACACTTAACGCAACTTGAACAATTATCAGCATTCTGCTGTTCCTCTTTATACTGTTTGTACATTTCTAGGTACTTTTTATATCCATTGTTGCATTTGATTAATAGCAGCTTTCAATTTGAGCTCAGTTCTACTGTATGTAGCTACTGGCTAAGAAGATTTTATTTATGTAAACAATTTCTTTGGGTTTTAGTTGACCACTTGCTCTGTTGAATCAATGTGTAACATGGCCACTTAAACACAACTAATACTGTTTTTAGGTTGTAATATAGAAACTTAGTGTCTAGATCCAGGAAGTTAGTGTTTCTACTCTATTCTGGGCTCATCTAACTACTTAAGGAGTATTATGCTCAGTTCTAGGCACCTCATTTTTAGGCAAACTACAGTGCCTCTGTAGAAGGTTGACTGGAACAGAGGGTTGGAAAATGTCATGTCAGGAGTGATGAAGAAACTGGGAATGTTAAATTTTTAGAAGACCTGATAATGCTTTTCAAATACAGAAGGATTGTTTTGGAAAGAGACAGCTTGTTCCCTTCAGCTGTAGAAGCTACATACAATTAGGAATAATGGTAGAGCTCTAAGTGATCAGGCTTCAGCATAGTATTAAAAAGAACCTTATAATAGTGAGCCCTTTGGAGGACTGGAATTGGCAGCTTCATGAGAGTGAGTGCTTTCTTTCCATGGCTGAAAATGTTCAGGGATCTAGGGCAAAACTAATTTCTGAATTAGGTGGACATGTTCACTGAATTACCTATGAATCTTTTTCCATCTTGAGAATTCTAGGAAGTAGGGCTCATGTGCGATCTTGAAAGCTGGGTATGTTTGGATAAGAAAATCTGGAAGGGAAGCAGTCATTTCAGGGAGAGTAAACATAAAGTATAAAGTTGAAGTTGGTTTAACACTGTCATTCAGCAGCTTCTCTGAGAATTGGCATTGCTTATGCTGTTTTTATTTTCCATTCTCATTTCTGTTAAATTCTTTTTTTCTTTTCAGTAGAACTTACTAGGTGTGTCCCCCTGCACACCCCCGCATTATATTATAACTTCCAGGACATTCTCTTTTTACCGAGATTAAGGCAAAATGACCTACTCAGAGTTTCTTTGTTTCAAGATCACAAGTAGAAGAGACACTATGATATTATCATTCCTTTCCATCTCTTGGATCCTGTACCATGGTTTTATCTTTTTCTTGAATCTTCAGTCCCTTTCGTTCTAGACTCTACTTTTAGCTACTACCTACAAATCTGTTGAAGAGTCTCCCCAATAATAACGTCAAGAGAGGTTTTCTCCTTTTCCACCAGACTTCTTGAGTAATTGAAATGTTTTATCCTCATTTTCATATCACCCACCCGTTTTCTCAAGTCTTTGTTTTCTAGCATCTAACCACCCACAGCACTTTACAGAAATTGTGTGACCTCCCAACACACAATTCTTCAATTCCTTTCTGTTGCCTGCCAAGTTAAGTTCAGGTTCTTTGGTTTGAAATTCAAAGTGTTTTGTAACTTGGGCCCAAATTAAGATTCCAGCTTTATCTTTCATTATTCCGTTGCTTGTATCCTGTTTCAACCAAAGACTAAATTTGTATTCTTCTAGTATATTCTGCATTTTTTTCTTCTCTATATATTTGCTTATTGCTACCCTACCTGCTACCCTTTCCCTTTTCCTTGAGATAAAAGCCTAGTCAGCATCAGTACTACTTTCCTTAGAGCGTTTTCTTCAGTTCCCTTTAATTCAATGTGATCCCTCTGTCCTGTAAAGTTCTAACAAAGCAGTTTGCTTATGTTTCCCTTATAAGATGTGTGTGTGTGTGTGTGTGTGTGTGTGTGTGTGTGTGTGGTATTTGTCTTTTCCTCCGTATTATAAACTGACTGACTTCTGGAATTATTTTACTTGTCTTATTTTTACCACTGTGCCTGGTACTTTACTAGGTACTCAATGAAATGAATGAGTGAAAACAATGAGGGAAGATTTTCTTAGGTCAATAATTCTCAAATATTTTGAGTACAGGCATGTGAAAGTTTCTTTCTGGGTTTTTTCTTTTTTTTTTTCCTGAACATTCTCCTTGCAGAGGTCAAGGTGTATTAGGAACAGTGTTACTAGCAGAAAATAAGATTGTGTTATGTGTGTGCAATAAAAAATATAGTCTTCGTTTTGCCACTAGAAAGTATGCTCTATGAGGGTTAGAACTTTATCATCTCCAGGACCTAGAATAATGTCTGGCACGTAGGTGGGTGCTCAGTACAAATTTGTTGAATAAATGAGTGATGGAATATATATGTTTCTGGAAAAAAAGTCAAAAACGTAAAGCATGAACAAACAACAAGAATGTATAAACAGTTCATGACTTTTTCTGTTGTATTCATTGGCTTTCTAAATTTGGCAGGTAACAAGTGATTGAGAAAAGTTATAATTAATGAGTAGAATTTTCTTTTCTTTTTTTCTGGAGATTGGTGCAAGTTGACAAAAAAGTGCATTTGAGAGTAGGTGAACACATAAAAACTTTCGTGTTACTTTACAAAGTCCTCACTGGTTATTTGGCATTTGTTACCTTGTATTCTTATCCGTATTCTGTCCTATCTAGTCTCTTTTGTTGAAGCGCTTATTTTTCTTTGTGCTCTAATTCCCTGTACCTTCTCACTTAGTAGATCTGTTCATTCATTCACCATACTTACTAAGCCCCTGCTCGGTTGAAGAGAGAAGTCTAGTGGCCTATTCCTATAAACCACTGTTAAATTGTTAGCTGATAACTGTAGGGTTTGCTGATAACAGTTAATAAGTTGAGGCCTTTACAGAAGATTGCGTTTTAATGAGAGACTCCTAAAGACAGAAGATTTAGTATTCATAGAAATGCAGCAGCAAGGTTGCTGTTTTAACTCAGGGTGATATGCCAATTTTCCTAAATCCTACTCTACCTATTCTGTTTACTCACACTGTTAGATAATACAGGGGGATAGGCTTATGGAGGGCCCTGAGAATCCGTACCTGCTACTCTGGGAGTTTTAGAGTCAGGGAATGACACAATGTAAACACACTGTGGCATACGATGTTACCTTATGTGTTTTCTTTCTAAGTCCCTGTATAGTGGGGACTTTCTCATGTTTCTCTATGTTCCCCACATATTTGTTAAATGCATGTTAAATGAATGGTGGGCTTCTTAAATTATATTTTTGTGGATTTTATTCAGGTGAGGAATACTGTATCTATCATTCAACAAGTTTCAGCTTTCTGGCTAAATGGCTTTTGTGCCAGTGATACCAGAGTCCTACAGCCATGTTCTTGCAGAGTTTGAATCTCTGGATCCATTACTCTCAGCCCTGCGGCTGGACTCCAGTCGTCTAAAGGTGAATTTCTTGATCCTTGTATCAGTTTCATTTTCACGTGCTCTCTGTTACTGTGCCCCTACCCTCCAGTTCCTTAACGTTTTGTGGAATCTTGGGTGTTCTTACCTGTCCTAGTCATACTTTTGTGGGGGAAAAAAAAGAAGAAAATAAACTTTTTATCTGAGGAGTGTGAGCCCCTTTAAATTATCAGGCCCAGGCTGGGCGTGGTGGCTCACACCTGTAATTCCAGCACTTTGGGAGGCTGAGGTGGGTGGATCACTTGAGGCAAGGAGTTCAAGACCAGCCTGGCCAACATGGTGAAACTTTGTCTCTACTAAAAATACAAAAATTAGCCGGGCAAGGTGGCACGCGCCTGTAATCCCAGGTACTCGGGAGGCTGAGGCACGAGAATCACTTGAACCCGGGAGGTGGAGGTTGCAGTGAGTCGAGGTCATGCCACTGCACTGTAGCCTGGGCAACAGAGTAAGACTCTCTCAAAAAAAAAAAAAAAAAATTTATCAGGCCCGGAGAAGCATTGGAATGAAACAGTAGTCTCTTATCACTCTTTTTTTTTTTTTGAGACGGAGTCTCGCTCTGTTGCCCAGGCTGGAGTACAGTGGTGTGATCTCAGCTCACTGCATGCTCCGCCTCCCGGGTTCACACCGTTTTCCTGCCTCAGCCTCCCAAGTAGCTGGGACCACATGTGCCCGCCACCACGTCTGGCTAATTTTTTGTATTTTTAGTAGAGACGGGGTTTCACCATGTTAGCCAGGATGGTCTCGATCTCCTGACCTCGTGATCTGCCCGCCTCGGCCTCCCAAAGTGCTGGGATTACAGGTTTTATCACTTTTGTTTGAGCTAATTAATTACCTCTTGAAGCTACTTGCTATGTGGGCACTAGACTAACTGACACCAAGTAGTGATAAAATGCAGTACACTTCATAGTTCAAAAGTGTATAGCCAATCACTAATCAATGTTATTGCTGTAAGCCAATGAGAATTCCTGACAAACAGCCTCTTCTGAAAACTTGAGTTTCTTGTTTTCCAGAGCATTCCCCAAGGCAACTTGGAAGTTTGTCCTAGGCTGCATCCTCAACCTTGGCCCAAATAAAGTCAATGTTAATTTGGCCTCAACTTCTTCCTTTTAGGTTGACACTTTACATAGAGGTATAATTTTCATAGCTCTTTCTTGATTTATTTTTTGAGCTATCTTTTGAATTCTAATTTACCATCCCTGGAAACCATGATACTGACTTGCTTCATTTTTCCCCGTTAGTGTTCTTGCTGTCTTCTCTCAGAAAGTAATATATTTGATTGAAAATAAAATGGTATAAATGAGTATATCTCACAAAGACCAAGAGAAAACTGTCTCTTCATCTTCTGAAGGTTTGCTAAAAATCAGCTACTAAAAATAAGATTAATAGGAGAAAAGGCATATAAAATCTTATTTTCTTTTCTTTCTTTTTTTTTTCTTCTTTTGAAACAGGTTGTCTCTGTTGCTCAGGCCTAAGTGCAATGGGGAGATCCTAGCTCACTGTAACCTCAAACTCCTGGGTTCAAGTAATTCTCTTGCCTCATCCTCCTGAGCAGCTGGGACTAAACATACTCGATACCATGCCAGGCTAATTTTTAAAGTTTTTGTAGAGATGGGGTCTTGCTATGTTGCCCAGGCTGGAGTACAGTGGTGAGACCATAGCTCATGATAACATCGAACTCCTGGCCTCAAGCAATCATGTGCCTTGGCCTTTGGCTTCCCTAAAGCACTGGGATAACAGGAGGGAGCCACCATGCCTGGCTGTGTGTACCCTCTTTCATAGGGAAGTGGGGATATGGAGAATGTAGATGATTGTTTTGAGTGGCAATAAATCATTATGGAGAATGAATAGACCTAGCAAGTGGGAGGCAGACATGGGAAGGTGAGGGATGGAGCTGCATAGGAACAATCTGACTTATGCAGGTAAAATCCCCCAGATAAACTCTTGGAGCTACCTTCAGAAGAATAAATGAAAAGTCTATCTGGGCATGATGATGACTCCCGGTCTGTTGATTTTTCCTGGTTATTTGATGAGATCCTTAGGGAAAGGGTTTAGGACAATTGCATTTCTTTTGGAAGGAAGCTTTCTTTTTCTTTCTTTCTTTCTTTCTATTTTTTTTTTTTTAAGATAGAGTTTCACTCCCTTGCCTAGGCTGGAGTGCAGTGGCACGATCTTGGCTTACTGCAACCTCCACTTCCTGGGTTCAAGTGAGTCTTGTGCCTCAGCCTCCAGAGTAGCTGGGATTACAGGCACCTGCCACCACGCCCGGCTAATTTTTGTGTTTTTCGTAGAGACAGAGTTTCACCATGTTGGCCAGGCTCGTCCCAAACTCCTAGCCTCAGACAATCCTCTTGCCTCCTCCCAAAGTGCTGGGATTACAGGCATGAGCCATTGAGCCTGGCCCACTTTGGAAAGAAGCTTTCTTGGTCAGATAAGGAAATTCCTCTGGAGAGAGTCCCACTCTGTGCTTGGTGGAGAGGTGGAAACGAGACAAGGTTAAAGGGACTTTGGTTTTGAGGCAGCTTCTAAGAACTGTCAGCATGTCAAAGCTCCCTATTTTGGGGTATTGGTTGCTGAGCCCCAATAACCCCTTTACATTTTGAATAACATGTAGTTATACTAAGGTCATTCCAAAACAGGGAGTCTGGTGTAACCCTCGTTTTAGGGAGAAAAGCAAAAGTTAGTTAGCTCTGGGCAGAATGTCGACCTAAGAGGAAGAAGCTAAGAGGAAGAAGCTGCCCTGGCTTGGTGGCTCATGCCTGTAATCCCAGCAATTTAGGAGGCAGAAGTGGGAGGATTGGTTGAGCTCAGGAGTTTGAGACCGCTTGGGAAATATGGCAAAACCCCATCTTTACAAAAAATACAAAAATCAGCTGGACGTGGTGGTGGGTATCTGTGGTCCCAGCTACTCAGAAGGCTGAGTTGGGAGCATTGCTTGAGCCAGGGAGGTTGAGGCTACAGTGAGCTGTGATAGCTCCACTGCATTCCAGCCTGGGTGACACAGCAAGACCCTATCTCAAAAGGAATAAAAAAACCCAGAAAACAAAACAGACAAAGGCGAAAATAATATAAGCAGACAGTTTATTAGGGCCAAGCTTGAGGATTACAACCTGGGAACATAGATAAAAGTTGCTTTAAATATACACTTTGATTAGCAGCAGTTACAAGTGGATTATTTATTTATTTATTTATTTATTTATTTATTTTTGAGATGTAGTCTTGCTCTGTTGCCCAGGATGGAGTACAGTGGCACCATCTCAGCTCTCTGCAAACTCTGCCTCCCGGGTTCAAGTGATTCTCATGCCTCAGCCACCAGAGAGGCTAGGATTACAGGTGTGTACCATCATGCCTGGCTAATTTTTGAATTTTTAGTGGAGACGGGGTTTTGCCATGTTGGCCAGGCTTGTCTTGAACACCTGGCCTCAAGTAATCCGCCCGCCTCGGCCTCCCAAAGTGCTGGGTGGATTATTTTTTGAGACGGCTGGTCGGGGGAGGGGGGATGCGGTCTTACTATGTTGCCCAAGCTGGAGTGCAGTGGCTATTCACAGGCATCATAGCTGAGTCATAGCACACTGCAGTGCACTGTAGCCTTGAACTGGCGTCAGGCAGTCTTCTTGCCTCAGCCTCTCAAGTAGCTGGGACTACAGGCATGTACCACACCACATGGCCTGCCTAATTTTTATATATTTTTTAGAGATAGGGTTTCATTATGTTGCTGTAGCTGGTCTCAAACTCCTGGGCTCAGTGAGTCCTTCTGCCTTGGCCTCCCAAAGTGCTGGAATTACAGGCATGAGCCACCGCACCCGGCCTTTTTTTTTTTTTTTGAGACGGAGTCTAGCTCTGTCACCAGGCTGGAGTTCAGTGGCGCAATCTTGGCTCACTGCAACCTCCACTTCCTGGGTTCAAGTGATTCTACTGCCTCAGCCTCCCAAGTAGCTGGGATTACAGGCACGCACTGCCACACCCAGCTAATTTTTGTATTTTTAGTAGAGACGGGGTTTCACTTTATTGGCCAGGATGGTCTCGATCTCCTAACCTCGTGATCCGCCCACCTTGGCCTCCCAAAGTGTTGGGATTACAGGCGTGAGCCACTGCGCCTGGCCTGGATTTCTTAAAAATAAAAATGTTTAAATTAGGGCTGGAGTCTTATTCTGTTGCCCAGGCTGGTCTCGACATCCTGACCTCCCAAAATGTTGGGATTATAGGCATGAGCCACCTTGTCCAGCCCAAGTGGATTTTTAAAGGAAAAGAAGAGGCAGATTCTGAGTTGTTTAGCAAAAACTCATATTAAAATAACAAAAACTATTGATTGGCTATACATTGTTCTTTGTATCACAGATTTCAGTGACATGAAGGTAACAGGTGAGACAGCTAGTCAGTGACAAAATTACTTTAAACAATTGCCCCCAGGCGTGGGTGCAGAGAGTGGGTGCATGACTGATATCTCATATTCATTTCTGTCTGGGCCTGCATACTTCACATAGCTCAGACTGCCCTGAGCTATTTTTTTTTTTCCCTCAATAAGTATGTGTTTTGATTGTCCTTGGAATTCAAAGAACTATGTACTTCCTTCAATCTCTGAGTTATTTTGATTAAACTCAGGAATGATGTGGTAAAAAACAAAGTTTCATAACCAGTACCAAAGTAATTTCATTTTTATACTTTTGCTACTGCCCTAAAGGAGATACTAGCATCTGAGGAAAGGGAAAATAGGAAGTGATAGACAGTAATATGAGTAACAATTTTGAGGCTTGATATCAGTTAGACATTTTTTCAGCTGCAAATTACAGTATGGTGTAACATATTAATAGGAGCTTACGTGGTAAAGATGTTTATAATCTCATAGGAGGTTAGTGTTCTGGGTTTAGTGTAGTGGCCCAATGATATAACTGGCTCCCATTTTTCCTGTTCTACCATTGCACATATGTTAGCTTTTAGCTGCTTTTGCAATATGTGTCCTGTCTCCAGTCTTACTGTTCTCATTAACATCTCAAGAAAGTGGGGGCAAAGGGCAAAGGCTTTCTACAGGCTCTGCCTTTCATCTTTCATCAAGGCCTCAGCAGCCTTGGTCTTATTAGCTAGAATTGAGTTACATGACAACCCTTGGCAACTAGGGAACTGGGAAGGTGAATATTTAGGTTTTCCAACTTCTATGGTGAAAAGCAACAAAATTGAAGAAGATTGGGAATGTCTCTTAGTCAATCAACTAATAACTTTTACCACGGGGTATTGGGCACGGCATGACCACTGCATTCTCTGATGGAGTCTCACCTACCCTAAGACTTGTGGATGTTTTGTGGTGTTTGTACAGATTAGAAATGATTTAAATGAACGAATATTTAACCTGGTTGCTTTATCTTCTGGTAACTTCCTTGGTCTTCCATTGTTGTAGTCAGCATTGGAATGACCTAGCCAAATTACACAAAATATGAAGTCTTAACAGCCAGCGTTTGCCAAGGGAAAATTACTCATACAATGGAGCCTATTCAGCCTTTGTGAGATTCATTTAGAAGTTTAAAAACAAAATGTTCTTTCTTCAGTATTTTTTACTATTCTAGAACTAGAGAATAAGTGTCATATTGTGTCCATATGGGCAGAGGGTAAAGTGAGGGAAGGAGCCTGATGCATAAATCCTCAGTATTTATTTTCAGTGGATAGTCTATTTGGTTAAGTAGCTGTGATTATCTCACACTTCTCTTCACATGTTTTTAGTGCACGAGCATAGCTGTGTCTCGGAAATGGTTGGCTTTGGGCAGTTCAGGAGGAGGACTCCATCTCATTCAGAAAGAAGGCTGGAAGCACAGGCTTTTTCTTTCACACAGGGTAAGATTAAGGGCAGCTCTGTCATACACCATTTGGAGTCTCTTTCATAAATGCAAATTTCTCCAATATAAATAATCATTTGGAATAAAAGAATGTAGAACTTGGCTTGGTGCGGTGTCTCACGCCTGTAATCCCAGCATTTTGGGAGGCCAAGGCGGATGGATTACCTGAGGTCAGGAGTTGGAGACCAGCCTGGCCAACATGGTGAAACCCCGTCTCCACTAAAAACACAAAAATTAGCTGGGCGTGGTGGTGAGTGCCTGTAATCCCAGCTACTTGGGAGGCGGAGGCAGGAGAATCGCTTGAACCCAGGAAGTGGAGGTTGCAGTGAGCCGAGATCGCACCATTGCTCCCCAGCCTGGGCAACAGAGCGAGACTCAGTCTCAAAAAAAAAAAAAAAAATAATAATAATAATAATGTAAAACTTGAGATTTAAAAAATGTATTTTCTTTTGTGCTCTAGGAAGGTGCAATTTCTCAAGTCGCCTGTTGTTTACATGATGATGATTATGTTGCTGTAGCTACCAGGTAAGAATCTGTTCCAAAACTATCTGTCCTTTTTCAAATGCATTTTAAATTGACACATGTGTTTGTTAGGGTGACCAACCATCCTGGTTTGCCTAGGATTGTCCCGGTTTTAACAGTGAAACTCCTGTGTCTCAGGAAATCTCTCAGTACCCAGCAAACCAGAATGGACAGCTGGTCATCCTAGTATTTGTAGAAAATGCTAATTTAAGGTTACAACATTTCAAAGGCCTTAAAAGATAAAGGGAACAGAGATAATTTAGATCATTTAACTTCTCCTATTAAACTGGTTTGGTGACTAAAACAAGGAAATTAATACCTTGACTTTTTATAATACTTCCTCTTTTCTGAAGAACAAGAGTTGCATATGTATTTGATATAGTTGATACTGTGATGCAACAAAATTGTACCTTGTTCACTGTTGCCACGTTTGCCTCTGTGACTCAATTCTTGCAGTCAAGGTCTTGTGGTTGTTTGGGAATTAAATCAAGAGCGTCGTGGGAAACCGGAACAAATGTATGTGTCTTCAGAACACAAAGGCCGAAGAGTCACAGCTCTCTGCTGGGATACAGCTATTCTTAGAGTTTTTGTAGGTGATCATGCTGGGAAGGTTTCTGCTATCAAACTCAATACTTCTAAACAAGCAAAGGTGAGAAGCAGTCCCATTCTTTGTGTATGTAGTGAGATACAAGGTGTTGTCTTATAAAACTTCCAATTAAAGGATGTGATTTTATCTACTGTATTTCTTGGGAGACTAATCCGGAGTCCAAACCTGGAGATTTTGAGGAGACCTGTTTTTATATAGTACACACGGTGGCCTGTTAGCTCAATACCGTTACAGAATGGCTTTTGTGAACTAACTTCAGTACTTTGCACATTATCTATTGCAGTCCTTCCTGATTCACCTGCATGGCTCATTTAAAGCATTCTTTAGTATAAGGCTATTAAGAAAGAAAAGATATCTATTTATTATTGGTGTGAATAAAGTGACAAACATAGAAATGACACCAATTGCCCAGGCTTCTGGTCTTCTCTGCTTCTTGTGTAGAAGAAACTCATAGGTCTAGGAATATTTTTTATCAGGATGGATATAACTTATTTTGAATGGAATCTTGAAGACACCTTCTGGCTTTGCTCTGCTCTGCAGGTCCTCAGGCTTCTTGCTGCAGTTATGGCTAAGTAGAAGGGTTGAGACTCAGGTTACCCTAACAGAATGCTCCAGTCTGTCATTAAGACAGAATAGACCAGCTTCTCATTGTCCTGCTCCTCCACGACCATTACATCAGAAGTAGAGGGATTTGTCTTGCATTGGCTTATTTCTATTTAGGATCCTGGCAGAAAAGAAAGGCTCTAACTACTATTGGCTAAATTTATTTTATTTTATTTTGAGACAGGTTCTTGCTCTGTCACTCAGGCAGAAGTACAGTGGTGAGATCATGGCTCACTGCAGTCTTGATTGCCCAGGCTGAAGCAATCCTCTCACCTCAAACCTCCTGAGTAGCTGGGACTACTGGCATGCATCACCACGCCTGGCTAATTTTTAAAAACTTTTGTAGAGACAGGGTTTCGCCATGTTGCCCAGGCTGGTCTCGGACTCCTGGGCTCAAGTGATCCAATCACCTTGCCCTCGCAAAGTGCTGGGATTACAGACATGAGCCACTGCGCCTGGCTATTGGCTAAATTATTTTATTTTAATGAACACATCAGAATATTTTTCTGGTTTGCCGTCATGACCTATCAACGTTATCAATTGATTCTTAATATATTTTGGACCTAAAATATAGAAACCCTAGTAAACTTATTTTGTCTTTTTCTAAAAGGGAGAAGTGCTATCTACAGGTGAAAAATTCTTTCACATACTCCAAAACTTTATTTATCTAGAGACAGGTTCTTCTTCTGTTGCCCAGGCTGGCATATAGTAGCATGATCTTAGCTCACTGCAGCCTCAAGCTCCTAGGCTCAAGCAGTTCTTCTGCCTCAGCCTCCCAAGTAGCTGGGATTATGGATGTGTGCTACCATGCCTGACTAACATGTTCTAAACCTTGCTTCATCTTTTTCGTTCTAACCTCTAAGATTAGATAATCACAAACAGATCCTTGAGAAATCTCTTCTGCAGTTACGTACCAGATTATTTAATACAACTTTTAAGTGACTAAAACTTTGATATCCTTACAAGCAAATTAAGTTTTGGCTTATTTGAAAATTTTATTTTGCTATTCAAGTTATTTTCATTTACAAGGTAAAGAGGAAGAGATTGCATGTGTATGTTATGATTAAATAAACTTTATTTCTTTCTCACATTCCTTTTAGGCAGCTGCTGCTTTTGTGATGTTTCCTGTTCAGACAATCACAACTGTTGACTCCTGTGTTGTACAGTTAGATTATTTGGATGGAAGGCTACTTATATCTTCACTTACTCGATCCTTCTTGTGTGACACTGAGAGGTATATTGACCAACCATTAGTCATCAGAAATGCAGAATTTTAGAACTGGGAGGAACTTAGAAGTTATCTACCCCAAGCCCCATCAATCAGTTATACAGATTTTTTTTCTTTTTCTTTTTTTTCTTTTTTTGAGATGGGGTCTCACTCTGTCACTCAGGCTGGAGTGCAGTGGTGTGATCATGGCTCACTGCAGCCTTGACCTCCCTGGCTCAAGCGATCCTCCTACCTCAGCCTCTCAAGTAGCTAGGTCTATAGGCACATGCCACCATGCCCTGCTAATTTTTTGTATTTTGTTTAGAGACTGGGTTTTGTCATGTTACCCAGGCTGGTCTTGAACTCCTGGGCTCAAGCAATCTTCCTGCCTCAGCCTCCCAAAGGGCTTGGATTATAGGCATGAACCACTGCCCCTGGCTATACAGATGTTAAGGAATCAGTTGTATGCAAGCTGATGTTAGAGAGCAGAGAGGAGGTAGAGGAGTCTAAGACAGTCCAGTGGGTGACTAAGACAAGTATTCCGTGAGCCCGTTGCTGGTGAGACATATTCTAAGTGCCATGAGAGAAGGCTAAAGGCCTGTTTTTAGATGGGAAAGCAGGAAGTCTTCTTTGAGTTTTGTTGTTTTCAAGATTTGTTTTATTTTAATAGAATTTTACTAAAGGGTAAAATTGGATGAAAAATAATTAAGAGCTTTATGAAGATAAGTATTTCATCAAAATCTCAAGGGTAGATAGAGCCAGAGGTACAATGAATGGCAAAGGAGTGCATTAGAGGTAGCTGTGAAATACCAGAGCAGAATAGCAGACAGCTGGAAATGAATATTATGCATCACTATGCCAAAGTTCTCAGCCATTCTCACTGCAAGGAAATTTTCACTGGCCATTTCTTTTTTTCACTGGGCCTGGCAGCTATCATATTTCTCAGGACCATCTCCTTTTAAAAATTTATCATGGAGAGTTTTGAGCCTACACAAAAGAAGGGAGAATTGTGTAATCAACACCTGTGTACCTATTTCATAACTAAAGTTGGATGACAGTATCATAGAACCTCCTGTAAAAATAACATGTTTAGACGTGCTTTCTGTTAGCTAGAATTCAGCTTTTGGGGACATGTGTAATATAATAAAATATATACTTATGTTAAAAAATCTTTTTGTTTCAACCTGTTTTCCCTCCCAACAAACAGTTTTTTGGTTTTTTTTGTTTCTTTGTTTTTTTTTTTAAAGCTGAGACTCCTAGTGACTAGCCAAAGTGATAGATATGACTTTGCTTCATGTAAATTTAGTGTTAAGGATTAACTAAGGTAGCATATGTGAAAATACTCAACTTTGTGCCTGTGACGTATTGTTTGAAAAATAATAGAAAGTAAGATTAATGAGTATACAAATGATAATGAATTGATTACATTTTTCACTCAGCAAACATTTATTATGTTCCTCCAGCTCCTTAGCACTGTATTAGGTACCATAGAAAATATAAAATGAAGAAATATATTTTATTTCCCAAATAAGGAGTATAAGTAATAAAACCACTACTTCCTGTACAGCTCTGTATACATTTCAAAGCACTCTTACACCTATGTTCTTAAAGTAAAGCAAATGTTATATTTTATTCATAAAGCAATTAAGTACAGAAGTAGTTATTGAATTATCTGAGGTTAACTAGTAAATTCATGCTAGAGAGCATATTAGATCACTCTTCAATAAAAGAGATTGAGTTTATGGAACTCTATAATGTATTGAGTGCTTTTTGTAGGCCTGACACTGTGCTACACACTGGGAATTCAACCAAAGAGGAATAAGAATTGTCCTTTGCCTTGAAAAGTCATGATCTGCTGTTTAAATAGACATAATTGCCATATATCATGTCATAAGTGCTATGAAAGCAAAGCATAGGAAGCGTGTAATTCCATATATGGGAATCAAGGAAAGTTTCTGAGGAGGAATGATAAGTTTCTGAGGAGGAATGATGGAATCATGGAGAGTAAGTAACAGGAGTTTTTAGGAAGAGACATCTCCCTCATCATTATCACCTTCCGTGTTCCCAGGCAGTGTACTAAGCTCTTTTATATATCTAACTCATGTAATCCTAAGGGAACAGAATGCTCCAAGGTGCAGAGTTTCAGAAGGACCTGGGTTTTTGAGGAAAAAGTAAGTTTATTGGGTGTTTGTGGTGAGGAAGTGACTTGGAGACAGGGTTGGAGAACTAGATTAGTAGCTTCCATGGAGTGTCCAAAGAACATTTTACAAAGTGACTTTAGAAGCAATTAGTAGGATTCAAGGATGTACGAAATAGTTTGGTAGCACTCACCTTTTAGATTTGGAAGGGGCCTTTACATTAATTCTGAGCCTCTTATTCTGTGGATAATAAACTGAGTACTAATATGAAATGATTTGCTTCCTGTCATAGAAATAGCTAATGGCAATCAGAGCCAGAATCCTATTTTGATCTTTCCATTCTATTGTTTTTTTCAGTATATTGCTAATATGAATGAAGGAGAAGGCATTGTGAGTGGAGTTATTATGCCCATGCTGATTTGTAGTGCCGTTGTTTTTGACTTTTTTTTGTAAGTAAATCTGCTTTCTCTTCCTTTCTGGATGTTAGAGAAAAGTTTTGGAAAATTGGAAACAAGGAAAGAGATGGAGAATATGGAGCTTGTTTCTTTCCTGGAAGATGTTCTGGGGGCCAGCAACCTCTGATATATTGTGCTCGCCCAGGCTCTAGGATGTGGGAAGTGAACTTTGATGGAGAAGTTATAAGTACACATCAGTTCAAGAAACTCCTCTCGTTGCCACCTCTCCCTGTGATTACTCTCAGGTAACGATTTGTATGGCTGGTTGGGATTGTTTGAAGAGCTTCTATATAGAGGTTCGGTGAAAATCTCTGATATTCTATCTGTGTTAAAGATTTTATTATACCTGGCTGGGCGTGTTGGCACACGCCTGTAATCCCAGCACTTTGGGAGGCTGTGGCAGGCGGATCTTGAGGTCAGGAGATCGAGACCATCCTGACTAACGCGGTGAAACCCCGTCTCTACCAAAAATACAAACAAAATTTAGCTGGGTGTGGTGGCGCATGCCTGTAGTCCCAGCTACTCGGGAGGCTGAGGCAGGAGAATGGTGTGAAGGGAGGCGGAGCTTGCAGTGAGCCAAGATTGTGCCACTGCACTCCAGCGTGGGTGACAGAGCGAGACTCCGTCTCAAAAAAAAAAAAAAAAAAGATTTTATTCTATCTTTTCAGAGTGAAGTTGGATTTTTATTTTTATTAAAAGATTCAGAAAAACCAAAGAAGTCTTTGATAATTACCTCTCCTATGATTAGTGTCAGGCGAATAAGGGCAGATGCAGTTAGGCTCTTGAATTTGTTTTGGAGGCAAAAATTTCCCTATATTGGGAAAAGTGTAATTTTATGTTATACTTTTAACAGATAAACTCATTAACAGATGTGTTTACTTTCTAGATCAGAACCTCAGTATGATCATACAGCTGGATCCTCCCAGTCTTTGTCTTTCCCCAAACTCTTACATCTTAGGTAAGTTTCTACTTTCCTTAGTTCTGGGGGGGAAAAAGAATACTTAGATTTTTATCTCTGTTTCTTGTTCAGAAGTAGTTTTTTAAGGTTATTTTTGCACTAAATTACTTATAGAAAGTTAGGAAATAATTATGTTACATGAAGTGTTCTGTATCTAAAAGGAATGGAAAGATCCTAGAAATACACTTCTCTTTCCAAGCCAATTGGAGAGTTTATAATTGCCAAGAAACTTCTAACAATTGGAGCTAAGATAGCTCTACTAACCGCCTCATAACCTCTCCTACCTAATGGGATGCTATAATGAAAGCAAGTCCCAGATCAAAATCTGCCACACAGATGTATGTGTTTTTAGCAAGCAGGCACAAAAATAGTTGTAGAACTTGTTCTTGTAAGCTTGGTGAAATTTCAGCTCTCTATCCTATAGGTACTCTGACAAATGCTTGCATGAAAGATCTGCTGGAGGCAGTTTCAGCCATATTCTAATGTCAGAGTTCAGCCAGCCTTCTAGTTGGATTAGGTGCAAAGTCCAGCACAAAGTGCTGCCCTAAAAGTTGTTAAACTGCTGGACCTGCCAATTCTTACACCTTGTTCTGCAAGAGCAAGAGTACCAGTGTATGATTTCCAGCCAATATCTTGAACTCTATTTCATCAATAAAAAATTACTTCTGATATCCCTTAGGCTAGTTAACAAGATCTCTGATGCAAATTCAGCAAATATTGTATGAAGTTGTCATATGGTACACTGGAGTGTGAACACCTGATTCAGTTCTTTGAAAGGCTAACTAACCACTCTTTGTGATTTTTAAAAATAATTGAAGTGTTAACTAATTGCCTCTAAGGGTAAGGATAAAAACCAGTTCATGTATTTGTCATACTTCCTACACTGAAGTATTTAAAAGTGAATTATAAGGCCGGGTGTGGCTCATGCCTGTAATCCCAGCAATTTGGGAGACCGAGGCGGACAGATCTTCTGAGGTCGGGAGTTCAAGACTAGCCTATCAACATGGAGAAACCCCGTCTCTACTAAAAATACAAAAATTAGCCAGGCATAGTGGCATGCTCCTGTAATCCCAGCTAGTAGGGAGGCTGAGGCAGGAGAATCGCTTGAACCTGGAAGGTAGAGGTTGCAGTGAGCCGAGATCGTGCCATTGCACTCCAGCCTGGGCCACAGAGCAAGACTCTGTCTCAAAAAAAAAAAAAAAAAAGTGAATTATAGACATTATAACACTTTAGTAACTCCATAATTCTTCATGAAAGTTACTAGAGAAAGACATTTATTTATTTACCCATAATTAGATAAAGCATATTAAAAACTCTTCCTCCTTTAGCATTCTTCCTTTGTGGCACTTGTCACAGTTTATAATTACATATTAATATAATATTTATACATGTCTTACCCTAAACAGTAAGCTCCATGAGGGCTTTATTTCTGTTTTGTTGACTATTATTTTTTCAATGCTTGGCCTAATGCCTGGCACATGATAGATACTTAATAAATATTTGTTGACTATGATGTGATGTGCGGGGTATTGGGAAGTCCCTTACCCAAGTTTTTTTTTTTTTTTTTAGAGACGGAGTCTTGCTCTGTCACCCACATTGGAGTGCAGTGGTGCGATCTTAGCTCACTGCAGCCTCTGCCTCCCAGGTTCTAGCAATTCTCCTGCCTCAGCCTTCCAAGTAGCTGGGACTCACAGGCGCACGCCACCACGCCTGGCTAATTTTTTGTATTTTAGTAGGGATGGGGTTTCACCATGTTGCCCAGGCTGGTCTCGAACTCCTGAGCTCAGGCAATCCACCTGCATCGGCTTCCCAAAGTACCCAAGAATATGTTTTCTAGTAGTCGGGCCACAATACACTTAGCTCTCCTGGTAGAGTTATTCTTTTGGCTGTAGCTATTTAAAGCTGCTGTTATAGTCCCTACCATGGTAGACAAAAAGCCTTTGATGATCTGGCTCTGCCTATTCCTCAGCTAAAGCAACAATTAACGCCACTTTGAAACTTCTGCTGATTCCTCAAAGAGGCTTACGTTAGACAACCTATTTCTGTGCATGTACTGTTGTCAAACCATATTCATTCCTTTATCATTGCCACTGTCTTACTGTATTATGAGTATGCATCCCAGCATCAGATTGTCAACTCCTTTTCATGGGCAGTGCTAGACACATAGAAAACCCTCAAATGATAGTGAATTCAACAAAGAGTTTTTTCGAAAACATGAAGAGGAGGGCTTCTTTTCATTCCTGTTTGTTTATGTTTTTCATTCGTACACTGTGCCCTATGGGACTTTTACTGTTGCAACCCATAAATCCCAGAGGGGGCATCCTTATGTACTTTGTTTCCTTTCAGGCACATTCCTTTCTGGAACTTCTAAAACAATGCTGTTAGGCTTATGTCCCCATTTATTATCAGTGAAGGGATAAGGGGACAAGGAATGTATAAATTACAAGTATCAGCTTTTATCTAAGTTCCCGTCCTCAGCCCCCCATCTAATCTAGGTTGCTATTCCTAAGGAATTTTCCAAGCTGAATGTCAGGTTCAGTATCAAAATTATGATCCTGTATCTCTTTCTCAGGGATCCTCTGACACCCCCCCCCCCCCCGCTTTTTTTCTCCTTTGACTCTTGAAGGCAGCCTTCTCAATTTTACTTTGGATTCAGATTCTGACCATTTCTTGCATTTTATGACAAAGATTACTTTCCTGTAGGGATAGTGATCTGGTCTTTCATATTGACAAAATGTTTAACACTTACATGAGGGCCCAACTCCTGTTAAAAATCAATTAGTTTCATAGCCACATGGAACCATTTTTAGTACTCTTGGAAACATAAAGGAAAAAGAAATATAGTCCCTGTTCTTCAGAGTATAATTTATTAGAGAGATATGATTTATTTGTCCAAAAAGTTTAACAACAATAAGAAGTAAGAGTTGTGACAGTGCAGTAGATGATTAAGTGCCATATGAGCAGAGTATAAGAAATAGGTTGAGTGCAAGAAATAGGGTGAGTGTTGTGGGCTGTAAGGGAGGATTTCAGAGGGAAGTAGAACTTCTGATCCTTGAGAGGTGGCTAGATTAAGAACATTGTAAGTTGGAGAATGTCCTGAACAGCATTAGGAAGTGGAGATTACCAGTGGTATATAAAAAATAGTAGCAGCCTTGAGAGAATAAATGAAATATATGAGATAAATTTATATGAGTAAGTATAGAAAAAGATGAGGAGAAAAAAATGAGTCCTCCAGACCAGAGGACTGGAGAGAAAGAGAACCAAGAAAATGCAGTGTCCAGGAGCCCCAGGAGGTGAGGTTCAAGAAGCAGAGAACAGTTAGCAGGGTTGGCTTCTGCTTGGGGTTAAGAAAATGGGAAGTGATGAAGGGTTATTGGGTTTGGCAGTTTGGGAATCTGTGACTTTTTGAGAATTCAGTTAAGTGGAATAGTTAGGATTCCAGATAATAGTGAGTAGGTTAGTGAAGATAAGTGGAGGAGGAAGTAGATTCTGTGTTATATAGGAAAAAAGTCCAGGTTTTGGAGCCAGACTATCCTGCATATCCAGTATAAATTCTGACTCGTATACATTTCATGCTGAATGGCCTTTGGTATATTATTTTATTTCTCTGAGCCTTAGCTTTTTCTCTTTTTAATAAGAATAGTATATCTACCTTGACTGGCTTCTACAAAGTTAGGTAATATAGACAGAGCCTTTAATAAAGCTCCTGGCACATCGTTGAGCAGGAGTTGTCAGCTTTTTGTTGCGCACACACAACTAACAACATCAAAATATTACTGTTCTTAAAAGTGTCTCACTAGAGTAATGATTGGCAGTAAGATGTTAGTCTTTGTTTTAAATGTGCCCGTATCATGTCCAGTATGGAAAGTTCAGCTGCTTTAACGAACATCAGGTAAAGGTCCCTAAGCTTTTCTTTTTCCAGATACCAGCCTTTTCTTTCTTTCTTTTTTTTTTTTTTTTTTTTTTTGAGACAGAGTCACCCAGGCTGTCACCCAGGCTGGAGTGCAGTGGCACAATCTTGGCTCACTGCAACCTCCGCCTCCCTGTAAGTGATTCTCCTGCCTCAGCCTCCCGAGTAGCTGGGATTACAAGCGCATGTCACCATGCCCGGCTAATTTTTCTATTTTTAATAGAGACAGGGTTTCACCATGTTGGTCTGGCTAGTCTCAAACTCCTGACCTCAAGTGATCCACCCACCTTGGCCTCCCAAAGTGCTGGGACTACAGGCGTGAGCCACTGCACCCAGCTGACCCTTTTCTTTTTCTGGAAAATATCTAGTATATGTGTCTGAATTTTCCCAATTTGGCATCATTTTATGCTATTTATTAGTGGGCTGTTGTTACAGACAGAAAGGAGTTGTTAGGACTCGATTAGCTGGATCACTCTTGTGTTTTCTTTGTACAGTTTGATTTTACTTTAATAGCTAATGCAAGGATCTGAATTCGGGGAATTATAAACTTTTGTATCCTAGCACACTTGAATTCTCTTCACTTCTTCTCTTGCAGTGAGCATTGTGTGCTGACTTGGACAGAAAGAGGAATTTATATTTTCATTCCTCAGAATGTTCAAGTTCTTCTTTGGAGTGAAGTCAAAGGTAATTATATTTTTCTTTGTAATTTTTAATCTCATGCTTATGAAAATTTGATTATTGTAGGAGCATTCTCTTGTAATTTAAGAAGTTGAAAAATAGGATGGGATGACTTTTTTTTTTTTTTTTTTTTTTTTGAGACTAAGTCTTGCTCTGTCACCCAGGCTGGAGTGCACTGGTGCGATCTTGGCTCACGGAAACCTCCACCTCCTGGGTTCAAGTGATTCTCCTGCCTCAGCCTCCTGAGTAGCTGGGATTACAGGCACGCACCACCACACCTGGCTAATTTTTGTATTTTTAGTAGAGATGGAGTTTCGCCATGTTGGCCAGGCTGGTCTCGAATTCCTGACCTCAGGTGATCTGCCGGCCTCAGCCTCCCAAAGTTCTGGGATTACAAACATGTATGATTACAGGTGTGAGCCACCGTGCCCAGTTACGTTTCTTTTAAAGATTGACCATAGATATTTCCCATTGTAAGTTACTTCCCAAACATGCATTAGTGAATTTGCATTCAGCTATTTATTTTTTCATGAGTCATTTTATTTATTTTTTAATTGACACATAATAATTGTACATATTTATGGGGTACATAAATATGTACCCCATAATATGTTTCGATACATGCAGTGTATAGTGTACCCTGATCAGATCAGGGTGGTTAGCATATCTACCATGTTAAACATTTATTAGCTCTTCATGTTGGGAACATTCATTGTCCTTCTAGCTCTTTGAAAACAGACATTATTATTAACTATAGTCATCCTACAATGCTATGGAACAGTAGAATTTATTCCTCCTATCTAGCTATAATTTTGTATCCTTTAACAAGTCTTTTCCCTGTCTTCTCCTTCCTCTTACCCTTCCCAGAATCTAGTCACCTCTGTTCTGCTTTTTTACTTCTGTGAGATCACATTTTTCTAGCTTCTGCATATAAATGAGAACATGTGGTCTTTAACTTTCTGTTCCTAGCTTATTTCACTTAACATAGTGTCTTCCAGTTTTCATGAGTAATTTTAAGTGCAGTTTTCATTAGTAACTGCTGAAAAGGAACAAACAGGTTATTTTTCCCTCTATTGCCCTGAGTCTTTATCCCTGCCAGAAGTCTTACTTTGACTCCCATTTTGTATCTTTATAGTTTGGGGTTCAAATTGTTCTTGTGGGAGCAACAGCCATCATATGTGACTGAGACAGAAAATCAATCTCTATATTCTTTGGGTTAAAACCAGAAGTGGGGGAAATCTAGCTTTTTTACCATTGCTGCTCAGTAGAGAGTGTTATGTTGACTTTTTGGTTCTTTTTCTATGTTTGTAAAAACCAAAAAAGGAGAGAGAGAAAGAAATCATTACTTACTGGTCTCATCAACAGTGACTTTCTTGTGGCTTAAATTTCTTAAGTATGTCCCTTGAAAAGTAGTCTTTTAAGTCCTTTCAGGATACTCTGCCAAGACAGATATTTTCTTGAAGGCAGATATTTTCTCATGAACTGTATATTGATTTACATACTATGTTAAAATCCATTCATTGAGGACCAGGTTGTAACACTCGAACCTTATAGTCTGGCCTCTAATGTAGATTATCCTCTTTTAATGTCCCAATTCCTTTTCACAGAAAACAGCATTTTTAAACATAAGACTTTAGGTCAGAGAGATATAGTTCTTTCTTCACATCTTTTATTCTTGATCTTTTTAGAATAGTTTCTAAAATATGATTTCTTCATTGAACTGCAAGTAGAAAAATAGAGATGAAATTCAGTCAAGCCAAACCCTACGTAAGAAATGAATTTATTAGAATAATTGCATCCCTTTTAAAATTGTAAGGGGTATTTGGTTAACATTTTGTATGTTCACACCTGTGGTTTTCGTAGATATTCAGGATGTGGCTGTCTGTAGGAATGAATTGTTCTGTTTGCACCTAAATGGGAAAGTCTCACATCTCTCCCTGATATCTGTGGAGCGCTGTGTGGAACGCCTGCTAAGAAGAGGCCTATGGAACTTGGCTGCTCGTACATGCTGTCTTTTCCAAAATTCTGTCATTGCCAGCAGAGTGAGTCAGAGCTTACCTAGACATCTTTACCATGGATTGGTGAAACTCTCCTACCTTGCAAGATTGTGTTACAAAGTTGCTTGATTTTATTAACCCTGTCTGTGTGACCTACAGATACAGCAATACATGCCCAGAGAAAGCATGATAGATATATCTAGGGGTGGATAGAGGGTAAGAAAGAGGGTACAATTTTCATTTAAAACATCAAATTTACATACAAATTTGTTTCAGAACTTGTTTTTAAGGGGGATAATTGCGTATATGGTAAATTTTAATTAAATTATTATTATTATTATTTTGAGACAGTCTCGCTCTGTCACCCAGGCTGGAGTGCAGTGGCGCAATCTCGGCCCACTGCAACCTCTGCCTCCTGGGTTCAAGCAATTCGCGTGTCTCAGCCTCCTGAGTAGCTGCGACTACAGGCGCTCGCCACCACACCTAGCTGATTTTTTTTGTATTTTTAGTAGAGACGGGGTTTCACCGTGTTGGCCAGGCTGATCTCGAACTCCTGACCTCAAGTGATCCGCCCACTTTGGCCTCCCAAAGTGTGGGATTACAGGTATCAGCCACCACACATGGCCTTAAATTCTTAATTCCTAAGAAAATTCTCATTAAATCTTTCTCCAGCTTGCTAAGCCTTTTTAAAGCACCATTGAAGTTTTATGTTCTATATTAGACTTATTTCTTTTTTCTTTTTTTTTTTTTTGAGATGAAGTCTCACTCTTGTCCCCCAGGCTGGAGTGGAGTGCAATGGCGTGATCTCAGCTCACTGCAACCTCTGCCTCCCAGGTTCAAATGATTCTCCTGCCTCAGCCTCCCGAGTAGCTGGGATTACAGATGCCTGCCCCCATGCCCAGCTAATTTTTGTATTTTTAGTAGAGACGGGGTTTCACCATGTTGGCCAGGCTTGTCTTGAACTCCTGACCTCGGGGGATCTGCCCGCCTCGGCCTCCCAGAGTGCTGGGATTACAGGCGTGAGCCACCGTGCCCGGCCTAGACCTCTTTCAATATATTGGCCATTTGAATATAGATTTACCTACAAATAGCTATTCCATTGCGCTGTTGTTTTATTAGGCAAGAAAAACTTTGACTGCAGATAAATTGGAGCATTTGAAATCTCAGCTGGACCATGGCACCTACAATGATCTAATTTCTCAACTGGAAGAATTGATCTTAAAATTTGAACCTTTGGATTCAGCTTGTAGCAGTAGAAGAAGCTCCATTTCATCACATGTAAGTATTCTCACCTTTAAAGGATTTTGTAGGGTAAGATTTTTCCATCTTCGGTTGTTCTTATTTACCTCTAGGATCCCCAAATTTGTTGTCCTTTCCATTTATGTTTTTTGGTGGGAAGGGGTGAACTTTTGTTCAGCTAGTGGCTCAGCTCTGTGAAGCCTCCATTTAGGTGTGTCTTGGAGCCACATTTTGTTTTGTCATTGTTTATTATTTTTTGTTCCCTGATATACTCATATAGCTCCCAGCATAAGTTACGTTGCTCTAATATGTGATTTTAGGTGCTTCATGCTAATTTGAGCCTGAATGCAGGTCTGGATTATCTCATTTAATCCCCATTCTCACTACCAAGCTTTATGAAGACAAGCTAGAGAAATATGGCAGCTGATGCCACTAGCACACGGAGTGACCCAGCTGCCAGGCACCTAAGCCTTGCTCATCAGTTTGTTCTAATAAGCCATAATGGTTGTTATTAACTTTCTATTTGAGTGTTGGTATTTCTCTGCAGAAGTTATATTAACGTTATAAAGGAAATTTTTACCTTTTTTTTTTTTTGAATTCTTTTAATTTTTAGGAAAGTTTCAGCATCTTGGACTCTGGTATTTATCGTATCATTAGTAGTAGAAGAGGCAGTCAGTCAGATGAAGACTCTTGCTCCCTTCACAGCCAAACCCTCTCAGAAGATGAGAGATTTAAAGAATTCACCTCACAGCAGGAAGAGGACCTGCCAGATCAGTGTTGTGGCTCACACGGAAATGAAGGTGATGAATGTGTCTGTTGTTGGTTCCTGATGTGAAGCCATTATTTTCCACGAGCTCCTGTTACCAGGATTATCTTGTGCACGGAATTTCTCTGAAGTGTTAATAATTTTTAACATGTTGATAGAACTTTCCATCCAGATCTACAGATCTGCCCCCTACTAGAAGAGTTGGTTTATGTTTAGTATTTTTTCCCCTCACGTTTGGACTAACATTAGGGCCTGTTTTTGATCATGCATCAAAATGCTGGAAAGGTTATGAAAGAAAGGTCATTAACCAAAAGAGTGGGAAGATTTTATTCTGACTAACCAAATTATTTTTCATCAGGATTGAAAAATTACTGCAGTTTTTGGGGGTCATTGCCTTCCTTTTTCGATGTGCGAGTATTCCTGTGGCTGAACTAGTGAGAAGAGAATAATAGAGATCCTAAACTCCCTTTTTGACTTATGGGGACTCAGGGTTAGTAGGCAAATGAAGGTACCTGCCTCGGTGTTTTATGTGGACCATCCCATGCATTTTGTAAACCTGTGTTCCACTCATTTGTTTCTGGGTCAGTTGTGATTTTGGTATTGAATCCTTCATTTCTTTCGGTTTATTCATTTCAGAATTTTTTTAAAGATTAAAACAACTCCCACGTGATTAGATTTTGTTTCTTTTTTTCCTGATTCCATTCATTAGACAATGTTTCTCATGCTCCAGTGATGTTTGAGACAGATAAGAATGAAACTTTTCTCCCGTTCGGCATTCCATTACCATTTCGTTCTCCATCTCCTCTTGTGTCTCTTCAGGCTGTCAAAGAAAGGTAAACCAATTAGTCTTGTCATTTAATTCCATTACTGATCTTATTTCAGTTCTCACATTAGGTAATTTGTGCTGAGAATGGAAAATGAGAAAAAGGAAGTCTCTTGTTTTCCATATAACTTGTCATATGGAGCTATTAACTTCTCATTTACCTTGGGGAGAGTCTAGCTTCCCTCTGTTTTAGCAGCTGGTATTTGAGTTGTTGCAGATGTAGGTGCCCCCACCCTCAAGAGATCAAAAATTAAAAATCTCTGATGGTAATAGTTTCCACGTATCATTAGTCTTTAGCTGATCCTTTCTAATGGTCAGTTTGGGCTCAGACTTGGAGTCTTTTCAGAATTCTTTTCTAGCTACTCCATGGGACCAGGGTTGACATTTGAGTTTAAGAGAGAAGACTTTGTGCAGCTACTTAACTGCTCATCTGAGTCTTACTGGATACAAATTTTGCTTAAGAAGGGTATATTGTGACTAGTTAACAGCTGAGTTTACATGAAGCAATTCTTTGTTCTGTGACCAGAATGGGGCTGATGATCACATGGCTTTGCCTAAGTTGACAGAAATATTACAGATACAGCTGGAGTTAAAGACCTTTTCTTTAGCGCTGAAACACTGATTTCTTAGGGCAGTTTAGTAAATAATGTGAATCATTATATTGTAAGTTTATATACGTGAAATACTATTATTTGAACAGAGAAGTTGCTATAAACAGTCTTTACTAAGTCCAAGTTGCCTCCCTAGGACTTATTAGGGAGAAAACTGAAGAATGAAAACCTGAGTTTTCTCAGTAATAAGTTTTTATTCATGTTAGTTTTTTGTTATTTGACTTCTAGTGTTTCTAGCTTTGTGCGTAAAACTACTGAGAAGATTGGCACCCTTCACACGAGCCCTGATCTGAAAGTGAGACCAGAGCTCAGGGGTGATGAGCAATCATGTGAAGAGGATGTGAGTTCAGATACCTGCCCAAAGGAGGAAGACACTGAGTAAGCCCTTACACATAAATCTCTATACATTCTAGGGAATCCAGCTGTCAGTTTTAAGAAAGCCATAGACCAACCTTGTGCAGCCTGTGGCCCGTGGGCCTCATGTGTTCCAGGACGGCTTTGAACGTGGCCCAACACAAATTTGTAAAGTTTCTGAAAACATGAGTTTTTTTGTGATTTTTTTTTTTAATAGCTCATCAGCTATTGTTAATGTTAGTGTATTTTATGTGTGGCCCAAGACAATTCTTCCCATGTGGCCCGGGGAAGCCAAAAATTGGACACCTGTGCCATAGACTATGTCCTTTTCAAGAAGGCACATGTATGTCTGCATTCATTGAAGATTGTTTGTGTAGCTTATAAAAATTGTGAAATTCCACAAAGTGTTGAAAAATTACATCACCCCGAAGCAGATCTATTGAGCAGAGTTTTAATTTAGTACTTCTTCCATCTTTCCCCTGCATAACTCCCCTCCTTCCCCCATAATCTCTTCAAACTTCTGGGATCTCACAGGAGTATTATATTAAGAGTAGGATGACCAAGGATCTAGACCTCATCCTGGCTCTGCGTATGACTAGTATGTGACTTTGGGAATGTCACTGATGCTCTCTGGCCTGTAAGATCCAAAATGTGCTATTATTTGATGAGTCAAGGACTCATCAAGCAATAGCAAAAGGACCACCTTTTATATTATCTAATTGTCTCATGTAACATGAGTATAATACTTTATTCTCTAATAAAGAGAATATTAGATTGAGATAATGAAAAAGAAAACAAGGGATTCTTTAGGCAACGTTGATCAAGCAGTTGGCATTGATGTCCTATCAGGTACCTTCCCATAATATGCTGGTGGCCTGGTCCTTGTGTAGTAGAGTTGTAGCAGAGCCCTTAATTGGGCATAGTGTGGAGTATCTTGTCTCTCTGGCTTCTGCCTTATAGTTCAGGGAATCTGGGTATTAAAGGCAAACAAATTCAGCACTTACCCAGGAATTAAGAGAGAAACCCATGGGACCAGTGCATCTGGACAGTCAGATGAAATAAAAGATTTGTAATCCTCAGAATAACTTAGTGAATCCATATGTTTATAGAAAAAATACAGATTTTTTGACATGGCATTTAATGCAGCCTTCTATCTGACCTTAGCTACCTTTCTAGCCACATCCTTCTAAGTGCTATAAATTTCACTCCTATCGGAGAACTAAGTGTGTACACTGACACTTCACTACCTTTCTTCATGCTATGTCTTCTATCCAGAGTATTCTCCCGCCATTTTTTGTGAGACAAATAATACCTCCTTAGGAATATGTCCCTTTCCCTACTCAGAAAAATTATTTCTTCTTCTCTGCTTTCATATCACAATGCTGTTTTAAAGAGCTGCTCTTTGGTGTTCAACTTACTCTTTTTTTAAATTATACTTAGTTGTTTGCATGCCTTTCTTTCTAATGAGAGCTTACTGGAGCTTATCACCTTGAGGCCAAGGACCACCTTTTCTATTCATCTATTTGTCTTATGTAACATGAGTATAATACTTGCCGTTAGTAAGCATGAGAAATATTTGTCCAAGGGTCAGGTGCGGTGGCTCACGCACTTTAGGAGGCCGAGGCAGGTGGATCACGAGGTCAGGAGATCGGGACCATTCTGACTAACATGATGAAACCCCATCTCTACTAAAAATACAAAAACAAAATTAGCCAGGCATGATGCTGGGTGCCTGTAGTCCCAGCTATTCGGGAGGCTGAGGCGGGAGAATGGTGTGAACCTGGGAGGTGGAGCTTGCAGTGAGCGGAGATCATGCCACTGCACTCCAGCCTAGGCAACAGAGCGTGACTCTGTCTCAAAAAAAAAAGAAAAAAGAAATATTTGTCTAAGAAAGCTCTGAGGCTGAGGCAGGGAGAATTGCTTGAACCCGGGAGGCGGAGGTTGCAATGAACCGAGATCACGTCACTGCACTGCAGCCTGGGTGACAGAGTGAGACCCTGTCTCAAAAAAAGCTCTGATCCCCTCTAACTCTTGTGAATGTTATTGTTATTTTGCACACTTTTTTAGGGAGGAAAAAGAGGTAACTAGTCCACCTCCAGAAGAAGACAGGTTCCAGGAGCTTAAAGTAGCAACAGCAGAAGCAATGTGAGTATAATGAGAAACTTTTATAGTGACGTCTCAAGGCAGTTTAGTAAACGAAGTGAATCATTATATTGTAAGTTTTTTATGGGCCTTGTATGAAATATATAGTTGATTAGAGAAGTTGCTATAAATGGTCTTTCCTTTTATTAAGTCCAAGTTGCCTTCCTAGGACTAATAGGAAAAACCCAGGCACTGAAGTTTTCATTCTTGGCAGCAATAAGATTTTCTTCATGTTAATTTTTTGGTATTTGACTTCCAGTATTCCTAGCTTTGTGTGTAAAACTACTGAGAAGATTGGCAGCCTTCACACAAGCCCAGAATGGGAATGACTTTCTGAGTCCATCAGTAGTGGTCCTGAGACAGTTTGGGGCAGAGATAGCCTCATTTGGAATTGAAATTGAAGAAGTAGGCTGGGCGTGGTGGCTCATGACTGTAATCCCAGCATTTTGAAAGGCTGAGGTGGGCGGATCGCTTGAGCTTAGAAGTTTGAGACCATCCAGGGCAACATGATGAAACCCCAAATACCAAAAGTAGCTGTGTGTAGTGGGTGTAGTGGCATGTACCTGTATTCCCAGCTACTCAGGAGGCTGAGGTGGGAGGATCACTTGAGCCTGCAGTGAGCTATGTTTGTGCCATTGCACTCCAGCCTGGGTGACAAAACAAGACCCTATCTCAAAAAAAAAAAAAAAAAAGTAAAACACTACAAAGTTTATGTTCTCTGTTTTGTCATCTTGTTGAGATAGTTTTTATTTAAAGAGTTGAAAAGTAACGTTTATTCCAGATGAGTATGTTACATTGGTTAGGTTAATTTATTAGCATGAATTAATTTGTTTTAAGAAAAACACATGACACATGAATTTCATACTTGTCTGTCTTGTATAGGACCAAGCTACAGGACCCTCTGGTTTTATTTGAATCCGAGTCTCTGAGAATGGTTTTACAGGAGTGGCTTTCACATTTAGAAAAAACATTTGCCATGAAGGACTTTTCAGGTGTTTCAGATACTGACAACTCATCCATGAAATTGAACCAGGATGTGCTATTAGTTAATGAATCAAAAAAGGGAATATTAGATGAAGATAATGAAAAAGAAAAAAGGGACTCTTTAGGCAATGAAGAATCTGTTGATAAAACAGCATGTGAATGTGTAAGGAGTCCAAGGGAGTCTTTGGATGACCTGTTTCAAATATGTTCTCCATGCGCCATTGCAAGTGGTCTTCGGAACGACCTGGCTGAATTGACAACATTATGTTTGGAGTTGAATGTATTGAATTCTAAGATCAAAAGCACCAGTGGACATGTGGACCACACTTTGCAACAGTACTCTCCTGAAATTCTGGCTTGCCAGTTCCTGAAGAAGTACTTTTTTCTCCTGAACTTGAAAAGAGCGAAGGAGAGTATCAAGCTTAGTTACAGTAATAGCCCTTCTGTTTGGGATACTTTTATTGAAGGATTGAAAGGTAATACTCAGATTGCCTTATCAAAGATAGAAATTCGTATTAAAAAACATTAGCAGTTTTGAATTTTGGGGTTTAAAAAAAAGATTTAAGTAGAAAATCACATCTGTTCTGGTCAACCCTTTATTCTGTTTTCCATTCATTTTAACTTTTAATAGTTCTTTCAGACATTGGTTAAATTCACAACTGGATTATAAGAAATTAGTTTTTAAATTTTTATTTATTTTATTTTTTTTGAGACAGAGTTTCATTCTGTTTGAGTGCAGTGGCGCCATCTTGGCTCACTGCAACCTCCGCCTCCTGGGTTCAAGTGATTGTCTTGCCTCAGCCTCCCAAGTAGCTGGGACTGCAGGCGTGCACCACCACGCCCAGCTAATTTTTGTATTTTAGTAGAGACAGGGTTTTGCCATGTCGGCCAAGCTGGTCTCAAACGCCTGACCTCAAGTGATCTACCTGCCTTGGCCTCCCAAAGTGTTGGGATCACAGGCATCAACCACTGTGCCTGGCCCTATTTTTTATTTTTAGAGACAGGGTCTCACTCTGTGCCCAGGCTGGAATGCAGTGGTGTGATCATGGCTCACTGTAGCCTTGATCCCTTGGGTTCAAGCGATCCTCCTGCCTCAGTTTTCTGAGTCGTGGGATTACAGGCATGTGCCACTGTACCCTCTGATTTCTTCATTTTTTTATAGAGATGGGGTCTTACTGTGTTGCCCAGGTTGGTCTTGAAATCCTGACCTCAAAGCAGTCTTCCCACCTTGGCCTCCCAAAATGCTGGGATTATAGGTGTGAGCCACCATGCCTGGCCCTAGAAATTAGTTTTATTTCTCTCATAATGACATTCAGAAAATGGTAGAGCAGTGCTGGGGAAGTTGAGGTTAAAGTAAAATGTTTATAAATGCAGATGTATTAAAAGAAGAAAATCTCTCATGTAACTTACTAATACAGAAATACTATATGGGGTACTTATTGTGTGGCAGATATTATGGTAAACACTTTTCAGCATTGTCTCATTTCATCCTTACAATAATGTTTGGAGTAGATGGTGTTATTCCATTTTATAGATAAGCAGTCTGAGGCAGAGAGAGATCTTAGGTAGCTAAACTGCTGTAATAAATATCTGATAATGAAGTAACTCATACATAAATAGAAGTGTATTTCTTGCTCATGTAACAGTCCAGGACAGGTATTCCAGGTCAGTGGGTAGCTGTCTCCCAGGTGGTAATTCAGCATTCTAGCATTCCAAGTTCCTTCCATTATTTTCAGCTCCATCTTCCCTTAAGGGATGTGGTCATGTTTGGGTTGCTATGTCTGGGGAAAGCATGTAGAAAGTGCTGTCTTATAGGCCTGGCCTGGTAGTGGCTTACCTCTCTTCTGTGTACATTTCCATTGATGAGAATTCTGTCATATAGCCACAACTAACTGCAAAGGAAACTGGGAAATGTAACCTGTCCAGGAGGAAAAGAATGAATATAGGTGAAGAGCTCGCTTACATGTCTGCCTCAGAGACTTTGGTGCATAGCCCGCAGTATCTACCTTGGCGGAAGGTCGCATATGTCATCCTGACATATAATAGAAACCAGCTATCATACCCTAAAAACTATATGCATTGCCCTTTCTGCAGCCATAGTCCCATGTTTTTGAAGAAGTGAATTTTCTTAATTCCAAATCCTACTTGAATAACAGATGCCATATTTCTAATACTTTAGACTTTAAGCAACTTTTCATTCATTACCAAAAGTGAATAGAGATACATTTTTATGTCATCTTACTTAAAGATATTTTAGCTTTCTAGAAACATGGATCTATAGTTACAGATCTGCTTTAATTCAAATATAGCAGTTAAAAGCATAATAATTTTTTTTTTTCTGAGTTGAGGTAGATTGTCTTTTGTGTGAAATAAGAAACAAGCTATTTCTCCTCAGGTAAGTTCAAATGTGTGACATTATTACTCATTGGAAATTTACTGTATCTGTCTCTATTATGTGATCATACCCAGTCACAGAAGAGCAGAAAAGAGTCTCCATCAGCCAGAGTGATAGTTGTTACTACCAGTGCTGGCTAGAGGAAGCATGGTGGGCAATTTGAGTGATATGGCTGCTTACTTGAATTTAGGTGGATATGTCTGGTTTAGCTCCCGCGCAGTCATCAGGCTTCCCCAAACCTCTGAATGGCCTCCTCCTCTGAATTCCTTTAAAGTACTTATTGCCTGACACAGTCAAATGGGAAACAATGAGACTGGGGAAAAAATGACTTTTTTAAAAAAGCATGTATCAGAAAATGAATGTTGGCTCTTAGAACCTGGTGAGTAGGCCTCACCCTTCTAATGATGTGATAATTATGGGAAACAGCTTTTGGAACTGTTATTTGGGATTTGTCTTCAGAGGCAGTTGAAAAATACTTGCCCAGCTTAGGCAACGTAGCAAGACCCCGTCTCTACACACACAAAAACACACACACCAGCCTATGCAATGTAGCAAGACCCTGTCTACACACACATACATATAAACACACACACACATGCCAGCCTAGACAACGTTTCAAGACCTTGTCTCTACACACACACACATGCACACACCCAGGTATTGCAGCTAGGCAACGTAGCAAGACCCTGTCTCTCCACACACGCATGTGCGCATGTGTGCACACAGGCACTGCAGCTAGGCAACGTAGGAAGACCCCGTCGCTGCACACACACACACACACACACACAGCCAGGAGTTCAAGGTTGCAGTGATCACCACTGCACTCCAGCCTGGGCAACAGAATGAGACCCTGTTTCTAAAAAACTAAAAAAGAAAACTACTTGGAAAAAAACCCACTTTACTTTAGATTCATACTTTTTTTTTTTAAACCACAAATAGTTTTAGATCATCACTCCTTTCACCAGACTTGATTTTAAGTGACTTTTGGCTATTCCAAAAAGTCAAATCTTCTGTTCTTCAGAGAATGAGTATTTGCTATACTGGTAACTTTAAAAAAAGGTCAAATATTTTAAAATTAATTTCATTGAATTTAATTCTAAAAGATGGAGTAGGAATACTAGTTCTAGAAAAAACTGAGCAACTTGGCATTGATGATAGCTATGTATATTGGTTTTTGATGTGTGCTTATATGGACAGTTGCTATATATAGGCCTAGATACTCATTATTTTAAGAGTAATAGTCACTGATGTATTAATTATATGTTCCTTCGTCTTATTTAAAACTTTTAATATGCTTTGCCTCCCAATTAGATTTTAAGGTTCTTAAAAGTAGAAATTACATCTCTTGTACTTTTATTTGTTTCTCTTGTAATGCTTAATATTGGGCCTTGCACATAATAGGTCCACACAGTAGGTACGTGACTAATGATTGCTGAATGAACATGTTCATAAATTGAATATTTCCGCCTAAGAGATAAAGTTTGGAAAAGGATATGCTTTATATTTCAGAAATGGCAAGTTCCAATCCTGTGTATATGGAGATGGAAAAAGGAGATCTACCAACAAGGTTAAAGTTACTAGATGACGAGGTTCCTTTTGATAGTCCGTTGTTGGTTGTTTATGCTACCCGGTAAGTTGTCCTGTATATTGTTTATATGAGCTAAAGCACATGCATTTTTTTGTGTATTTTAGTCTCTAACATGTTACTCATTTGCATATGAGGCAGCTTCTGTTAGTATATTTATTTTCATTTGTAATAAGTAACCTAAATGTAACCAAGTTATATAATTTCACTGAAATTAGAGACTAAAGTGTTTTGTTTTTAAATGCAGGTTGTATGAAAAGTTTGGGGAGTCTGCTCTTCGATCCTTAATCAAGTTCTTTCCATCCATTTTGCCATCGGATATCATACAACTTTGTCATCATCATCCTGCTGAGTTTTTGGCCTATTTAGACAGTCTGGTGAAATCAAGGCCTGAAGATCAGCGGTGAGAAGGAGAGCATATTTGCAGACTCTCCTTTCTTTTGACAGGGCATTGTTTCTCTTTTATAAGCAGGTGTCACATTGTGTACTGTTAATTACCAAGGGGTTGAGGCACATACTATGGAAGAGGAGGATTTGGGAGGCCTTGTAACATTCTGCCACATGTCACAGCACACATCACAAATGTGCATGTACCACACTTCTTCACTGCCTCTCAGGGATTCTCAGATCAGTGCAAAATTAATCCCTTGATTCAGGGCCTGAACTAAGAAGATAAGCTTCTTATTGTCTTTGCAGTGAGTAGATTCACTGCCACCTTTTTATTGACATAGATCTCAGTTCCAGCTCTTCTCTTTTTAGGCTGATGTCTGATTTTCTGTCTCCCCATGGTTGTAACACTTGTGACCTGTGCCCCTGGCTTATTAGACTAGCGGCTTCCTCCTTTCTTCTTTTGATTGGTTCACATTTGCCACAATGTTGCCCAGGCTGGATGCAGTGGCTATTCACGGGTATGATCATAGCATACTACAGCCTCAAACTTATGGCCTCAGTGATCTTCCTACTCTGGCCACACTGGTTTTTATTTGTCTCTTTCTTTCTCTCTCTCTTTCTCTCCCTTTTTTTTTTTCTTTTTTGGCCCTTTGACATTTTCTTTGTTATCTTGGAGCTTGGTCACCAGCATTTCTAGACATTTTGTAGCAGAAGAGTTTTCAAGTTATTTCTTCTTCTATATTCATCTCTTAATCAGGTTTTCTTCACACTCCCCACATTTTATGCTTCCTTTCTTAGCATGAAGATTGGTGACTTTTTTCCCCAACTTTCTCTTAGGTCATCTTTTCTTGAGTCCCTTCTGCAACCAGAGTCTTTAAGGTTGGATTGGCTGCTTTTGGCAGTGTCCCTTGATGCTCCACCAAGCACCAGCACAATGGATGATGAAGGTTATCCCAGGTACAGAAGAAGTCCTCTTTCTTTGTTTTTTTCTTTACTTTTTTTTTTTGAGACAGGATCTCACTCTGTCGCCTAGGCTGGAATGTGGTGCTAAGATCATGGCTTCCTGCAGCCTTGACCTCCTAGGCTCAGGTGATTAAACCCTTCAACCTTAGCTTCCTGAGTAGCTGGGAAGACAGGAGCACACCACTCTGCCCGGCTAATTTTTTGTACAGATGAGATTTCGCCTTATGGCCCAGGCTGGTCTCGATCTCCTGGGCTCAAGCGATCTACCTGCCTTGGCCTCACAAAGTGCTGGGATTAGAGGCGTGAGCCACTGTGCCTGGCTAGGAGTCTTATTTCTAAGGATTAAGCTCCAGTGTTCCTTTGGAATGGAACTGGTTTATTCACATATGGCATTCTGGGCTCACTTTAGAAATAGCTATGGAAGAGACTGACCCAAGTCATGGTAGTAATGAGATTAAGTATATTTCTTAGTGGTTCTGAAATTTTTTGGGGTCACCCTATAAGAATCTGATGATTCCTTTTAGAAAAATGCAGTCATGCAAAACTTTGCACAGCTGACCGCCTGCAGGTTTTTCATGGGCCCACATTAAGAGACCTTGGTGATTAAGCCTGTGAGAGGATAAAACTGGGTGTGGGGGTTAGGGAGATAGGTATGTATGTGTTTTCTTCCTAAAAATGTGTCAAGGAATTTTTAGACATAACCTGATCTAGGACTTTAAAAATAAAATAAAATTAAAGTACACACTGGTACTTGTGTCAGAACTATTGCTTGCGTTTCCTCCCAGGAGAAGCTTCTTAAAAGACCCCCAAATGCCTGTCTTATATTCCTAGCAAAAAGTCTGGAAGGATATGCAGTGGTTATCTGTGAGTGATGGAATGATAGAATTAAAAGAAGAAAAAAGAATTTATTTCTTTTGCTTTTGATTACCTAAAGTATCTAATCTTTAAAAATAAACAGGTTATAGGAAAAATAGCTATTTTTAAGTTTTCAAAAGCCAAATAGCAATGTTTTTAAAATGTAGTAATAGAATGCAGTTAAACTCTATTCTTACCTATTAGGTGATAAATAAGCATTTTCTAGAGTTTATTTCCTATCTAATTTACTGATTCCTTTTCATTTCATAGGCCTCATTCACACTTGCTTTCCTGGGGTTACAGTCAGCTGATCCTTCATCTAATTAAACTTCCTGCAGATTTTATAACCAAAGAGAAAATGACAGACATCTGCAGGTCTTGTGGGTAAGTGAGAATTTTTTAGAAACTGAAGTTAAGGTTAGAAACATTTCAGTTAACAACTTTATAGTTAAGGGTCTGAATTAATACACATTAATATTTGGGGATTCTCTTTGCTATTTAAAAGTACCTTTTTGTTTTAAGTGATAGTAAATTAAACATCTTTTTTCCATTTAAATTTCTTGCTTTTTTCTTTTTTTTTTTTTTTTAAATAGCCTTAGCTAATTCCCCTCCACTCCCTCTGCTTAGTTGCCAGCCCCAGTTCTCAGGCATGTAGATAGTATTTAATTAAGCACCAGATTATGTGATACCAATTATAATTGATAGACTTTTATAATTAATACAGTAAGAGAGAGATCAAAATGGGCTCAATAGCATCGCTGGTGAAGGACTCAAGGAGGAGGTGAGATTTTGGAGGTAAAACCTAAAACCTGGGTAGGATTTGTATTTATAAAGGAGCCAGGAGAGGGTGAGTTAGGTGAGAGAAACAGAGCAAGGGCGTGGAAAACTGGCATTGCTTATTATCCATGTCACACTTCAGTCAGTTATTTATTGCCTGGTGATACTGGCTTATGGCTCCAACTGGATTATAATCTTTTGGAGATAGCAACTTGTGTCTTTCTTTTCCCTCATAATGTCTATATCTAATTTGTATAGTGGTAGGCACTTGATACATATTTGTTCATTGTAATGAGGGCTGAGTCTGGCCAGGTGGTGGGTGACAAGATCATGCAGGACCTTGAAAGCTGGTAGAATAATTTAGTTATCAGTAGAGACCCTTTTAGACTGAACTACTTGGTGCAAAAATTGTGTAATGAAAGTGGAGCTTTCTAGAGATCATTTCTGATGTCATATATGAGAAGGCTGGAGACAGAAGGCCAGCTAGGAAGCTGTTGGAGTAATTCAGATATGAGTGGATTGGTGATTAGTAGGGCAGCAAAAGGAGCACATCCAGTGGGCATTTCAAAGGAAAATGCAGTGGGACATGCTGATACTGGATATAGCAAATGAAGGAGGGGGAAGAGTCAAGGAAGACTTCCAAGGTTTACATATTTGGAGAAGAAATATGCTAGGTTTGTGTTGAATTTTAAAGTTTATAAATTGAATAAAGCTTAAATGCCTTATAATTGGAGCTTGGCCTCAAATGTCAGCATTTGTTGCTAGGTTTTTTGTTTTTTTTTTTTCCCTAGATCAGGGTCATCTAATAGAACTTTCTGTGATAGTGGAGATATTCTACTGAACTGTCCAATGGTGGCCACTAGCCACATGTAGCCATTGACTACTTGAAATGTGAATATATTAACTGAAAAACTGACTTTCAGATGTTATTTACTTTTAATTAATTTAAATTGAAATAGCCACATGTGACTGTGTCTACTGTTTTGGGCAGCACAGCTCCAGATAAATTCATGGCCTTTTATTCCTTTCTTCAACTTCGGTCTCTTTAAAGTTTCTGGCCTGGATATCTAATTCTCTGTTTGGAGCTGGAGAGAAGAAGAGAGGCCTTCACCAATATTGTGTATCTGAATGATATGAGCCTGATGGAAGGGGACAATGGTATGTCAATCCTAACTGGTTACTCTTGGTTGTCAATTTTTAGAAGTTACTCCAGACCTCTCAACAAAAAAATTTGGTGAACCTTTCAATGATCATATATTTAATATGTGATTCCACTTAGTTGTCACATTTGTGGAGTTTTTGTTTTTGTTTTTGTTTTTTACCTATAGCCCTTGATATGTTATGAAATCACAATTAAGAATAAACTATAGGCAACTTTTCTATTTCATGAGTGCCTACTATGTGTTAGGCACTATACTGTGTGCTTTCCATATGTTGTTTTAAATGAGATAACAAACTCTGGGGATAGTTACTATTATTTCCACTTTCCAGATAACTGAGGTACAGAAGGGACAGTTAATTGGCCCAAAGTCACACAGCTACTAATTGTAAATGCTGGAGCTGGGGTTCAGACCAAGGACTTCCTCCAAAATTTGTGCTTAGGCTCTTTTTTTTTTTTTTTTTTAATTTCCCATTAATTAAAGATGATTCTGGCCAGGCGCGGTGGCTCACGCTTGTAATTCCAGCACTTTCAGAGGCCGAGGTGGGCAGATCACCTGAGGTCGGGAGTTTGAGACCAGCCTGGCCAACATGGTGAAACCCCATCTCTACTAAAAATACAAAAATTAACTGGGCATGGTGGCTTATGCTTGTAATCCCAGCTACTTGAGAGGCTGAGGCAGGAGAATTGCTTGAACCTGGGAGGTGGAGGTTGCAGTGAGCTGAGATCGCACCACTGCACTCCAGCTTGGGCAACAGAGCAAGACTTGGTCTCAAAACAAAAAGGAAAAGAAAAATTCCTTGAATTCGTCAAGTTCTTTCCTGTGTCACATTGTCTTCCATGTTTCCTTTATCAGAAATGCAGGCCCCTTATTTCTGATGGCTCCTACTCCAAGTTTTCACATTATGTGGGCCCCATGCATATGTCCTCTAAGCTTGTCTCATCTTTTAGCTTTCTGCTTCAATGTCACTTCCTCATAGAGCCCTTCTCAGATCTTCCAGGCAGAATCAGCCATTCTCTCTGATGCTTCCTTGTTCTTTTTTTTCATAGTGCTTAGCATACTTTATAAGTATATACTTACGTGTTTAAGTTTTGTCTCCTATACTAGACTGTAGGCTCCACAAGAGTACAGGGATTGTGTCTCTTCTGTTCATCATTACATATCCAGTGCTTAGCATAGGATATGCCCTGGGTAATTACTGAGTGGTTGAAAGAATTCTGAAGCTGCCCAGGTGTGGTAGCTCATGCCTGTAATCCCAGCACTTTGGGAGGCTGCGGTGGGAGGCTTGCTTGAGCTCAGGAGTTTAAGACCAGCCTGGGCAACATGGTAGTGAGACCCTGTCTCTCTTTAAAAAAAAAAAAGAAAAAAATTAAAGTTAATTTTGTGGCTTCTCTTTCTCATGAACAATTTATACAACAAATTTTCAGAAAACAACTTGTGTTAGGGTGATGAGATTGTGTTCTTGAATATTTTTACGTTTTGGCATTAAACATTTTCACAGTTTTGACCATCTCCTGTATCCAGTCAGTGTGCTAAGAGTGGTCAAACTGACACTTCCCTGTGTGTGTTTAGGTTGGATCCCAGAGACCGTGGAGGAATGGAAGCTTCTCCTTCATCTCATACAGAGCAAGAGCACGAGGCCAGCCCCCCAGGAGTCACTAAATGGGAGCCTCAGTGATGGGCCTTCCCCCATCAATGTGGAGAATGTGGCACTTCTGTTAGCTAAGGCCATGGGCCCAGATCGGGCTTGGTCACTGCTACAGGAATGTGGTCTGGCCCTTGAGTTGTCAGAGAAGTTTACCAGAACCTGCGATATCCTGAGGATTGCTGAGAAAAGGCAGAGGTAATATCAGTTTGTCCTACCCTCTGCATAGTGCTTGGAGAAGGTAGAAGGCCACAGACTTTCAGATGTAGATGTGGAGATCATTTAGTCCCGACCCATCACTAACATGAGGAGACTGAGACTGATGTGGTAATTAAGGGAAGAGGCTAAAGTAATATTTCATTCACAGCCATGACCAAGATGCTGTTCAGATTAACCTGAATAATCTGATGTGTCCTTGATTCTTTAAAAATATTACTGGTACCAGGCTGGTCGTGGTGGTTCACGCCTGTAATCCTTGCACTTTGTGAGGCCGAGGTGGGCGGATCATGAGGTCAAGAGATTGAGACCATCCTGGCAACATGGTGAAACCCCATCTCTACTAAAAAAAAAAAGTACAAAAATTAGCTGGGTGTGGTGGCACGTGCCTGTAGTCCCAGCTACTTGGGAGGCTGAGGCAGGAGAATCGCTTGAACTCGGAAGGTGGAGGTTGCAGTGAGCCAAGAACATGACACTGTACTCTAGCCTGGTGACAGAGCGAGACTCCATCTCAAAAACAAAAAAATTACTGGTACCTGGCTGGGTACGGTGGCTTATGCCTGTAATCCCAGTACTTGGGGAGGCTGAGGCAGGTGGATAACCTGAGGTCAGGAGTTCGAGACCAGCCTAACCAATATGGTGAAACCCTGTCTCTACTAAAAAAAAAAAAAAAAAATGCAAAAAAATTAACTGGACATGGTGGCAGACACTTGTAATTCCCAGCTACTCGGGAAGCTGAGGCAGGAGAATCGCTTGAACTCAGCAGGCAGAGATTGCAGTGAGCCAAGATCACGCCATTGCACTCCACCCTGGGCAACAAGAGCAAAACTCTGAAAAAAAAAAAAAAAATTACTGGTACCAGATACCTAATGTCTCAGTAATTTTTTTTTGTGGTATAATACACATAAAATTTATCATCTTAACAATTTAAAAATATTCAGCTCAGTGGTATTAAGTTATTCATATTGTTTTGCATCCAGTCTCTAGAACTTTTTCATTTTGCAAAACTGAAACTCCACACCCATTAAACAGCAACTTACTTCCTCTACCTAGCCCCTGGCAACCACAGTTCTACTTTCTGTTTTTATTAATTTTACTATTCTACATACCTCATCTCAGTGGAATTAATACATTTGTCGTTTTGTGACCAGCCTGTTTTCACTGAGCATAGCATCCTAAAGGTTTATCCATGTTGTAGCATGTGTCAGGATTTCCTTTCTACTTAAGGCTGAATAATATTCCGTTGTATATATATGCCACCTTTTGTTTATCCATTCATCTGTTGACAGACACTTGAATTGCTTCCACTTTCTGGCTATTGTGAATAACGCTGCTATGAATATGAGTATACAAATATGTCTTCCAGACACTGCTTTCAGTTCTTTCGGGTATATACCTGAAAGTGGAATTCTGGAATCATATGGTAATTCTATTTTTAATTTTTTGAGGAACCACCATACTGTTCTGTAGAGACTGCACCATTTTACTTTCCTGCCAGCAGTGCACAAGAGTTCCAATTTCTCCATGTGCTAGCCCCACACTTGTCATTTTCTGTTGTTGTTTTTTGTTAAACAGTAGCTATCCCAGTGGGTGTCAGGTACTATATATCTCATTGTGGTTTTGATTTGCATTTTTCTAATGATTAGAGATGTTGAGCATTTTTTCATATGCTTATTGACCATTTATATAATTGTCTTTGGAGAAATAGCTATTCAAGTCCTTTGCCCATGTTGAATCAGGTTGGGTGTTTTCGTTGTTGTTGCTGTAAGAGTTCTCTGATATTCTGGATATTAACCTCTTATCAGATACATGATTTGCAAATATTTTCTTCCATTCTGTAGGTTGCCTTTTCACTCTGTGCATTGTGTCTTTTAATGCACAGAATCAGTCAACTTTTTGAATCCTCTGAAACTCTGTAGTTTTTAAGTTTTCTGTGAAGAATGAACAATGACAACTAAATTTGCTTGTTTCTTTTCTTTGGGATTTCAGGGCCTTGATACAAAGCATGCTTGAAAAATGCGATCGGTTTCTCTGGTCCCAGCAGGCCTAGTGGGAGAAGATTCAGCAGGATGTCATGACATTTTGAGAAAAACTAAATCATGCTCCTGAACCTTCTGAACGCATTTGTTATTGAAGGAAAGACACCACCCCCAAATCCTGCCATCTTATTGGGGCTACTTTTGTCAGTGTCTGTACCCTTGGCATCGGCATCTGTGACTCTTTATCCATGACCTCAGTGTTTCTTAACCAAAGTTGTACTCAGCATTTCTTAACCAAAGTTGAATTTTGAAAAGAGTCAGTCCTTGTTTGCTGGAATTAGAATGTTAATGTCCTAGTATTATTCCGAACTACAGTATTAACTGCTTGTTGCTAGTGGATTAGACAGATTCTTTTCTTACTGTGGCTTCCATGTTGGGAGCAGAAGCTTTTCATCCTGGTCACATGAAGACAGATGGTATTATTGACTGGAGTTGAATTATTTTTATATCTTGTCTGGCACAATATGGAAATTACTGAAATAAGACGGTGTATAATGGAATTAACACCCAAAATAAGTAGAACACTGAAGATTTGAATTTGATATTTAAGTAAAATGGGACTGGGTGCAGTGGCTCAGGCCTGTAATCCCAACCCTTTGGAAGGTAAAGACGGGAGGATCACTTGAGGCCAGGAGTTCAAGACCAGCCTGGGCAACATAGTGAGAATGCATCTCTACAAAAAATAAAAAAAATTAGCTAGGCATAGTACCTGAGGCCAGGAGGTCCAGGCCGCAATGAGATGTGTTTGTGCCATTGCACACCAGTCTGGGTGACAGAGAAAGACCCTGTCTCAAAAACAAATTAAATAAAATATCTTCATATATAAATTAAGCTAATTAAAAATATTTTTCCCTGTATTTATTTAATATTTTCTAATCTGAACCCATATACAGCTGACTAATTCATTCTTAGAAATGTGTTATCTGTAATCTTTCCTAAACAGAGTAGCCCACAAGAATCATGCACTTTTTAAAATTATTTCTAAGAAGCCATAACAAAGCTGTGTACTAATAAAGACTGCAGCAAGCACTTGTGTTATTTAAATTATGTAAGTAGATTGTCATTTGTCAGGCTCCTGTACATTTACATAGCATGTTATATTAATAATAAATGTAAAATATGACTAAAGTTTTCATTGGAACACAATGTAGACAGGAGGTTTATTATGAGCATTTTGCAGAAAGGTGTGGAGTAAGTAAAGTGTTGGATGCACTGAACAATTCAACTCTTTTTTGCATTTATAACATAACCAGAGAATATGGACACAAATCACTGTTAAACTTACACATTACTCCTAGATATGATGCAACCATATGGGTTAAAGAGATTGTCGGCTGGGCGCGGTGGCTCACGCTTGTAATCTCAGCACTTTGGGAGGCCAAGGCGGGTGGATCACGAGGTCAGGAGATCGAGACCATCCTGGCTAACACGGTGAAACCCCGTCTCTACTAAAAATACAAAAAAATTAGCCTGGCATGATGGCTGGCGCCTGTAGTCCCAGCTACTCGGGAGGCTGAGGCAGGAGAATGGCGTGAACCCGGGAGCCGGAGCTTGCAGTGAGCCAAGATCGTGCCACTGCACTCCAGGTTGGGCGACAGAGTGAGACTCCGTCCCAAAAAAAAAGAGAGATTGTCAGGGAAAGGAGAATTCTTAGAATTCCGGGAAGTATGGAAAACCTTCCCACTAGCATAATTTGCCTTTTGGCCATATTGGATTGTGTTGAAATGTGCATCTATACTGAGATAAGGGTGAGAGCCCCTGTCCACTGTCAGCACAGTCACTACTAGAAGGCCCAGAGGAAGTCCCGTGACAAGCAGACAGCATGAACTGGCACAATTGTGCAATCATTTCTTCACAGACCTTCTCAAGGCACAGCAATTCTCATTTGATAAAGGGTATGGAGAGAAATTTCTAATATAACAAAAACAAATCTTGTCACTTGAATTTATTTTCCGAGGCAAACAAACAAAAATCACCTTCATGACATTAGATGAAAAAAAAAATCTCCTTCAGTTAAACATTTAAACTTGCAGTCTATTTGGGTATTAGTTTTTAAATAGAACTTGTATCTTTCTTTCGCTTCCCTGAAAGTTCTAGGCAGATTGTGATTCATGGTTGCCTCCCTTTTCCCTTTTGTTTACAGATCTGACCGGCTGTTTTACAGGGCATCACAGTGGCTGAGAGCTTGTGTTCTGAGGCTGACTGCCTTGGTTTGAATATCTACTCTCTCTTTTGCTTCATGACTTTGGGAAGTTCCTTTGTTTTTCTAAGTTCTAGTGTTCTCATCTGTAAAATGGGGATGATGGTAGCTCTGATTCAGGGTATTTTGAGGATTAGATGAGATAATAGCACAAAGAAAGAGTTGAGGTGTTAGAGCTCCTTTTTAGTGAGAATTAAAGGAGACGGAAATGGTAGGGCACAGTGCCTGTGATGTAGCGTATAGGTAATAATGTTAGCTATTGTTAGAAAGGTTTGGGATGTCGTTGTTGGACCTGGTAGTTATCAGACCCATAGACATTGGATTTACATGAGCCAGAGACAGTGGGAAGACGAAAATTGAAATTAATAATTTCCTTGCATGTGTTAAATTTGTGATTGCCCTGGTCAAGGCTCAAAACCTTGTAGTAGTCATCCTTGCCTCTTCCTCCTCCTCTACCCTCACTTCTAATGACTAGGTACATTTCTACCTTGCTTTCAATTCTACCTTGCTGGTGTTTTCCATTAGTCATTTTTTTCCCATTGTCTCTTGCCACCAGCTCACGTTCTCATTATTTCTTGCCTAGACTATTGCCACAGTCTTTTTTTTTTTTTTTTTTTTTTGAGACGGAGTTTCGCTCTTGTTGCCCAGGCTGGAGTGCAATGGTGTCATCTCGGCTCACAGCAACCTCCGCCTCCCAGGTTCAAGCGATTCTCCTGCTTCAGCCTCCTGAGTAGCTGGGATTACAGGCATGTGCAACCACACCCAGCTAATTTTGTTGTTGTTTTTATTTATTTATTATTATTTTTAGTAGAGATGGGGTTTCTCCATGTTGGTCAGGCTGGTCTGGAACTCCCAACTTCAGGTGATCCACCTGCCTTGGCCTCCTAAAGTGCTTGGATTACAGGCGTGAGCCACTGCGCCTGGCCCATTACAGCAGACTTAAGTGACCTTCCTCTCTTCACCTCTAACCACTGACATCCCATCACTGCCACCAGTTCATCTCAGCACAATAAATGTAAACAATCTTAGATCTATTAAGAGGTGACAGCGTGCTGGCGACCCTCGCAGCCCTCGCTCACTCTCCGTGCCTCCTCGGCCTCGGCCCCCACTCTGGCGGCACTTGAGGAGCCCTTTAGCTCGCTGCTGCACTGTGGGAGCCCCTTTCTGGGCTGGCCAAGGCTGGAGCCGGCTCCCTCAGCTTGCAGGGCGGTGTGGAGGGAGAGGCGCAGGTGGGAACCGGGGCTGTGCGCGGTGCTTGCGGGCCAGCGCGAGTTCCGGGTGGGCGTGGGCTCAGCGGGCCCCGCATCGGAGCGGCCGGCCGGCCCCACCGGCCCTGGGCAGTGAGGGGCTTAGCACCTGGGCCAGCAGCTGCTGTGCTCAATTTCTCGCTAGGCCTTAGCTGCCTTCCTGTGGGGCAGGGCTCGGGACCTGCAGCCCGCCATGCCTGAGCCTCCCCCCGACTCCGTGGGCTCCTGTGCGGCCCAAGCCTCCCTGACGAGCACCGCCCCCTGCTCCAGGGCGCCCAGTCCCATTGACCACCCAAGGGCTGAGGAGTGCGGGCACATGGCAGGGGACTGGCAGGCAGCTCCACCTGTGGCCCCGGTGCGGGATCCACTGGGTGAAGCCAGCTGGGCTCCTGCGTCTGGTGGGGACTTGGAGAACCTTTATGTCTAGCTGAGGGATTGTAAATACACCAATCGGCACTCTGTATCTAGCTCAAGGTTTGTAAACACACCAATCAGCACCCTGTGTCTAGCTCAGGGTTTGTGAATGCACCAATCGACACTGTATCTAGCTACTCTGGTGGGGACTTGGAGAACCTTTATGTCTAGCTAAGGGACTGTAAATACACCAGTCAGCATTCTGTATCTAGCTAATCTAGTGGGGATGTGGAGAACTTTTGTGTCTAGCTCAGGGATTGTAAATGCACCAATCAGCACCCTGTCAAAACGGACCAATCAGCTCTCTGTAAAATGGACCAATCAGCAGGATGTGGGTGGGGCCAGATAAGAGAATAAAAGCAGGCTGCCTGAACTGGGGTGGCAACCTGCTCAGGTCCCCTTCCACACTGTGGAAGCTTTGTTCTTTTGCTCTTTGCAATAAATCTTGCTGCTGCTCACTTTTTGGGTCCACACTGCCTTTATGAGCTGTAACACTCACTGCGAAGGTCTGCAGTTCACTCCTGAAGCCAGTGAGACCATGAACCCACCGGGAGGGACAGACAACTCCAGACGCTCCACCTTAAGAGCTGTAACACTCACCACGAAGGTCCATAGCTTCACTCCTGAGCCAGGGAGACCACGAACCCACCAGAAAAGAAACTCCGAACACCAGAAGTAACATTCCGGACACCCCACCTTTAAGAACTGTAACACTTAAACACTCACCGAGAGGGTCTGTGGCTTCATTCTTGAAGTCAGTGAGACCAAGAACCCACCAATTCCGGACACACTATTACCCAGTCAGGTGATTCACAAACCTGGCTCCATATCAGAATCACCGCAGGAGCCTGTTAAAAATACAATTGCTGGCCAGGCATGGTGGCTCACACTTGTAATCCCAGCACTTTGGGAGGCCAAGGTGGGCGGATCACCTGAGGTCAGGAGTTCAAGACCAGCCTGGCCAACATAGTGAAACCCTGTCTTTACTAAAATACAATAAAAATTTAGCTGGGCATGGTGGTGGGTTCCTGTAGTCCCGCTACTTGGGAGGCTGAGGCAGGAGAATCGCTTGAACCTGGGAGGTGGAGGTTGCAGTGAGCTGAGATTGCACCACTGCTCTCCAGCCTGGGCCACACAGCGAGACTGTTAAAAAAAAAAATTAGCTGGGCATGGTGGCACACACAGGTAGTCCCAGCTACTCAGGAGGCTGAGACATGAGAATCGCTTGAACCCGGGAGGCAGAGGTTGCAGTGAGCTGAGATCGCACCACGGCACTACAGCCTGGGTGACAGAGTGAGAGTCTGTCTCAAAAAAAAAAAAAAAAATACAATTGGTAGAGACCCTGCCCCAAACCTGAAAACTATAGATCAAGGGACTAATTTATTTTTATTTTTGAGACGGAGTCTCGCTCTGTCACCCAGGCTGGAGTGCAATGACACGATCTCAGCTCACTGCAACCTCCTGGTTTCAAGCGATTCTCCTGCCTCAGCCTACCGAGTAGCTGGGATTACAGGTGTGCACCACCACGCCTGGCTAATTTTTGTATTTTTAGTAAATGTGGGGTTTCATTATGTTGGCCAGGCTGGTCTCCAACTCCTGACCTCAATTAATCTGCTTGCCTGGGCCTCCTGACGTGCTGGGATTACAGGCGTGAGCCACTGTGCCCGGGCTCAATGGACTAATTTAACCTCCCTCAACTTGCCATCGACCCCCACACTGTTCTGAGATTTAGATAGAGTCATCCTCGTGTATAGATGCATCACAGTCCATGAGAAAGATTGTTTATCTTGCTTTCATGGGAAGTTAATTGCAGATGCACTGCCAGGATCTTTGTCTTCTTGGGGCACAGTCATGCCACTTCCCAGTCAGAAACTTTCAACGCCTCCCCTCTGTTTTCAGAGTACAGCCCAAGCCCTTGGGCTTGGCATTTAAGGCCTTCCGTGATCTATTTTCAAACTTTTTCTGTTTCAGAGCCCAAGTTTGTCCCTTGTCCTGGGTCCTCCGTTCCTTGCATACGTTCTGCACTTTGCTCTTTTTGCATATGTTCCTGTTCAATTCTGGCGTGGCTTTTCACCCATTGCCCACCTGCTGAAATTTCCTTAGGATTCTGTCCACCTCACATGGACGTGAGGGCTGTATAATTGTCAGAACCCTGAGCTTATGAGGGCCCCCCACTTGGTTTAATGTTCTGCTTTCACTGTTTTGAAATTCTTAATAATTGATGGACAAGGGTTCCCACATTTTTTTCCCCTGTTTTGGCTTCTCAACAAAGTCCCTACTTATTTTTTATTTTTATTTTTTGCTGTAGTTCCTACAGATTAGGTAGGAGCTCCTGACTGCCACAGTAGATCTAGGGTAGAGCCTGAGATTTTGCATTTCTGACAAGATCCCAGGCGATGCTGATGCCTCTGGTCCTTGGATCACACTTTGAGTAGCAAGGGTCAGTCTGAAGTATGGTAGAGCCAACAACTTGGAAGGAACCTGAAAGACAGTACGGAGCTGAAGTCCCTGGCAGCTGAAATACTCATCACAAACTGTTAGGTGAGACATAAATTTGTATATTCCTTAACATTCTGTATTTTGGAGTATCTTTGTTGAAGCAAGTTAGCCTTACCCTACTAAAGGAAGTGAAGGAGAGCAGGTCTCACAGGTCCTTCTGTCCTTTTCTAATTTGGAAAAAGCCTATGAGGTGTGCAATAGGAACTTGGCTCTGAGTGAGTCAAACACAAGCTCATGCTCCCTGGTTCGCTCCCTCCAGTGCTGGTGGGGGCTGACTGGAATGGCCTTTCTGATCTGAGGGGTTGGAGACTGATTTTGAAAGAAGTCCTCTTAGACTTCTATCCCAGACCATGCAGTGCAGCCCAACTTACCAGAGTTCTGCTTTGAAGTTTGGGGCCAAACCCCAACCAACAATAGAGTGCTGGTCATTGTCCTCAGAACTTATCTCCATTGGGGACCTTGTGGGTTTGATTGGGCATAAGATTCATATATTCCTTGTATCCCCTAACCATAAAGGCCATCATATTACCCTCATTTTACCGCAGCCTCTAACAAAGTACCTATATTGTAAGAAAACAAAAACAAGTTATTTCAAGCAAAAGATTATGTAGTGTGTTACAATCTTGTTGCTAGGAATGTCACCATGTCCCTAAACCTATTAAAGCCCCATAGCATCCCTAAATTCCTTCAGTGTCTTGTGGAGCACTGTGCTCCAAATCATGTTCCCCCTGGGAGTGGCATCTGTGTGGGATCACAAGGGTTATGGCAGGTTTCATTAGTCCATGGTGGTTTACATTTCTCTGTCTCTCCCAGTCGCCCTGCCTCTTTCCCCATCTTGGCTACCCAGTATAGTTTCTTCTTGTCTCTTTTATTCTTAGTCTAAGATCCAGTCCATTCCTTTGTTCCCAAGTGAACTTGCTGTGTCCAGACCTTACTTTCAAAAAGCAAAGCTTTGCACTGTGTATCAGATGCAGCCTGTCAACTACTTCAGACCTGTTGGCCCACTCCCCTTTCTCCAGCCACTGCTACAGTGATGGGTTCCACCATAGGCTTTAATTCATTTCACACAGGTACAACCTGGCAGCACCTTGCTTTGGGTCTGCTCCGTGGACCTTCTACTTCCTACTCCAGGTAAACCCACTGGACACTCTTGTGTGCATAGCCAACAAATGCAGAAAAGTTAACAATGGTGGGGCCACCTTTGACCAAAGGGAGATGGAAGCCAGTTGCTAGGTGCCTTTCAGTTTGGACTGCTGATGGAGAGCACTGAGACACTTTTTATGATGTTCCTCTGAAGGTCCCAGTGGCATCAGTTATGTGGCTCTTATGCATGGCCAGCTGTATAATGTGTCCCTGTATTGGCCTTGCTCTTCCCTGTTTTACTCCACTGTCTCACTCCTGCTCCCCGTGTTCATTCCCCAAATAAAATACCTACACACAAGACTTTGTTTCCGCTTTCTTTTCAGGAGAACCCATGCTAAGAATTGTGGAAAGGTGGCGGAGGTGGGAAGCGGGTGCAGTGGGGAGAGTCTGCTATTCTTTGAGGCTTTATCACCTAGACTTAGTCTGTTATCTGAGTGTGTATTAGGTAAGAAACAGTAGTTAACCAGTCATCATTGCAGGCTGGGTCTTCTCTCCCCACACGACTTGCTTCCTTTTCCTCCCACTCTGATGTCCTCCACATCTGTTCAGCGGAGCTCCCTGACCCTACCTGCAGATGCAGCACAACTTATGGCTTGGTATAGGAACTACTGAAGGATCCTCAACCTCTAATCTCTAGGCAAGCCTCCAACTACACTCTGGGGTACTAGGGAGAGTGGCACATCCACACTTAACTCAATAGCGAGAGACCCAAAGGCGTTGCTTCTGATCAAGGAACTAATTTTACAAAAAATGAAGTATAACGGGGTCCCATGCTTATGGAATTCACTGCTCTTACCATGTTCCCTATCTTCCTGAAGAAGAGAGGAGGTCTCCACTGCTGAATCTCTTGGCCTTGTTCAGTGTATCACAGGTTCTGGAGTCAGACAAACCAGCCTGCAGTCTTGGCTCTGCACCTGTTACATGTGTGACCTTGGAGAAGGCCTGAACACATACCTCTAAACCTGTTTATCCAACCGAGAACATCAAAGGCTTCTCTGCAGTGTCAATCCGATAAAGCATGTAAAGTATAGGACACAGTCTTGCAATTGCAGTGTAAAAGATGGCAGCGATTCTAGTTACTATTCACTGGCCTTCCATATTCCAGCAGAGTTTGGACTGCCACCAGTGTGTGCCTGTATTGAGGCTCTTATTGTGTTGTGTCTACCTACATATCTCGCTTTCTCTTTAGAACAATAAACATTGTCAAACGACAATGAGTGAGACTAATGTATCTTGTGAACAGTTACACAGGACAATAGAAATGAAAGTGTTTTTATGAACTGTTCAAATGCTAGTTATGTTACAGGGGCTTCCAGTCCAGCAGGGGAACTGACATACAAAACCAATTCTGAGAGGAGGGGGTAAAGATGAACGAGCAGGTGTGAACAAAGTGCTTGGGAGCCACAAACTCTGCCCCAGAGTGTGGTTCATGGCTACTGGGAAGGCTCTTCAAGGAAGTGGAATTTTTGTCTGGACCTGAATTCTAAGTCAGTGAAAAGAAAGATGAGGGAAACAAATGGGAGAGCCATTCTTTAAGGAGAATAAAGAGAAACTTTAAAAATTGGGTCAGTCAGAAGCAGGGTGATGTCCCTAAAAATAATAATAATAAAATAAGAAAATAAAATTTTAAAATGAGATCAGGAGTAGGGGCTAGTGTTGGTGAGACTAATGTATCAGTTGCCAGGACTCTTGGGATGAGGCTTTCCAAAGCCTCATAGAAACATCATTGAGGACAAGGCCAGGAGGTCGAGAAGGGGACAGGACACAACTGACAGGGCAGTGAAGAGATCTGGGCACACAGAGGCCTGGGAATAGCAATAAAATGACTGGTGAGGCCTCTGCATGACCAGGGAGAGGGGGTGGGTGAGCGGTGTGAGACAATTGATCAATGTAGCCGCAGATACAAAAGGAAGGGTTTAACATAGAGAGTTATTAATGGCTAACATGAGATTAGCTACTAAGGGATAAAAAACACAGAAAGAAATAAATTTGGGAAAGGGCTCCTCACAAGGCTGAGATTAAATCTTGCTGGAGAGTGTGTGGCTGTAGCCACTGGGTGGCAGGAAGCTTTTGCTGGGTGCCACAAGCCAAAGCTGCAAGCAAGGAGCTCTCCATTGAGGTGCTAGCAAAACGTGCCGGGGTGCAGTTGAACTCACTGGGAATGTGGCTCGGGTTCCTACAGACTCACTGGGCAGCTGCTCACATGGGGTAAGGGGTGGGATCTGCTGAAGCCCCTGGGATCCTGTGGGGGTGGCCACTGAACTCATCATGTCCTTGCCTCAGGGATGCCCAGGATGCCCTGTGTGCCCAGGAGTCGTCTCCCACCCACCCAGCCTCCACGTTCACTTAGATGTGCATGGATCGCCCCTTCATACTAAACAGGCAGTCTATACCACAAAGTATAACACCCAGTTTCCACAAATTCCACCTCTTAAGTATTTATTAGATACCCATTGTGTACCCTCTCCCCGCTTTGTATCCCTGCCCTGAGGGCCTCACAGCCAGATCTCCTGAGAGCAGAGTGAAGAGGAAGCTCAGTATTTCTCAGGCAGGCCAGCAGGTCGGAAGTGATTGGGGTCTTTGCCACTCCTGCCCCATTCATTGGCAGCCTGATCAGCCAGCGAGTCCTCCGCACCATGGCCAAAGAATCTCTGGATATTCTCTCTGGCATCGCTGTAATCAAGGCAGGCAAGAAGGAGATTAATAATCAGGCCAGTGAGCAATAGCCCACCCTCCCATTCTCCCTGTTCCAAGGGAGGGCTCAGAGAGGAGCCCAGAAAGGCCAAGGAAGGAGGGATGAAAACACTGGGCACCACCCCATTCAGCCAGGCTGGGCACCCCTAGGCTGGATGAACAGCACCCAGAGAGGGAGGATGAGGAATCACTCACTCCTACCATCCACTCAGACCTCACACTGAGCACAGAGGCAGAGAGAGGGCAAGAGGAGGAGGGGCCGCAGCCTCTAACTTCTCCACAAGGAGCTCGTCTCCCTCCTGACTGTCCAAGGCAGGCAAGCTCTGCTCACCCAGCCCTAACGTCCCAGGAGCTCCAGTTACGTGATCACTTCTGCAGCCCAGGCACCCCCAGGTCCCCTTTTGGCAGCATCATAGTTCCCCCGAGCATGGAAGTATTTGTCTGAGCCGATGTAATTGGCTTCTCTCATGTCAGAGTAGGCTCTCCACATGTCCCGAGCCCCTGGAAAGGAAAGGAAAGGCAGAAGGGACATCAGGAGAACATAAAGACTCCAACAACACCTTAGAGGGGAATGAGGAAGGACAAATCTTCCACTGACTTCAAGCTTTCAGCCTGTGATCATAGCAGCCTTGGATACCATGGGTTGAGAAGCACATTCCTTTATCCTAGTTGGCTTCTTCAAGTGCCCTGGTGAAGAGCCACTGCTATAGAATGAAGCTGCCTATGATAAGATCCAGGAGTGTGTATGAATGAGGTAGTGACATGGAATACTGATGCTGAGAAAGGTGGCAGACACAGAGTACTTCTGCCCTGACTACTAAAGTTTATATTCTTTTTTTTTTTTTTTTTTTTTTTTTTTTTTTTAGACAGAGTCTTGCTCTGTCGCCCAGGCTGGAGTGCAGTGGTGCTATCTCAGCTCATCGCAACCTCCACCTCCCAGGTTCAAGAGATTCTTCTGCCTCAGCCTCCTGAGTAGCTGAGATTACAGGCATGCGCCATCACGCCTGGCTAATTTTTGTATTTTTAGTAGAGACGGGGATTTCACCATGTTGGTCAGGCTGGTCTCGAACTCCTGACCTCGTGATCCCCCTGCCTTGGCCTCCCAAAGTGCTGGGATTACAGGCGTGAGCCACCGCACCCCGACCTAAAGTATATATTCTTGCAAATGGAATACACGTCATTGTGACGTGAGTTCCAGTGACTGTTAGGAGCATAAAAGTCCCTAAATACTTTCTTAGTAGGCTGTACTGATGCTGTGGGTTGCTTGAGGAAGCAATAGGGCAGTGGTGCTCTGCCTTGGCTGCACTTTCTTTTTCATTTTTTTTAGATGGAGTCTCGCTCTGTCACCCAGGTTGGAGGACACTGGTGCGATCTCTAGTCACTGCAACCTCTGCTTCTCGGGTTCAAGTGATTCTCGTGCTTCAGCCTCCTGAGTAGCTGGGATTACAGGTGCCTGCCACCACGCCTGGCTACATTTTAGTATTTTTAGTAGAGACGGGGTTTCACCATGTTGGCCAGGCTGCTCCGGAACTCATGACCTCAAGTGATTCATCCACCTTGGCCTCCCAAAGTGCTGGAATTACAGGCGTGAGCCTTGGCTGCACTTTCTAATCACCCAGAGAGAAACTGAAAGTCCCAGTGCCCAGGCCACACCCCAGGCCAGTTTCTGCAGACTCTGCTGGGGAGTTGAAGGCATGGGTATTTCAGGTGATGCCAAGGTGTGCCTGAGATTCATAACCATCAACCTCTAGGAGGTGGTCAGTGATGCGTCTACCTGGCAAGAGCCCTGACCTCAAGCACAGCCGGGCTCAAACCTCTGCCCTGCCACCTGCTGACTGGCAGTAAGTCCCTGGGCATTGGCTTCAGCTGCTCTAAGTCTCAGCTTTCTCACCTTCCAAGATCAGCTTTCTCACCTTCCAAGAGAGGAAGATTGCGTCACAGAGTCATTCTGAAACTAAATGAGAAAATGCTGTGGTCCTTGTGGGGGCTTGAGGCACGTTAGTTCCCAGCTCTTGTCAAGAAGGCTGGAGAAGGAAGAATGGAAACAGAACAAACCAGGAAGGGAGCCCCTGACAGAGCGAGGCTAAAGAGCCCTGTACATTATCCAACTAGGAAATCGAAGGAGGAAGGAGAAAGAAGACAGAAGAGTCAACAGCCTTAGTCATACTCCTATGCGATTTATGCTGAGGGACATTTTATACCCATTGCAGGCCTTATTTTGCATCTTCTACGCAAAACAAACAGCTCAGGTGCTCCTGGAAAGGATGATTGTTCTTTCTCTGAGTAACTGACAACAATCCTCGACTCTCTAATCTGTTTAGCAGCTCCCCAGGCACATTGGGCAGCACAACCTAAGGCAGCGGCTCAAATCTTAAGGAAGCCCAAAAATACCCCGTGTGCGTTGTTACTGGATGCCCCGTCCCTTACGGCTCAGGAGATGTGTTTTTGATACACCTTGCAGCGGCTTCTGAAATGTGATCCATCCACTTAACACATCCTGAGAAGCTGCACTACGGGGAAAGGGGATATTCCCAGCAGCTCTGAAAGACTCGAGACAGGCAACCCAGCAAACCCTAGTTCCTGGCAGGCCTCAGCAACGCAGACACTAGCAACTCTGTGGTTCAAAAGCAGCCTTCCGAAAGCATCATTTTCCCCAGTTTATCAGGTCCAGGGTGATGTTTCTCTTCAGAAATCCTGCAAACCTTCTGAAGCCTTACCATCAAAAGCCTCGCCAAGGAACGAAAAGAAGCTTCGGCTGCTGACACCCAGGACCAAGGAGCAGAAAACCAGGCCCGTGAGAAGCTTCATGGTGCTGAAATGAAAGGAGAAGTCAGGCAGTCGCCCACAAGACTGGCACAGCTTCCCTTGGGACTTATATTCCGACGAGAGCCTGGTTATTTCCACTGGATCTTATTAGAGTCTCAGTGGCTCATCTAGGAAACCTTGCAGCAGGACCTCACTCAGAGCCAGAAGCCCTCGGTTCTGAACCCATCAGCCCTGAAGCCTGACTGCATAAGAGGATGCCAACGTGGCACTGATGGAGGAAGGCAGGAGTTACCACCAGACTGTCACTCCCTCAAGTAGCCTATAATTCCCCATAACGCATTTACCGTGTGTTCCCTCTGCCCCGCACAGAACTCAACATGGGATAAACACAAAGCAGGATCATTATTTTTTATTCTTAAAGCCTTTAGCACCTGGTATTCCCAGGTGTTCTCCCATCCAAGTACTACCAGGCCCGACCCTGCTTACCTCTCTAGATCAGAGGAGATAAGACACCTTCAGAATGGTATGGCTGTATGCCCCAGGATAACTATTTTTTTTAAAGGAAATGATAATCTTGTTGGGAAAGAGAAAACAGAGTAAGTTTTAAAAATCACTCCTTGGTGTGCTCCTCACCTGATCTGTGCTGTAGCTGAGCTGCGGGTCCCTGCCTGCCAGGGAGCGGTGGCTGCTATTTATACTGAGCCTTCCCTGCTGGTTTCTTGGGAGCGAAGAAAAGCTGGATGTGGTCCCTGGGGAAAGTCCCTGCAGGTCATTTCCCCTACAAAACGGTCTAAGACAAGTTCCTGGATGCCAGTGGTTTCTTCATCCCGGGTCATTTATCCCAGTTGTGCAACCTGAGGGAACAAGATGTGCCTGGCAGCTGTCAGGGCAGGAGACCAGCTCTGCTCCTCAGCATTGAGGGGGCTGAGGCTGCGGAGTTGAGAGTGGGAGCCCCGTGATGGCGGCACCTGGGCTGCTGGAAGGTGTGAAGTGAGGGCAGCTTTGAAGCCAGCTCCTGACTCTACCAGTCATTTCCTCAGGATGGGCTCTGCTGGGCCACATGGCAGATGCCTCTGAAATGAAGTCCCTCTGAGTTCATATCTAAAGCTTCAAAGCTGACAGACTAGGTCCAGCACAGTGGCTCACTCCTATAATCCCAATGCTTTTGGAGGCCAAGGCAGGAGGATCACTTGGGGTCAAGAGTTTAAGATCACTCTGTGCAAAACTGTAAGATCTTGTCTCTACGAAATATAAAAATAAATGGACCGGGTGTGGTAGTGTGCACCTGCAGTCCCAGCTACTCAAGAGGCTGAAGCGGAAGGATTGTGGGAGACCCAGGAGGTCAAGGCTGCAGTGAGCTATAATCACGCCACTGCACTCCAGCCTGGTTAACAGAGCAAGACCCTGTGTCTAAAAGAAAACAAAATAAAACTAGCAGCCTACCCCTGCCATGTCTCATGTGTGCCCTGGAAGGCTCCTTCCACCCCTCAGTCTAGATATCCAGAGATTTACCTCCTCAGCACAGAAAAGCCCTGCTCAGCTGGCCTAGTCAATTAGGAAATTAGGAAGGAAGGAAGTGGTCAGTACCAGAGCCCAGCAGGGCTGAGGCCAGGACATGCAGAGAGGCTGGTGGATATAGCAGCAACTGTGGTTTCTTCTTCTCCAGTCCGTTTTCACTCTTTTATTTTTTCTTTCTTTCCTTCCTTCCTTCATTTCTTCCTTCCTCTCTCTTTCTCCTTCCTTCCTTCCTTACTCCCTCTCTGTCTTCCTCCTTCCTTCTTCTCTCTTCCTCCTTCCTTCCTCTCTCTCTTCCTTCCTTCTTTCCCTCCTTTCTTCCTCTTTCCCTCCCTCCCTTCCCTCCCTCCCTCCTTCCTTCCTTCTTTTCTTCCTCCCTTCTTCTCTTCCTCCCTTCCTTCCTCTCTCTTTCTCCTTCCTTCCTCTCTCTTTCTCCTTCCTTCCTTCCTCTCTCTTTCTTTCCTCTTTTCTTTTCTTTCTTTCAGAATGCTATGAATATAGGCCTCAGGATAACTACTTTTTAAAGGAAATGACAATCTTGTTGGGAAAGAGAAAACAGTAAGTCTTAAAAACACTCCTTGGCATACTCCTCACCTGATCCTCCTCTCCTCCCCTCCCCTCCCCTCCCCTCCCCTCCCCTCTCTCCTCCCCTCTCCCCTCCCCTCTCCCTTCCCCTCCCCTCCCCTCCCCTGCCCTCCCCTCCCCTCCTCTCTTCTCCTCTCCTCTCAAGACAGGGTCTTGCTCTGTTGCCTGAGCTGGAGTGCAGTGGTGCAATCATGGCTCACTGCAGCCTCAGCCTCCCAGGTTTAAGTGATCCTTGCATCTCAACCTCCCAAGTAGCTGGGACTGCAGTTGTTTGCCAATATGTTTGAGTAATTTTTAAAATTTTTAGTACAGTGGGAGTTTCACCATGTTGCCCAGGCTGGTCTCAAATTCCTAACCTGCAGTCCTCCTGCCTTGGCCTCCCAAAGTGCTGAGATTATAGGCATGAGCTACCATGCCCAGCCAGAAGTTCATATCTGATTGCTTCTATTTTTCAGTGAAATAGGAAGCAAAGTTGTCAACTGAGAAGAGAATGAACGAGGAGTTGTGGGAAGTTTCAGAAGAGAAGAGAAGTAGAAAGCAGACATCTAGGAAAGGAAGAATGTGACTGAACTTGAGAAAGGTAGTGGATTGTATGGTAGCTCTTGGTCAACGACCATGAATTTAAAGTGAGACTAGTCATAGCAGTCGTGCTTTTTTTCTGATCACATTCAGCTGCCAAGGTTCAGACTTTTAGCAAGTGGCAAATTGAATATCACTGTGCAATAAATGCTTGTTGAGTTGCATGACTGAATACATGCGAAGGTCAAAGGAGGAGGATTTATTTAAAGATGAGGGAGGGTTACAGGGCACAGGGAGAATGTTAACAGAGAGAGTGACTGAGGGTAAAAGATAGGGCATAACATAGACTTCAACAACCAAGGGGCCACAGGGCCACGGGGACAAGGTTGCCCAGAGTGTAGCAGGAGCAGGTCTTCCTCTGAGACAGGAAGGAGAGGAACGATAACAAGGAAGATGCATTTTGAGATGAAGGACAGAGATCCTGAGGGAAACCAGCAGGCCCTTTTCTTTACCAGTCATAGAACTCATCGCTCTCCACCTGTTTGCATTTCTGAGTTTGACCCAGAGTGCACAAAACACAGGGATAGGAACCTTGTCAGGCTTATTGACAGATAACTGTTGTCACTTTAACACCAAACACAGCACCTCACCTGTAGCAGGTTCTTAGTCACTTTTATTGATTGAAGGAGTCAATGCATGAGTGAAGTAGGAGAAGTCATCTCCTATAGATTGACAGGTGGAAGGTTAAGAAGAATGGAAAAGCTTTGGAACAATGATGTCATTTAGAGATGAACATGGACTTTTTTTTTTTATGTTTGCCTCGCACTAATAACTTTTATTTCACTCAAATTAGAGCAGTAATCTTCCATAAATAAGTATATTCCCTGCCCAATAATTTAAGGAAAAATCCACAATGATTAGTAAAGAAAAATATAAGAATTAACAGACCCTTTAAATTTGTTTTAAATATTTGAAGATTTAAAAAGTGTTTAAAGTTTGTAATTCCTAGTAGGAAAACATTATCTGAATGAATACCCTAATGGCAAACCACTGTAAAATGCTTCAGCTGCATTTGGGGGAGAGGGGTAGGGATTATCTTCAAAGCACCCCAGCTCTCTTGATGAGAAGGTCAGAGGTACGTTGGTTTGTATTATTGCGACATCCATAAGGTGATCTAGGTTGCTTTTCCTTCAGCAGGGCTTTATTTATCAGAAGGGCATTATGCTTGACCTCCAAATTTGGCTGACAATTTACTGATGAGATTCATAACCTTTGGGTTGCTCTGGTATTTTGACATATTTGCTGGGTTCTGAGCCACATCCTGGAAGGCCACCATAACTTCTGGATCCTGCATGGCTGCAAGAGCCTCTGGATCACTAAGAATTTCATTGAGTCCAGGCATTCCGGCCATTCCAGGCATGTCCCCTCCCATTCCAGGCATTCCTCCGGGAAAATTACCAGGCATTCCACCAGGAAAGCCACCTGGAAAAGGGCCATAGTGAGCTCCTGACTGTCGTCTGGCTTCTTCCTCCCTCTGGGCTCTCTCCTGCTCTTCTTGAGCCTTCTTAACTCGTTCTATTCTTTCTTTGATCTCTCGCTCTTCATGTTTTCGCTCATACTTTCTCCAATGTTCTGCAATTTTCTGTGCCCTAGGTTGAACTTCTTTCAGCATTGCACTAGCATCTTCATCATAATCCAATTTACAGGCAAAGGCAAGATCATGGGCTGCTTCTTCCCAGTGGCCTAGAAGTCTGTGTGCTTTCCCCCGCCACTTGTAAGGCTGAGCTGAATCAGGATTTATTTCAATGGCTCTGTCACAGTCTTGGATGGCAGCATTTGGCTTCTGTAATTTGACGAAGACACTGGCCCTCTTTGCATACAAAATGGCCAAGCGAGGATTCAGCTTGATGGCATCTGTGAATAAGTCAATGGCTTTCTGGAGTTCACCATCATTTAGGACTTCAATAGCAGCCACTTTTTTATCATTTGCCTGATCCATCATCTCCTCCGTTATCTCCACATTTTCATCTCCCATTTCTTGAGGAGCATCAGTGTCTGGTTCAATCACACCTTCTTTATCAATTTCTAGATCACTTTCCTCAGTTGATGGTTCGTCTGCCTTTAAGTCTTCCTCCACCTTCTTACTATCAGGTTTTTCTTCCTTGGTATTTTCTTCTGATTTAGCCTTCTGAGTAGCAGGTGGTACTTTACCTCCCATGCTCTCCACCCACTCTCTCAGGAAGCGCATTTCCTCGGTGTGCAGAACGCTCGGATCCTGCTTACACATTTTCACAAAGGCCCGAAGCTCGTTCACTTTGCAGGGGTCCATGGTAGGGAGGTGGTGGGTGAAGCTGGGGGCTGCGGCCCAGTTCCAGGCCCAGGTGCTGGCTCGGCATGACCGCGCAGAAGGGGGCGGCTGCCGCGAGTGAACATGGACATTGTTAATATGCAATAAAATCTCAGCCTACTTGAAATGTTTACATTAATTGTCAAAAAACATATTCAGAAGGCAAACCCTTATCATCTCTCCGCTGCTCCCAGAGAGATGTTATTAGGCATCACCTTCTGGGTTATGATGGCTTCTTAACTGGCTTCCACATTTCCCCCTTTGCCGCCAACTAGTCTCTTTTCAGTATAGCAGCCAGACTGTTACAACACAAGACAACTTCTATCACTCTCCATTCAAAACTCTCCGGAGGATTCCACTTCCACTCATAGTTGAAGTCAAAGCCCTTATAATGGTTTTCAAACTTTACTCAAACTGTCCTAACTCCTTCCTCTCGTACCTCATCATCCAATTCTCTCCTCCTGCTCATTTTGCTCTGGCCACACTGGTCTCCAAACCCCCAGGCACATCTTACCCTAGGGGCCTCGGATTAGCTGTTCCTTTCCTCTGGAACATTCTTTTCCCAGATATTTGCATATCAGGGCTTTGAGGGGGCCTTGATCCGGGAATGCAGGATACTGGAAGGTTCAACAATACAGTTATTGTCAATAAGAGTATTGGCAGTGAATGTGTTGGAAAGAGGGCCGTAAATGAACTGTGAAAATTTTCCATGAAGATGGGAGAGGACTGGAGAGTTTTGTCAATGAATACAATAAAGAGGTACTTTGTCTCCAAACATCACTAAGCAGATTGTCTACACAGAAGCTTCTAGTGGGTATTTCTAGGCTGGGCACGGTGGCTCACACCTGTAATCCCAACACTTTTGGGGGCGGAGGCGGAGGATGGGTTAAGGTCAGGAGTTTGAGACCAGCCCGAGCAACATAGTGAGACTCCATTTCTACAAAAAATTAACAATTAGCTGGGCATGGTGGCACACTCCTGTTGTCCTCACTACTTGGGAGGCTGAGGCAGGAAGATCACTTGAGCCCAGGAGTTTGAGGTTACAATGAGCTATGATTCCACCATTGCACTCTAGCCTGGCAACAGAGCGAGACTCTTGTCTCAAAAAAAAAAAAAAAATGCAGATTCCTAAGCCATAATCTTGGAGGTCTTGGTCTCAGTTCAGCGAGTTGGGGGTGATCTTCAGGAATCAGTGTTTGAAAATCTTCCTGTTTGGAAATCACTTGTGCAGATAACATTAGTAAGACTGGAGAGAAGGTGGTAATGAATTTATCAGGGACTTCAAAGAGGACACATCACAGAGGTGAAGAATGGAGAAATGGTCATGGAAAGCAAAGAGGACGAGGACCCCTCTTTCTCATTCTATTGTCTAGGAGGAATTGCAGGAGGCATACCCCATGGGTAAAGATGAGAATAAAGTGAAATCAACATGGGAAAGGCAGGTTTCAAGTTTTTGTAATGGGAAGGAAATAGGCAGAGATAAAGGGGCATCCTCACCGCAGACCCTTCTTTCGAGGAGCTCACTGGAAGGTAGTAGAAGAAGGGTGGGCAGAGTGTTGGGAGAGTTGAGGCTGACTCATAGAGAAATTAGTTGGTGTGACGTGAAAGCAGGGAGATGAGAAGAGTAAAGGGCATGGCAGTTGAGCGTGCTGGTTAGTGACAGCAGATTGGGATTCTTTATTGCTTCCGGGCTCAGTGTGGGGTGCTGTGCTATGGGGGGCTGATACTTATGAGCCAGTGGAACTACTCCCCAAAGGTCAAGTGGACTAAAATAAAAACAGTGAGGATGCCTTTCTGATCTTCTCCCAACCATGCTGAAGTCCTGAAGAGAATGGAAGTTAGCAGAAAGTTCTGGAGAGAATGAAGGGACAAGGGAGGAGGGGAAGGAAACAGTGGCTAGTGAAGGTAGGCAAGGAGTACTCTCAACACATGCTTAATATGAAACATTTATCAGCAAGAAACTAGTTTTTAAAGCTGACACACAGCATTCAAACTTGGAGGCCACAGGCCTCACAGGGCAGGTCTTCTACTTTTTGAGATCTCTAATTACTGGATCCAAACTTTCTCCCTGGGAAAGGGTAATTTGTTTTTGTATGAATTCATCTTTTATAGAGTCACAGCCAGTCCCTTCTTTCTAACATGTACACCACATCTCCTAGGCACGACTGTCTTTTGCTCATTAAGAAAAAACTCTGCCTCCAAACTCCTATCAGATGGAGAAGCTGCAGAGAAGATAAATGGCTTATTCAAGGACCAGAACCCAGGACACTCATGATACCTTGGCCAGTGCTCTTTCTTCTCCACCTCCTTGCCTCCATCCCTTAACAAATGTTCTTTTCTGGGAACTTGGACACCCCTTGAAAAGATGAGGAGTGGTTTATGGTAATTCCAGGTTGGATTATTTGGTTTGGGAGAATGCCATTGGTCACAGCAATCTCAGCTCCTGGCAGCAGAAACCTGAACTTTGTCTCTATTCCATTTTGCCATGGTTATCTCTAACAGAAAGTCCTGTTATGCAACACCAGAATACCTTCCCAGTAGAGGTTGTGACACTGAGTTCCCATTACAGATCCTAAAACCCAGCCACCTAGACTTGGAGGCAGTATGGCTGCAAGTTAAGAGCCAAGCCCTGGTTTCAGACAGACCTGGTATGACCTTGCCTCTGCCATATACTGATATTGTGGAAGAGCACTTAATGACCTGGAGAAGTATCTCTTAAGGGAAAGAGTGCAATAGAATATGATCCCATTTTTGTTCAAAGACATGTTCCCATGGTGAAACACAACCTAGGAAGTTTTACATCTGTGTTTCTAGGTAGTGCCAACAGCTTGTGTTATTCTAGATTTTTAGAATTTTTTACAATGACATGTCCATTTATTTATTGATTCATCATCAGTCATTATCCATTCACGCATCGAGTGCCTTCTATGCAGCAGATACTACAATAGATATTGGGCATACAATGAGGGGAGATGGCGGCTAACCAGGTCTAGGCTGTGCCTCCATGAAAAAGAGACTTATACTTGGGGAAAAATGATTATACATGTGTAGACATAAAGCTTATACTTATAATAAATCAGTAAGATTCCAATAAATAAATGGGAAAAATATGTGTACAAAAAGTATAATGAAAGAAAAGAGAAAGCAAGGGGTATCACTAATCATTCTAAGATTGTTTCTCCTTAAGAACAACAGTCCCCAGGTACTAATATCATTGCTCATTCCTACCATCTCTTATTAAAATAAATAAAATAAGAAATGGCTCAGCTGTCAAAAGGTCTCCTGCCACTTTACAGAAGTAAAGCCAGGCCATGGGCTATGGATTACCAGGAGGGCAGGAGAAAAGATTCCCTCCTGTTTCTTCCACTTAGCAAGTGAATCACCAGGAACACAAAAGGACCAACTATTTAATTCAGGGGCGGACTCTTTTTCTTTTTCTTTTTCTTTTTTTTTTTGAGATGGAGTCTCGCTCTGTCGCCCAGGCTGGAGTGCAGTGGCGCGATCTCGGCTCACTGCAAGCTCCACCTCCCGGGTTCACACCATTCTCCTGCCTCAGCCTCCCGAGTAGCTGGGACCACAGGCGCCCGCCACCACGCCCGGCTAATTTTTTTGTATTTTTAGTAGAGACAGGGTTTCACTGTGTTAGCCAGGATGGTCTTGATCTCCTGACCTCGTGATCCACCCGCCTCGGCCTCCCAAAGTGCTGGGATTACAGGCGTGAGCCCCTGCGCCCCGCTGAGGGGTGGACTCTTAATTGTGTTTGCTGTGTGTCGCTTCTCACAAAGCCCACACTCTCTCATGGAGAGAGAACCCTTTTCTCCTGGCTCAGAGTTTCCAAGTTGCATTCTCTAGGCACCAGAATCCAAACCTGTCTGCATTGAGTTCTGCGTCTCTTCCCCTATAGGTTGTTGGCTGAGGCTCACGCCTCCCTGAAGCCTGCTGGCCTCTAAGTGATGACTGAATCAGGTTATGAAGGACTCGCAGCGGGGGCATGTTGGGATTTGGTCATCAGCCCACTGTCGGCAACAGCAAGAGCCACTCTCAGAGTCTGAAACTGGTATTGCCAAAGGACAACAGAACTCTGCATTCTGTTTAAAAATATTGCACTTTATTCCTTTTCAAACATTTGCAAAAGGGAGTAATAAATTATAGGCGGGTGGATCACCTGAGGTCAGGAGTTCCAGACAAGCCTGGCCAACATGGTGAACCCCATCTCTACTAAAAATACAAAACATTAGCTTGGCGTTGTGGCAGGTCCCTGTAATCCCAGCTACTTGGGAGGCTGAGGCAGGAAAATCGCTTGAACCTGGGAGGTGGAGGTTGTAGTGAGCTGAGGTCACGCCATTGCACTCCAGCCTAGGCAACAACAGTGAAACTCCGTCTGAAAAAAAAAAAAAAAAAAAGACATCTCAAAACCCCAAATCTCTTATGGACTTGTATAGTATTTATGAAACTAAGAACTCATTTGAGAAGGGGAAAATTCCAATAATTCTTCTTAAATTTCGTTTCAATTTCAAGTAATTTATAGGTATGTCTTAGGAATCATCATTAAACCTTCTGTACCAGTTAGGCTATTCAAATATCTACATCTTTAAACACGTATAGCAATTTTGAAAAATAGAGAAGTTTTTCAGTTTAGATGAACAATAAAATATTTTGTCAAAAAGACTCCTTTTCCTTTTACATTCATTGTCAGGAAAATCCAGCATAGGAAATTTACTGCTTATGGTTGAACAACATCAAATTTGTAGATTTACCAGAGAGCCTGTCTCAATCTGATTAGTTAGCAAAACAGGGAGTCCTGTTTAGTTCTCCTAAACATTTTGTAACTCCCTGATTTCTCTTGCCTTCAGAGAGATGTGATTTACAACACAGTGGTTCAATAAACAAAAAGTAATTTCAGGTCCAAGTAATTTGCCTTCCAGTTTCCCATTAATTAAAGATGATTCTCTGCCTAGATGGAGAATCAAGAGACCTTGACACATAGTCTTTTTCCATAACCCTAGCAGTGTATCTTCCTGGTCAGACCTGCTGGGTGGGCACACTTCCCAGACACAGGGCTCTCCACCTCTCTGGAGCCCCCAACCTTATTTGGGAGCTCAGGCTCACTACATTTATGCCCAGGTATGGGGAACTCACAGCCAGGAGACCTAAGCCCAGCAGATCTTGCAAGGGGAACAGGGGTACATACCACTCATAGACAGACTGAGGATAAGGATGACTTAAGCCCCTGCTTGGCATACCTTTCCTTCTTGGCACATAGATGTGTTCACCTCCAAGCCTGGCACAACTGGGAAAGGCCTGGAATTACTAGGCATTAGGACCAGTGGAAGGTTTCAGAGTCAAGGAAGAATTGAGCTTATGGCCTCCTGTAGTCCAGCTGGCTATAACGTGTCCCAGATCTGTTCCCTAACTTCCACCAGGACTGCCCATTTCCCCAACTCTAATGTGGGAATTTTTTTTTTTTTTTTTGAGACAGAGTCTCGTTTTGTCCCCCAGGCTGGAGTGCAGTGGCGCGATCTAGGCTCACTGCAAGTTCTGCCTCCCGGGTTCACACCATTCTCCTGCCTCAGCCTCCCGAGTAGCTGGGACTACAGGCGCCCACCATGACGCCCGGCTAATTTTTTTGTATTTTTAGTAGAGACGGGGTTTCACCATGTTAGCCAAGATGGTCTCGATCTCCTGACCTCGTGATCCACCCGCCTTGGCCTCCCAAAGTGCTGGGATTACAGGCGTGAGCCACCGTGTTCGACCTAATGTGGGATTCTTTAGACTGGTGGGGAGTCATTAGGGAAGGAAATGCTTTGTGTTTGCTCAGACATTCATTCCAACCCCATCCCATCTCCAATGAGAGACTTGTAAGCTCCAAATCCTGACTTTCCTTAATGCCTCAGGTCCAACGCCCTATCTGCCTCTCTACTAGCACTCCCGCTTTGCTGCCTCAAGATGCTTCCCTCCCATTGATGATGTGTGGGTATTTCTGTTGTTGTTTTTTCATGTCTTTTTCCATCTTTTTTTCTTTTTCTTTTTGTTTTTTTGGAGACAGGGTCTCACTCTGTCACCCAAGCTGGAGTGCAGTGGTGTAGTCTCAGCTCACAGCAGCCTCGATCTCCCAGGCTCAAGCAATCCTCCCACCTCAGACTCTCAAGTAGTTAGGACCACAGGCATGAGCCACCACGCCTGCCCCAATATACATATATATATACATATATACATATATATATACATATATACATATATATATACACACATATATACACATATATACATATATATACACACACACACACACACATATATATATATTCAACATCTTTGGCTTTCTCTTCTCCTTGAAATATTTTTAGTAAGATTTCTGATCTGGGCATGGTGGCTCATGCCTGTAATTGCAGCAGTTTGGGAGGCCAAGGCAGGAGGATCACTTGAGCCCAGGAGTTCAAGACCAGCCTTGGCAACATAACAAGACCCTGTATCTACAAAAAAAATAAGAAAACTAGCCAGGCATGGTGGTGTGTGCCTGTAGTCCCAGCTACTCGGGAGGTTGAGATGAGAGAACTGCTTGAGCCCAGGAGTTTGAGGCTGCAGTGAGTCATGATCACACCACTGTACTCCAGCCTGGGCAACAGAGTGAGACCCTATCTGTTTTGTTTTTACCTTAGAATATAGATTTTATTATTAGTTAGGTATGGCAAGGCCAACAGCTCAGGAGATGACTGCCATTGAGAAGATAGCCTCACAGTTCCCAAAAGAAGAGAGTGAACTATGCCACAGGGGACTGCACCAGGAAGTAAGTGGGTAAGTCAGGGAGCAGAGGAAGTAGGGGAGGTGTAGGAAGAGTCCTTACTGTGTTTCTGCAGGAAGGAATGGTGTGGCAGCATACACAGGTTTAGGATTGGCTAGCATGAATAATTTCAATGGGTGCAGGGGCATGGAGGCTGTCCCTAGTTGTTTGGGACGTGGTCCTTGAGTGATTAGGGCAGGTGGATGGTGCCCCAGGATGTGAGAGCTCGATAAAGGAGGTGGGTGGGAGTGTGGACTCTTGATTGGTTGGTCTGCACATGGAAGGCATGCTCCCAGGAGAGTCATTTACTGTGTCTAGGACTTGACTAGCTCTGAGAGAAATGGTCCCTTAGGGTCAGCAAGGGCCCAGATGCCAAGCACCAAAAACACAAAATGAAAGGACATGATTAATACAACTTGCGAGGCACCGTTGGCATGGCTCAAGCATTCTGCTTAGATAAGCCAGGCTGTCTGAGAGTCTTGCCAGTGCATGTCTCACCCTTGGCCGACATAGTTTCCCTGGTCACCCTTGCAAGTTGGCTTCCCTACTTAAAACACCTCCAGTCTCCATCCAGTCTCCCACTCCACAATTCCCACCAGGAGAGCAGTCCTCACTAAGTCCTCCATAACCTGCCTGCATCCATCCTGGGACATTTCATTCCTATGACTGCCCCCAGTGTGTCCCATCTGCTGTTCACACTCCTCTTTCCCAGGTGCCTGCTTCACACCTCATGCAACACTCCTGTTGCCTGGTGGTCTGAAGCACATGCGCATGGCTTGTCCTGGCACAGGTAGGGTAGGATCTGATGTCCACGGGCCCTCAGCATCTCCACCACATCTCATGAACCATTCCTTCCCTAGGTGCAGATCAACATCACTCCGACATTCCCTGTGGGATGGCGGGGTGGGGTACACTCACTTCTCCGTGGATCACCATTGGCAAACTTTATGCTTAGCGCTTTACAGGAAATGGTTTCATTCAGGCTGGGAGTAAGGAGGCTCTTCAAAGCTGGGCAGCCCTACTTTCCTGGCGCCCACTTTGGACATAACTGCTACTGCAAACAACTCTCGCTTCTTCTGCCCCCGAGACACCCTCTGCCCCAAAGACTGTGGCAGGGGTCACAGTGGTCTCCCCACTTGTGGCAGATCCCATGATCCCCCATCTCAGAGACCAGTACATGTCCCCTGTTCGCTCATGTCAGGGAAAAACTCTCTCAAACCGTGTATTCCCTCTGCCCTCAAACAGCAATGATCGTCAACACAGAAGACCTCCGTAACCAAAGGTGTGGGTTTTTCCCCCCACACACCAAGCAGCAGACACCAGGAGTGTCCTCCAATGCAGTTCCAACACTACCTACCTGGAGACAGTGTCAGATCCCACAGGTTGGGGGCTCAGTCCCCAAGACCTCCCCCTCTTTCTCCCCAGTTGCAAGTCTGGGCCTCTGGAACTTCTGACTGACTGGCTTCAAGTTGGGGTTCCCATGACCCCCTCTTTGGGTTCGATTAATTTGCTAGAGTGACTCACATAACTCAGGGAAACACATTTGCTGGTTTATTTATAAAGGATATTATGAAAGATACAGATGAAGAGATGTGGAGGGCGAGGTAAGGGGAAAGGGGCGTGGAGCTTTCATGATCTCTCTGGGTGTGCCACTCTCTAGGAAGTGTTCACTCTCCAGATAGTGTTCAGCTATGTGGAAACTCTCTGAACCCTGTCCTTCTGGGTTCTTATGGAGGCTTCATTACATAGGCATGATTGGCAACCATGAAGAAATGTGATTGGACAAAAAGCATATGGTATAAACCCAGCAAGGCTTGTCTGTTCAGACTTGGCGTTTCTGTGCAGCATTCCTTCCTCTAGGGTATGAGGCAAGGCCCTTTCTGGAATGAGAGTCTTTTGACCCACAATCAAATTAGAGTCCTGCTTTGGGCAGGTGGAAGAAGGACAGGAGAAGGTCATAGACAGAGATTCTGTTTACTGAGGCCTAAAGTGCCCAACAATATAACAAGGAGTTAGGATCCAGGAGCTGCAGATGAAAAGCAAAATATATGGCTGGGCGCGGTGGCTCACACCTGTAATCCCAGCACTTTGGGAGGCTGAGGCCGGTGGATCACCTGAGGTCAGGAGTTTGAGACCAGCCTGGCCAACATGGTGAAACCCCGTCTCTACTAAAAATGCAAAAATTAGCCGGGCATGGGGGCAGGCACCTGTAATCCCAGCTACTCGGGAGGCTGAGGCACGAGAATCGCTTGAACCTGGGAGGCAGAGGTTGCAGTAAGCAGAGATCGCGCCACTGCATTCCAGCCTGGGCAACAAAAACAGACTCGGTCTCAAAAAAAGGAAAAGATATATATACATATATAAAGATAAATATATATATATGTGTGTGTGTATATATCTAAACACTACAGCTCTTACTTTTTTAATTGACTTAACTTTTCATTGACTTAACTTCTCTTTTTTTTTTTTTGAGATGGAGTTTCGCTCTTGTGGCCCAGGCTGGAGTGCAATGGTGCAATCTTGGCTCACCGCAACCTCCACCGCCCGGGTTCAAGCAATTCTCCTGCCTCAGCCTCCTAAGTATCTGGGATTACAGGCATATGCCACCACACCCAGCTAATTTTGCATTTTTAGTAGAGACGGGTTTTCTCTATGTTGGTCCGGCTGGTCTTGAACTCCCAACCTCAGGTGATCCACCTGCTTCAGCCCGGCAAAGTGCTGGGATTACAGGCGTGAGCCACCGCACCCAGCTGACTTAATTTTCATAGATAACTTATTCATCATAAAGAATTAATTTATTGGCTGGGTGTGGTGGCTCACAACTGTAATTCTAGCACTTTGGGAGGCCAAGGCAGGCGGATTGCTTGAGCCCAGGAGTTCCAGACCAACCTGAGCAAAATATTTATTTTTTGTGTTTATTTACAATAAATACAAAAAGTTATCTAGGCCCAGTGGTGTGCACCTGTAGTCCCAGCTACTCGGGGGGCTGAGGTGGGAGGTTCACCTGATGCCGGAGAGGTTGAGGTTTCAGTGAGCTGAGATTGTATCACTGCACTGCAGCCTGGGTGACAGAGCCAGACTTTGTCTTAAAAAGAAAGAAAGAAAGAAAGAAAGAAAGAGAGAGAGAGAGAGACAGAGAGAGAGAGAGGGGGGGAGAGAGAAAGAGAGAGAGAAAGAAAGAAAGAAAGAAAGAAAGAAAGAAAGAAAGGAAGGAAGGAAGGAAGGAAGGAAGGAAGGAAATAAATAAATAAATAAATAAATAAATAAATAAAGAAAGAAAGAAAGAAAGAAAGAAAGAATTTGTTGCCTTCCTGATAAAAATTCCAGTGGGAAATTTTGATTCACATTGCATTTAATTTATAAATAAATTTGGGAGAATTGGTATCTTTGCTAAGCTAAAATATAATCTCTGTGGACATGACGTACATTGCCACTGTTTATCCTTTAACAGACTAAATTTTCTCTGTAAGAGGTTATTTCCTAGATAGTTAATATTTTTGGTACTACTTTGTGCTGTATTTTATAACTATTAAGGAATGTTGCAGAGAAATGCTATCAATTGTTAAAATTTTGCCATGAATACAGCAGCCTCACTGAATTCTCTTAGTAGTTCTAATAGCTTGCCATTTGATTCTAACAGGTTTTCTATGTAAAAGATGGTGTCATCTTCAAACAATGATAGTTTCATTTCTTCTCTTTCACCTCTTACCTTCCTTGTGTTTCTTTAGCATTGGGCAGGTCCTTCAGGGATATGTGAAACAGTGGCAGTAACAACCAGACATCCTGGCCTCTTTGTTTTTTTTTCCATGATGAAGTCTCACTCCGTTGCCCAGGCTGGAGTGCAGTGGCACGATCTCGGCTCACTGCAGCCTCCACCTCCCGGCTTCAAGTGATTCTCCTGCCTCAACCCCCCAAGTACTTGGGATTACAGGTACCTGCCACTACACCCGACTAATTTTTGTACTTTTAGTAGAGACAGGGTTTCACCATGTTGGCCAGGCTGGTTGAGAATTCCTGACCTCCAGTGATCCACCTGCCTCGTCCTCTCTAAGTTCTTGGATTACAAGTGTGAGCCACCACGCCTGCCATTGTGGCCTCTTTATTGGTCTTCTTGAGAATGCACCTGAAGTGTCTTAATTACACATAATGTTTGCTGTAGAGCAATGATTCTCAAACCTTTTGGTCTCAGGATCCCATTACACTATTAAAAATTATTGAATACCCCAAAGAACTTTTATTTATGGGGACTCTATTCATCAGTATTTACCATAATAGAAAGAAAAAATTTAAACATTTATCAATTCTTCAAAAAATTATCCATCTTCTATATGTTAACATAAATAATATATTTTTATGAAAAATAACCATCTTCCAAAAGAAAAAAAGTAAGAAGAGTACTATGGTTTTACCCTTTTGAAAATTTTTCATGTCTGATTTTTTTTTCATAGCTGGATTTTCCTATCTGATTCATCATCCAACCTGTTTTAATATGTTATTTAGGTTGGAGTATATGAAGAAAATTCAGCCTCACACAGATATATAGTTGAAATGGGGGAGTGTATTTTAATGGTATTTTTAGATAATTGTGGCTATTCTATATTATACCAAACTCAACAAGTGGTAGCTTCTGAAAAGTCAGTTACCATGTGGAAATCCACACTCATATCAACTAACTTGTCATATTGTGTGTACTCATGAGAAAATGAGACTGAAACATGAAAATAGTGTGTTAGCACTATTCTAAAAATAATTTTGAGATCAAAGCCTCCCTAAGGAGGGATTCTTAGGGTTCCCTGGAAAACAGTTTGAGAACTGTTGCTATAACATATTGGTATTTATCCTTTCTCAAGTCAGAAATGGTCTCTTTATTTTGTTATACATTTTCCTTATCATCAGTAGATGTTGACAATTATGAAATTCATTTTCTGCATCTAGTAAAATAAATGTACAATCCTTTTCTTTGATTACTGGTATAGTGAATTACAAAGATAGATTTTTCTGATATGAAACTCTTCTTGACTCCCTGGAATAAGCCCTGGTTAATCACGATGTGCTATTATTTTCACCTGATCTGTGCTGTACCATGTACAGCATGATGTACTATTACTGCTACCCAGTTGGAAACATTCAGCCTCTCTCTGTGAGCTCTTTTTCCCTGGGGATGTCAACTACCCTGCCTAAAATATGTGTGACTGTGTGTGTGGACCCATTCCAGCAGGTACCACTCTCAGTGGTTTTAAGGTGGCAAGATGTAGTGGGGGAGGTGGAGGTGTCAATGCATAGGTCTCAGAACAGAGTCTATAATATCATTGTTCACATTGGAGCCACGCATTTGCTGCTTATGGAGTATTTGGCCATCCTTTACTTCCTGGCCCTACCCATTTCTCAGAGATTAAAAAAAATTTTTTAAGATAATCTTGCTGTGTTGCCCAGGCTGGCCTCAAATTTCTGGGTTCAAGCAGGCCTCCTGCCTTGGCCTCCCAAGTAGCTGGGACTATAGGCACATGCCACCATGCCTGGCCCATTTCTAAATTGCTTGTTTGTTTGTTATTACAAATGCCTAGCCCTCAGGGTATGAACATGGACTGGAGAAGAAGAAACCAGAGTTGCTGCTATGTCCACCAGCCTCTCTGCATGTCCTGGCCTCAGCCCCCCTGGGCTCTGGTACTGACCCATCTCTGGCCACCATGCTCCTCCATAAGCCTCTGCAGAGCTAATCTGACCCTGTTGATGTTCTCATGAGAGAGTGATCTGCATGCCCCCTGCACCCCTCCGTGATAATACAGCAGACCAAGAGCTCTCCCACCCTTCCCTGCCTGGATGCTGGGCACGTCCCCAGCTGGGCTGCCTATTTAACGCACCACACTCTCATTCTCCCAAGGTGGGGCTCCAGGACTAGGCTGGGGCAGCAGAAAGTCCCCCTCTCTACATTGTCCTTGGCTCAGGAGCCAACTTAGAAAAAGCATTTCCAAATTGGCTAAGCCAGCGGAGCAGAGATTTTCTGTGCTGAGAAATATCAGGACATCCAGAGGGGTGGAAGGAGGCTTCCAGGGCACACATGAGATGTGGCAGGGGTAGGCTGTCCGTTTTAAAGCTTAAAGCTTTAGACATGAACTCACAGGGATTTCAGTCAGGGTCATCTGCCATGTGGCCCAGCAGGGCCCATCCTGAGGAAATGACCGGTATAGTCAGGAGCTGGCTGAAGAGCTGCCCTCACTCCACACCTTCCAGCAGCCCAGGTGCCGCCATCACGGGGCTCCCACTGGCATCTCTGCAGCTGCACTTCCCCCAATGCTGAGGAGCAGAGCTGATCTAGCACCCTGTCCATTGCCAAGGCACAGCAAACCTCTCTTGTTCCCATAGGTTACACAACTGGGATAAATGACCCGGGATGAAGAAACCACCGGCATCCAGGAACTTGTCTTAGACCAGTTTGTAGGGGAAATGACCTGCAGGGACTTTCCCCAGGGACCACATCCAGCTTTTCTTCCCTCCCAAGAGACCAGCAAGGCTCACTATAAATAGCAGCCACCTCTCCCTGGCAGACAGGGACCCGCAGCTCAGCTACAGCACAGATCAGGTGAGGAGCACACCAAGGAGTGATTTTTAAAACTTACTCTGTTTTCTCTTTCCCAACAAGATTATCATTTCCTTTAAAAAAAATAGTTATCCTGGGGCATACAGCCATACCATTCTGAAGGTGTCTTATCTCCTCTGATCTAGAGAGGTAAGCAGGGTCGGGCCTGGTAGTACTTGGATGGGAGAACACCTGGGAATACCAGGTGCTAAAGGCTTTAAGAATAAAAAATAATGATCCTGCTTTGTGTTTATCCCATGTTGAGTTCTGTGCGGGGCAGAGGGAACACACGGTAAATGCGTTATGGGGAATTATAGGCTACTTGAGGGAGTGACAGTCTGGTGGTAACTCCTGCCTTCCTCCATCAGTGCCACATTGGCATCCTCTTATGCAGTCAGGCTTCAGGGCTGATGGGTTCAGAACCGAGGGCTTCTGGCTCTGAGTGAGGTCCTGCTGCAAGGTTTCCTAGATGAGCCACTGAGACTCTAATAAGATCCAGTGGAAATAACCAGGCTCTCGTCGGAATATAAGTCCCAAGGGAAGCTGTGCCAGTCTTGTGGGCGACTGCCTGACTTCTCCTTTCATTTCAGCACCATGAAGCTTCTCACGGGCCTGGTTTTCTGCTCCTTGGTCCTGAGTGTCAGCAGCCGAAGCTTCTTTTCGTTCCTTGGCGAGGCTTTTGATGGTAAGGCTTCAGAAGGTTTGCAGGATTTCTGAAGAGAAACATCGCCCTGGACCTGATAAACTGGGGAAAATGATGCTTTCGGAAGGCTGCTTTTGAACCACAGAGTTGCTAGTGTCTGCGTTGCTGAGGCCTGCCAGGAACTAGGGTTTGCTGGGTTGCCTGTCTCGAGTCTTTCAGAGCTGCTGGGAATATCCCCTTTCCCCGTAGTGCAGCTTCTCAGGATGTGTTAAGTGGATGGATCACATTTCAGAAGCCGCTGCAAGGTGTATCAAAAACACATCTCCTGAGCCGTAAGGGACGGGGCATCCAGTAACAACGCACACGGGGTATTTTTGGGCTTCCTTAAGATTTGAGCCGCTGCCTTAGGTTGTGCTGCCCAATGTGCCTGGGGAGCTGCTAAACAGATTAGAGAGTCGAGGATTGTTGTCAGTTACTCAGAGAAAGAACAATCATCCTTTCCAGGAGCACCTGAGCTGTTTGTTTTGAGTAGAAGATGCAAAATAAGGCCTGCAATTGGTATAAAATGTCCCTCAGCATAAATCGCATAGGAGTATGACTAAGGCTGTTGACTCTTCTGTCTTCTTTCTCCTTCCTCCTTCGATTTCCTAGTTGGATAATGTACAGGGCTCTTTAGCCTCGCTCTGTCAGGGGCTCCCTTCCTGGTTTGTTCTGTTTCCATTCTTCCTTCTCCAGCCTTCTTGACAAGAGCTGGGAACTAACGTGCCTCAAGCCCCCACAAGGACCACAGCATTTTCTCATCTAGTTTCAGAATGACTCTGTGAGGCAGGCATCCCTTCTGTGAAGGTGAGAAAGCTGAGACTTAGAGCAGCTGAGGCCAATGCCCAGGGACTTACTGCCAGTCAGCAGGTGGCAGGGCAGAGGTTTGAGCCCGGCTGTGCTTGAGGTCAGGGCTCTTGCCAGGTAGACGCATCACTGACCACCTCCCAGAGGTTGATGGTTATGAATCTCAGACACACCTTGGCATCACCTGAACTACCCATGCCTTCAACTCCCCAGCAGAGTCTGCAGAAACTGGCCTGGGGTGTGGCCTGGGCACTGGGACTTTCAGTTTCTCTCTGGGTGATTAGAAAGTGCAGCCAAGGCTCACGCCTGTAATTCCAGCACTTTGGGAGGCCAAGGTGGATGAATCACTTGAGGTCATGAGTTCCGGAGCAGCCTGGCCAACATGGTGAAACCCTGTGTCTACTAAAAATATGAAAATGTAGCCAGGCGTGGTGGCAGGCACCTGTAATCCCAGCTACTCAGGAGGCTGAAGCAGGAAAATCACTTGAACCCGGGAAGCGGAAGTTGTAGTGAGTTACATTGCTCCAGTGTGCTCCAGCCTGGGTGACAGAGTGAGACTCCGTCTAAAAAAATAAAAAAGAAAAAGAAAGTGCAACCACGGCGGAGAACCGCTGCTCTATTGCTTCCTCAAGCAACCCACAGTATCAGTACAGCCTACTGAGAAAGTGTTTAGGGACTTTTATGCTCCTAACAGTCACTGGAACTCAGGTCACAATGACATGTATTCCATTTGCAAGAATATATACTTTAGTAGTCAGGGCAGAAGTACTCTGTGTCTGCCACCTTTCTCAGCATCAGTATTCCATGTCACCACCTCATTCATATACACTCCTGGATCTTATCATAGGCAGCTTCATTCTATAGCAGTGGCTCTTCACCAGGGCACTTGAAGAAGCCAACTAGGATAAAGGAATGTGCTTCTCAACCCATGGTATCCAAGGCTGCTATGATCACAGGCTGAAAGCTTGAAGTCAGTGGAAGATTTGTCCTTCTTTCATTCCCCTCTAAGGTGTTGTTGGAGTCTTTATGTTCTCCTGATGTCCCTTCTGCCTTTCCTTTCCTTTCCAGGGGCTCGGGACATGTGGAGAGCCTACTCTGACATGAGAGAAGCCAATTACATCGGCTCAGACAAATACTTCCATGCTCGGGGGAACTATGATGCTGCCAAAAGGGGACCTGGGGGTGCCTGGGCTGCAGAAGTGATCAGGTAACTGGAGCTCCTGGGACGTTAGGGCTGGGTGAGCAGAGCTTGCCTGCCTTGGACAGTCAGGAGGGAGACGAGCTCCTTGTGGAGAAGTTAGAGGCTGTGGTCCCTCCTCTTCTTGCCCTCTCTCTGCCTCTGTGCTCAGTGTGAGGGTCTGAGTGGATGGTAGGAGTGAGTGATTCCTCCCCCTCCCCCTCTGGGTGCTGTTCATCCAGCCTAGGGGTGCCCAGCCTGTCTGAATGGGGCAGTGCCCAGGCAGGGTCAGTGTTTTCACTCCTCCTTCCTTGGCCTTTCTGGGCTCCTCTCTGAGCCCTCCCTTGGAACGGGGAGAATGGGAGGGTGAGCTGTTGCTCACTGGCCTGATGATTAATCTCCTTCTTGCCTGCCTGGACTACAGCAATGCCAGAGAGAATATCCAGAGACTCACAGGCCGTGGTGCGGAGGACTCGCTGGCCGATCAGGCTGCCAATAAATGGGGCAGGAGTGGCAGAGACCCCAATCACTTCCGACCTGCTGGCCTGCCTGAGAAATACTGAGCTTCCTCTTCACTCTGCTCTCAGGAGACCTGGCTATGAGGCCCTCGGGGCAGGGATACAAAGTTAGTGAGGTCTATGTCCAGAGAAGCTGAGATATGGCATATAATAGGCATCTAATAAATGCTTAAGAGGTGGAATTTGTTGAAACAGTGTGTTCTTCTTTTGGTGCTGACTGCCTGTTTGGTACAAAAGGGAAATCAATGCACACCCACATGAAGGGTGAGCCTAGGTAGGCCTATGTGTTTGGATGTGAGGAGACATTCTTAGTAGTCACAGTGCAGACACCTGCATCAACCCTTCCACAAATTAGACCTCCTTTTTTCCAGACCTTTGTGGTTACATTGTTGCTATTTCCAGTCCCTTCCTTGCCCAGGCTTCTCATCTCCTGTGAATTATTTCCTGTTACCTTCTCTGTCCCTCAGTTCTTCATTCCTCAGTGATCTCTGTTTCTGGAGGCAGGGGCTACAGACAATTGAATTGTGAAGTCCTGCCTCAGCGACTGCCACCCGAGTCTTCCTTTCATTTCTCAGCAACACCTACAAATCCAGGCATTAATGAATTTCTACCCACTCCATCTAAAAAATACCTCCAATGCAGTTCTCTTCCACTCTATTTTCATTGCCTTCTTTCAAGTCTAAATATGTAATGCGACTCCTTTTATGAATGTTTTCTGAGTTTCTGGAGCTTAACTAGATCAAAGTTGTGGAAGTGGTGGCAGTGGAGAGAGAGCCAGATAGAGAAGAACTGTTTTATCAGTCAGGGTCCCTTTGGGAGACAGAAACCAGGCAGTAATTTGAAAAGGGAAATTTTAATATAAAGAATTATTAACTGAGAGCAGCATTAACTTCTAAGAGTACAGAATATGAGAAGGTATAAATTTGAGATTGGGCCCCTCACAAGACTGACATTGGATGGCAAATAGTTTACTGGGTCCTTCAAGCCAAAACTGACATATAAGAACTCCATTGAGGTATTAATGAAACTTGGCAGGAAGCTACCCAGGGTGTAACTTAACTCTGGGAATGCAGCTAGGGTTCCTGTGACAAATTTGGGAAACTGCTTGGGGGCAGGAGATAGGTTATCAAAACCCCTGGGAAGCCAGCTGTGGAAGTGGCAGTGCTCTGGAGTGAACTGTATCTTGCCAAAATGTATATGTTGAAACCCCAACTCACAGCATGGCTGTACTATTTTGTTACAGCAGCCCAAGCTGATTAAAATAAGTGGGCTGCTGGTAAACATCATGGACATCCTACTGAGGTGCCACAGAAATTGTCAGGAAACTGTCTTGGCCTTGGGATGCCACTCAGATCTCTGGGGCAAGTGCCACTGGTTGTCCTGTACAGGAGAAGAGTACTGCAGGAGCTGAAAGGAAGCAAAGCACAAAAGAACAGGAAAAGATGTCTTCATCTCCTGCTTGGCCCTCTAGCGCCCTCTATGGGTGAAGATTAACATCATGCCCAACTGGCAAAGGAGAAATGTTCACAGGGTCCAGCTCCAGCATCACAAATAGGACAAAGGGGTGGGTGTGGAGCTGAAAATAAAGAAACTGATAACTGGCATACCCCTTTTCTCTGAAAAAGGATTGAGGAGGACTCCTAAGGTGAGAAGACTAGTTATAAAATTATATTTACAGAGTAAAGACAAATTTATTTGTCAAGGAGGAAGAAAATGTATGGATATAAAGTAGAACTATTTACAACAGAACTTTCTCATACAGTTCTCATCAAAAGACACTAATAGAAGTGTAGGTATAGGAGGTATAGGAGGTTTGAGTCTGAGTCTCAAAGATGTGCCAATGCCAAAACAAGGCAAGGGCAAGATAAATAAGATGGAGAGAGGCGTGGAAGATTGGCTCATGGGAGCAGACTCAATGCACTGTTGAGATTAGTGTTCAGTCTAGTAAAGTCTGAGTTGACCCCAAGTTGTAAAAAAAGACTGTAATGCTATTATTACAATAGCAATTGTAAATGCTTACAATTAGATTTCTGTCACAAGTACTGAAGTTGTAGATTTTGGGGGGCAGGAGGGAGAGAAAGGGAGGATGAGAGAAAGAATGGCTTTCAAAGTCAAATAAAGCAAGCTTTCAAAGTCTAGTCTTTGTAGATATTCAAAACTTTGCAATCAACATATTATTACTAGAAATAATTAACTGAAGCAACATTTGGATACAGAAATTCATTCATCCGTCTGTAAAGGACCAAATCACTCCCCTTCTTGAAATCTATAATTTGAAAAAAAATTTAATTCAATATAGTCCATAGGTTCAGAGGAAGAAAAAGTATAAAAAAAACAAGAAAAAAATTTTTAAATCGAAATTTGTATCCAAGGAAAAAGGTGCTTGGTTTACCCAGGAATTTATAATTTGTAAAGTCACACCTAATACCTATGCTCTGGCACACCCAAATACCTTTTATTAATTACTTGGTTTTCCTCAGTAAGAATTAACATGCTTCTCTCTGTTAGAAAAGTTTGAGAAAGGGAAATTGCATTGCTCTTTGTTATAGTTGTGTTTTGTTTTGTTTCGTTATTTGAGACAGCATCTCCCTCTTTCATCCAGGCTGAAGTGCCATGGCATGATCATGGCTCACTGCAACCTCGACCTCCCGGGGCTCAAGAGATCCTCCCACTTCAGCCTCTTGAATAACTGGGACTGCAGATGTGCGCCATGACACTTGCCTAATTTTTATATTTTTTGTAGAGATGGGGTTTCGCCGTGTCACCCAGGCTGGTCTTGAACTCCTGGGCTCAAGTGATCTGCCTGCCTCAGCCTCCCAAAGTGCTGGGATTACAGGCATGAGTCACTGAGCCCAGCCTACTGTTATATTTATTTTTGTGTCGGTTTGAGGCTGCCCAGATTCACATTGTTTCTGGGGTCGTCTGTGAGGGTGTTTCCAGAGGAGATTAACATTTGAATTGGACTTAATAAAGTAGATTGCTATTCTCAATGCAACTGGGCATCACCCAATCTGTTGAAGGCTTGAATAGAACAAAAATAGAGGAAGGACAGATTTGCCTCCCTTTTCCCCTGCCTCACTGCTTGAGTTGGACATCTCCTCTCATCTTCTCTTGCCCTCAAATTGGATTTACGTGATCAGTTGCTCTGGTTCTCAGGCCTTTGAACTCAGACTGAATTACACTTTCCTGAGTTTCTAGCTTGCAGAGGGCAGATCGTGGGACTTCTCAGCCCCAATTATCTTGTGAGCCAATTCCTTACAATAAATAAATACATACATACATACACAAATAAATTATTTGTCCTGTGTCTCTCAAGAACCCTGACTAATAGGGTATCCAAGCTTTTCAGTCTTATCTCCTATGACTAATTAATGTGCCTCATGCTACATGCAAATTGAGCTGCTTGTTATTTTTAAACATGTCATTGAATTAGGAATTATTTCAAACGTTCAGAAATGTGCTTCCATGTGTTCATTCAGCATTTATTATTGTTATTTAAAATATTCATTCATTTATTTATTTATAGATTTAGGGGGTACAAGTACAGATTTGTTACACTGATAGATTGCATAATGGTGAAATCTGGGTTCTTAGTGTAACCATCACCCAAGTAGAGTTCATTGTACCTGTCAGGTAATTTCTCAATCCTCGGCCCCCTTCTGCCCTCCATCTTTCTGAGTCTCCAGTGTCCATTATTCCACTTTCTATGTCCATGTGTACACATTATTTAGCTCCCATTTATAAGTGCGAAAATGTGATATTTGACTTTCTGGGTTATTTCACTTAAGATAATGGCCTCTAGTTCTATCTATGTTGCAGCAAAAGATACGATTTCATTCTTTTTAATGGCTGAATAGTATTCTATGGTGTATATATGTGTATACAGACATACACACACACCCCTCCAATCATTCGTTGATTAACCTAAGACACTTAGGTTAATCCCATATTTTTGCTACTGTGAATAATAGTGTTGTGATAAATACATGCATTCAGGTATATTTTTTATATAATGATCTATTTTCCTTTGGGTAGTACCCAGTAATGGGACTGCTGGGTCAAATGGTAGCTCTATTTTTAGTTCTCTGGGAAATCTCCATACTGCTTTCCACAGAGGCTGTACTAATTGACATTCCCATGAGCAGTGTATAAGCATTCCCTTTTCTCCACATCCTCACCAACATCTGTTGTTTTTTTGACATTTTAGTAATAGCCATTCTGATTGTGTGAGATGGTATCTCATTGTGGTTTTAATTTGTGATTAAATTTGTGTTTAAATTTGTGACTCTGATGATTAGTGATGTTGAGCATTTGTTCATATTTTGTTGGCCATTTGTATGTTTTCTTTTGAAAAATACCTGTTCATGTCCTTTGCCCGCTTTTTAATGGGGTTATTTCCTTTTTTCTTGTTGTCTGAGTTCCTTGTAGAATCTTGGTACTTGTCCTTTGTCAGATGAGTAGTTTGCAAATATTTTCTCCCGTTCTTAGGTTGTCTGTTTACTCTGTTGGCTATTTCTTTTGTTGTGCAGAAGTTTTTAGTTTAGTTTAGTCCTGCTTGTGTATATATTTTTTTGCTGCATTTGCTTTTGAGATCTTAGTCATAAATTCTTTGACTAGGTCAATGTTTGGTAGAATTTTCCTAGGTTTTCTTTTAGAATTTTTTGTTTCAGGTCTTACATTTAAGTTGTTAATCCACCTTGAGTATATATATATATGATGAGAGATATAAAATTTCATTCTTCTGCATATGGCTATCCACTTTTATCAGCACCGTTTATTGAATAAGGTATCATTTCCCCACTGTATGTTTTTGTTGACTTTGTCAAAGATCAGTTGGTTATATGTATGGGGTTTTATTTTTGGGTTCTCTATTTTGTTCCATTGGTCTACGTGTCTATTTTTATACCAGTACCATCAACATTTATTAAATAAGTAGCTATGTGACTAAAGGAACCCAGGGAATGTCACCCCAAAATACAGTACCCTGGTAGGCTGATTATTTTAAAGGCCTTTGAAAGGCAGCAGATGCTGGAAGAGGCTATTCTCTGCTCTTCTTTTATCTGCCTTATGGCTGCATCCCATGAAAGAGAAAACAATAGCCTTCCACCTGCTCCATGAAATCTCATTATTTCAGAGAAGATGACTGAGGAATACAACCACAACTGGATGGACTTTTTCAAAAGATGACACCTGCTTATTTGCCTCATTCAAATTTCAAGAGAATCATTTACAGGTTAATTTCTATTCCCCAGGTCCACTCATTCTTCCTAATAATCATTTATGACTTCAAAAAATTTGTGTACATTCCCCATCTTCTCCTCCCCTATGAAGAATAGTATATAATCACCGGTACCCCATTGGGTTATTGGGAAATCACCCTCCTGTGATTTTCCCCCTTGCATGTTAAAATACGTGTATATGACTTTTTCTCCTATTAATCTGCCTTTGTCAGTTTATTTTCAGCTGAACTGTAGAGAGTGAAGGAAGAAGCCTTTTTTCTTCACTCCTACATGACCCAGGCATTGATCCAGGCAATGAAGATTCAGTGTAAATAACCACCACTAACAAGACCATGGCCTTTGGAACCTGTGCTAAGAGGCATGGATGAGCTCCCTCAGCATGTGGATGGAGACTGAAGAGAGGTCTGAAGGCTCAGTGTGGTGTCTCCATTCTCTAAGAAGTTTGGAGGAGAAGCTGGATACAGCAAAACAGACTGAGAAGGAGCAGCTGTTGGGAAAGGAGGAAAACTAGGAAAGCATGGTGTTCCAGAATCCCTGATGGAGATATTGATTAGTAGTATCAGATTCTGCTTAGCAGTTGAGGAGTTCACCTTTGGCTTAAGCAACATGGAGTCATTGACTATCTCGTGAAGGTGGTTGCAGGAGAAGGTCTGGAGAACTAAATGGAGCAGTGATAAGAGAGAATGGGAGATGGTATGATAGGACTCCTGGACACCCCAGACATCAATCAAAACACCACAGACAAGAAGGTGTGGATACAAAAACTAGCAGTTAGAAGAAATAATAGAAAATGAACTCCAACTACTTCTGAAAAAAAAGTAATGAGGGCAATTAATACATTGAAGAAAGCCTCAATAAGTACAACAGTGTAGTACTGACTTATATATAGAAAAAACCTGATCAGTGGAACCAAATCCTCAGAATTAGACATAAGTGCATATGAGAATTTTGTATGTGATAAAGGTTGTATGTTAACGTATTAAGTAAAAGACGGACTATTCAACAAATGGGATTGGTACAACTGGGTGACCATCTAAAATAACATCATGTTGAAAACATACTGTATATATTACGGTAGGACAAATTCCAAATATGCTAAATATTTATAAACAAATAAGGAAAATGATAATAATAATATTAACATTATCTGGTGAATCCATGGAAAATTCTTTTATAGCCCAAAGTAGGGAAAGCTGCAACAACAAGGATGGAACTGGAGGTCATTATGCTAAGTGAAATCATTCAGGAACAGAAAGACAAACATCACATGTTCTCACTTATTTGTGGGATCTAAAAATCAAAACAATTGAATTCATGGAGATAGAGAATAGAAGGATGGTTACCAGAGGCTGGGAAGGGTAGTGGGGAGGGGGGGAGTGAGGGGAGGTGAGGATGGTTAATGAGTACCAAAAAAATACTTAGAATGAATAAGAGCTAGTATTTGATAGCACAACGGGGGACTATAGTCAGTAATAATTTAGCTGTACATTGTAAAATAACCAAAAGAGTATAATTGGATTATTTGTAACACAAAGGATAAATGCTTGAGGGGATGGATACCCAATTTTCCATGATGTGATTATTGCGCATTGCATGGCTGTACCAAAATATCTCATGTACCCCATAATTATATACACCTACTATGTACCCACAAAAAATTTTTAAAAAGGAATGAAATAAAAACATTTGAGTTTAAGAAAACCACAAAAAAACAAAGTAGGGAAAGCTCTTCAAATACTATGAAATTGAGAAGACAACTAAAGAAAATATTAATAAAGACAAGAACATAAATAATTTCTTTGGCAGAACATAAGCCATCATAATCAGAAGATAAATAAGCTGGGAAAAATATTTGTAACTCATATCCTAGATAACATACTCATTTTCCCTGTATATAAAAAGTTTCTCTAATGTGATAAATAAAAACACAATAAACCAGTAAAAAATGACTACTTTGATATGAAGGTATGAATTCACAATTCCTAGAAAATAGAAATAGCTCTTAAACATGTGGAAAGATGTGAAACCAAAATCATAATAAGAGAAATGTAAATTAAAATTACTTTGAGTTTTATTTTACTCACAATTTCAAAGACCAAAAAGTTTGAGAGTATACTGTGTGAGAGACAATGTGGAACCAAGTTCTTTCACTCATTTCTGGTGGGAGTAGAGATTGATACAGCCCTCATGGAAGGCAATTTGCAACATATAAAAATTTATAAAATCTAGGGCCAGGGACGTTGGCTCATGCCTGTAATCCTAGCACTTTGGGAAGCCGAGGTGGGCAGATCATTTGAGGTAAGTGGGTCGAGACTAGCCTGGCCAACATGGCGAAATCCCGTCTCTCTTAAAAATAGAAAAATTAGCCTGATGTGGTGGCATGTGCCTATAATCCCAGCTACTCAAGAGGCCGAGGCAGGGGAATCTCTTGAACCCCGGAGGTGGAGGTTGCAGTGAGCTGAGATCATGCCACTGCACTCCAGCCTGGGGGACAGAGTGAGACTCTGTCTCAAACAAACAAACAAAAAATTTATAAAATCTGATACTTTTTCACCATGGAGTTTCTTCTGTAGGAATTTATCCTAGAGATATATTTGTACATGTGCAAGAGACATATGTACAAGGTTAATAAATGCACCATTATTTGTAATATCAAAAGGTTAATAACTGTCAAAACAGCCATTAATATTGTATAAATTATGGTCCATCCATGCAATGGAATACTGTGTAGCTGTAAAAAAAAAAAAAAAAAAAGCAACAAGCCCGACATGGAAAGACTTCCAATAAATAGTAAGTTTAAAAGAAAGTGCAGAATAATACATATTTATATGAAAAAAGAGTTTTTATGCCTCAAAGGCCTTCACCCTTGATCTTCTGGTGTTATTCCTGTCCTTGTATTCTCCCAGAATCATTACCTCATCCCATGAATGGTACAGTCAAGTCTTGCTTGTTCTGTGTCCTTACATTCTTTAGAGAGAAGTCACAAGAGACAAGCAAACATCTCTTTTGCTAATAATATTGATCACTTCCTACAGCATAATATCTATGTGCAATTTTTTGGGAAGACCTCCTACTAAACAGTTAAGAATGGAAAGACACAAAGAGAAGAAAGTGGAGAAAGACCTCTGTCTTCCCACACTGGATTTTGCAAATACAACTCTTCTGTGATACAGGAAACTAAAAAGAGGGAAAAGTGGCAATTAAGAAAAACTGCCAGAAAATAAATACCTTGATGACCCAATTTGGAAAACTACTTCTAGATAAGGAAACACTATTACCCAATATGTTAATTTTTAAAATACCCAAAGAATTGAGCAAAAAGGACTTTGGCAAGGCAGGTTGTTGGATTTAAAACCGTTCTCCCATTAATGCCAAAGCCAGCAGAGGTACCAACTATAGCTCCACGGCCAGAAGATACCAGCAGCTCTGCCTTTACTGAAATTTCATCTGGAGAAAGGTCCACAGGTGAGGTTTCTTCCAAGGAGTAATTTCTCTTATTTGACTCTTTTGAGATCCTTTTCTCACATAATTGTCAAATTTCAATTGGAGAGAAACTGTGTTTTCTACCTCATTACGGGGTCAGTGCTGAGGAGAGTAGGAACTCAGGAAATGCTTCTTGATTGACTTTAGTCTGCTGTATTGGGTGACAAATTGACCACAGACCAAATAACACGTTGGAATCCTCTTATTCTTTCTAGAGATCTGGGCTGAGAATTAAGGGTTTATGCTTCTTCTTAAAACCCGTTTCAATCTTTCATGCAGTTATGATTCTCATACAAACAAATGGAAATGGGGAATTAGTCTTTCAAATTCAGTCCTTTGGCTGGCACAGTGGCTCATGCCTGTAATCCTTTGGGAGGTTGAGGTAGGAAGATTGCTTGAGGCCAGGAGTTCGAGACTAGCCTGGGCCGAACATACATACCAAGACCTTGTCTCTACCAAAAAAAAAAAAAAAAAAATTAGCTGAGTGTGATGGTGCACGTTTGTAGTCCTTAATACTCAGGAGGCTGAGGTGGGAGGATCACTTGAGCCCAGAAGGTCGAGGCTGCAGTAAGCCTTAATCATATCATTGCACTTTAGCCTGGGCAATAGGAAAAAAAAAAGAAAGAAAGAAAGGGAGGAAAGAAAGAAAGGAAGGAGAAAGAAAGAAAAGGAAAAAAAGAAAGAAAAAAAGGAAAGAAATTCAGTCCTCAAAACATAGATCTGTGTTTTTTTTTATGATCCTCTGCCCCTGTCTTTCTTTCTCTTCAGCACAATGAGGCTTTTCACAGGCATTGTTTTCTGCTCCTTGGTCATGGGAGTCACCAGTGAAAGCTGGCGTTCGTTTTTCAAGGAGGCTCTCCAAGGTAAGAACTCTGGAGGATGGAGGGCACATACCCAGGATTCATTCTGAGCAGGGGCCACATACTCACTGGATGTGAGTGCTCCTTAGAGAAGCCACACAGAGGTCAGAGCAGGAGTGTGGTTTTCTGTATCTGTTTCTTCCTCTAGGCTGGTCTGATTTATCACCCTCCCTTGGGGTTTCCAGACGAGAGGTTAAAGATGCTTTGGGCCCAGCCTGTACTCTTGGTGTAGAGTGCAGAAGGATAAAAACTTCCAGGGGGTTATCTCCCACTGCGGAAATTTACAGATGGCAGATTTCTCAGGGCATGATGTTTATTTAGCTCATCCACCTCAGGGAATATACTGAGTTCACAATTATACTCCAAGACTGAGACATGCCTAGCAGAGAGTAGAGAAATCCCATCCTGTACCCAAGCAAATGGCCAATGCTTGGGATGCAGAGCTTATGAAAATTAAGCCCTAACTTCTATCCATAAATAAAAAGAGCAAATTTCTACTGATTAGCCACAGGAGGGCTGAGATACGGCTGGGAAACTGACTTCTGCCATTCTGGATGGGAAACGAATCTTATTGACTAGCTGTTAAAATGGGAAAACTATGTTTGTCAGGTTATGCAATACTTTGAACTTCATGTGTTGTTATTAATTTTGTAGTTGAATTTTTTGTAATTTTTCAATTGAAATTTTATAAATTTTCATTTTTTCTGCATTTTGTGCTTTTAAAAATGATATTCTATAAATAGTTTTTAAAAAGTTTTGGTAGCATGTACTAAGTTTTTCTGCACATAGTAGAGAATATCTTTTCCCTTAGGTCAGTGTATTTCAGAATTTGTTGTATGGTCCACCAGCATTTAAATCGGCCGGTGTTTGTTTTAAAAGTACACTCTGAAGCCTCTTCTCATAGTTACTGAGTCAGAATCTTAGAAGTGAAGTGGGACTAGGAATAGCATTTGAAAAACTCCCCAGGTTACTTTAAGCACAATGCCAATGAGAACAACTGTCTTGGGTTTTTCTGTCACCCAGTGACAGAATCTGTCAGATGCTTGGAGAAAACTCTTGCTAGTAGATCTGGAAAACATAGAATGAACATAAAGCATGCATCAGAGAAAGGACAGTCATGCCATGCCAGAGATAAACTATTTGACAAAATTACAGACACAAAATAATACATGAAGTTAGTGAGAAATATCCCTTAGAACACAGTACCTAAGTAACAATTAAAACTATTTATCACAGCTTTTCTTTTTTCCAAGTGAGTTGGTTTAAAGAACTTGGTAACACGTAAACCACAGCAGAACTCAAAAATATTTATTGATTGAACAACACAGGCACTGATAGACATTTTCTATAGCTCTTCCTGGCTTAGACCTGTTTCAAACATCTATTTTTCCACTAATCTTTTTAAAAACTTTAAAATGATATATAACTTACATATAGTACACAGTATAGCTTGATGAGGTTTTTACACATACAAACATCCATATTACACCATCAGATCAAGATGTCAAACATTTCACACACCCCGGATGGGTCTCTCATGCCCTCTTCCAGTTAACAACCCTCACGAAAGGTAACTCCTATTCTTACCTCTATCATTGTTGATTAGTGTCCCTGTGTTTGATCTTTGAATAAAAGAAATCATACAGAATATGTCTTTTGTATCCGGCTTTGTTTCACTCAACATTACGACATACTAATATACATGACAGCATTTGTCATGTGTATTAATATTTTGTTCTTTTTCATTGCTACATAGTATTCCATTGTATACTGATATCACAATTTATCCTACATTATTGGATAATTAGGCTTTTTAAAGTTTTATGCTATCATGGCTAAACCTGTAATAAACATTGGTGTACATGTACTTTAGTGTACATAAGCCCTCGTTTCTGTTGTGGGTATACACTCAGGAATGGAAATGTAGAGTCATAAGGTATAGTCATGTCAATTTAGCTTTCGTAGATACCAGCAAACAGCTTCCCAAAATTGTACCAATTTACACTTCCATGAACAATTACGAGAGCTGGGCATGATGACTCACACTCGTAATCCCAGCACTTTGGGAGGCTAAGGCAGGAGGATCACTTGAGGCCAGGAGTTTGAGACCAGCCCGAGCAACAAAGTGAGACCCCATCTCTACCAAAAAAAAAAAAAAAATTAGCTGGGTGTGTTATTAGGTGCCTGTAGTCCCAGCTACTCAGGAGACTGAGGTGGGATGATCACTTGAGCCCAGGAGATCAAGGCTGCAGAAAACCATGATCACACCACTGCACTCCAGCCTGGGTGACAGAGGGAGACTGTGACTAAACAAAACAAAAAACAAAACCCAAAACAATTATGAGAGTTCCAGTTGTTCCACATTTTTGCCCACAATTTATATTGTCAGTTTTAAAAATTTTTATCATTCTGTTGGGTGTATAGTGGTATCTTATTGTCACTACTGCCCTTCACTAATAGGAACAGGAATCCAATTTGCATCAAGTATTCCAATATGCTAGGCATTTTATGTATGTTACCTCATTTTATCTTCTCATTTAGTCCACCAGGGAGGTAGGTATGATTCCCCCCAACTGAAGAATGTGGAAACTGACACTTAATTGTCAGGGCAGAGAGTTAAACATTTACATTCATGCCCTTCATGATAAGTCTGATTATCCAGGTCCTATGAAGCTCTCTCAGGTCATTCCACCTCATCACGTACTGCCCATTCCCTCGGCTTTCTTGTGCCATTTATGCCCATAGCAGTCAGATTTATTCAAGTCCTAGTTGTCCTCACTCAGCTGGTAAGGATGTATTTTTCTTATGGGCTATGGTAGATGTGCAGCCCCCTCCTCTTCTCACCAAGTCCCTTGTAATGTCCCTGGATCTTACATCTGTAGTACTATTCTCCATTGTGACATTCCTCACATGAGCATCCCCTCTTTGTACACAGTACACACAGACCCATGTAAGATGTAGCCCAGGGCATGACAACTGCCAACCAATTCAATTCAATGTAATCCATGGAAAAGCATTCCTCACATGAGCGTCCCCTCTTTGTACACAGCACACACAGACCCATGTAAGATGTAGCCCAGGGCATGACAACTGCCAACCAATACAATTCAATGTAATCCATGGAAAAGCACCTTCCTTACAGTTACTCAGGGAAGCTGTTCACAGGAAGTAATGTTTATCTCCACGTATGATTTCAAAGGATTATTTTGTCAAGGGCCAAAATCTGGAAATCAGTGGAAAATGTTCATTTCTACATTTCTCCAGTATGTCACTGGGTTCATTTTTGTCATTTTTTTTCTTTCCAGGGGTTGGGGACATGGGCAGAGCCTATTGGGACATAATGATATCCAATCACCAAAATTCAAACAGATATCTCTATGCTCGGGGAAACTATGATGCTGCCCAAAGAGGACCTGGGGGTGTCTGGGCTGCTAAACTCATCAGGTAACACAGATTCCCGGGGACTCCAGTGAGAGGCCAGCAGTGCCTATCTGTCTTGAGAGTCAGGAGAACCTGTGGCTCTTTCCCCTCCTCCACATACTCCTGGGGTCTGGGTGGCTGGCAGAGCCAGAGCAAGGCTGGTGAAGACATGTCTCCTTTCACCCACAAGGGAAAGTAAGAACTGAGGAGAGGTCTTGAAAGCACACTGTTGCAGGGGCTGGGTGCAGGGGCTCACACCTGTAATTCCAACTCTTTGGGAGGACAAGGTGGGAGGATCTCTTGGGCCCAGGGATTTAAGAGCAGCCTAGGCAACATAGCAAGACTCTTATCTCTACAGAAAATAAAAGAAATTAGCCAGGCGTGGTGGCATGCACCGTAGTCCCAGCTACTCAGGAGGCTGAAGTGGGAGATCCCTTGAACCCAGGAGGTCGAGGCTGCAGTGACCCATGATTGAGCCACTGCACTCCAGCCTGGGCAACAGAATGAGACCCTGTCTCAAAAAAAAAAAAAAAAAAAAAAAAGGGAAAGCACTCTGTTGCAGAGCGCAAGTATCAGTAGACTTAGGCCTTTGCCCAAGAAGATTGATAGTTTTCTTCCCCTTTCCTTGAGTTTTCCAGCCTCCTCTCAGTCATTACTTGGGTGGGAGAAGAGGAGGGAGTTAGCAGGTGGAGCTGTCTCAGGTGAGCAGGTGAGTCAAGAGATTAATCTCCTGTCTCCTTTCTTTGGGTTGCAGCCGTTCCAGGGTCTATCTTCAGGGATTAATAGACTGCTATTTATTTGGAAACAGCAGCACTGTATTGGAGGACTCGAAGTCCAACGAGAAAGCTGAGGAATGGGGCCGGAGTGGCAAAGACCCCGACCGCTTCAGACCTGACGGCCTGCCTAAGAAATACTGAGCTTCCTGCTCCTCTGCTCTCAGGGAAACTGGGCTGTGAGCCACACACTTCTCCCCCCAGACAGGGACACAGGGTCACTGAGCTTTGTGTCCCCAGGAACTGGTATAGGGCACCTAGAGGTGTTCAATAAATGTTTGTCAAATTGAATTTGTTGGTGGAAACTGGGAACATTGAGGCAGACTTTCTGGGAAGAATGGTCATCTGAGGCCATATGGAAGATAAACAGCACCATGGCAGATGAGCCTGTGACTGAGGGGGACCAAGGACTCCCAGCTGGCCTGTAACTATGCAGGCTCCTCACATGACCCAAGCCAAGCTTCTCTGGTCATTTTCGGCCCCAGCTTCCCCTCCTGAGTAAGCCTAAGCCGGCAAAGCACTGACCATCATCCTGGGCTTCTGAGTGGCTGGAGTCATGGCTCTGGCACAGCCCTGGGCAGTCTTCCATCAGTCTCCTCTGTATCTCAGATTGGACTTCTACCCCCAAATTCCCACTTCTTCTTCAGGGCCTCACAGTTTATTTTGTTGCAGTTTCCAGGCCTCTCTGTATACAGACTTTGTACTGCCCAATTCATTGCATCCTGTCCACTCTCTGCCTCTAGGCCTTGTCCCCCAGTGAGCTCTTTCCTTATGGAGAAGGTACATTGTGGGCTGAGTGTGGTGGCTTATGCCTGTAATCCTAGCCTTTTGGGAAGCTGAGGCAGGAGGATCGCTTGAGCCCAGGAGTTCAAGACCAGCTAGGCAACATAGTGAAACCTCATCTTTACTAAAAACCAAAAAAATTAGCCAGACATGATGGCATGTGCCTGTATTCCCAGCTACTTGGGAGGCTGAGGCTAGAGTACTGCTTGAGCCCAGGAGGTCAAGGCTGTAGTAAGCTATGATCACTCCATTGTACTCCAGCTTGTATGACAGAGTGAGACCCTGTCTCAATAAAAACAAGGTACATTGCTTAGAGAAGCCTAATCCTAGGAGTTCTATCCTAGAAACTGCTATCTTGGACTCTGGTTTCTTTCTTTCTTTCTTTTTTTTTTTTTTTTTTTGAGACAGAGTCTTTCTCTGTTGCCCAAGCTGGAGTGCAGTGGCACGATCTCAGCTCACTGCAAACTCTGCCTCCTGGGTTCAAGCAATTATCACACCTCAGCCTCTGGAGTAGCTGGGACCACAGGTGCGCACCACCATGCCCGGCTAATTTTTGTGTTTTTAGTAGAGATGGGGTTTCGCCATGTTGGCCAGGCTGGTGTCAAACTCCTGGCCTCAAATGATCTGCTGCCTTGGCCTCCCAAAGTGCTGGGATTACAGGCCTGAGCCCCTCTGCCTGGCCGACTCTGATTTATCTCTTATCAACACCCGTGCCTCCCCTGACTCAATTTTTAATTTGTCCCGCTCATTTTACCTAAGGAATGACTCTCCTGTTGGTTTTCCTTATCTTTATTCTCTTTTTTTTTTTTTTTTTTTTTTTTTTTTTTGACAAAATCTCCCTTTGTCAAACAAGCTGGAGTGCAATGGGGTGATCTCGGGTTACTCAACCTCCGCCTCCCGGGTTCAGGGGATTTTTTCACCTCACCCTTCCGAGCAGCTGGGATTACAGGCATGGGCCACCACACCTGGCTAATTTTTGGGTTTTTAATAAAAAAGGGGGTTCACCATGTTGGCCGGGCTGGGCTAACTCATGGGCTCAACTGGCCAAGGGTCTGAAAATGTAGGCCTGAACCACTGCACCTGGCCGGCATTTCGTTGGCTTTTAGTTCAAATAAAATTCTACTTCCTGTCCTAAAGGGGAAGTGAGATATGTAGATAGACAACACAGTTTAGTAAGAGCCTCAACAGAAGCACACACTGGTGGCAATCCAAATTTTGCTGGGGTATGGGAAGTCAGCAAATAGTAATTAGAATAGCTGCCATTTTTAATTGCAATTGCAAGACTGTGCCCTACAGTTTAAATACTTTATCTGATTTAAGCTGCAGAGAAGGCTTTGATGTTCTCAGCTGGATAAACTGAGGTTTAGAGAGGTTTGTGTTTAGGACCTTCTCCAAGGTCACATATGTAACAGGTGCAGAGCCAGGACTGCAGGCTGGTTTGTCTGACTTCAGAACCTGTGATACACTGAACAAGGCCAAGAGGTTCAGCAGTGGAGACCCCTTTCTTCTTCGTGGATCTCCAGCACTTGGTTTAAATGGCCAGGTGAGCCCTTATGCTTGGGGAAATGTCTGACTTGTTTGAGAACAGGCACCATATCTTGTTCATCACTGCATGCTTAATGCCTAGCAGGGTCCAGGCACTCAGTAGTTGCTTTCTGAATTAGATTATCCCATTGAAAACCTACACTTCAACCCACATTACTCTTCACTCTTGCACATTGTCTTCTTCCTCTTAATAAGTCAAACTTGTTGAAAGTATTGCCCATCTACACACCTTCTGATTCTTCACTTCTGATCATATGTTAACCCACTCCAGCCTGGTTTCTGTCCCCACAACTTCAGCAAAATACCTTTGTCACCACTGACCTCCATGCTGCCAAAAACAATGAACATCTCTCTTTTCTCATATCAGTAGCTCTGTGAGCAACATTCAACGCAGTTGCCTTCCCCTTCCTTCCTGATATATTTGGTCTCTTGGCTTCATAATACTACTCTTTCCTTCATCAGCTCTAAGTAGCATAATATTACCCTCTACCTCAATTCTCCTTTATTTCCTTAGCTGGGACTTTTTTTATCTCCCCAAACTCTGTGTTCTTCAGACTTGGCTCTGGGCCCCCATTCTTTATTTCTCTATGCTCTCTTTCACAAGTCTAAATAGTACTTATATGTGGATGGCTTTTAAAATTATATCTCCCCCTGCAAAACTCATTTCTGAGCTCCATGCTTGTACATCCAACTGGCTACTTGACATATCTACATAGCTGGCTTCCAGATATCTCAAACTTAACGTGTCCCAAAATGAACTCGGGTTTTCCCGTCAGAACTCTTCACACTCCAGGTTTCTCCATTTCAGTTAATGACATGGCCATTCTCTCTGTTCCTCACACCAGTTAGGGGAATGTGTTGATGCTTCCCTTCACTTTACCCCCACATTCAATCCGCTGGATGTGAACTTCCAAAGTTCATCTCTAATCCATTGACTTCCTCTCATTTACACCCTCATGCTCCTGGCTACATCATTTCTCATCTGGGGTACTGCGGTAGCCATCTAACTAGTCTCCCCATTTTATTTTATTTTATTTTATTTTATTTATTTTATTTTTTTTGAGATGAAGTCTCGCCCTGTTGCCAGGCTTGAGTGCAGTGGCACAATCTCGGCTCACTGCAACCTCCGCCTCCTGGGTTCTAGCGATTCTTGTGCCTCAGCCTCCTAAGTAGCTGGGACTACAGGCGCCTGCCACCACGCCCAGCTAATTTTTGTACTTTTAGTAAAGACGGGGTTTCACCATGTGGGCCAGGATGGTCTCAGTCTCCTGACCTCGTGATCCACTGCCTCGGCCTCCCAAAGTGCTGGGATTACAGGCGTGAGCCACCGCGGCTGGCCGATTATTTAGATTATTAAAGGTCACTGCAGTCCCGTTTCAAGCTCCAATATCATGTCTGTTTTAAAGCATCCTGCTCCGCTATTGTTGGCTAGATTGTAGTGGGAGTGCTGGGAGGGGTGACGGTTAGAGACTCTTTCCCTGCTCCTCTGGCACCAGCACCTTAGAGAAGGGTGGGGATAGTCTAGTTCTGAGATGTCTTTCTATCACACTTCTCAGCCTCAGGATTGGGAAAGGGGAGAGATGTAAAGGAGGGGGTAATCATTTTGGCCTCACCCTGGTTTGATGTGCTTCTAACTGATGCTGATATATATTCTCTACTGATGTGGAGGTCTCTACTGAGATGGTGGTCAGGGTTCTTCCTGATGTGAAATCCAGCTCCCTCAGATATGGGGGTGGAACTGCCCAGAGAAGAACAGCTGTATCTACGACTGGTCCTGAAAGTGGTCCTTGTTCCAAGCCCCCTCTCTGGGTAAGGTTTACCTTACCTGGCCCAGCCACTGCTTTTTCCCTAACCTCAGTGGTTTTCTCAATAGACCCACCAGAATGGCTGAGGATCTCTTCTCTTCCTGCCCAGGGGTGCAGAGATCAGAGTTGGGTAAGAAGTCACCCCATCTTCTTTTTAGGCATATTCCACCAATACCTCTTCAAGCTCTGCTGGCCTGGGCTACTCCATCCTTCAGAAATCCCCAGATGAGAAGCAGGCACCAGAATGTTCACACATGGTGAGCTCTCTCAGGAACTCACCACACTCCCCTCTGCTTTGATGGGGGCACCAGAATGAGCTGGCAGTTTTTGCAGCTCAGTATGCACCCAGCTGGGAAGGCATTTTTCTTTTCTTTGTATTTATTCATTTTTAATGTTTTAAAAATTCAACTTTTATTTTAGAGACAGTGGGTACATGTACAGGTTGGTCTACATATATTGAACCCAGGTAGTAAGCATGGTACCCAAAAGGTAGTTTTTCAACCCACTCTCCCCTCCCTCCACCTCCTAGTAGTCTGCAGTATCTATTGTTCCCATGCTTATGTCCATGTGTGCTCAATGTTTAGCTCCCACATATACATGAGGACATGTGGTATTTGGTTTTCAGTTCTTGTGTTAATTCACTTAGGATTATGGCTTCCAGCTGCATCCATGTTGCTACAAAGGACATAATTTCATTATTTTTTATGGCTGTGTAGTATTCCATAGCATGTATGTACCACATTTTCTTTATCCAGCCCACCACTCATGGGCACCTAGGTTGATTCCATGTCTTTACTATTGTGAATAGTGTGGCAATGAACATATGAGTATGTATATCTTTTTGGCATAATGATCTATTTTCCTTTGGGTATACACTTAGCAATGGGATTGCTCGGTCTAATGGCAGCTCTGTTTTGAGTTCTTTGAGAAATCTCCAAACTGCTTTCCACAGTGGCTGAACTAATTTACCTCCCCACCAACAGTGTATAAATGTCCCCTTTTCTCTGCAGCCTCATCAGCATCTGTTGCTTTTTGACTTTTTTTTAATTTTATTTTATGTATTTGTTTACTTTTACTGAGACAGGGTCTCACTCTGTCATCCAAGCTGAAGTGCAGTGGTGCAATCACAGCTCACTGCAGCCTCAAACTCCCAGGCTCAGGTGATCCTCCCACCTCAGCCTCCTGAGTAGCTGGGACTATAAGCATATGCAACTGCACTTTGCTACTTTTTTGTATTTTTTTTTCCCAGAGATGGGATTTTGCTATGTTGCCCAGGCTGGTTTTGAACTCCTGGGCTCAAGTGATCTGCCAGCCTTGGCTTCTCAAAGTGCTGGGATTATAGGCATGAGCCATCACGCCTAGCCTGACTTTTTAATAATTGCCTCTGGCTGCTGTGAGATGGTATCTCATTGTGGTTTTCATTTGCATTTCTCTGATGATTAGTGATGTGGAGCATTTTTTTGGTATGTTCGTTGGTCACTTGTATGTCTTTTTTTGAGAAGTATCTGTTCATGTCCTTTGCCTGTTTGTTTTTTGCTTGTTGATTTGTTTAAGTTATTTATAGGTTCTGGATATTAGATCTTTGTTGGATGCATAGTTCGTGAATATTTTCTCCCATTCTGTATATTGTCTGTTTACTTTGTTGATAGTTTCAAAGAAAATGAAATACCTGGGAATATAGCTAACCAAGGAGGTGAACAGTCTCTGCAAGGAGAACTGCAAAACACTACTGAAAGAAATGAGAGACGACACAAATAAATGGAAAAACATTCCATGTTCATGGATTAGAAGAATCAATATTGTTAATATGGCCATACTGCCCAAAGCAATGTACAGATTCAATGGCATTCCTCTCAAACTACCAATGTTATTCTTTGCAGAATTAGAAAAAGCTATTCTAAAATTCATATGGAAGAAAAAAAAAGAGCCAAAATAGTCAAAACAATCCTAGGCAAAAAGAACAAAAGCTGGAGGCATCACATTACCCAACTTCAAACTATACTATAAGGCTGCAGTAACCAAAACAGCATGGTACTGGTACAAAAACAAACACATAAACCAAAGGAGCAGATTAGAAAACTCAAAAATAAAGCTGCACACCTATAACCATGTGATCGTCAACAAGGCTGACAAAAACAAGCAATGGGGAAAAGACTTCCTATTCAATAAATGGTGCTGGAATAACTGGCTAGCCATATGCAGAAGATTGAAACTAGCCCCTTACTTTTCACCATATACAAAAATTAACAAGATGAATTAAAGAGGTCAGGCGTGGTGGTTCATGCCTGTAATCCTAGCACTTTAGAAGGTGGGCAGATTTCTTGAGCTCAGGAGTTCAGCCTGGGCAACATGGCCAAACCCGTTTCTACTGAAAATACAAAAAGGTAACTGGGTGTGGTGGTGCATGCCTGTAGTCCCAGCCACTCAAGAGGCTGAGGCAGAAGAATTGCTTGTACCTGGGAGGCAGAAGTTGCAGTAAGCCGAGATCAAGCTACTGCACTCCAGCCTGGGCGATGGAGTGAGACTCTGTCTCAAAAAAAAAAAAAAAAAAAAAAAAGATGGAGTAAAGAAGTAAAGATTTAAATATAAGACTCATACAATAAAATTCCTAGAAGAAAACCCAGGAAATACCCTTCTTGACATTGGCCTTGGCAAAGAATTTTTGGCAGAGTCCCCAAAGACAATTGCAACAAAAACAAAAATTGACAGGTGGGATCTAATTAAACTAAAGAGCTTCTACACAGTGTTCTTCTTTTCCTCTCTGAATCCCAAATCTATATGAAGAAATCACCAGTCTCCACAAACACTGTACTCCCCACGGACTGACAACCGTGCTCTCTCCCCCATTCCTTTCCTCAGTCTTCTCCTTATATGGACTGGAGGGTGCAATGGGGATGAGGAGGTGGTTGGTTGCTGAAGGCCTACACTGCTACCTCTTCATAAGCCTTGGGGGCTTATGAGATCTGGCTCTACTTCTTGGATGTTCTCTCTACAATGTGGGGTACTTGGAGCTTCTTTGGTCTCAGCTGTGGTCAGAGGGAAAAAAAATATTACTCAACAGCTTGTTTTCCAAACTTGGGTCAAAAGCAGCCATCTTGCAATCCTCTAACTTACTAGGTTCACTTTTTACAATCTCTAATTATGGGAAAAAATCCAGGTCCATTCTCAGAGAACAGTATGCTTTATTTCAAACCACATTGTTTAAAACATATTTGCAAAAACTCTAGCCGATGACCTACTTGTACCTTTGGTGAAATGGCTGAGGGAATTTACAGTAACTCTAGGCTGGGCTCTATGGGCCTTGTTCCTGCATGATCTGACCTGTGGCAAGTGTGCAATGCACTGTGATCTTTGTTTACTCCTGTTTAGGGTTGGACTTAGTACTGTCCAAATAGTACCATGCTTCTCTTTAACACAAAGTCCTCAATCTATTTACCTTTCTGGTAAAGATGCTTGCGAAATTCACTCATCCATTTATTTATTTATTTATTTAACATGTATTTAATGAACTCCTAGTATTGGCAGGAACTCTTCTAGACCCTGGGAATACAGTAGGGAATAAGGCAGAGAAGACTAGTGCTCTCATGCAGCTGATGTTTCACTGGAAGAGTTATTATCAAGCTAGTTGATGTAATTGAATTACATTATGTTGTACATGTATTTGTATATATGCTATACTGCTGCCAAGTTTAGGTTGCAGCTATATAGCATTTGGTTAATAATCCCAACACTTAATCCTATCAGACCAGATTTGAATTTCAGCTTTGTCATTGACTCTGTGGTAGCTAAGGGCATGACATGAAAACATGCTTATGTTAAATTGCCAAATGAAAACGTGGACTATAAAATGGTAGATATTGTATCACTTGGTGTTTATGTATTCATATATCTATAAACACTTAGAAAATAGATTAGAGACCAAGTATGAAGATTCTACAGTGGTTCTCCTTACCCCTCCCCCAGCCTTGGCTGATGAAATTAGTATTGCTTTTTATTTTTATCCTTATACTTATTTTGTATTTTTCAAGTTTCCATCAGTGAACATGTCCACTCAGCTAAGACTCGTTCAACCGACCTATGTCACGGGCACCTTCGCAGGTACTGAATATCCATAGTGAAAAACCCAACTACACTGTTCCTGTCCTGATTGGGATTCCAGTGTTCAGACAAGGACAAATAACAAATATTTTATTTATAATATAGTTTAGAGTTTATAACCCTCTCTCTTTTTCTTTCTCTCTCTCTTTCTCTCTCCTTCTATGGACTAGAGGGTGCGATGAGAATGAGGAAGTGGTTGGTTGCTGAAGCCAATTCTGTACACAAACACAACACATATACAACACACACACACAATACACAAATACACCACACACACACCACATACATACACCACACAGACACACACACCACACACACACATACACAGACCACACACACATACCACACACATACACCACTCACACACACACACCCCCCACACACCCCATATACTCCATACACACAGCACATACACACACCACACACCCCCAACACCCCCTCACACACACACACCACACACACACCACACATATACACACCACACACATACACCACATATACCACACACACACACTCTCCACACACAAGACGCACACCCCCCCCACACCACACACACATACACACACCACACAGCAATACATATGCAAACACATAGGTACACATAATGCATACAAATTAATAAAGATTGCAATGAAATATGCTCCATATTCCAATAATCCTTACTCTGACCTTTTTCCCCAGTGTGATTCGTTTCTTCTCAGGCCTGCTTATCCATCAGGATTAACCAATGGAATTTAGGCAGTTGACCTTGAGAACTAGAGGCCCTACTAATTTCTGGTGAAAGAAGTTTCTTCAAGATAAGGAAGAGAAAATGTTCCATTTTCTCCTGTAGCTGCTAGATCAGCAGTTAGGATAATAAAAGCTGTACTTACAAAAGTTCTTTCTTTTTTTTTGAGATGGAGGTCTCAATCTGTCACCCAGGCTGGAGTGCAGTGGTATGCCTGCAACCTCCACCTCCCGGGCTCAAGCAATCTTCCCACCTCAGCCTTTTGAGTAGCTGGGACCACAGGCATGTGCCACCATGCCCAGCTAGTTTTTTGTTTTTTTTTTTTGTATTTTTGGTAGAGATGGGTTTTGCCATGTTGCCCAGGCTGGTCTCAAACTCCTGAGCTCAAGCGATCCACCTGCCTCAGCCTCCCAAATTGCTGGGATTACAGGTGTGAGCCACCGCGCCTGGACACAAAAGTTATTCCTAACAGGAATTTTGTAAAACAACAGCAGCAACAACAACAACAACAACAAAAAACACCTCAGAGATTGTTACTATGTCCTGTGAAACCCTATAATATCTTATTTAATGTTTAGACTTTAATCTATACCTTTGAAACAAAATCATTATTTTGATGGAATCTACTAGACTAGAAAAAAATGATGTTGGATTGTGCCAAGTTTTGGCAAGGATGTAGAGCTATAGAAATCCTCCTGTACTGCTAGAGCATGTAGATGGGTTATCATCCTGGAGAGCAGTGTGACACTTGGAAGTAAAAGAAAGACATATGGACTAACAATATCACTCTGTTGATATACACGGTGATGGCAATGGTGGCCTGCCTGGTGTGGGCACTGCCAAGATGCTGTCAGCAGCAAGGAAGGCGCAACTGGGCTGTGGGCTCTGCAGAGCCAGAGAGAGCCAGGAGCAGACAGGAGCCTTGCCCTCCTGGGTGTGGCTGCACCTGCCCAAGCTGTGGCTGTGGACCTGGGAATCCCTGTCCTCCCCTGTGCTCTTGAGGGCTGGGAGCAGGCAGGAGCCCCACTCTCCCAGGTGTGGCTGCAGCTGCCCAAGACATGGCTGCGGACCTGGGCCTGCACTCTTGGCCCCCATCCCTGCAGGCTCGGAAGTGCCTACCACTGCTGCCTGGCCTCTCCCCACTCCCGGTGTTCACTCTGATCTCAGAGCAAAGTTGAGGTCAAGCCTGGGCACTGTCATCACCCGGCTGGGAGTGCACACACTTGGGGCAGTGCTGACATGCCAGCCCCCTGCTGCCTCAGCCCCCTCTGGACTTTGGGCATTGATGAGCACAGGAGGGAGGCAAAGGTGGCTGCTGAAGGCAGCTCAGTGATGGCCTGCAGGTGCCCCTCTGCACAAACAGCCTGGGCACCATGAACAGTGGCAGGAGGCAGACAGGCTCCTGGGCAGAAAGGCGCAGGTCCCTGGTGAAGCCCTACCTTTAAGCCAGGGATGACTGGAAGCCTGGGGGCCAGGCTGCCAGTTCCATGGACCAGAATAAGAACTTATAGTGCCTTTTCCAGGCCTGTCCATGGCTACCTGTGGGCCAATCAGCATGCACTTCCTTCCTTCTCAGCCCATAAAGACCCCAAGCTCAGCCAGACTCAGACACTCCACAGGACAACCAGCTGTGGAGAGGAGCTGCCCACTCCAAGGTCTCCTCTCTGCTAAAAGCTGGGAAGATGTTGGGACTACCAGCAGTGGGAAGGAGCTACCCAATTCAGGTCTCTTCAACTTGATAGGATGACCTGCCTGTGGAGAGGAGCCACCCACTCCAGGGTCTCCTCTAAGATATTCTGTCACTCAATAAAGCTCTTATTCACCTTGCTCACTCTCCTCTTGTCTCTGTACCTCATTCTTCCCGGATGTGGGACAAGAACCCAGGACCCTCCAGACCCACTGGATAGCAGGACTGAAAGAGCTGTAACACAAACTGGACTGAAACATCCCTCTTGTTCGCCACACTGTGGGCAACATGAAGGAGAGAAGAGAGGAGAGAAGAGCTGTGACCCTTCAGGGAGCCCAGACCTAGGAGTTCCCCAAGCTAGGGGCGTGACACCCTCTTTGAGGTTCCGTGGTTCCTGGCATCTCCAAGCTTCCAGGTACCACCGTGTTCCCTGGTACCCTCAGTGGAAGCCATTTGCAGTGGAAGCCCATGCTGGTGCCTGGAGCTGCCTGCCCCACTGCAGCCAGTAGGCCTGGCTGTCCCCTCGCTCATTCATGCATCCCTTGCCACTCTGTGCCTGGTTTGCCCTTGGCAGGCATGACCTTGGGGCCAGTAGCACTAGCCAAATGCAGCCTGCCAGGCAGAGTGAATGGAATGAGCCTAGCAGGACTGAGCAAAACTTGGGCAAAGGCACCCCTGGCCACAGAGGTTTCCAGCAGGTGGAGTCTTTAGGTTTTTCCAAATATAAGATTATATAATCTGCAAACAAGGATAATTTGACTTCTTCCTTTCCAATTTGGATGCCCTTTATTTATTTCTCTTGTCTGATTGCTCTAGCTAGGACTTCCAGTATTGTGTTGAATGACAGGGGTGAAAATGGGCATCCTTGTTGTATTCCCCTTCTTAGAGGAAAGGCTTTCAGTTTTCCTCATTCAGTATGTTGCTACTTGTGAGTCTGTCATATATGGCTTTCATTATTTTGAGATATGTTCTTTCTCTCTCCAGTTTATTCAGGGTTATTATCATGAAGGGATGTTGAATTTTCTCAAATGCTTTTTCAGCATCAATGGAAATTATCATACGGCTTTTATTCTTCATTCTGTTTATATGATGTATCACATTGGTTGATTTGCATATGTTGAACCATGGTTGATTTGCATATGTTGAACCATCTTTGCATCCCAGGGATAGATCCTACTTGGTCATAATGAATGATCTTTTTAATGTATTATTAAATTCAGTTTGCTAGTATTTTGCTGAGGATTTTTGCATCAATATTCATCAGAGATATTGGCCTGTAGTTTTATTTTTTTTGACATGTCTTTGTCTGGTTTTGGTATCAGGGTAATACTGGCCTCATAGAATGTGTTTGAAAGTATTTCCTCCTCCTCCTCCTCTATATTTTGGAATATTTTGAGTAGGATTGGTGTTAGTTCTTCTTTAAATGTTTGGTAGAATTCAGCAGAGAAGCCACCAAGTCCCAGGCTTTTGTTTACTGGGGGACTTTTTATTACGGTTTTGATCTTATGACTTGCTATTGTTTTTGTTCAGGTTTTGGATTTCTCCCTGGTTCAATATTGGTAGGTTATGTATGAGTCTAGGAATTTGTCCATTTCTTCTAGATTTTCAAATTTATTGGCATATAGTTGCTCATGATAGCCACTAATGATCTTTTGAGTTTCTGCAGGGTCAGTTATAATGTCTCCTTTTTCATTTCTGATTTTATTTATTTGGATATTCTATTTTTTTTTTAGTTAGTCTAGTTAGTCTGGCTAAAGGTTTGCCAGTTTTGTTTAACTTTTCAAAAAACCTACTTTTTGTTTCATTGATTTTTGTATTCTTTTCTTCACTTCAATTTCTTTTATCTCTGTTCTGATCGTTACTATTTGTTTTCTGCTACCAATTTTGGTCTTGGGTTTCCTCTTGTTTTTGTAGTTCTTTAAGATGCATTGTTAGATTGTCTATTTGAAGTTTTTATTCTTTTTTGGTTAGGCACTTATACCTATAAACTTCTCTCTTAGTACTGCTTTTGCCGTATCCGATAGGTTTTGGTATGTTGTGTTTCCATTATCATTTGTTTCAAGACATTTTTCAATTTCCTTCTTACTTTCTTCATTGACCCACTGGTCATTCAGAAACATATTGTTTAATTTTTATGCATTTGTACAGTTTCCAAAATTTTTCTTGTTATTAATTTCTAGTTTTATTCCATTGTGGATAGAGAAGGTGCTTGATATGAGTGCAATTTTTTGAATGTTTTAAGACTTGTTCTGTGACCTAACATATGGCCTATCCTTGAGAATAATTCATGTGCTGAGGAAAAGAATGTGCATTCTGCAGCTGTTGGATAAAATGTTTTGTAAATATCTATTAGATCATTTGATCTATAGTGCAGATTAAGTCCAATTTTTTGTGTGATTGATTTTCTGTCTGGAAGATCTGTCCATTGCTGAAAGTGGGGCATTGAAGCCTCCACCTATTATTGTGTTGCAGTCTATCTCTCTTGTTAGCTATGATATTTGTTTTATATATCTGGGTGCTCCAGCATTGGGTGCATATATATTTACAATTGTTATATCCCTTGCCGAATTGACTCCTTTATCATTATATAGTGACCTTCTTTGTTTCTTTTTATGGTTTTTGTTTTGAAATCCATTTTGTCTCATATAAATATAGCAACTCCTGCTCTTTTTTGGCTTTCATTGGCATGGAATATCTTTTTCCATTCCTTTATTTTTAGTCTATGTGTGTCTTTATAGGTGAAGCATGTTTCTTGTGGGCAACAAATCAGTGGGTCTTGTTTTTTTAAATCCATTCAGCCACTCTATATCTTCTTATTGGAGAATTTAGTCCATTTACATCAATGTTATTATTAATAAATAAGGAGTTACTTCAGCCAATTTTTTTTGTTTTCTGTTTTGTGAACTTCTCTTCCTTCTTTCTTTCCTTCCTGTCTTCCTTTAGTTAAGGTGATTTTCTGTGGTGATATGGTTTGTTTCTTGCTTTTTATTTTTTTGTATATTTATTGTATGTTTTTTTGGTTTGAGGTTACCATGAGGCTTGCAAATACTATCTTATAACCCATTGCTCTAAGCCAGTAAGAACTTAACACTGTTTGCATGAACAACAACAACAACAACAAAACAAATAAGCAAAGAGAAAACTAATAAGAACTTTACATCTTAACTACATCCCCTGACTTTTAAACTTTTTGTCGTTTCTACTTATATCTTATCGTTTCTACTTATATCTTATGTACCATCTATGAGTTGTAGCTATTATTTTTGATTGGTCCAGTGTTTAGTCTTTCTACTTAGGATAAAAGCTGTTTACACACCGCAGTTACTATGTTATGATATTCTGTGTTTTTCGGTGTACTTACTATTACCAGTGAGTTTTGTACTTTCAGATGATTACTTATTGCTCATTAACATCCTTTTCTTTTTGATTGAAGTATTCCCTTTAGCATTTATTGTAGGACAGGACTAGTGTTGATGAAATCTCTCAGCTTTAGTGTGTCTGGAAAATCTTTATTTCTCCTTCATGTCTGAAAGATATTTTTGCCAGGCTTACTATTCCAGGGTAAAAATTTTCTCCCTTCAGCACTTTAAGTATGTTATGCCCCCTCTCCTAAGCCTGTAAGGTTTCACTGACATGTCTGTTGCCATATGTATTGGAACTCCATTGTATGTTGTTTATTTTCTCTTGCTGCTTTTAGGATCCTTTCTTTATCATTTAAAAGTTTTATTATTATTATTGTCATTTTTTGAGACAGGGTCTCACTCTGTCACCCAGGCTGGTGTGCAGTGGTGCAGGCTCAACCTTCTAGGATCAAGTAAACTTCCCACCTCAGACCCCTGATAGCTGGGACTACAGGCATGTGAAAGCATATCTGGCTAATTTTTTGTATTATTGCAGAGGCAGGCTGGTCTCAAACCCCTGGATTCAAGTGATTCATTTGCATCTGTCCCACAAAGTGCTGGGATTACAGATATGAGCTACTGTGCCTGGACAGAAGTTTGATTATTAAGTGCCTTGAGGTAGTGTTCTTTGAGTTAATTCTGCCTGGTGTTCTATAACCTTCTAGTACTTGGATATTAATATTTTTCTCTAGGTTTGGGAAGTTCTCTGTTATTATCCCTTTGAATAAACTTTCTACCCCATCTCTTTCTGTACCTCCTCTTTAAGGCCAATAACTCTTGGATTTGCCTTTCTGAGACTGTTTTCTAGATCCTGTAGGTGTGCTCCATTGGTTTTTATTCCTTATTCTCTTGCTTTTTTGATTATTATTATTATTATTTTTTCAGACAGAGTATCACTCTGTTGCCCAGGCTTGCTGCAACCTCTGCTTCCTGGGCTCTAGTGATTCTTGTGCCTCAGCCTTCCAAATAGCTGGAACTACAGGTGCACATCACCACACCCAGCTAATTTTTGTATTTTTAGTAGAGATGGGGTTTTGCCATATTGCCCAGACTGGTTTCAAACTCCTGGCCTCAACCAATCCACCCACCTCAGCCTCCCAAAATGCTGGGATTATAGGCATGAGCCCCTGCACCCAGCCTGTTGAGTATTTTCAAATAAGCTGTCTTCAAGCTCACTAATTCTTTCTTCTGCTTCATCAGTTCTGCTATTAAAAGACTCTGATACATTCTTCAGCATGCCAATTGCATTTTTCAGCTCCAGAATTTCTGTTTAATTCTTTTTAATTATTTCAGTATCTTTGTTAAATTTATCTGATAGAATTATAAATTTATTCTCTGTGTTATTTTGAATTTCTTTGAGTTTCCTTAATGCAGCTATTTTGAATTTTCTGTCTGAAAAGTCACGTATCTCTATTTATCCAGGATAGGTCTCTGGTGCCTTATTTAGTTCATTTGATGAGGTCATGTTTTTCTAAATTGTGTTGATGCTAATAGATGTTCTTCAGTGTCTGGGCACTGAAGAGCTAAAGTATTTATTGTAGTGTTCTGTCTGGGATTTTTTGTACTCAACTTTCTTGGGAAGCCTTTCCAGATATCTGGACAGATTTGAGTATTTTGATCTAAACTGTATGTGTTTTAGCAGGCATCCCAAGACCAGTAAAGCTGTGGTTCTTGCAGACTTGTAGAGGTACTGCCTTGATGGTTTTGGACAATATTCAGGATAATTCTCTGGATTACCAAGCAGAGACTCTTGTTCTCTTCTCTTACTTCTCCCAAACAAATTGAGTCTGTCTCCCTGTTCTAAGCCACCTAAAGTTGGGGGTGGAGTGACACAAGCACCCCTGTGGCCACAACCACTGTGACTGGTCTGGGTCAGACCTGAAGCCAGCACAGCACAAGGTCTTGCCGAAGGTCTGCTATAACCACTCTCTGGCTACTGCCTATGTTCACTCAAGGCCCTGGGGCTCTACAATCAGCAGGTGGCAAAGCCAGTCAGGCCTGTGTCCTTCCCTTCAGGGTGGTGAGTATCCTCAGGTTCCAGGTGGGTCTAGAGGTGCCAACCAGGATTCAGGGACTAGAGTCCAAAACCTTAGAAATTTACCTGTTTTCTATTGTACTACAGCTAGGGTGGCACTCAAACCACAAGATGCAGTTGTTCCCACTCTTCCCTCCCCTTTTTAAAGGCAAAGAAGCCTCACCCCGTGGCCACTACCACCACAGGCTTACAGGTAGTACCACCAGACTAATACCAATGTTCCCTTAAAGCCCAAGGGCTCTTTAGTCAGTTTGTGGTGAATGTTGTGTGGCTTAAAAGTCACCCTTCAGAGCAGTGGGGTCTCCTCTGTCCAAGGGCAGGTCCAGAAATGCCAAGAGCCACGTCCTGGAATTGGGCACCCCAACAGCCTGCTTGGTGCTCTACCCCATGTGGCGCTGGTGGCACCTGTGCACCAGTGCAAGGTGAAGCCTCCTTTACTTTTTCCTCTGATTTTCTCAAGCAGAAGGAGTTTCACTCCATCGCCACCACTGCTGGTAATGTGCTGAGTGTCACCTGAAGCAGCAAGTCCTGAGGCTCACTCAAGGCCCTCAATATAGTACCTGGGTATTGCTGCTGGTTATTCAGGGCCCAAGGGCTCTTCAGTTAGTGGGTGATGCATGGCGCCAGGACTGGGTTTTTCTTTTCAAAGCTGTGGGTTCCCTTCAGGCCAGGGTGTATCTGGAAATGTTATCCAGGAGCCAGGGCCTTGTGACTCTGACTAGTGCCCTATTTTTCTGTGGCTGGGTGGGTATTCAAGATGGAAGACAAAGTTCTCCCCACTCTTCCCTCTCATCTCCTTAAGTGGAAGGCTGAATTCTCTTTTGGAACCACAAACTGTGCAGCCTGGGCTTAGGGGAGGGTGATACCAGCACTCCCTTAGCACCCCAGCTGGTGTCTCAGTAATTTGTCTGCCCCTACGTGCCGTCCTTGCCCAGTCCACTGTGTCTGGGCCTGATTCAGCACTAGGACTCACCTAAGAGTTGCAGTCTGTATTAGTCAGAGTTTTCTTTCTTTCTTTTTTTTTTGACTTGAAAAACAAACTTTATTCCAAATTATCCAAAAAAAGTGTTAACTCTGGAACATTTAACAGATTTCATTTAAACTCATATGGTCATAAAACTCAAACTATCAAACAAAAATAGCAGTGTGTGCTTAACCACTTTTAATAATGAACCTTTAAGAGGAAACATTTAGAGACTCCCACAAAATTTGGGAGCCACTAGGCAACATGTATTTAATATTAAACAAAGACAGCATTAAAAACTAAAAATCCTCAAATTTCAAGAGAATGCCTGTTCAAGTCTTTGATATGCATTTGCACATGATAAAAGAAATATTTTAATTTAAAAGAAACCAAGTCTGAGTGCTTACCCTTTCTTCAAATGTAATCTCCTGTTCTCCCTTCATATTATGACTGCATACCCCTCACTCTACTTCATCTACACTGAACCAGTGTTAGTTCAACATGATTGTCTTCACTCAAAGCCCTCTAGATCCTATTTCATATATCCCATCGACCACCATTATTTCCTTACATGTTTGCACAGCCTTATACTGAGTATTACATTGTAACTGGGCTTGGGAATTTCAGGTATCCAAAGGTAATTATATACACACATGTTTCTGTTTTATTGCACAGTTCACAATATAGCCGGTGATTACACAGCCAAACATGTTAAGATGAATATTGACTATTTAGACAAAAACATCGATTTTGTCCCCAACCACAAATGAAACAAGAAAGACACACATATTCGCCACCATATAAAGGTTGTGTTTACTCTGTGGTGCAGTCCTGAGGGATCATATCACTCTAAGTGTGTTAAATCCAGAATCCATAACATTTCTGATGGCATCAGACATGAAGTATAGGACACAAGACCATAAATGTCCTGCTCTCATGAGCCATTTGTGCCACATATGTAACAGAAAGGGCACTTTTAAAGCTTTTCAGATATTCAATCATGTTTGCCTTTTCAAGTTTTTTTTTTTTTTTTTTTTTGAGATGGAGTCTTGCTCTGTCGCCCAGGCTAGAGTACGGTGGCACTGTCTCGGCTCACTGCAACTTCCGCCTTCTGGGTTCAAGTGATTCTCCTGCCTCAGCCTCCTCAGTAGCTGGGATCACAGGCATGTGCCACCATGCCCTGCTAATTTCTTATATAATAGAGATGGGGTTTCACCATGTTGGCCAGGCTGGTCTTGAACTCCTGACCTCAAATGATGTGCCCGTCTCGGCCTCCCAAAATTCTGGGATTACAGGCATGAGCCACTGTGTCCAGCCTGCTTTTTCAAAATTATTACCACACTGGTTCACACTGAAGGTAAAAGCAATAGCTAGAATCTCTTATTAACAACACATTTTGACTTCAAGTTCAGACAAAGCTGTTGGTTACAAGTTCAGCTGAATTTTTGTCAAATTTAAGAAGTCTGTAGGACAACACAAAACCATCCCTGGTAATATATTTGCAGTCTGGTCTTCAAAAGCTGTAAAAAGTGACAAAGAAATTTAAAAAAATTAAGTTGAAACCTTTAAAAATATTTATTTATTTATTTTTTGAGATGGAGTCTTGCTCTGTTGCCCAGGCTGGAGTGCAGTGGCATGATCTCAGCTCACTGCAAGCTCTGCCTCCTGGGTTCACGCCATTCTCCTGCCTCAGCCTCCTGAGTAGCTGGGACTACAGGCACCCGCCACCACGCCCGGCTAAATTTTTGTATTTTTAGTGGAGACAGGGTTTCACCGTGTTAGCCAGGATGGTCTTGATCTCCTGACCTTGTGATCCGCCCGCCTCGGCCTCCCAAAGTTCTGGGATTACAGATGTGAGCCACCGCGCCCAGCCTAAAAATATTTATTAATAATTGTTTTTAAATGCCACTTATTTGAGACAGCAGAAACCAAAGCATTTTCCTTAGAATTCTCACTTAGCTTATATTTCACAAAAGTGCTTCAGATTTCTACCACCTGTATGGAGTGTAAAGACAAAAAGGAAGCCCAACAAAATCAAAGGCCCAGTGGTGTTTATTCCCAGGGCGAAGGCATAACCCCAGGCTAACCCACATGCCCTGTGCTGAGTAGCTGGACACACCTGTGAAGTGCACACATGAATGAGGGGATCAGGCACCAAGGTGCTTTTATTCATTCATTTCTCAAACTCAACTCCCTTCAAATCCTGACTCTATTTAATAGGCCAAAGGATGCTATTCATATTTATTTCATATTTATTTGGTGCCAAATTATTATTATTTTCAAATCCTTACATCTGCACCTTGAAAGTAAACTGCAATATCCAGCACAGCATTGTCAGACAGAGCTGCTGTATGGCTATTAAGTTCATTACTGCCTGGCTAATACTTAATATGCTTCATTCTTTATAGCTGGAAGAAGGATGTTCACTGTATTTAACCAGCCATACAGCATTTAGAGGTAAACAGCTTTTACGGACTATTTGCCCAGAAACTTTAAGTAAACTACCAAGTTGAGGCCCTGATTTTATTTTGGTCAGTATGTGCACATATTCACATGCAATTACCCAGAAAGAAGAAAAACTGATTAACAAGAAACCTACCATCATGTCAGATGCTGGAAGTCAATCTTTAACTACATAATATTTACAGAAAGGGTTTTAAGATTCATAATCCACTTTTTCAGTCTGTCTCTTACGTTTCATTAGTCAATTAGAAGTGGCACATGAGTCATTTTGCTTTATCTGAAAAAAATATTTTCACATTTTCCAATTCCTTTGACAAAGAAGTTTTCATCTGTTGAGGGATGAGAATGCTATTTGGCTATTACCTACTGTTAGAATTCAAACTACCCCTTGAAATGTCTTTATTTAGATCATATGCTCTCAAATTATCTTATTGTTTTACTGACACAAGGGTAAAACTGGGTTCCCAAAATGTCAAAACTCTAATAGAGTCTCTATTTCCAAGAGTATAATAAAAGACAGCCAACACTGTGCGGTGAAAACTATCCTGAGCCCTTTTCCCCCCTCTGCAATATTTAGAAACCCAGGGTGGGGGGAAGTGGGATTGCATTAATAAACTTCTGAAACAAAATGTTATGGAAGTGTTTATTTTTTAAAAGGAGAGTTTTAAGAGAACAGGATGCTTGAATATGACCAACTCCTACTCAAGGGGAAAAATAACCACAGTCCTTTGCTGAGATGGCACCAATAATTCAAAGAAACCAAGCTAAACAGAATTTTATCTATACACAATTAATATGAAAACTTGTTGGAACACCTATTACAAAATTTAAGTCCCTTCATCTTTTGACAATGAAATAAGTGCAATTAACATAAGGATATTTTGGAAGGGTTGAAGGCCACAGTCAGAATCAAACAGAAAACTTTCAAACCCACAGAGCAAAATGAGAACTTTCATAGCTCCTTGATCTACCGTATCTGAATAGAAATAGGATAACGACTATCCAATAGGTGCTTAGTTTCAAAACTAATACAAGCAATTTATCAAGAAAAGCCTATACCTAATAAGCTGTTTTTCTTCTCTGTTCTGCCTCTTTGTCATATGCTTGAGCTTAATGAAGACTACCCTCTGCAGCTGCCCCTGGGGGCAGAGAAGCAAGCAATGGAGTAACAAAGGAAGACTGAGGAGCCCCTGGCCCCTGAGGACCTTCTCTCTGGCCAGTCACAGCCGTTTATGTTTCAATGCAGAAGATTTCAAGACTGGTTTGAGAAAAAGAATCTTATCTTGGGGATTAGGTTCCCTGTCAAAGGCCATCAGATGGACAGCTATTTACCAGGCAATTAGCCTAAGTATCTTAGGTAATGATAAAAAACAAAACAAAACACAAAAAAACCCTTATATTTTCCTATTGGAACCTTTTATTCTATTTTGTTGATGCTTAAGGAAAACAGCTTTGCCCATAACTCACTGTGGCCTGGAGTTATGACACCAACTTGTATTTGGCCAATTAAGGAAGAGGCCAAACTGCATTCTTCTTAGAAGGTCTATTCAGTTGATAAGTGGCACTTAACTGATGTTTTTTTTCATATAACCTTTGCATTGATTATGCCCCAAGAGATAAGGGACAGATGGTAATTCAGATGAGAACCTCTGAAAAGATTTATCAGTTTTCTGTCCCGTTCCAGCCAGATTTTTTGGAAAACCTTGGGGAAAGACTGAAATTCCCCACCAATCTGAGACTGTATGCGAGTTTTTACAACATTAATTGGAAAAAACAGGAATCCCAACATGGCACCCAATAGACCTCCACCGATAAAATCATTGACCAAATGAGAATTGTGAGTCGTCGCGGTAGGCAGATGCTCCTTAACGTGACCTCGAAGGCCGAAAAAAAAAAGACATTGCTGAGTCCATTCTGGAAAAGAATGGGCACCAAACCTCGATAAAACTCTCCAATTCCATGACATTTCAGTGCCTTGAAAGCCTGATAAATGTTGGCAAATTTGTCATGGTGCTTGTGGTCTTGAAGCAATGTCTGAAGTGAAAATTGCTTCCGTTGTCCCTGCAAGCACTGCTGCCACGCCACAGGTTGCAAACTCTGGAGCACTGACATGCTTGTGGAGAAGGTAGGATAAATCCTCATACAGACCAAACGTAAGTGCAAGTGTAGTTGTCTTCTGCATCAATCGGGGAAAGATTCCCCGATACAAGTTTCGAAATCCATCCGTTCTCAACTGAAGTATTGCATCCCCCGTTTTGATGCCATACAGCTGTTGTGGAAAGAGGACCTTCTGAATGGGAAATGTGATTGCGACGTTGTTGAAGGCTGCACAGCAGCCACACAAGTAATGCTTCATTTCACTAAATCTGTAATATGAGGTGACATATCTTGTTTCGAAGATGTTAGTATTGGTGGTCTCTTTCCATGAGCTTCTGAATCCATCATGTTGCTTAAGTTCTTCTTTTTTCATGAAGGACTTTTTCTTTTTTTTTTTTTAAACCTGTAACACCATCCAAGCCTGGAGTTTAACAGAATGATAGCTTTTTGATAATATTCCCAATTTCTTCCATTGTTATTGTTCTGTTAGGTTCTCTCTTCTGGAGTCAATTTTGATAACTGGATTTCCGTTCTCCAGGCGTCCATTTCCCCAGTCTGTGAAAAGCGGGGAGGGGGTTGGACAAGATCACTAAACCCTGTTCCGTCTTTGACACTCCACAGTCAGCGGTCCCGAGGTGAGGAGGCCAGAAATCCCAGTCTCCCGGGAGGCAGGGGCCCTTGCGCGGTGCCAGCTCTGCTCCCTCCGGAGCTCAGGCAGAGCCAGGCTCCTACCCGCCCCTGCGGTTCCTGCGCACCAGGGAGGTGCCTCCCCAGCCCGGGGCGCGACCGAATGAAGGCACAACCTCCTTCGCGGGAAAGGTCGCCCAGCAGCCGGACAAATACCCACCGCAGGAGAAAGAGCCGGGAACCGAAGAGACTCAACTGATTCCGCGCGCGCCGCCTGGGCGCGTTTCACCTCTCTCCAACCATATGCGAGGGGAGCCCGGTCCTTCCCCACGCCCGCCCCGCACTCACCCATCCTAGTTAGGGTTTTCTAGAAGGACAGTACTAATAAGATAGATGTATACATAAAGGGGAGTTTCTTAAGATTATTGACTCATACTATCACAAAGTGAGGTCTCACAACAGGCCCGTCGCAAAATGAGGAGCAAAGAAGCCATTCTGAGTCCCAAATCCTCAAAAGTAGGGAAGCCAACAGTGTAGCCTTCAGTCTGTGGTGGAAGGTCCAAGAGTCTCAAAGCTGAAGAACATGGAGCCTGATGTTCGAGGGCAGGAAGCATCCAGCACGGGAGAAAGATGTAGGCCAGAAGACTAAGTCAGTCTAGTCCTTCCATGTTCGTCTGCCTGCTTTTATTCTGGCCATGCTGGCAGCCCATTAGATTGTGCCCACCCAGATTGAGGGTGGGTGTGCCTTTCCCAGTCCACTGACTCAAATGTTAATCTCCTTTGACAACACCCTCACAGACACACCCAGGATCAATACTTTGCATCCTTCTATCCAATCAAGTTGACACTCAGTGTTAACCATCACACAGTCCTTATGGCCTTGACTGCCTTTCATATTTACTTAAAGAAACAGAGCAGTGTAGGTGGCAAGATTTGCAGGAACTCAAGTTCCAACCATTGGGCCTGTGATTCCTCTGTGGCTGGTCCTGGTTTAAAATCTCTCTGTGGGTGAGCATCATCTCAGTTTGGTCTGGTTTTCCTTTCTGCTCTAACAGGACGGTACTGAGTTCAATGGCTCATAATTGCTGTGTTCTCCCTCCCCCAGCACCCGATAGTCCACAAACCATGCAGCTGCTGCTGGGCTGTGGGAGAGAGGGGGTGTCAGCAATTCAAGACTGTTTTTTCTACCTCTTCAGAGCCTTTCAGTGATACCAAGTTAATACCAGGCACTATGAGGGCTCACCTAATTTACGGTTCTTAAGAAGGTTTTGTGTGTGTGTGTATGTGTGTGTGTAGATGGTTGTTAAATTGGTGTCCTTGTGGGGGGAATGATGGGTGGAGCCTTCTATTCTGCCATTTTGCCCTGCCTCCCCTTTTTCATTTTTTGAAATAATTTGAGAAGAATTGGTGTTAGTTCTTCATTGTAAGTTTGGTAGAATTCGGCAGTGAAACCATTCAGCCTTGGGGCTTTTCTTTGTTGAGAGACTTTTTATCACTCATTGAATCTTGTTACTTACTCATTATTGGCCTGTTGAGGTTTTTTATTTCTTCCTGATTCAACCTTGGTAAGTTGTATGTGTTTAGAAAATTATCCATTTCCTCTAGGCTTTCCAGTTTGTCAGTGTGCAGTTGTTCATACTAGTCTGATGATCTTTTTATTTAGATGTTATCAGTTGTAATATCTCTTTTTCATTTCTGATTTTATTTGGGACCTCTCTTTGTTTGGTTGGTATAGCTAGTAGTTTATTGATTTTATCTTTTTTTTTTCTTTTTGAGATAAAGTTTTATTTCTGTCACCCAGGCTGGAGTCAGTGGTGCGATCTTGGCTCACTACAACCTCCACCTCCCGGGCTCAAGAGATCCTCCCACCTCAGCCTCCGAAGTAGCTGGGACTACAGGCATGCACCACTGTGCCCGGCTAATTTGTGCATTTTTTTTTTTTTTGTAGAGACAGGGTTTCACTATGTTGCCCAGGCTGGTCTTGAACTCCTGAGGTCGTGATCCACCCACCTCAGCCTCCTGAAGTGCTGGGATTACGAGTGTGAGCCACCTTGCCCAGACTGAGTTTATCTTTCCAAAAAACCACTTTTTGTTTCATTGAACCTTTGTATATATTTTTTGTTTCTATTTTGTTTACTTCTGCTCTTATCTTTCTTCTTTCTACTAATTTTGGGCTTTGTTTGTTCTCACTTTTTTAGTTACTTGAGGTGTATCATTAGATTGTTTGTTGGAAATCTCTCAATTTTTTTGATGTAGATGTTTATTGCTATGGACTTTCCTCTTAGCATTACTTTTCCTGTATCCCATAGGTTTTGGTATGTTGTGTCTTGATTTTCATTTGCTTCAAGATTATTAAAAATTTCCTTCTTAATTACTTCCTTGACTAAAAGGTTGTCAAGGATCATGTTGTTGATTTCCATGTTTGTCTAATTTTCAAATAATAAGAATTATTGATTTCTAGTTTTATTCCATTGTGGTCTGAGAAGATACTTGATATAATTTAGACTTTAAAAAAAATTTGTTGAGACTTGTTTTGTGGCCTGTCATATGGTCTATCCCAAGGAATGTTCCTTGTACTGATGAGAAGAATGTGTAGTCTGTAGCTGTCATATGAAAAGTTCTATAAATTTGGTCTAAAGTGCAGTTTAAATCCACTGTTTCTTAGTTTATTTTCTGTCTAGATGATCTATCTAATAATTAGAGAGTGGGGTGTTGAAGTCCCCAACTTTTCTTGTATTGTAGTCTATCTTTCCCATTGGAGGTAATAATATTTGCTTTATATGTCCATATACTCCAGTGTTGGGTGCATACATATTTAGAATTATTTTATCTTCTTGCTGAGTTGATCCTTTTATCATTATATAATAACCTTCTTTGTCTCATTTTACTATTTTTGACTTAAAGTCTGTTTTATCTAATAGTACAGCTACTCCTGCTTGCTTTGGTTTCCATTTATGTGAAATATTTTTTTTCCACCCCTTTATTTTTAGTCTGTGTCTTTACAGGTAAAGTGAGTTCCTTGTAGGTGGTGGTATATGGTTTGGTCATTTTTTTATTTTTTATTTTATTTTTTGAGACGGAGTCTTGCTGTGTCCCCCAGGCTGGAGTGCAGCGGTGCAATCTCGTCTCACTGCAAGCTCCTCCTTCTGGGTTCATGCCATTCTCATACCTCAGCCTCCTGAGTAGCTGGGACTACAGGCGCCTGCCACCACGCCCGGCTAATTTTTTGTATTTTTAGCAGAGACGGGGTTTCACCATGTTAGCCAGGATGGTCTCGATCTCCTGACCTCGTGATCCACCTGCCTTGGCCTCCTTCCTTTCCCTTCCCTTCCCTTTTTTTTTTTTTTTTTAACTTTGTTCTGTTTAAAAAAGTCTGACTGGGTTATTTTGAAAGACTTGTCTTCACATTCTACAATTCTTTCTTCTGCTTGATATAGTCTATTGTTGAAGCTCTTGATTATTTTAAAATTTCATTTATTGAAATTAATCATTTTCAGGATTTCTGTTTGATTCCTTTTTAATGATATCTATCTCTTGTAAATTTCTCATTCATATCCTGAATTATTTTTCTAATTCTTTTGTATTATTTATCTGGGTTCTTGTGTATCTCACTGAGCTCCTTTTAAACAATTGTTTTGAATTCTTTTCCAGGCATTTCATAAGTTCCTTTTTCATTGGAATCTATTGCTGGATAATTATTGTGTTCCTTTGGAGGTGTCATATATCCTTGCTTGTTCATGTTTCTTTTGTCCTTTCATTAATATCTGTGCATCTGGTGTAAGAGTGGTTTTTAAAATTTTTTGGATTGGCATTTGTAGGGCAAGACTTTTTCCTGTAGATTTATCTATTGTATTGGTTGAGTAAAACACTTTAGGTTTGATTATGGGTACGTGCAGTAGTGTTGTCACCATATAATTTCTTTGCCTATGAATACTGTCAATATTGTCTGTGATTCCTTCAGTGACTTAGGCTGCAGTTGTTAATGGAGGATGTGATGAGGTTTTTCTGGGATAGGATGCCAGGTGGGCCAGTCCACAGGCCCCAGTGGTGGCAGCAGGCAGAGCATGCCTGTTCTTGGGCCCCTGGGTGGCATACACAGGCACTAGTGTTAGAGGGTCTTGGCAGGATGATTCTTGGGCTTCCAGTCAGCTTTCTTGGGTGCCAGTGATGACAGCACTTGGTCAGATAGGTGGGCAAGTCCTTGGTCTCTGAGCAGAGCGTGTGGTCATAAGTGATGACAATAGGCAGGGTGGGACAACCCTCAGGCTCCTAGGTGGCAAACACTGGTGTTAGCAGTGGGTGTGACAGGCTGGGCAGGCCAGTTTCCAGCTTCTCAGGTGGGTGTGGGTGAGTGCCAGTGGTGGCAGACTGGCAGGCCCATCTTCAGGCCCCCAGGAGGACAGTATAGATATCAGTGGTAGTAGATTAGGTGGGGCACCACTCAGGCCTTAGGGTGGTGTGCTTGGGCACTGAGGTGGGCCATGCCAGGTGGGGCAGGCCTGTCCTCAGTCTCCCCTTTATGGTGTCCACAGGCATAGGTTGTGGTAGGCTAGGTGGGGCAATCTCCAGGCTTCTGGATGGTGTGCTAGGGTGCTGGTGGTGGCAGGCATTCTGGAGTTGTCATTAGATCCTTTGGTGGTATACATGTGTGCCTTGGACAACTGATGGGTGGAACAATCCCAAGGCCCCCAGGCAGGGGGCTTGGGCCATGAGTGGCAGTGGCAAGATGAGCAGGTCTGTCCATAGGCCCTTCAGTGGCATACACAGGTGCAGGCTGCAGTGGGAGAGGTGAGGCTATCCTCAAGTTCTCGATGGTGTGCTTGATTGGCAGTGGCAGTGGTGGCAGTGGGTGGGAAAAGCCTGTCTTCTCAGGGCATGGGCAAGTGCATGGCAGCCCTGCTGCTGGGGAGAGGTAGAGTTGTTGACAGTGGCAGCCACCCCAGACAGGTGGCTCTCAGGATATGGGGAGTGCACACTTCATCCTAGTGGCAGTGGCTGGCAGGGAGAGCTTATTCTCAGAGTGCATGCAAGTGCATGGTAGTCCAGCTGCTGGTGGGAGCAGAGATGCCGTCAGTGGCAGTGGCATGAGGCAGGTGGGATTCAGGCTCTAGGAAAAATGTGATTTGACTCCCTTTATCCTGGGGGCAGTTTCCTTTGAGTGCGGCACCACCCTTTCCCCAGGGTGCAGGAGAGCATGTGGGCTAGAGTGCTGAAAACCTTGCAAGTCTGTTGCGTTTAACTGTGGCACTCCAGGTGAACATGGGGAGATGTTGGTGGGGCTCTGGGCAATATAGTGATGCAGGAGCTGTTGGATTCCAGGGCAGGATGTAGTCTTATGGGTTCTGGGCTCTCAAAATGGTACCATGCTGCAGCTGTCTGGGTATCCAGGAAATGTGTGGGACCTCGCATGAGCTCCCTTTCTGGAGCAATGTTGTAGTACAGACTCCAGGGGGCTCTCTATACCAGTCTCAGGGCCCATGGCAGTTGAGGGGCTCTCCGGTGGCTAAGATTGCAGGAGTTAATGATGGGAATGTGAAACTGCTGGAGATCTCTCTCTTACCCTTTCCCCACACTGGGGAGCTGCTCAGGGCTTCCAGCTGATCCCAGTTGGGCTTTCCCACTCGCCCCGCCGTCTTTTCATGCGTCAAGTGTTTTCTGTCACTTTTTTGCTGAATTCCAGCATTCTTTCTTAGACGCTCTGTTTGAAGTGTGATAATCCAGTCGCTATTTTGATTCTTCTCTGTGGAGGAGGCTAGTGTCCAGTGCTTCTAGTAAGCCATCTCAAAGCCCCTCCTCTATAGTTTTATTTTAAATTTATCAATATTAACAAGTAGATCAGTTGACTTCCCTTCTAAAAGGTGAAGAGTTAATCACATGTAAGTATCCTTCTTCTTCCTCCTTCCACTTCATGAAAATTGTTATTTATTTATTTTCATTTGGTATATATACTCACAATGGTATCTCTTATGAATTATCTTCTTGTGCCACATGCGACACTTAAATCAAGCTACTTGTCATTTAAAAAATGCCATTTGAATTAAAAATTATTTAAAATATTTAGAAAAGTTTTTTAATAGATTCATTCAGAAAATATTTATTAAGGATTGTGTAATGGGCTGAATTGTGTCACTGCAATGTTCATATATTGAAGTTCTCACCCCTAGTATGTCAGAAGACGACGGTATTTGGAGACAAAGTTTTTACAGAGTGAATGAAGTTAAAATGAGCGTGTTAGGGTGAGCCTTGATTGAATATGACTGATGTCCTTATAAGAAGAGGAGGTTAGGACACAGACACATAGAAGATCATGTGAAGAGGGGAGAAGAAGTTCCCATAAATAAGCCAAGGAAAGAGGCCTCAGAAGAAGCCACTATGAGATATCACTATACACCTCTTAGAATGGCTAAAAAAAGTTCATAGTTTCGAATGTTGGCAGAGGTTTGGAGAAACTCGATTTTTCATACATTGCCAGTAAGAAAGTAAAATAGTATAACTACTTTGGGAAACTCTTTCATATTTACCTAAAAAGGTATCTATATACACCATTCTTAACTAACAATCCATACTGGGCATTTATCCTAGAGAATGGAACTATGTTCACTTAAGAAATTTGCACACAAATGTTTATAGCAGTGATATGGTTTGGCTGTGCCCTCACCCAAATCTCATCTTGAATTGTAACTCCCACAATTCCCACATATCATGGCAGGAACCTGGTGGGAGGTGATTGAATTTTGGGGTGGGTCTTTCCCATGCTGTTCTTGTGATAGTGAATAAGCCTCATGAGATCTGATGGCTTTAAAAAATGGGAGTTTGCCTGCACAAGTTCTCTCTTTGCCTGCTGCCATCCACGTAAGATGTGACTTGCTACTCCTTGCCTTCTGCCATGATCATGAGGCCTCCCCAGCCATGTGGAGCTGTGAATCCAATTACACCTCTTCCTTCTGCAAGTTACCCAGTCTCGGGCATGTCTTTATCAGCAGCATGAAAATGGACTAATACAGTAAATTGGTACCAGTAAAGTGGGGTGTTGCTGAAAAGATACCTGAAAATGTGGAAGCAGCTTTGGAACTGGGTTACAGGCAGAGGTTGGAACAGTTTGGAGGGCTCAGAAGAAGACAGGAAAATGTGGAAATGTTTGGAATTTCCTAGAGACTTGTTGAATGGCTTTGACCAAAAGCCTGATAACAATATGGACAATAAGATCCAGGCTGAGATGGTCACAGATGGAGATGAGGAACTTGTTGGAAACTGGAGCGAAGGTGACTCTTGTTATGTTTTAGCAAAGAGACTGGTGGCATTTTGCCCCTGCCCTAGAGACTTGTGAAACTTTGAACTTGAGAGAGATGATTTAGCATATCTGGAAGAAGAAATTTCTAAGCAGCAAAGCATTCAAGAGGTGACTTGGGTGCTGTTAAAGGCATTCAGTTTTATAAGGGAAGCAGAGCATAAGAGTTTGGAAAATTTGCAGCCTGACAATGTGATGGAAAAGAAAAACCCATTTTCTGAGAAAAAATTCAAGCCAGTTGCAGAAATTTGCATAAGTAACGAGGAGCCCAATGTTAATCCTCAAGACAATGAAGAAAGTGTCTCTAGGGCATGTCAGAGGTCTTCACAGCAGCCCTTCCCATCACAGGCCCAGAGGCCTAGGAGAAAATAGTTTTGTGGGCTGGGCCCAGGGTCCCTGTGCTGTGTGTACCCTAGGGACATGGTACCTTATGTACCAGCCACTCCAGCCATGGCTGAAAGGAGCCAACATAGAGCTTGAGCCATGGCTTCAGAGGGTGCAAGCCTCAAGCCTTGGCAGCTTCCACATGGTGTTGAGCCTGCTAGTGCACAGTAGTCAAGAATTGGTGTTTGGGAACCTCCTCCTAGATTTCAGGGGATGTATGATAATGCCTGGATGTCCAGACAGAATTTTGCTGTAGGGGTGGGGCTGTCATGGAGAACCTCTGATGGAGCAGTGCAGAAGGGAAATGTGGGTCAGAGCCCCGACACAGAGTACCTATTGGGGCACTGCCTAGTGGAGCTGTGAGAAGCGGGACACCGTCCTCCAGGCCCCAGAATGGTAGATCCACTGACAGTTTGCACCGTGTGTCTGGAAAAGCTGCAGACACTCAACTCCAGTCCATGAAAGCAGCTGGGAGGGAGGCTGTACCCTGCAAGGCCACAGGGGCAGAGCTGCCAAGACCATGGGAACCCACCTCTTGCATCAGTGTGACCTGGATTTGAGACACGGAGTCAAAGGAGATCATTTTGGAGTGTTAAGATTTGACTGCCCTGCTGGATTTCAGACTTGCATGGGGCCTGTAAGCCCCTTTGTTTTGGCCAATTCCTCACATCTGAAATGGCTGTATTTACCCAGTGCCTGTACCCCCATTGTATCTAGTAAGTAACTAACTTGCTTTTGATTTTACAGGCTCATAGGTGAAAGGGACTTGCCTTGTCTCAGATGAGACATTGGACTGTGGACTTTTGAGTTAATGCTGAAATGAGTTAAGTCTTTTGGGGACTGTTGGGAAGGCATGATTGGTTTTGAAATGTGAGGACATGAGATTTGGGAGGGGCCAGGGGTGGAATGATATGGGTTGGCTGTGTCCCTACCCAAATCTCATCTTGAATTGTAACTCCCACAATTCCCACATATCATAGGAGGAACCCTGTGGGAGGTGATTGAATTTTGGGGCTGGTCTTTCCCGTGCTTTTCTTGTGATAGTGAATAAGTCTTTATGAGATCTGATGGCTTTAAAAAAATGGGAGTTTGCCTGCACAAGTTCTCTTTTTGCCTGCAGCCATTCACATAAGATGTGACTTGCTCCTCCTTGCCTTCTGCCATGATCATGAGGCCTCCCCAGCCATGTGGAACTGTGAGTCCAATTATACCTTTTCCTTTTGTAAATTGCCCAGTCTCAGGTATGCCTTTATCAGCAGTATGAAAACAGACTAATACAAACAGCTTTATTTATAATAGCCAAAGTGGAAACAATCCAAATGTCTTTCCACTTATGAATAGTGAAAGAAACTTTAATACACCTAGAGAATAGAATCTTACTTAACAATTTAAGAAAATCAACGGCCGGGCACGGTGGCTCACACCTGTAATCCTAGCACTTTGGGGGGCCGAGGCGGGCGGATCACGAGGTCAGGAGATCCAGACCATCCTGGCTAACATGGTGAAACCTCGTCTCTACTAAAAATACAAAAAATTAGCCAGGCGTGGTAGCAGGTGCCTGTAGTCCCAGCTACTCGGGAGGCTGAGGCAGGAGAATGGCGTGAACCTGGGAGGCGGAGCTTGCAGTGAGCTGAGATCGCACCACTGCACTCCAGCCTGGGCGACAGAGAGAGACTCTGTCTCCAAAAAAAAAAAAAAAAAAAGAGAAAATCAACAACAAATTACTTACCGCAACAACTTGGGTAGATCTTGAGAACATTATGCTTAGCGAAGAAAGTCAAACTCAAAAAGGTTATATACTATGTGATTCCATTTTATAACATTTTTGAAATGACAAAATTATAGAGATAAAGAGCAAGTGAGTGGTTGCCAGGGATTTGGGAAGGGGGATGGGTGCGGGTGTGACTATAATGTGTAACCTAAGAGAGTTCTTTTGTGGTGAAGTAACAGTCCTATACCTTGAATGTGGTGGTAGTTATGTCAATCTATACATGTGATAAAATGTCATAGAATGATTCGCAAAGGGAAATCTGCAACCAAAAAAAAAAAAAATGAGTGTATAAAAACTAGTGAAATCTGAATGGTTAGCTATGGTATAGATAATTTTATTGCACCAGTGTCAATTGCCTGATAATATACTATATTTATGCAATCTGTCATCATTGGTGTAGGTTGGGTGTAGGGTACACAGGAACTCTCTGTACTAGTTTTGAAACTTCTGGTTAACCTGTAATTAATTCAGAATGAAAAGTTAAGAAACAATGGAAAGAGCAGTTGGTTGGGTTGACTACCTACTACCTATGTGGATAATTGAAGTCACCAAGAATGAGGGTGATGTCGATGAGGGGTATGTTAATGAGAAGTTTGTAAACTAAGACACACGGGCCATAAGATCATATAATAAGCATCATACACACATCTGTAAAATGAAGCATTAAATTTTGTCATATTTTCTTCCAATTGGTCTTTAAAATAAATAAATACAATTTTACAGCTATATCTAGAGGCTCAAACTTGCATCTCTCCTCTCACTGATCTCTTCAGAGCTTCTGAAATTGATATTCATTATTCTCTCATATGTGTAGCTGGATGTTGAAACAGAAGTTTTAATTGAAATATCAAGACACTAGGCTGGGTGGGGTGACTCACACCTGTAATCCTAGCACTTTGGGAGGCCGAGGCGGGCAGATCACCTGAGGTCAGGAGTTCAAGACCAGCCTGGCCAACATGGAAACCATGTCTCTACTAAAAAAAAAAAAAAAAAAAAGACATTGTAGATACCACATTTCAAAAGAGGTGCAAGGTGAAATGCAGAATTTAAATGTGAAGTTTTTGGATAACCAATTACCAACTCTCAGTCCATCATCCATATCAAGCCTATAAAAAAGTTTAGAGTTGGATTTTTATGTGAGGAATAAAATGTTGAACTTAATTTAAAGATAAACTATCTTCCCTAATTCCACTTTGGGTCTTTTGCAGGCAAAAATGCTGCACCAGAGAAGAGGGTGCTTTCCACTGCTTCTCTCTTTCCCCCTACTCCCACACTTCTCTTTGTTCTATCTCCCTGTTGTTTTTACCAATGTTTTCTGACCCTGAAGGATTTGACATATTCCGGGGAGGAATGTTGGGAGGGTAAGACATTGCCTTTTGGCTTCTCCTGCTAGGCTGACCTGGCTGGCCTGCACAAGACTTGGCCATATTAAACAGTTCATTCCAACTAATTTCACAAAAGGATTGCCAACCCCTATCACTTCAAGGCCACTACAGACACTGGTCGTTGTTTAAAGCACTCCAGCCTTATGAGCCTTCTTTTTTAAAAATTAAATTAAATTTTTTTTAGAGACAAGGTCTTGCTCTGTTGCCTAGGCTGGAGTGTAGTTGTGCAATCCTGGCTCACTGCAGCCTTGACCTTCTGCACTGAAGCGATCCTCCCACCCCAGCGTCTCAAGTAGCTGTGACTACAGGCATGTGCCACTGTGCCTGACTAATTTTTAATTTTTTGTGGAGATGGTGTCTTGCTGTGTTGCCCAGCTAGTCTTGAACTCCAAGCCTCAAACTCCTGGACTCAAGAGATTCTCTTGCCTCGGTCACCCAAAGTTCTGAGACTACAGGCATAAGTCACTGTGCCTGGCCTTTAGAGTCCTCTTAAGAGGGATCTTGCAACTATGACCAGTCCATTTTCATGCTGCTCATAAAGACATACCCAAGATGGGGGCAATTTATAAAAGAAAAAGGCTTAATTGGACTTACAGTTCCATGTGGCTGGGGAAGCCTCACAATCATGGCAGAAGGCAAGGAGGAGCAAGTCACGTCTTACATGGATGGCAGCGGGCAAAGAGAGAGAACTTGTACAGGGGAACTCCTCTTTTTAAAACCATCAAATCTCGTGAGACTTACTCACTATCATGAGAACAGCATGGGAAAGACTTGCCCCCATGATTCAATTACCTCCCACTGGGTCCCTCCCACAACACATGATAATTCAAGATGAGATTTGGGTGGGAACATAGCTAAACTGTATCAGTGACAAAATACTTGGGGTGGCACAAGGAAAGAAACTCATTTACATACAGATCACCATTCCCTAAATTACTTCTATGCTTTTATTAACAATGCTACTATGAATTCCCTCCTTTCCCATTTCCAGAAAAAAAAAAGAATTTATTGGTTAAGTTGAGAAAGATGGAGATGTTCTTCGTTTAGACTGCTTTTTCTAAGAAAAAAAAAAAAAACCCAGGAAAAACAAGGCTAAAATTAATCTACCCAAAGTCATTGAGGAATCACTAAGACACTTCAGAGGCATGAGGCTGAGAGAAGAGCAGGTAACTGTCAATGCTGGCAGGGTAGTGTTGCTCTCAAAGTCCTGTCTGACTGACAGGGCAGAGGTTCTTCCTCACTGCTCCAATCTGCTTCCCGACATCTCCAGGGTTTCCTGAGGAAGCCGCCCTCCACCTTCATCCACCTCAGGTGTGTCCTGCAGAGCCTTCTGGAGAACCAGCTTCAGGTTCTGCCAATTTTGACGCTGCCTAAAGGAGCCCATGAAGAAGTAAATGATGGGGTTGGCACTGCTGTTAAGAGAGGACAGGACATCTGAAACTGGTTGCAAATGACAAAGGAAGATATCAAAATCCACGAGGATCCAGAATAATAGGAACCACTTAATGCCTAAGGGCAGGCTGCAAATAAGGAAGAGCAGCACTGTGAGCAGGATGGTCACACAGCGTGGTCAGCAGGATGTGCAGGGAGCCACAGAGGATCCTGACCAGCAGGACCAGGCTGGACTCACAGAGAACCACAAAAAAAATTTAAAAATATAAAAACCAGCCACACTGCAGTGATGAAATCAAATGTCCAACACCAACCATAGTCACCATTACTAACTAAGAAGCCACAAAACTTCCCTTCCAGGGTGTTCAGCAGCAGGGACAGGGCCCAGGGCAGGGCACACATGACAGTTGACAGGTTTCTTGGGCAGCAGCAGCAGTACCAGATAGGCCGCAGGACAGACAGGCAGCACTCAGTACTGATGGCACTCAGCATGCTCAGGCCTACAAGGTAGGCAAAGGTCATCACGCTGGTGAAGAAATTCAGAGTGTTCAAGTCACAAGTAAGAAGAGGAGTCTCATTTGTTTTTATTTACTGGTGTGAGCTCTGTCCTTCAGGCTGGAATGATTGGATCCATGCTCAGAACCCTCCACTGGTGCCCCTGGAAGGTTAGTGGGAACACAAACAAGATTTAAACACCATCTGTATGATCTCTGATTTGTAGGACCACTCTGCAATGTGTGAATTACTGTCCCCATTTTACAGAGAAGGGAGACTGGCTTATAGAGAATAAATAGCAAATCAAAAGGTAGAGATCCCTTGAAACTAGATTCAAACCCAGTTCTCGCCGGTTCTAAAGCCTGGGCTCTATTGCAACAGAGGTCCTCTGCTGACATGGGACTATTCTATGCTGGAAATACCTTCACTCAGCTGGCTAGGGCTATGGACCCAAGCATTACTCTCTCCTGGGCCAGAAATTTTCCCTCAGGTGCAGGAATTCAGAAAGACAAAGAGATGGCTGTGACACCCCCATGACTAGGAGTGGTCTATCCATGGAGGAGAAAGAAGACCATGATTTAAGGGACATGAGAGCAATGTAATATTTTGCTAGGAGAGATGTAAGAATGGCTGGGCCTTGTGGGTTAGAAATGGCTCCGTGTGTCAGTCATTGAAGTCAGAAGCACCTTTTATAACCCTAGTGTCTAGCTCCTTGTTCAGCACACTGTGTTCTCCGCAAATATTTATTCAATGAATGAATGCGTGAATGAGGAGCCTAATGGTAGTAGCAGATTTGGTGGTTAAACGGGAAATAAAAATGAAAGCACAATTAAAAGCATTAGAACACACATGTATAATGAGATGAAGAAAATTTCATTTATTCAGAATTCTTTTTCTGGACAGCTCTGTGTGTGTTAGAGTAATTACTGATGTGTGCCCAAATAGCTGAAGTTGACCACTGATGTGCCTTTGATATGAGAACTCAGTATGGCTTTGCTGAACATCTGGAAGCATTTTGGTACACAATGTTGGAGTAGGAAGTGGATTTGAGCTGAAGTGCTCAGCAATATAGTGAATGAAGGAGTAAGTGTGAGGTCTGAGTGCCACTGAAGGAGGAAATTGAAGTGTGGGAATAGAGACGGAGGACTACTAAGTGGTGTGCTGGGTGTGCACAACATAAACCTACTTCACTCTTTCCCAGGAGATCTTTAGAAGAGTTTCTTTTGCTGGCTAAATCTTCTGTGTGAGAGGAGTCTATGTTGGGATGTAGAAAAAGCGCCAGGCTTGGAGTATAAAGAGAGATGCTCATGCAGATTTCAACTGGAGACAGAGGACTAGCTCTCATCCGGGTAAATAACAGCAGCTGATTGAGAGTTTACCAGCTACTACTGTCTCCTTTAATCCTCTCAAGAGCTTAGGAGGGAAGAATTATTAATATTCCCATTTTACAGACGATGGCATAGGGGCACAAAATGGATGCATAATTATTCCTTGGTCTCACACAATGTGGATTTGAACCTAACAGGGCTGCCTCAGGTTTCAATCTTAGGTCCAGCCCTTTGGCCCCAACACCACCAAGCGTTCAATACACACGTTTGAGGGGGAAAGCAGGGGAGTAATTCCCAAGTTACATCCAAGTTGATTGTCAAGATCGGGGGTTGAAAAAAAAGCTAACTATAACAAGCTTCAGTTAGAGAGAGAATAAGAAGCAAATCAAATAGGAAACAAAAGAGAGATGAGTGAAAGCCAATTAGGAACAGATAGGAGAATCCTGGAGCCCTTTTCTACCTTACAAATGTAGCCATCACTCAGTCATCCAGAGGATTCAATAAATCAGGAGGCCTCTAAGTGGAAAGAGGATGCATTTTCTTCTGAGGGTGGAGAGAAGCATCAGGCGTGGATGCATCCACTATGAGCTCTCTTAGAGAGACAAACTCCCACAGCCTTGGTTGGCCAGGAAAAGAAAAGGAAGGAAAACCAAGACTTCTGTTGCTCCCACGCAAGGTACTGAACAGTTTGTAAATGTATTATTAGGGTGTGATACATTTGTCTTCCTTATCAAAGCTGAACCTTCATAACTAAGTCATACCTGTATTTGTTCACTACTGTGTCCTCAACATTTAGCATGTGCTCTTTTAGGGCCTCTTTTTGTAATATTCTCAGTTAATACAGGAAGAGGCTTAAAGAGTACATTGGATTTTCCTGTTCACATCATGAATAGCATGGCCAATACCAGCCTCTGTCTCCTGGAGCCCTGTCTGAGGCTTTTCCACTGTCTTCTGCCCTATCAATCATTATTTCTTGGGGGAAACCCAAAAAATTGTCATGTGAACACAGAATCTGAGAGACTATTATGGTCTGTAGAGACTGCTAGTGTCCCCTGCTAACCATTCCTCTCCTCAGTCACATAGTATTTCCCTTTTTTTTTTTTTTCTGAGATGGAGTCTCACTCGGCTGCCCAGGCTGGGGTGCAGTGGTGTGACCTTGGGTCACTACAACCTCCACCTCCCAGGTTCAAGTGATTCTCCTGCCTCAGCCTCCTGAGTAGCTGGGATTACAGGCACCTGCCACCATGCCTGGCTAATTTTTGTATTTTTAGTAGAGACAAGGTTTCACCATGTTGGCCAGGCTGGTCTGGAACTCCTGACCTCAGGTGATCCACCCGCCTTGACCTCCCAAAGTGCTGGGATTACAGGTGTGAGCCACTGTGCCTGGCCTGTCACATAGTATTTCTGAGAGTTATAAATCATGACAAGGATCCTATTTACCCCAACCCCTGCCTTGATGTGCATGACATCTTGTGATTAGGCACTAGACAATGGTAGGTGAGCAGATATGGTGTAACTGACTCTTGGATTAATGGAAGAAGTGTGGTCTCCCTCTCTCCTCTTCTTCTTCATCCCAGGCTGGAATGTTGATGTCACTGGAAGCCTGCAGAATCACAAGGATGAGGGCACCTCTCTAGGGATTAGGGAGCAGCAACATGGAAGGGCTTCTGGTGTCTGATGCCTGGAACCTCCAGCCCAACCCAGGTCTAGTAAACTTTGTTACAGAAGTCATTGTTACTACGGGACTTTTTTAAAGCAGCCACACTTACACTCTGACCAATAAGCAAAAAGTTTTTTCTTTTTCAATTGCATTCCATTTTCAGGGAATTTTTGATGAATATGGAAGATTATTTCATTAAGTGACACTAGAGAAAGAAAGTGCAAACAGGACAAAAAGTAACTGATGGAGATGTGATGAAAAAAATGGTTTAATAACATTTAGATAGAGAAAACCCCAGGAATAAAGGGAGGTTTGAGGGATCATCTCATTGGCCCTGGATATTTTTTCCCCACCTTTTTCCATTCTGTTTGACATCTGAAGAGGGATGCTTACCTCATCAGTGGTATTCTTTTCCTTCTGCTTTCTGGTTGAATTGAGCCACTGGGAGATCCCAGCAGGAGGAGAGTCATTTCGGATTTTCACTTCCTGGCTCTCTGCCTATGTGGCTGTGTGTTGGTGATGCAGGGCTCCTCTGCCTGCCTGGTCGTCCTCTCCCGCCCCTACAGCTAGCTACAGGTAAAGCTATGATTTCAATGATAACTCCTCCTTCCCTGTCCCTTTAAACCTAGGAGAGGAAGCAGTGCTCCACTATTGCTGCTTAGGGTGCTGCCCCAGGCATTGTCTCTTTCCTTTAATTCGGCCCATCTTAGTAAATAGTTCCCTCATGAAACACTCCTCAATTATTTCAGTTAGGACTATTTGTTTCTTCCTGGACCTTTCCAAATATACAAAGGAGAATAACTTTGAAAAGCAAGTAATGCAATAAAACCTGGGTGTACAGCAGTTCAGCTCTGGGAAGCAATACCTGTATGTTATCCTAGTCCTTAAATGAATGTAAGAGGCAGCTTCTTTCCATGAAAGCAGATTTGAATGGTTGGAATAAAAGGAGTGATACAGGGAGATGGATCTGAAGAGAGAAAGGTCCGCTTGACTCCGTTTGGAACTGCCATAGTTTAGGCTGCCAGTACTCAGCCTCCAGAAGGAGGGCTTATATCTCCTGCCTTTTCCTGAGGGAGGCACCATCACCCACTGCATGTAGCACTCCAAGGTATAAGCACAGGGATATAAAACTAGAGCAAAAGTTATAACTGGAAATCAGACAGTTTTTGGTATATATCCTTACCTTTCCTCCATTCTTTTGTCCAGAGGTAGAGAGTTGTCTGGTGCTGAATGGGGACAGCCTTCCTTGGACTGAGTGATGCCTGAGGATTTTTCTTGTTTTTCCTTTTTCTTTAATGAAATTATTGTTATTTAAATAGTTTTGAGGGAACAGGTGGTGTTTGGTTACATGAATAAGTTCTTTAGCGGTGATTTCTGAGATTCTGGTGCACCCATCACCCAAGCAGTGTATACTGTATCCAATATGTAGTCTTTTATCCCTCACTTCCCTCCCGCCCATCCCCTCAAGTCCCCCAAGTCCATTATATCATTCTCATGCCTTTGCGCCCTCATAGCTTAGCTCCCACTTAAAAGTGAGAACATACAATGTTTGGTTTTTCATTCCTGAGTTACTTCACTTAGGATGATGGTCTCCAAATCCAACCAGGTTGCTGCGAATGCCATTATGTTGTTTCTTTTTCTTCATCCACTCATTGGTTGATGAGCATTTAGGCTGGTTCCATATTTTTGCAATTGCAAATTGCGCTGCTATAAATATGTGTTTACGGTTGCGCGTGGTGGCTCATGCCTGTAATCCCAGCACTTTGGGAACCCGAGGCAGGTGGATCACCTGAGGTCAGGAGTTCGAGACCAGCCTGACCAATATGGTGAAACCCCGTCTCTACTAAGAATACAAAAATTAGCTGGCATGGTGGTGTGCACCTACAGTCCCAGCTACTCGGGAGGCTGAGACAGGAGAATTGCTGGAACCTGGGAGGTGGAGGTTGCAGTGAGCTGAGATCACGCCACTGCACTCCAGCCTGGGCAATAGAGTGAGACTCCGTCACAAAACAAAACAAAACACTATGCGTTTACAGTGTCTTTTAAATATGATTTCTTTTCTACCTGAGGATTTTTCTATGTTCTCTAATTGTGGAGATGCCTTCAGGAGCAGAAGTGAAAGTTGATGACTAAGCCAGGCTTATCAAGTTGCTGGACATCTTGTGATTTCCTGCACAAGAACTACAGAAAAATTAGAGACCAGAGGCATTTGAGGCAGGATTTCTCACTGAGATGTTTCTTAGCCTCTACCCCATTTCCATAACACATTAGCCTCTCTCATTCCATCCTTTCTGGTTCACCTCCCTGTAAGTAATTGCTGTTCTGGACCCTTAATTGCCAACTGCAAGCCTAGGTAGTACCATCAAGCAATGAGAGCTTGCATTGTGGAGCTTTATAACTAAAGAATAAAGTGGATCATAGGGTCATTCAATACTTACAATGGCCTGATTCTACTTTTTTTGGTATGTTTTCTTTTTTTTTTTTTTGTGATTCCAAAATAGAGATTTATTTATTAAGGATTATTTAGTTTCTGCATAAAAATCTCCAGTTGCTCCTCATTGGGTTTTTTCTTTTAAAACACACATCAACTCTTTTGGGGTTGCTTTGTTTGCCCCAGCACTTTAAAAAATACAGCTCTTTTTAGCGCCAGGAAGAACAGTTAAGGTTAAGGCAGTGAGGCATTTTCTTGGATCTTAGCAGCTGAAGGGTTCATCTCTCCCCATCAAGAGAATACACACAGTAGGTAGTTTCTTAGGTTGGAAAATCTGTCCCTGAAGGAAATAATTCTGCAGAAGAATGCAAACAGAGTCTTCTATGGTCAATTGTTTGTGCCCTATAGCTTTGAAAGAAATGCCTCTTGGTCATCAAAGACTTGCTGGTTGGTTTCAGCTGTAAAACAATAATAACAAAAACAACCAGAAAAACGAAAACAAACAAAAAACCCTGTTTAGCGAGACAGAAAGAGCAGGGTTTATAATATTGCTGTGAGGCTGGGCTGTGCAAAACACATGAGAATACACACCAGTTTGCTTTTTAAAAAAATCCCACATAGGGGCCCTGCATAATTTCAAATCAAGCTCTTTATAGTCCTTAAAATAACCAAAATAGCAATACAGCGAGAGTCTCATAAGGTCACGTGCTTTTTTTTTTGAGCCGGAGTTTCGCTCTTGTTGCCCAGGCTGGGATGCAGTGGCGCGATCTCGGCTACTGTAACCTCCACCTCCCGGGTTTTAGTGATTCTCCTGCCTCAGCCTCCCAAGAAGATGGGATTACAGGCATGCGCTACCGTGCCTGGCTAATTTTTTATTTTTAGTGGAGACAGGGTTTCACCATGTTGGTCAGCCTGATCTCAAACCCTGACCTCAAGTGATCCACCTGCCGCTTTTTTTTTTTTTTTGAGACGGAGTTTTGCTCTTGTTGCCCAGGCTGGAGTGCAATGGTGCCATCTCAGCTCACTGCAACCTCCACCCCCCGGGTTCAAGCGATTCTCCTGCCTCAGCCTCCTGAGTAGCTGGAACTACCGGTGCGCACCACCACGCCTGGCTAATTTTTTATATTTTTAGTAGAGATGGGGTTTCACCATGTTAGCCAGTCTGGCCTAAAACTCCCGACCTCAGGTGGTCCGCCCACCTCGGCCTCCCAGAGTGCTGGGATTACAGGCGTGAGCCACGGCGCCCGGCCATCATGTGCTTATTTTTAAAGCGAGGTGGATGACACCATTCACCCAGAGCCGTGTTCCTTTTTGGCGACAAAACAAAACCAAAAAAGCCTAGGACTTGACTCATTAGAAGTGTTAATCGATTTTTACCACGCTGAAATGAAGGTATAAAGTCAGTCTGTGCTGTCGTGAAATTCCAAGGAGATTTGGAAGTAAGATCATTATTTACTGGTCCTTTAGAATAGACCCCACCCCCCAAAAAAAGACTTAAAAAACGAGGGCTGTCCCCTGCAGACTCTGGCAGGACCCTGGGCTGCTCTGGGCGATGCAGACCAGGGGCAGCTCACCGACTTGATTCACAGTGATTCTGGTTTGCCGTTTCTCTGTGTGGCCACGAGTCGGGGGCGTGTCCAGCGGTGGGCATACTTACACCTTGTAGTTAAGCTCAGCGTTCATCTGGGTATACGTCTCGTAGATGACATCGATGGTCGCCATGTAGTTGACTAGGAAGAGGCGGATCTTTTCCAGGCACTCCTCCTCCGTCACATTCTGCCCCTTGGAGAGCGCTTTCAGGAAGTCGGACTTACAGGAGGCTGCGTACAGTGCTGCCTGGAAGATCTGCACGATCCAGCCGTGGTACTTCATGAGGGCCATTTCGTAGGCCTTGGTGGCGTTGACGCGGATGAGGTTGAGGTGGTTCTCGTCCGGCTCCTCGTTGCAGATGCTCTGGAGGAAGACCTGGATGAAGCGGAGGCCTCTTTTCAGCCACATCAGCGCCAGCGTGGCCCCTACTTTGAGCCGCTCTGCTCCATACATTTCTTTCTCCACCTCCAGGATGTTCTGCAGGGTCCGGAACTTGGCTGGGTTGGTGTCGTACACAGCTTTGATTTTTGTGATGTTGCTGCTTATGTCTGCCTTGATGGGAGTAAACACTGGGGACCCAAGGCAATCGAAGAAGGGCGGCAGGTGGGACACCGCCTCGAGGAAGGGCCCAGTCTCGATCTGCTTGTCCGCGGGCAGCGGCTTCAGCAGGTGTTCGGTCAGCAGAGCCATTTCGGGTTCGAGGCCCACGGTGATGCCCCAGCCGGCACCGCGGGCGTCCACACCGCACCCCCCGCCACCGCCGTCAGCGCCCGGGCAGTCACAGCCCTTTTTTTGGTATGTTTTCATGATCACAGTGATAATGCATCTATGTGTGTATTTTAATTCCAAATGACAACGTAGTACATACAAAGTGAAAGACTCCCTAAATCTGTTCTCCAGAGGCTTCCCTTTGCTACCCTTTTTATTCTTACTTTTTAAAATTATGAGCTCTGGATATAAACATATTTCTATTTTTAATTTATCAGTATTAAGGAGTGGCTTAATGGACATCCCTTATAAAGTGTGAAGAGTTCAGCACATATAATATATCCTTATTTTTCCTCCCTCTACTTCATGAAATTTGTTATTTATTTCCATTTGGTATGAATATTAAAAAATTAAAGCCTTATCTTCTATCACTGCCCTTCTTGTGCCTCATGCTGTAGCCAAATTAAGCTACTTGTCATTTAAAAAATAATGTCATTTGAATTAGAATCTATTTAAAATATTCAGAAATATTCTTCAATGCTGAAAAAATATTTTAAAAAGACCTTGTTATGGGCTGAATTGTGTCCCTCTAATATTCATATGTTGAAGTACTTAGCCCCAGTATCTCAAAATATGAGTATTTTGGGGAAGGAGGTCTTCAGAGAGCTAGTTAAGTTAAAACGAGTTCATTAGAGTGAGCCTTAATCCAACATGACTGATGTCCCTATGAGAAGAAGAGATTAGGACACAGACATACAGAGGGAAGACCCTGTGAAGACACAGGGAGAAAAAGACCCCATCTACAAGACCAGGAGAGAGGTCTCAGAGGAAAACATGATGATACAGCAGTATACAGCTCTTAGAAGGCTAAAGTAAAAAAATACTCATAGTTTCAAATATTGGCAAGGATTTGGAGAAAGTGGATCTTCTATACATTACCAGTGGAGAAGTAAATGGTACAGTACTCTAGAAAACTGTTTTAATTTTCTTAAAAAGTTAAATATACACTTACCATATCACCCAGCAATTTATCTTTGGAATGTATCCAAGAGAGTGGATAAGGATGTTCACTTAAAAGTTTGAACACAAATGTTAATAGCAGCTTTATTTAATAGCTAAAATGGAAACAAAGCAAATGTATTTTCACCAAGAATAATGACACAAAGCTTACTCTATCCATACAAGGAAATACTCCTCAGCAATTAAATTAAAAAGGTTTTTGGACAGTTCAAATTGTATGGATCTATTCTGTACAATGTGATGCTGAAGTACATAGACGTTGTGGTATAAATTTAGCTAAATAACAAATATATTACCTCATATGGTATTTTTGTGGTGAGAACACTTACCCACTCTGCATTTTTCAGAACACAATATATTATCATCAGCTACAGTCACCATGCTGTATAATAGATCTCTTAAAATTGTTCCTCCAGGCTGGGTGTGGTGGCTCACGCTTGTAATCCCAGAACTTTGGGAGGCTGAGGTGGGCGATCACCTGAGGTCAGGAGTTTGAGATCAGCCTAGCCAATGTGATGAACCCCATCTCCACTAAAAATACAAAAATTAGCTGGCTGTGGTGGTGGGTGCCTGTAATCCCAGCTACTCAGGAGGCTGAACCAGGAGAATCACTTGAACCCAGGAGGCAGAGTTTGCAATGAGCTGAGATTGCATCACTGCACTCCAGCCTGGGTAACAGATCAAGACTCTGTCTCAAAAAAAAAAAAAAAAAATCAGTATATTTTTTCAATATACTGATTTCATTTCCCTTGGATATCAACCCAGGATGTTCCTCCCATCTAAATGTAATTACATATCCTTTGACCAGCGTCTACTCATCTCCCCTTTCACCTAACCTACCCAGCCTATGGCAACCACCATTTTACTCTCAATTTCTGTGAGATCACCTCGTTTAGATTCTACATATGAGTGAGATCATGCACTATTTTTCTTCCTGTGCCTTGCATATTTCACTTAACAGAATGTCCTCTGGCTTACCCAAGTCACTAGAAATGATAGAATTTCATTCTTTTTTAAGGCTAAATAGTATTCCATTGTGAATATGTACCACATTTTCTTCATCAGTTTATCTGTTGATGGGCACTTAGGTTAATTCCATATCTTGGCCATTGTAAATAGTGCTGCAAGAAACATGGGGATGCAGATATCTTTTCAATATACTGATTTCATTTCCCTTGGATATCAACCCAGGAGCAGGATTTCTGAATATATGGTAGTTCTATTTTTAATATTTTGAGGAACTTCCATACTGCTTTCCCTAATGGCTGTACTAAAATACATTCCCACCAACAGTGTATGAGGGTTCTCTTTTCTCCACATCCTCTACAATACTTGTCATCTTTTGTATTTTTGATAGTAGCCATTCTAACTGGAGAAATGATATCTCATTGTGGTTTTGATTTGCATTTCCCTGATGATTAGTTACATTGCACATTTTTTCTTGTATCTATTGGTCATTTTTGAGTCTTCTTTTCAGAGATATCTATTCAGTTCTTTTGCCCACTTTTTCACTGGTTCATTTGTTTTATTGCTATTGAGTTGTTGGAGTCTCTTAAATATTTTGGATGCTAATCCTTTATCAAATGTATACTTTGCAAAATTAGTAGAAGGAAGGAAATAATAAAGATCAGAGCAGAAATAAGTGAAAAGAAGACTAGAAAAACAAAAGAAAAAATCAATGAAATAAAGAGTTGTTTGTTTTTAAAAGGTAAGCAGATTTTCTCCATTCAGTAATTCCAGAAATAAATAATTCATATGTTTAAAATTATGTACCACTTTGAATAGTGTGATGAAATCTCTTGTGGTCCTGCTCTGTCCTTCCTGGGATGTGATTCACCCCTTTGCCTAGCATATCCATGCTGTGTACCCTATCCATCCATTTGTAGCCCTCTCAGTTGCTAGATCAGTTGTTGTGGTATCACAGTGCTTGTGTTCAAGTAAACTTTATTTTACTTATTAATGGCTCCAAAGCATTAGAAATAGGGATGCTGGCAATTCAGATACGCCAAAGAGAAGTGATAGAGTGCTCCCTCTAAGTAAAGGTGAAAGTTTACAACTTAATAAGGAAGAAAAAAAATAGAATGTGGAGGCTGCTAAGGTCTACAGTAAAAACTAGTTACATCATAAAGGAGGCAAAAAAAAATCATGCTGGTTTTGCTGTTGCACCTCAAACTGCAAAAGCTATGGCCACATTACATGACGATTACTTAATTAAGATAGAAAAAGCATTAAATTTTTGTGTTGAAGAGGTGAACAGAAATGTGTTTTGGTTGCTGTCAATTGAAACACTTTTCATACAACCAGTGGGGGTCTTGGAATTTATCCCTTAAAGATAAGATGGAACTACTGTAAAAGGAAGGAAATAATAAAGATTGGAAAAAAAAGTAAAAAGCAAAGGGGCCAGGTGCGGTGGCTCACGCCTGTAATCCCAGCACTTTGGGAGGCCAAGACGGGAGGATCACGAGGTCAGGAGATCGAGACCATCCTGGCTAACATGGTGAAACCCCGTCTCTACTAAAAATCCAAAAAAAAAAAAAAAAAGAAAAATTAGCCGGGCATAGTGGCAGGCACCAGTAGTCCTAACTACTCGGGAGGCTGAGGCAGGAGAATGGCATGAACCCGGGAGGCAGAGCTTGCAGTGAGCTGAGATCACGCCACTGCACTCCAGCCTGGGCGATAGAGCGAGACTCCGTCTCAAAAAAAAAAAAAAAGCAAAGGTACAATAGAAAAATAACAATAATGATGAAATTTATATTTTTGAAAAGATAATAAAATTGATAAATTCCTAGCAATACCAATGAAGAAAAATATAAATAGAGAAAACACAAAACTCACACTGGGAATCAAAGAGAGACTATCATGGTACGTACTACCAGTATTAAAAATACAGAAATAAAAAGCTCCTTTGAATGATTTTTTGTCAAAATTTGACAATTTAGAAGAAATAGAAGTACTCTTTTA